>NC_000016.10:3135000-3760000 GCF_000001405.40 Homo sapiens | reverse complement strand
GTGAGTGAACATGAGCCAGGTGGGGTCGTGACACGCTGACTGCTGACTGGCCGGCCTCCCACACCGAACAGCTTCCCTGGCACCTGTTCCCATACTTGTTGAGGGTTTGTATGAATGTACCATCTTGAATGTATTTGGCAGCCAGTATTTTATGTTTGTATTAGTGAAAACAGAGAGTGTAGTAGGCAGTAAGGTGTCTGAGGGGTTGGAGAAATTGGCATTAGTAAATGTGGGAGTAAGCAATATGGAACTTTTTATAAAAATGCTTTATTTTGTAGCTCTATTACTGTTTACATTTATGAGATTCAAAACCGTTTGTCTCCAGTGGCCTGAATTTAATTTAGCCAAGGATAAAAAACTTTACTCAGAGGATCTTTTAAGGTCCCTTCCAATGAAATGGTCTTTTTTTTTTGGAGACAGAGTTTTGCTCTTGTTGTCCAGGCTGGAGTGCAGTGGCGCAATCTCGGCTCACTGCAACCTCCGTCTCCTGGGTTCAAGCAATTTTCCTTTCTCACCCTCTCGAGTAGCGGGGCTTATAGGAACCCCCGACACACACCAGGCTAAATTTGTGTTTAGTAGAGACGAGGTTTCACTACGTTGGTCAGGCTGGTCTTGAACTCCTGACCTCAGGTGATCCGCCCTCCTCAGTCTCCCAAAGTGCTGGGATTACATGTGTGAGCCACCATGCCCAGCCTGAAATGGCTTTATTTGCCACCCAGTTTGATGAATGAGACAGATTTGGGAGTTAGCTTTACTTTCTTTTTCAGCCAAGTTTTTAATGTTGGAAACCTTTCATGGAAGAAGCAAACTTCCCAGTGTTGTATTTTGCCTCACAAGCTGAACACAGTTCTGACACTAGTGTGTTTTCAGAAGCTTTAGTCCTTAACGGTGATGGACGAGAGCCCCTCGAGTGCCTTAGGAGCATCGTGGCTGGGATGTCACAGCAGCCAGGATTCCGTTTTAAATGTGAGGTAGGAGGGATCTGAGCACCTTTTACAAAGTGTCTTTTCTTGATGTTTTCTCTGCAGTCTTTAAACCAGAGGAGTTACGCCAGGCCCTCATGCCAACCCTAGAAGCACTGTATCGACAGGACCCAGAGTCATTACCTTTCCGGCAGCCTGTAGATCCCCAGCTCCTCGGAATTCCAGTAAGTTAATTCATAAAAATAGATTATAACTTTGCTGGTGTGACTTCTGAGTGTCCATTGTTTTATCTCTTGAAATTAGATAAAATAATCCCCCTGCCTTGAAGATTGTTCTCCTAATATAAAAAACTGTTGTCTGTTAACAGTTATCAGTGAAAGTGTTTATTTTGTTTGATTTCACCTGTTCATGAAGCCCTGGTCCTTGGAGGAGGGGTGCACTGAAGCAAGGGAAGCACATGCCCCTGAGACTTCACTTTATATTTGGGGCCTTGTGTCACTTTTGTCTGAAAGAATTTGTGAACATGAACTGTAAAAAAATATTTGGGCTTCTCTCTTTTATATTCCTGGATAGCCTTGCAAAGGCCATGGGGACCCAGCCGATTCTATGTAGCAGTCATTACTAGCTTTGTGTTTATATTTGTCTTGTAATTTCATTTTGCTTGCTAGGATCAAGAGTGAATATCTAGAAATACACACTGTTTGATAAACTTGTTCACTATTTTAATTCAGTGGATTAAAGATCTATTTTTAAAATTTTTTGTTAGAAGTATCTTTTAACAATTTTTCTTTACTTTTGCCTTTGGAGTATTATAATGTGATCATACCTGAAAATACTAATTACACTTTTAGTGAGTAAAATCAGTTGCGTCAGAGGTTATTTTCTTTTCATTTCCTATTTCTTACTGTTGGGAATGGAAGTTATTTTGGTGCTTTCTGTTTCTATTATTTTAAAACAAAGCTGCCAGATGAGACTGGCATTTGGATATTGGGGGATTCCCTATACTGAGACCATTTTTTTTTTTTTAAGGACTATTTTGACATCGTAAAGAATCCCATGGACCTCTCCACCATCAAGCGGAAGCTGGACACAGGGCAATACCAAGAGCCCTGGCAGTACGTGGACGACGTCTGGCTCATGTTCAACAATGCCTGGCTCTATAATCGCAAGACATCCCGAGTCTATAAGTTTTGCAGTAAGCTTGCAGAGGTCTTTGAGCAGGAAATTGACCCTGTCATGCAGTCCCTTGGATATTGCTGTGGACGCAAGGTACAGTTTTAAGTTTTTCCGGAAAGTGAATTTTCCTGGTTAATCCAGCCAGAGGGGTGTTATACTAATATGAGACCACGCCTGTATACTGGGAGTGCATATGTGCAATCTGCTGTCTGGTGACACAGTTGATGCCTGAAGCGATGTGATGGGTGATCAGAGCTGGGTGTACAGGCGCTTACTGAGGGAGGCCATGGGGAAGCGTTTCTGGCTGCCCCTCTCTGCCTGTGGTACCTGTCTGTAGTGAATGTCTCTTAGAGCCAGTTCTATCACATGCTATCCCAAAATGTCTTTAAAGCTACTAAAATTGTTAGAAAACTGTCTAATATACTAACAGAAATAATTTACTAGTCTCTATAGTAGACTAGAACATTATAAGACAGTAAATGGAATGTATTTTTATATAAAAGTATTTCTCCTTTATTTTTGCAGTATGAGTTTTCCCCACAGACTTTGTGCTGCTATGGGAAGCAGCTGTGTACCATTCCTCGCGATGCTGCCTACTACAGCTATCAGAATAGGTAAGCGTCAAGCAGCATCCTGCATTATGTCTTAGGGCAAGGCACGTTCATCTGGTTATAGTCTGTGTACATTATTTCTTTCCTGAAGTTCCAATAAAAAGTGGCCCAATTTCAGGCCGGGTGTGGTGGCTCACGCCTGTAATCCCAGCACTTTGGGAGGCTGAGGTGGGAGAATCACTTGAGCCCAGGAGTTATGTTATCAGCCTTGGCGACATAGAGAAACCCCCATCTCTATTTGAAAAGAAAAAAAAAGAGAAAAAGTGGCTCGGTTTCAGTGTCTTGTTAGTCACTTAGGCCCATGGCCTCTTAGTTAGTTATAAAGCGTACTTTTACAGTGTAAAAACTGTAACCTCAGAGCCAAGTCTTGCCGTACTACTTGGATTAGGTACGTTATTTCTTCAGCCCTGCCCGTTCTAAAACGCAGCCCTAGAAGCAAGCGTCTGAAGTTGAGAGTAACTCTGATAAAGGTTGACATGCCTTTTTCAAGATGTTCATAGAGTAGAAAATGTGGATTTTACTATTCTACCTGCAAATATTTGCCTGGTAATTTGGCCTGATCAGTCTCATGGAAAGACTTGCATGAGTGCTGCTTCCTATAAGGCAGAGGAAAAGGGTCCATGATCTTTATTTTTAAATTTTACACTAGCAGCACGATACAAAATGAGATCTGGTGTTTTAATTGAGTTCAAGAATGTGATTCTGTTGCCTCCTATTATAAGATGGCCATTTCAGGGTTTTGTGAGTGGTGGATCTGCTTAAGAAATACTTGCCATTCTTTTGGAATATGAAGATGGCTAAAGAATAGATCTCCTGTCTTAAAATAGGTAGAGAGTGAGAATAGTATTTTTTGTTGTGGTTTCCCACAAAATACAGCTTGCGTAGTTTTGGAGTTGTTTGAGAAGTCAGCTTATCTGTACCGCAGCGTGTAAGTGTCCATGTGCCGCTGCAGTGTGAGCGCACCATGCGTGGAGGCACAGGTCAGGAATCTTGCTCAAACTGTGACGTTGCCTCTATTTTATGAGCCAGCAGCTGGATTCTCTGTGGCCAAGATAGAGGTTTGTGCCTGTTCTTTGTCTTTAGGTTCAAATAATAAGCGTCAACAGTGGGGTTTGGCGTTTTTTATTATTTTACTCTCATTTGGTCAGAGTAATTATGTCCTATACTTCAAAGAAGACAGAAGGCTTTTTGTTATTTGTTCACAGGCCTGAAAATTTTGGAGTTTTATGGTTATGTGTTTTAATTCTTCTATGTTTTTTTTAAAAATCCATATTCAAGATAAGTAATAACTCCCATCAAAATCCTATTTTTAAAAAAAATCCTTTTGACACAAAAATGTCTCAAAAAAGGTTCCTAAGCCTTTTCTATTAGGAATAAGCCTGGCCTGCTTATTCCTAATACTGTTCAGTGTAGTGAAACACTGGTGCAAGGGGGAAGGACAGACCCTAAACTGCATCCCTGCTAGAAGTGCAGCGTGTGCAATTGTCCTGCTGAAAATAGTTTAACATTCAGAGTCTGATTTCCATCTCAACTTCCCCTTTATCAATAGAAACATTTTATGACCAAGTTTAAAATGATACCATAGCCCCTTCCTAATGGGATCTCTCCCATAGTGACTTGCTGCTCTTTGGGAAGTTCTGGCCACTCCTTTTATGCTTTTAGCCCCATGACCTTCAGCAGACCCCATGATGTATTAATGTATTAAGCTTAGCCTTGTCTGTGATACAGACAATAGCGTCTTCCCTCGCAGCCTCATTTTGTCAGGTCCTCAATGATGAAATAATGAATAGGAATGCACTTTAAAAACCATTTGTGCCAAGCAAAATAAAGTTAATGATATCTTCAGAGAAAGGTTAATATTAACTACACCCAGAAAAATGCCACCCCTGCTACGTTGCCCAACACAGTTTTGGTCTAGAAGGAAGGTAGATTGTTTACCACTGTCTCTAAAGTGTTGTGGGGCCTGTTCCTGGGTCCGTTGGTACCCTGCCTTTGCTGATTTGCACAGATTTTGGTCTTTTACATTGAGAGCAATTAAAGTTAAATGGAATTGGTAGGACCAAAGAGTCATTGATGGCATATGAAGTCATTGATGGCATATAAAGTCATTGATGGCATGAAAGTTCTGAAACGTCTAATTTTATTTCTGTATAGAACTTCATTTTTACTAAACAAAAGTAATGTATTTTTAAGAGTGGAAATGCAAATAAAGGAGTTCCATTTTATTAGTGATAATTTTTAAAGCGTAGGCGTAGCGTTCCTCAGACGATCACAGGCATGCTCTCTAGAACAGTGTATCTGACTGAGTAGGTTAGCATATTATCATCCTGAGAAAGCAGTGGCCTGATTCTGTAACAAATACTTTAACTGCTTATGTTTTTATTTTCAACTTTGACTATTTATGAACACTGCAGTGTTCTTATGAATAATTGTCTTGGCACTTGTAGTCCTAAACTGGGCACTTAGAACAATAAAAAATCCTACAGATCATTTAAACAAGTGAAACCCTAATATATAAGTGAGCGTATGATTACATTTTCACTTGTTTTCATACTTTGCAAATTTGAAAGTAACTCATGTTGGAAAAACTGTTCTTTAGCTTTCCCAGTTAGTATCTGTAGATAATATAAGTATTATCTATAGATATCCCAGTGATATGTACTGATATGGTACTTAAAACAATCTGCATTTGAAAACTTAGTCCATATATTAAATTACCCTTACAGATAAACTATGCAGTTCCATGGTACTATAGCAACCCTGAAATGCATCATCACTGGATTATGTGAAGTATTTCTCCTTTGCAATTCCATATTCATCAAGCTGCTTCCTTCACACCAGGCAAAATGTCATCTAGGCGCTTAAGTTGAAAAGTGAATTTCTAAATCTTTATGTGTTTCCAGGGAGAATAAAGTGTGGACTAGGTAAGAAGGTAGGGGCAGTCTGGCAATAACATCTATCACTCATAGACTGCCAGGGTTGCTTTAGCTGATTTTACTAGTTGGGGGTGACTGTTCCCTTTTCTGTGTGCTGTCTTCCTCTCTCAGAACAGTAATAAAGTGAAGCCACGGGCCCCTCTTCCTCCCCTTCTTAAACACGAACAGGCTAAATTGTCCATTTCTCCAGCAGTTTTGAGGCAGACAAGGAGTCTGTTGATAATGCTTTGCCTCCCCGGTTCTGATCCTGGGATTTTCCAGGGTGGGAGTCAGTCATACAGGAAGAGCCTCAGTTTCCCAGCCACTGCATGGGCTGCCATTCCACCACCAGTGCCTCCCTCAGTGTCACTTTCCTCGGTGGGGAAGGATGGGTTTATGGTTCTTGTTTCCTGGATGTTGCTGGGCTTGCTGTCCTTAAATAAAAGCAAAGGATTTCTCCAGGATTTTAAAACCATTTAGACTCACCTGTGATTACGGTGGGAGTTTCATTTCAGAATGTCTTGAACGGTCCCTTCTAGTTGGCCATAGTTCTGCGTGTTTGATTGTATCATGAATGGGGCACTCAATTAGGAGTTTTACTTATAAAAGGGAAGTATTGGGGATTGAGGGAATGTCTTTTTTGTGTATTGTTTTGGTTGCCACTGAATTGGTTTATAGTTTCTGTACTTTAATTCCTTCTTGCCAGTGATGACCATACCCTCCTGCACACGGAAGTTCTTCTTCATACCGGATTTTAGGATATTTACAAAATAGTGAATGGCCAGAATATTGCTATAGTTCATTCAGGGAAAAAAAAAATACATATTTAAAGAAAAACATTAATCTGCCTCTTGCCTGTCAGAGTGTTAAATCCTGACATAATTTATTAATTGAGTTAGTGCCAAATAAATTAGTCCCAGCAAGAAACCTTCATTAATCTAGTGAATCTGTCATGTTCCTCATCAACCAAACACAAAAAATTGGCTCATCTTGAGATGTGCATGCACTGAAGTTGTATGCTTTAAAATTTGCTGTATGTGTGTGGTTAGTGAAATACAACAGACAAAATGCTCAATGTATTGAATTAAGATTAGATTTGGGACTTGTGGGGGACCTGTCCTAGTGGTAGTGAACTGGCCACACGGTGGCCCACGCCTCAGTCTTCTGTAGCCGTGTGAGTGCGCAAGTGAGTGAGACTGCAGCTGCCGCGTCCCATTCTGCACTTGGTGGTTCAGCCTGGCGCTCGAGTCCTGTCGCACTGTTTTTAATACTAATCCTTCCTGGCATCTTGTAGACATAGTTTTGAGCACTAAACCGCATTCGTGCTGCCGTCGCTACCTGACACTCATTCTTCTCGCTTGTGTGATCCACCTCCACCCGCTTGTTTATTCTTACGGTATTCTTGTGTACTCATCTTGTTTTATGCAGCATCAGCCTGCATTTCTGTTGATTTCTCATTTATGTCCTTTCCAAACATTTAGTAGTTTTTATTTTAATTGTTTGTATTTGATAGCTTGAGCCCAGGCTCTATATTGTCTTACAAGAAATTGGGGTGATGGATAATTTCTCAAATGCAGATTGTTCTTTAAAGATTAACTCTAAATTCACTTAACTTGGATTGCCCCCAAGTCAGAACAGTCATTCGCTAAGTCTTTCAGATTGATGAATGATTGGTCCCAGTACCAAAAATGTCAAATCAAAGCTTAGAATTGAATTTTCAAAGATTGTTCATGGATTTACATATATTGTATTTCTTATACAATATATCACATTTCTTACTCTGTATATTCATATTGATAAATGGGTGGAAAGTCTTTGACCCTGACTGCATTTATGTTAAATGTTTGTCTAGAATATGGATTTGGTTTCATTTGTATTGTAACACAATTAACTGAATGATTAACATGAAAAAAAAAAAAACAGGAAAAAATTAAAATCAGTTCTGGGTGCTCAGCATTTTCATACATTTAAAGATCTGGCTTAATACCGGAAATAAAATCTCTGAATTGCTGTCAAGCATAAATTTTCCATTTTGAAAAATAAAGCTATTTCAGTTTAAATTGCTTTTTTAAGGCCTTTTGTCAGACTGTTTTGTTCAAGTAAATTTTTCCATCTCAAACCCTGGAGTTATATTTGACTTTCTCTGAGTAAGAACAAAATTCAGATTCCTAAATTTGGGCTCCATGCAATTCTAGTATTAACAACTCCTTGAAAACATTTGCCTCTTGGAGCCGGACCGAGCCTGTCGTTGTTAGTGATGATGGCCTGTGATGTGTGCAATGAGACCGAATGCTAATCAATGCTTTGCCTTGGCTTTCTGCTCTGTGTTGTCTTGGTGTCTGCGTCTTACCTCTGTGTCTGTGCTATTTGTTCCCTTCCCTGTTCTCTAATCCTGCCTTTCCCCACCTGCCCCCTGTTCCTTTCATTGTCCTCACTGACCCATCAATCAACCAACAACGCCCCCCCTTCGTCGTGGTGCTCTGCCCTGCTCTGATTGGTGGCTTCGTTGCTTGGGTGGCTGTGTGTTATGATGGACCAGTTCACCCAAGTATGGCCTTCTTGCTGACAGGTATCATTTCTGTGAGAAGTGTTTCACAGAGATCCAGGGCGAGAATGTGACCCTGGGTGACGACCCTTCACAGCCCCAGACGTAAGTACCGTCCTGTCATTTTCTCTGGGGTGAGGGAGGGTGACCTTAAATTGTTTTTTCCTCTTACCAATGACTATAAGGAAGGTACCGGTGCCATTTTGACTTCCTTGCAATGTTTTTTGGTTTTTTGTTTTTGAGACAGGTTCTCATTCTGTCACCTGGGTGGTGTGCAGTGGCACTATCTCGACTCACTGCAGCCTTGACCACTTGGGTTCAAGCGATCCTCCTTTCTCAGCCTCTCAAGTAGCTGGGATTACAGGTGCACGCCACCATACCCAGCTAATTTTTTTGTATTTTTTGTAGAGACGAGGTCTCGCCATGTTGCCCAGGCTAGTCTCAAACTCCTAGACTGAAGCACAATCCACCTGCCTGGGCCTTCCAAAGTGCTGGGATTACAGTCTGTTGTGTTGTGGGGTTTGTTTCATATTAACTATGATCACATTTAATTTGAATATGTGTATACGTATACATTTACACTGAAAAATGTGTTTTGGCTGAACCACAGCGCCACCTCTGCCTTTATCATTCAAGGCGGTGGTACTGTGGCCTACCACTGGAGACCACTGGTCTCTCTTGACCTTGGTCTGTCTTTTTTTCTAAAATAATTGCTTTTTCCTAGTGGTTCCATTTTGGGGAATTAGAAATTTTCTTTATTTTAATTTTTTTTTTGAAATGGGGTCTCACTGTTGTTACCCAGGCTGGTCTTGAACTCTTGCCTCAAGCAGTCCTCCTGCCTTGGCCTTCCAAAGTGCTGGGGCCACCATGCCCGACCATGTAAATTTTCAGTTATACCTGAGAAACCAGGTATCCCCATTTGCAGAACTGGCAGTAGCAAAAAATGAGTTTGGTGTACATGCCCTGCCCTTTACATTTAGTTTATCTCCACTTAAACCTCCATCCTTTCAGTTACTGAAGTCTAATCCAGATTAATGGATTCCAGTGTTCTCCAACCCCATTTTTTGGCCTAAAGTCTAAATGTGTTTCCTTCCTTCACTAGTGCTTTACCTGTTGTTTACCAGCTCCAAAGTGGACAGCTATGACTTTGTTAGTTCACTCCTGCACAGGGTTAAACTTGTATTTCCAGTGTTTATTATCCGGCAGAGTTACCTTCGAGTGTTAGAATGGCCACTGTGTGGCAAGAAAAAGCAAATGCACAAATTGTGTTATCAACTCATTTCTATACTTAAGTAACTAAAAACCTGCCAGCCACCCACCACATCTGCCCAGGTCTGCCGTTCCCTCTTTTCGTCAGACTGAGTTCCCCAGTCTTCCATGATTCCTACCACCCTACCACAGTGTGACTTCCCCAACAGAAAGGAAGGGTTTGCCACAGGAGCTTCTTCCAGCAGTGTAGGCACTTACGCTCTACCATTTTCTTTGTTCAAATGCAGAAAAAACCTAACTTGTAAGACAAACAAACCAAAGTGACTGAAATTCTACATTTTCAATTTATTTCCCTTGTCATCCTAATTCTCTTTAGTCTAGTTGTGTGATTAATAATTGGATTGTTGCCTGAGCAACATAGTGAGACCCCATCTCTACAAAAAATTAAAAAAACTTAACAGGGCGTGGTGGTTTGTACCTGTAGTCCCAGCTACTCAGAACCGGGGTGAGTTTGAGTTCAGCCTTGGCAACATAATGAGACCCTCATCTCCACAAAAAATCAAAAAATTAGCCAGTCCTGGTGGTGCATGCCTATAGTCCCAGCTACCCAGGAGGATCACTTGAGCCTAGGAGGTTAAGGCTGCAGTGAGCCATGGTCACGCCACTGCACTCCAGCCTGGGCAACAGAGCAAGACCTTGTCTCTGAAAAAACAGAAGGAAAAGAAATGATAGTGGAATATGTAGAAAAAGACATTGTAGTGTTCTACGAAATTAAATTTTCTGTTCATTCCGTTATTACATGTACTTGAGATTTTAAGGGGCCATCATGTCTTTTTGTTTGAAGAACTAGTTACAAAATAACATTCCAGAGACCCTATAGTTTATACTCAACAGATAAATTTTAGTTAATAAAACATGTTTTCTTATTTTAAAACAAGGACAATTTCAAAGGATCAGTTTGAAAAGAAGAAAAATGATACCTTAGACCCCGAACCGTAAGTATATAGCTATTTCTTTTTTACTTTCAGTTTTGGTTTGAAATCGGTAAAGTTACTCCTTATGGAGTGGGTTGTGGGTAAAAACATTGGAAATATGTTGCCGTAAGTGGAATTTCTGGTGTGAGGTTATCTTTTAGATATAGATTTCTTTTAAACTTAAACAAAATATGTATGTCTCTGTAACATGTACTCTAGTTACTGGATTTTAACAATGATAAGATTAAATGGATGTTTTAGTTCTATGAGAACCTCTCTAATAATTTGGTCATGGGTGTCTTTAAGAAGCCATTTAGCATGAATCTTTAGAGACCAAAGGTTAGGAGTATTTGGTGGGGTAGTACTAGTAGTATCGTTTAAAGGGAAATACCAGAAAGAAAACCTCTTGGAAACTGCTTTCTCAAATAATGTAAAGCTTGGCACATTTTCTTGCCATTGTTAAGCACTTTTTTTGTTGTTGTTTTTGTTTTGTTTTGTTTTTTGAGACAGTCTCGCTCTGTCCCCGAGGCTGGAGTGCAGTGGCACGATCTCGGCTCACTGCAGGCTCCGCCTCCCGGGTTCACGCCATTCTCCTGCCTCAGCCTCCCGAGTAGCTGGGACTACAGGCGCCCACCACCACGCCTGGCTAATTTTTTGTATTTTTAGTAGAGACGGGGTTTCACTGTGTTAGCCAGGATGGTCTCGATCTCCTGACCTCAGGTGATGTGCCTGTCTCGGCCTCCCAAAGTGCTGGGATTCCAGGCGTGAGCCACCGCGCCCGGCCCTGTTAAGCACTTTTCTACAGTGATGAGTGAGAGTGCTGCATTTGCTAACCTTGCTTCATAACAGCCCCTAAAGAGACTTCAGATTTTTTTCAGTGTGGTAGCCTCTTCCCAGGTCCCCAATGTAAAGTTCTGAGGGCGCTCCAAATTGGCATGGCGATACTGGCTATTTTTTGTCCCCAGGGTGAGCACAGGCTCCAGGAGCGTTGGCTACTTGGGAAGTGTGGGCTGTGACTCAGCCAAGGCAAGAAACAGACCCTGCTCTCCCTATCCTGACCCTCTCCAGGGAAGCCAGTGGCTAGAGTGGCAAGCACAGATTTCTACCCAGGCCACCTCTGGAAACCTAGCTTGACTTTTGGCAGGTTACTTCATCTCTACCAGCACATGGTACACAGACAGGACGATGATGTGAAATCCTAGAGCTGTAGTCTTGGCGAGATGCCAGGGCAGAGCGCCCACCCCTCTCATGACCATCGGATTGTTTTTCCTGACTTTCCACCTTTCTTTTCACATTGTGTCTTTCTCTCCTTGGCTTTATAGTTTCATTATTATTTATATCTACTTTTCTTTCCTTTTTTTTTTTCCCCCTGAGACAAGTCTTGCTCTGTCCCCCAGGCTGGAGTGCAGTGGCGCGATCTCGGCTCACTGCAGCCTCCGCCTCCCAGATTCAAGCAATTCTCTGCCTTGGCCTCCCAAGTGGCTGGGATTACAGGTGCCCGCCACCACGCCCAGCTAACTTATGTATGTATGTATGTATGTATTTATTTTTATTTTTGAGATGGAGTTTCACTCTTGTTGCCCAGGCTGGAGTGCAATGGCACAATCTCAGCTCACCGCAACCTCCGTCTCCCGGGTTCAAGCGATTCTCCTGCCTCAGCCTCCCGAGTAGCTGGGATTACAGGCATGTGCCACCACACCTGGCTAATTTTTTTGTATTTTTAGTAGAGACGGGGTTTCACCATGTTAGCCAGGATGGTCTCGATCTCCTGACCTCGTGGTCCACCCGCCTCGGCCTCTCAAGGTGCTGGGATTACAGGTGTGAGCCACCGCACCCAGCCTGTATTTTTAGTAGAGACGAGGTTTCACCATCTTGACCAGGCTGGTCTTGAACTCCTGACCTCGTGATCCACCCACCTCGGCCTCCCAAAGTGCTGGGATTACAGGCGTGAGCCACCGTGCCCGGCCAATTTATATCTACTTTTCAACTTCAAAATATATTACATTCAAGTAGTAGGTGCCAGGCAGAGGGAACACATGGATGAGTGAAGGGGTCTCCTTCCTGCTGGTTGTAGTCTAGAGAGACAGCTGGGTAATGGCACAGCCTGCAGCAGGAGACAGTACAAGTGAGTCCCAGACAGAAGGGACCCTGCTTGGGCAGAGCGGCATCACCACAGTTGCGCCTGGTTTCCTGGACAAGATGACATTTACATTGAAGCTGCAGAGCATTCTAGAAACAAAGGCATGAAAGAACACAGGTTGCTCAATAAAACTACAAGGCCCCTAGAGTGGGTGGTTGGTAGGCAGAGGTTAACTTCATGAAGGGCCATTACACTGTCTCTTGACGTTTAGACTTTATCCTATAATGTGCTGAGGAGGTTTTGAAGAATAGCACTGGTTCTAGTGTAAGAGGGTCATCTTTGGTCTATGAGGTGAACTGAACAGAAGAGGAGAAGACATTGTTCTGTAGTAGAGAAGTTAGTTAAGAGACACAAAGCAGGAGAAGGCAAGAAACTGAAACACCAATTAAAGCAAGAGCTTTTGGAGCCAGGCAGGGGGGCTTGCTGGGGGACTGAGGGAAGGGGAGACATCTAGTTGGCCCATAATAATTGGGAGTGGGAGAAAGGGGGAAATTCAAAATGGATGTCATGGGGTCTAGAATATGCAGTGTGTTTTGTTTGTTTGGATTTTGTTTGTTGTTTTTGAAACAGGGTCTTGCTGTGTCACCCAGGCTGGAGTGCAGTGGTGCAGTCATAGCTCACTGCAGCCACAACCTCCCAGACCCAAGCAGTCCTCCCAGCTCAGCCTTCTAAGTAACTGGGACTACAGGCACACACCACCATGCCCAGCTAATTTTTAAATTTTTTGTAGAAATGGGGTCTCCCTATTTTACCCAGGCTGGTCTCAAACTCCCAGTAAAGCAATCCTTCCACCCCAGCCTCTCCACATGCTAGGATTACAGGTGTGAGCCACTGCACCTGTCCCCAGTGTAGTTTTGGGGGACACTCCTTTCCCCTGACATGGGAGGGAAGAGTTGAGAGCAGGGGACCTTTGGAGACGGCACAGGAATTGAGGAAGTTCTTGGCCCCAACCTTTGAAATTCTTAGCGTTGGGGATGAGCTCAGTGGCTGAGTTGTCAAAGACAGAGCTTGTGGAGGATAAGCACTGGAGGAAAGGAGTGCAGATTCAGAGCAGCTGCCACGTGGAAGGGAGAGGTAGCCAGACAGAGCCGGGCTGTCAGAGAGTGCCATAGGACCATGAACGGGTGCCGCCATTTGTGTGTGTGTGTTTTTTTTTTCACAGATCTGTGTGTGTGTCTTTTCTTTCCCTCCAGCAGACTGGGCAGAGAAGCCAGATGAGGGTAGACCCATGGCTGAGGGCTTGCATAGCACGTGCAATGGACAGATTAAGGGGACGAGGGCAGGGGCACACTTTAGAGGAGCTGTAGCTCAAAGCTCAGGAGCACACAGGGAATCACATTACTCACCAGTCCCTTCAGCCTATCCTCGGAGGTATGCATTGTGGTGGCAGCAAGGGAGGGAGCTGACAAAAACCCAAGGTCTTGACCTCAAAATGTCATCTTGGCATTTAAGATTCCTGGGTTGAGGCGGTTCCTGGAGGTGACGGAGCCCTGGTGGGCCGTGGTTGTGGGCTGCCGTAGAACAGTGTGGAGGATTCGTGGGGAATGGGTGGTCCATTCTCTCGCTTCACCAGTGTTTACTTGAATAAACCCTTGTCAACTTGCCAGTAGGCCTGACACATTCCACCTTTTGTAACTGACTCAGAACTGGTGTTTTTGTGCCTCGCGCCTAGCGTGGCTGCTCTGAACTGGCCGTGTTTCCCATTAGTATCCTCAACAATTTTAGACTTAAGAGCACATGTTTAGAACTCAAAGTATTGTTCTCTATTTTTTAAGTCAGTTTTGGCATGTGAAATCACCTAGAGAAGGCATTGTTCTTGCAAATGTGTAGCAGTGTCAGAAATACCGGCCTGTGAAATATGTATTTGTCGCAGCAATTTTTAAAAAGTAAAGTTTCCTTTCTGGTTGCAAAGGGAGATTGGGAGAAAAGAGGAATGAAGCGCTTGTACAAACAAAAGAAGAAAGCTTTTTCCTGTAGAAGATATCATACGGATGCATTGTAAAATATAGCTGAATCAGCCAACACACGCATTAATGTCAGCACTACTCAAAGTAACCCAGAGAACAAGGTGTGGACGCACACACAGACTTCTACAAGTGACTCTGGTCTTGTGGTTCCGTGTGCTTTAACAGTGCGCCTTCTTTGCCTCCTAGTTTCGTTGATTGCAAGGAGTGTGGCCGGAAGATGCATCAGATTTGCGTTCTGCACTATGACATCATTTGGCCTTCAGGGTGAGTTGTTTCCCCTGGCCTGGAGGGCAGTTCTGCACAGAGCCAGTGGCGGGGCAGTTGCAGTGGCTACTGCATCTCATTCATTGTTGTCAGCAAGAATTCAGCGATTAAGAGAGATGGCAGTTGGTTCTAAATTTAAGTTCTAAGCGTTTGTCCGCTTTAGGAATTGTGGAATCAAAGCAGTCTGCCTCTTCACTCTTTAATTTTATAATAATGTGATTTAAACTGCCAACAAACTATCTGAATGCTGCATTTTGTTGGTTTGACAATTTACATCATTATATACAGTCTCATCATACCACTATTATTTTGCAGTTTTGTGTGCGACAACTGCTTGAAGAAAACTGGCAGACCTCGAAAAGAAAACAAATTCAGTGCTAAGAGTAAGTTTCGGGAAGCTTTCTGTTTCCTGGACTGCACATTTTAGAAACTTGTAGAAATTGTCCCCATTGTTCTTTGGTTCCTCTCAACACATGGTTCTGAGGTTCGGTTGTCAAAGATTTTCGTTAGTTTTTTCCCCAGTACTTTGTATTTTTCTTGTCTCATCCTTAAGGAGAGCCAGGCCAGTCATGAGGGTAAGAATGCAAGAATGTTCTTCAGGGGCTTCACTGAGAATAGGCAGCACAGCTGTGAGTCCCTGAAGTCTGTGCTTCTCAGAATGGTCATCTCAGCCACGGGGCTGCTGAGCACAGAGCTCAGAGCAGGACTCGCAGCCTTGGGCTGTGGATCTTCATCAAGTGTAAAACATCTCAGTCCACCCTTAAAGGGAATATTTGGCCTGATTGTTATATGAAAGTCAGCATTTATGATCAGCGCATGTTTTAGATGAAAGGTTAGATGTGCAGTAAACTTTGTAAATTCTGAGAAAATTTATCAACAGATTATTCTCAAGTGGTTTAGACCTAAGACCCCTCACCCCTCGTGCGTGCATGTGTGGTGTAATGTTGGCCAGCACTCTCTAACCCTGGGCCCTATGTGGGCTGCCGTGGGTCTGTCCCGTGGGTGCTGGCTTCTGCTACAGTGGGGTATGAGCCATGGCCTCTGGGAACCAGCCACCACCCCAGGAGCGGTAGGAGCCTGGCCTGCATGTGGACTTGGCTGGACATGTTACTGCAGCTGGTGGTGCCTGTGCAGAAATAGAAGGAACAACCTGTTACTGCTAGAAGTAACTTTGCATGAGTAGACTTTCTTTTTTTTTTAATTTGAGACATTCTCGCTCTGTCGCCAGGCTGGAGTGCAGTGGTGCAATCTCAGCTCACTGCAACCTCCACCTCCTGGGTTCAAGCGATTCTCCTGCCTCAGCCTCCCGAGTAGCTGGGACTACAGGCGCCCGCCACCTTGCCCAGCTAATTTTTGTATTTTTAGTAGAGACGGGTTTCACCATGTTGGCCAGGACGGTCTCAATCTCTTGACCTTGTGATCCGCCCGCCTCGGCCTCCCAAAGTGCTGGGATTACAGCCATTAGCCACCGCGCCCGGCTGACTTTTTTTTTTAAGACCACATTGCATTGTTATCAAAAGTTTATGGTTATTTAATCTTTATAGAGTCAATTCTCAAGTCTTGGGATGGCCTTCTGCAGCTTGACGCGCCAGGCTGGCCTTTTGCCGAGTTAACCAGCAAACCCACACAAGAACGGCAACTGCAGCAGTGTTCTAACATTGACTTGCCAGCTGCTCCCTACAGCTGTCACCTTTCTCTGGCAGGACAGGTGACTAGCATGTTGCTCAGGAGATCCCCAATAGAACCAGGGTCATTTGGGGAGCTCAGAGTAGAAGAGAGATGGAAATGCTAGGATGGACCATGCACTGGGGGAAGGGGAGGAGGAAGCCACCCTGTAGACTTGAGACTGAGTCTTAATTCAAGTTCAAACTCTGTTGTTAACCAACATCCAAAGTTATGCAATAGCTTACACTGCCTCTGTTAAAAACTTGTGAAATATCACTCATTGATAAACTATTGTAATACTTTTCCTTAGCTCGGTTTCTCAACTGAGGCACTGTTGACATTTCAGGCCAGGTAACCCTCTGTTTTAGGGGCTGTCCTGCGCATTACAGGATTTTAGCAGCATGCCTGGCCTCTGCCCACTCAGTGCCAGTAACACCTTCCTCAGCAATTCATTACGTCTGTCAGAAATGTCTCCAGACATTGCCAGATGTCCCCTGGAGGGGCACAGTTGCCTCCATTTGAGAGGCCCTGCTTCAGAGGATTCACTCTGAGTGAGTTCGCTAATGCATTTGAGCAAATTGGAAGTTCTTCCCTGGGCCAGAGGCTCAGTAGCCAAAACAGAATTACCCAGAGAACTAGGCCTCCGTAGAACAGTCATTGCCTGAAAGGGGCAGGAGGTGACTGGGCGGAATGGCACAAGTGGCCCCAGAGCAGGTCCAGCCCCCTCCCACCGCAGCATCCAGAAAGACCCGTGGGCATTCGGTAGATGAGCCCAAGATCTAGAAATGGAACATTACTGGAGAAAAGGGCCTAGGAGACTAGAGGTAGCTCTACTCTCAGTGTGAGCGTGTGTCAGCACAGGCGTTGTGGTGTCTGATCACAGAGTAAAGGTATGCTTCCTTAATCTTGCATTGAAAACCATCTCCTTCGCATACACCATATGCAAAACCAAATTCAGGTAGATTAAAAAGCGAGAAAAGTAAACAAAACTGCAGATGCATTCAGGATAAAAGTAAGATAATAATTTTATTGTGTTGAGTTATGAAAAGCCTTCCTTAAAAAGATACAGCCCAGAGATGAGAAAGGAAAAGGCACAAAAGGCCCCTGTCATGCGCCATGGATGAAGATACAAGTTGAATGCCAGAAAGCGAGGGGCACAATTTAAAGTGTTCATTTTTAGATTTAGCAAGTCTACTTTCACACATGTATCCTATAAAAATATTTGCACATATGCATAACGGCACATACAAGGACATAACTGCAGCAATGGCAAGGAGTGATGAAAAAGTAGGAACAGTGGCCAAATCGAGTGATAACAGAAAAGGAGGCAGCACTGTGAGGAAGGTTGCGCAGAGTGCACCGCAGTGAGCACGGCCTGCGCCTAGACCCCTGTGCTGTCTGAGACCACCTCTGGAGTATGCAGCCATGTGTGGATCACAGGTGTCAAATAGCGAAGTTACTCTGGAAGAGTTTTTTTTGTTTGTTTTTTTGGGGGGTTTTTTTGTTTTTTTTTTGTTTTGTTTTGTTTGTGCAGACAGAGTCTCGCTCTGTCGCCCACACTGGAGTGCAGTCACGTGATGTCGGCTCACTGCAAGCTCTTGCCTCCCGGGTTCACGCCATTCGCCTGCCTCAGCCTCCCGAGTAGCTGGGACTACAGGCGCCCGCCACCATGCCTGTAGTCCTAATTTTTTCTGTTTTTTAGTAGAGATGGGGTTTCACCGTGTTAGCCAGGATGGTCCCGATCGCCTGACCTCGTGATCCGCCTGCCTCGGCCTCCCAAAATGCTGGAATTACAGGCATGAGCCATCGCTCCCGACTTAATTTTGCATTCTTAGTGGAGACGGGGGTTTCACCATGTTGGCCAGGCTGGTCTCGAACTCCTGACCTCAGGTGATCCACTCGCCTCAGCCTCCCAAAGAGCTGGGATTACAGGTGTGAGTCACTGCGCTCAGCTTAATTTTGTATTTTTAGTAGAGATGGGGTTTCTCCGTTTTGGTCAGGCTGGTCTTGAACTCCTGACCTCAGGTGATCCACCTGCCTCGGCCTCCCAAAGTGCTGGGATTACAGGCATGAGCCATTGTGCCCGGCCACATTTTTCTTTTTAAATCATTTTTATTCAGGTACAACTTATCCAAAAATCAGCACCACTGGTTTGTTTATTGCAGAAAAATGAAATTTAGAAGTTTGGTCTAAATTTTCTAGCTCGCTAAGGAATCTTCGAAAATTCCCAATTTTCCTATTTCTCACTAATGTAGGAAATATTTAAAAGCCAGCAAAGAAGAAAACATCTTTTAAAATCTCATTGTCTATACGTAATCACTAAGAACCTTTTGCAACTTTCCCTTATAGTTTTTTAACCTGTATATGAGGCGTTCTCTGTCCTGAAGTAATGTCCTGCCTCTGGCTAGCTCCTGTGACGGTAGCCCTCCCGGGGCTGGCCCTGGGTGAGGAGGGGTGGCGGCGGGGAGGTGAGCCCAGGAAAGGCTGCCCTCGCCAAGGCTCGGAAACTTCATTCGTGCACCGCACGAGGCGATGGCTCAGGGCAGGCTTGGACACCAATACTTTGCCAGCTCCTGAGGCACCGGACAGGCTCTGGCCAGAGCTTAATTGGTTAGCCCTAGAACGTTCCACGTTCACGTCAGACTCCATAGTAGGGACTTTCTCCTCAGAGCTGGGCAGGAGGAGCCCACTGAGGGTGTGCCATCTCTGCCCTCCAGGGAAAGCGGGAAGCAACAGGGAAACATCCATCTGCTCCGCCCTAGAGCCCCTGTCAATTTTGGACCCACCGCTATAGGTCTTCTGCCCCATACTGTTAGAAAAAGATGCAGGTTACCTGGGCACGTAAACGGTTTTCAGGAGTGGAGTGCCTGAGATCCCAGAGTCCACCTTTCCTTTATATAACACTCGTGTCACAGGACAGATTAGATTTCTTCCGTGTTTGGAGAACATTAGTCCTTTAAAATATCAGCCTGTGCTGCAAAGTGGGGTGGATTCTCTAGTCTCAGTCACTGTCTCAGCAGTGCTGTTGAAGCCCTCTCACCTGCTCCTTCTGGACTTCCTAGGGCTGCAGACCACAAGACTGGGAAACCACTTGGAAGACCGAGTGAACAAATTTTTGCGGCGCCAGAATCACCCTGAAGCCGGGGAGGTTTTTGTCCGAGTGGTGGCCAGCTCAGACAAGACGGTGGAGGTCAAGCCCGGGATGAAGTCACGGTCAGTGTGCCTGCTCTCTACAGTGCTCTGCGAGCAGTCCCCACGCCCGCTTGCCAGAGCCTGCTCTCTGCAAAGCTCTTGAGTTTGAGGTCATCCTTCCAAGACTTTGCAGCAGCGAATGCGTGCAGTAGCCCCCTCAGCTGCGGTTGTCCTGTCTGGGGTTTTAGTTACCCTATACAGTGCAGTAAGCTATTTTGAGAGAGAGACCACATACCATATTATAGTATACTGTTTATAATTTTCTTATTTTATTATTACTTATTCTTGTTAATCTCTTGCTGTGCCTAATTTATAAATTAAAATTTTGTGACCAGTACAGGTGTATAAGAAAAAACGCATAGAGGTTGATACTGTCCATGGTTTCCAGCATCCACTGCTGGTCTTGGAACATACACCCCGTGGATAAGGGGGACTGCTGTATAGCCAGTCCTCCTCAGAATCCCGTATTTCATTCACAGAGGTGCAGTTCCCTAGTGAGGGAAACTGGTCAGAAAGCAAGTGCTCCCTGCTCCGGGGCTGACTGGCCCATAGGGAGGACTCCAGGCCACGGTCTGAGGAGGTGGCCATGCCTCCGCTCATCTGCAGTGGCCAGAGTTAGAGGAGCAGGCCTGGTGTGCAGAAGCACCTTGTCAGCAACAGCCTTTGTAAATGTCCGGCTCTGGCTTTTGTTTCAGGTTTGTGGATTCTGGGGAAATGTCTGAATCTTTCCCATATCGAACCAAAGCTCTGTTTGCTTTTGAGGAAATTGACGGCGTGGATGTCTGCTTTTTTGGAATGCACGTCCAAGAATACGGCTCTGATTGCCCCCCTCCAAACACGAGGTAGTTTTCCAGCTCCTTCCAGGGCGTGTCATTCAGTGAGCCGTGTTAGGATAGACCAGGGCTCTTAAGTGTCCCAGAGGAGCCTGTGAGCCTTCATAGGGGATTAAAGTAAATGAAACCACAATTAACTAACCAAAGTAGTTAGTTTTGTTTTCCATTAAACTAGCGGGAAATGAACTGTTGAGATGACTGCAGTGAGCGTGTTTTGTGTGGCGAGTCTGTGTGGGACCCGCTCTTACCTAACGCAGGTAAACCTGGGGAGTTGGGATGGGACAGCCTGGCACCTGAACAGAGGAAGTAGCTCTGCCACGAGGGCTTCATGTGCAGTCAGGAATCTGGGCAAGAAGGAACTAAAAGTGGCTTTTCTCAGTTTGCCTTAACTGTGGCTCTCTGTGCCGAGTGGTGCCATTCATCCTTTTGTTCAGTGACGAAAACTGAATTCCATTTAACTGATTGGCAGCAGGGTTGGTGACTGGTTGGTTTTTGGGTTTTGGTTTGTTTGTTTGTTTATCACATCCTGTTTGGTGGCCAGTGTAAATACCATCAAAAGAAAAACTGGCCAATCACAGCACTGTGGGAGGCCGAGGTGGGAGGATAACTGGACCACAGGAGTCTGAGACAAGTCTGAACAACAAAGTGAGACCCTAGCTCTACAAAAAATAAATTATCTGGGCATGATGGTACATGCCTTGTCATCCTAACTATGTGGGAGTCTGAGGCAGGAGGATTGCTTGAGCCCATGAGGTTGAGGTTGCAGTGAGCTGTGACCGCGTCACCGCATTGCAGCCTGAATGACAGAGCAAGACCCTGTCTAAAAAGTAAACTTCCAGGGTGTTGTTTGTTGCTTGTGTTTGATTTCAGATTTGAGGGATACCCTGAGTTAAACATGTGCCTCCTTCCCACAGGCGTGTGTACATTTCTTATCTGGATAGTATTCATTTCTTCCGGCCACGTTGCCTCCGCACAGCCGTTTACCATGAGATCCTTATTGGATATTTAGAGTATGTGAAGAAATTAGGGTGAGTTTGGATTAAATTATTTGGAACTAGTAAGAACCCTTTATTTTTTACTGTATGTTTATTCCGTGAAATAATGGGTATTTTAAGTTTTATGCGTTTTTATTTTTCCATCCTAAGATCAATTCAGAATCTCCAAAGCTCCTCTTTCCAGGTGCTCCCCGAGCCTCACAGGTCTGGCTCCTGGGCACGTAGCAAGCTCTTTCCCTACCTTTACTTCCTTTTCATTCCCTTTTTTTTTTTTTTTAACTTTATTGAGGCAAAGTTTACATATCATAGAATTCCCCTTTTTTGGATATATGATTCAGTGGTTTTTAGTAACTTTACCCATTAGTGCAACTATCACAAGTCAGTTTCAGAACATTGTTATTGACCTATAAGATCCCTCCTGCTGCGGTGGATCACCTGAAGTCAGGAGTTCAAGACCAGCCTGACCAACATGGTGAAACCCCATCTCTACTAAAAATTAAAAAAAAGGCCGGGCGCGGTGGCTCACACCTGTAATCTCAGCACTTTGGGAGGCCGAGGCGGGCGGATCACAAGGTCAGGAGTTTGAGACCAGCCTGACCAACATGGTGAAACCCTGTCTCTACTAAAAATACAAAAGTTAGCCGGGCATAGTAGCATGAGCCTGTAATCCCAGCTACTCAAGAGGCTGAGGCAGGAGAATTCCTTGAATCCAGGAGGCGGGGGGTTGCAGTGAGCTGAGATTGTGCCACTGCACTCCAGCCTGGGCGACAGAGCAAGACTCCATCTCAAAAAAAGAAAAAAGAAAGAAAAGAAAAAAAGAAAAATACAAAAAAAAATTGGCTCACCTAGTCTGTAATCCTAGTACTTTGGGAGGCCAAGGCAGGTGGATCACCTGAGATCAGGAGTTCAAGACCAGCCTGACCAACATGGTGAAACCCTGTCTGTACTAAAAATACAAAAAATGAGCCAGGCGTGGTGGCGGGTGCCTAGCGTAATCCCAGCTCCTCAGGAGGTGGGGGCAGGAGAGCCACTCGAACCAGGGAGACAGAGGATGCGCTGAGTCGAGATCATGCCATTGCACTCCACCCTGGGCAACAACAATGAAACTCTGCCCCCCGCCCGCAAAAAAAAAAAAAGAAAAAAGAAAAAAAATGTTCCTCCTGCCCCTTGCTGTTAAACCTTCCCTGCCCCAGGCGACCACTAATCTACTTTGTCTCTCTGAATTTGTCTTTTGTGAATCCTTTGTGTAAACGGAACCCTGCAGCGTATGCTGTCTTGGGTCTGGCTTCCTTCTCTAGCCCTTGGTTTCTGTACTCTAGACCTGCCCCATTCCCTTCTGAAACTTGAAAAGGATAGGGGCATTTGATCAAAGTGTCTTGAACAGAATGAATGAGGTTTATGTTGACATTGACCCTTGGAGAAAAATAGTCAACCGAACTGCCTTTACAGTGCACAGGAGGAAGGGGATGGCATTGCCTTGATGAGCCATCATATTCCCTGGTTCTTTAATGAGGCCTCAGGTTTCTTTTGCAGCCTCGGCCCTGCCCTGTGTGTGCACCCCAAGGGAGAAGTGTTGCAGGGCTAATTTGCAGGCTTGCATTTGCTCAGGATAAAGTTCGAGCCTTGCCCCCACCACACCCAGCTTTGTGGGCATTCATTCTCTCTCTCTGGTTACTTCTGTCCTGGCTTTAGTCCTTGCTCCTCTGCTATAACTCCTTAAAGGCAGGGCCGATTTCACTGGCACGTTCATCTGACGTGTGTGCGTGGGTCCTGCAGGTATGTGACAGGGCACATCTGGGCCTGTCCTCCAAGTGAAGGAGATGATTACATCTTCCATTGCCACCCACCTGATCAAAAAATACCCAAGCCAAAACGACTGCAGGAGTGGTACAAAAAGATGCTGGACAAGGCGTTTGCAGAGCGGATCATCCATGACTACAAGGTACCCGGCGCTGAAGGAAGGTGGTGGCTTTTGTCACAACTGAGGGGAGGATATTTGTGTGCCTTTTTCTTGCATTCGCATACTTGTTAATTACCTTCACTTATGAGGATTAGAAAGCAGAAAAATAAAAGCCTAAAGTGAGAACTTAGAAGCATTTTCTTCAGCTGATTGAGGCTTTCCCCTGGCCGTCTGAGAGCAGCACAGTTGGAGCTGTTTCCATCAGTGGGCATTGGGGCCTGTGCATCACTGTTGCACACATAGGGGCTCCAGCACTGTGGTGGGGGGTGCACATGTGTGGGGGTCTGCTGCACTGTGGTGGGGGGGCACACATGCATGGGACTCTGCCACACCATGGTGAGGGGCACGCTTGCGTGGGGGTCTGTCGCACCATGGTGGGGGGCACGCGTGCATGGCCCTCATCTCACTGTTGTGCTTTGCCCACTCAGGATATTTTCAAACAAGCAACTGAAGACAGGCTCACCAGTGCCAAGGAACTGCCCTATTTTGAAGGTGATTTCTGGCCCAATGTGTTAGAAGAGAGCATTAAGGAACTAGAACAAGAAGAAGAGGAGAGGAAAAAGGAAGAGAGCACTGCAGCCAGTGAAACCACTGAGGTACAGACCCTTCTCTGAGCTCCATTGCCCACGTGTCCCGCTGGAGCTGCAGGGTGGCAGGCTGGGAGGCGCGTGTCGACTGTTAGGTCCTTCCTGTGGTGGTGTCTCCGTTCACACATGCACGTCGACACCACCTGCAGCACAGGGCGTTGGTGGGCAGCAGTGTGGGCTCTGCACTCTCTGCACAGTGGATGCTCTGGGGAGCTGGGGGTCCACTTAGACTCGGAGAGGGAAGAGAGGAAGACAGAAAATGGGACATGGGGCAGTCAGGACACAACCCGCTGATGTAAAAAGTGAGTCGAGGAGGCACAGGGTTGCCAGGCCTTATTCCGTGTTTGGTGGCCACTCTGCACATGATGCTCATGCCCTGCTGCCCTCTCTCCTTGGCGCTGCCCCTGAGTGCCAGGCAGTGCAGACTGAGCCAAACAAAACCCCATCCCTGGCCAGGCGCGGTGGCTCACACCTGTAACCCCGCACTTTGGGAGGCCGAGGCAGGCGGATCACAAGGTCAGGAAAGGGAGACCAGCCTGGCTAACACAGTGAAACCCCATCTCTACTAAAAATACAAAAATTTAGCCGGTTGTGGGAGGGGGCACCTGTAATCCCAGCTACGAGGGAGGTTGAGGCAGGAGAATCGCTTGAACCCGGGAGGCGGAGGTTGCAGTGAGCCTAGATTGCGCCGTTGCACTCCAGCCCAGGAGACAGTGCGAGACTCCGTTTCAGAACAAACAAAACCCCATCTCCGCCCCCAAGGGAGTGGCTGTGTCCTGGTAGGATGTGAAACAAAAAGAACCCAGACCCAAGCATGGTGTGCTCTGAGCGTGGCAGAGCTCTGAAGGGGAAGGAGCCTTGGGGAGGTGGCGTGTGGGCCAGACCCGCCCACCACAGGAAGGTGCTGGAAGAGGACCCGCCAGGCGGTGGGAGGAGGCGCGCTGTGTGCGGGTTTGTGCGGCTGTCTGGGGAAGAGATGATGGTGGCGTGGGTGTGGGCTGTAGCTGTAGGTGCAGGGAGAGCGATGACGAACGTTGAAGGCTGCAGCCCCAGAACTTGGGACAGGCGATTGTGACCAGTGAGGAAAAGCGGTGAATGGAGGTGGCTCTTGCGTGGGCTGCTGCCATGGGTGAGGCAGCCGGGAGCCGGCTGGGGACATACTGCCACTCTGGTGCCTGTCCCATATGAGAGCACGTCTGTGAGGTGGGTGCCGGATGGGCTGTAGGCGGAGCGTGGGGCCTGGGCCGCTTCCGCCACACACACTCGTGCTCACTGCACAGGTGGTTGAGAGGCAGCCACCTGCTGGACGGCGCCCCAGAGTGTCATTCGCAGGACAGAGGAGGCGCGGGCAGGGGGTGGCGTGGGTTTACGCCCTAGGTGGCTCCTAAGCAGAGCTCCTGGCCTGTTGTCTTCGGACTTGCTCCCGCTGGAGTGTAGCTGGTCTCACTGGTGTCTGGTGAGTTAATGCTTGAGTTCCATCTCCTAAGGGTGACACGGGAGGTTACCGCGTCCGAGACAGGCTTTGCGCAGCTGAGTTCCACCCCAGGAGGGGGCACCTGCCTGTGGCATGGCAGCAGTGGGGTTGTCCAGAAGACAGGCCTGATAGGGGCTCCTGCTGGGGCAGCCTTCCCTGTGCACCGGGGACATGCATGTGTTAGGAGGCGGGATGCTGAGGTGTCGGCATGTAGACCTGCTGTCCCTTGTGTGTTTGGTTCATGGACAACAATGGGCAGGGACATGCCTTCGTCAGCAACACCCCAGGAGCTCGCTCTGGGGGTCAGCCTTAGTGAGGGCTGGTGCGTGGGGTGGAGCACTGCTTTGCTATTAGCTCTGCTCTGCATCATGCTGTCAATTCTGGGAAATGGGGAAAGGCTCGCGATAGTGTCAGGTGGGGCGAGAAACGGAACCAGCTCCCTGTGTGCAGTCCCAGCTTCGTGAGGAATGTCGCAAACACGGAGACAAATGTGCCCAGGGAAAGCTCCAGAACACAGAACACTGCTGCTCGGGAAGACCAGAAAAACAAAACTTTTTAAAATTACTTGTCTATATTTTCTTAATTTCATGAACATATTTATTTTATAATTTTGTAAAAATAGACTTCCAGGCCGGGCGTGGTGGCTCACGCCTGTAATCCCAGCACTTTGAGAGGCCAAGGCAGGTGGATCACTTGAGGTCAGGAGTTTGAGACCAGCTTGGCCAACATGGTGAAACCCCGTCTCTACTAAAAATACAAAAATTAGCCAGGTGTGGTGGCGCACGCCTGTAGTCCCAGCTACTTGGGAGGCTGAGGCAGGAGAATCACTTGAACCCGGGAGGCACAGATTGCAGTGAGCCAAGATTGTGCCACTGCACTCCAGCCTGGTGACAGAGCGAGACTCCATCTCAAAAAAAATAGGCTTCCTTTGTTTTAAGGCTGACACAAAAATTGAGCACAGAGTTCCAGTATATTGCAGCACGCAGTTTCTCCTGTTACTAATGTCTTACCTTAGTGTGGCACATTTGCTGCCACGGTGAGCCATTTGTTGATGTTGATGCATTATTGTTAAGTCTACACTTCGTTCCAATTTCCTCAGTTTTCCCCTGACGTCCCTTTTCTGTCTCTGAATCCTGCGGAGGACCCACGTGATATTTGGGCTCCTCGGGCTGCTTGTCGGTGGGGTGGGAATTTTTTTTTTTTTTTTTTGAGATGGAGTCTCGCTCTGTCGCCCAGGCTGGAGTGCAGTGGCGCCATCTCAGCTCACTGCAAGCTCCGCCTCCCGGGTTCACACCATTCTCCTGCCTCAGCCTCCCGAGTAGGTGGGACTGCAGGCACCCGCCACCACGC
The DNA here is from genome assembly GCF_000001405.40 of Homo sapiens. Lineage (NCBI taxonomy): Eukaryota > Metazoa > Chordata > Mammalia > Primates > Hominidae > Homo > Homo sapiens. Next base: position 3,733,220 of record NC_000016.10, on the reverse strand, counting down.
CTGGCTAATTTTTTGTGTTTTTAGTAGAGACGGAGTTTCACCGTGTTAGCCAGGTTGGTCTTGATTTCCTGACCTCGAGATCCGCCTGCCTTGGCCTTCCAAAGTGCTGGGATTACAGGTGTGAGCCACCCCGCCCGGCTGGATTGTTGAATTCTCTCTGGACTGACCCCTCTCTTTGAACACCAAGAGTCTCTCTCATCTTGTTAAAAATGAAACTCTCTGGCTGGGCACGGTGGCTCATGCCTGTAATCTCAGCACTTTGGGAGGCTCAGGCGGGCGGATCACCCGAGGTCCGGAGTTCAAGGCCAGCCTGACCAACATGGTGAAACCCCATCTCTACTAAAAATACAAAAATTAGCTGGGTGTGGTGGCAGCACCTATAATCTCAGCTACTAGGGAGGTTCAGGCAGGAGAATCGCTTGAACCTTGGAGGCAGAGGTTGCAGTGAGCCGAGATCGCGTTATTGCACTTCAGCTTGGGTGACAAGAGCGAGACTCTGTCTCAAAAAAAATGATAGGTAGCCGGGCATGGTGGCGGGTGCCTATAATCCCAGCTACCCAGGAGGCTGAGGCAGGAGAATCACTTGAACCCAAGATGACACCACTGCACTCCAGCCTGGCAACAAGAGCAAAACTCCGTCTCTCAAAAAAAATAAAGCTCTCTGTTAAAGTGTAAGTGAGTGGTAATCCTGCGTTCTTTCCAGAGGAGGAGCCTGTGGGCTGAGAGCAAGCCCACCTTCAGCCAGTCAGGCGCAGCACTGATGGCCCCAGCAGGGAGCCAGCCTGCTCTCCGTGGGCCTTGAGTGGACCCCGCAGGGGCCTCAGAGTCCCTGCTCTTGATGGGGCAGCTGCTTTTCCCATCAGCAGCTTTCCTGTCTCCTGGAAGCTCTCATGCTTTCTCGGGTGTGTAGAGCCTTCCTCAAGGCAGACAGCTGCTGACCACAGTTGTGACGTGGAATCTTCCGCATCTGGTTGTGGCACAGTGGAAACAGCCCCCACTGCCCTCATTTGTTAATTTCTGAACTCGCACTCTGGGTCTCTTTTCCCCTTTAGAGGCAGCGTGGCATAAAGCTGATAATGACACCAGCCTGGCCGAGGACAGGCCCTGCTCTGTCCCGAAGGCTGCAGCACCTACAGCCACCTGTAGCCGTTCACGTATGGGGTCTGCCTGGTGGTGACCTACTTTGGCCTGAGCTTCCTGATGCCCACGGCCTGGGAGCTGGGCGTCCGTGCCAAGTGTGGAGGGGCACTTGCCTGGTCTCACAGCCTTGCGTGTTGTTGCAGGGCAGTCAGGGCGACAGCAAGAATGCCAAGAAGAAGAACAACAAGAAAACCAACAAGAACAAAAGCAGCATCAGCCGCGCCAACAAGAAGAAGCCCAGCATGCCCAACGTGTCCAATGACCTGTCCCAGAAGCTGTATGCCACCATGGAGAAGCACAAGGAGGTAGGCGTGGGCTGCGGTGCTGCAGCCGTGCCTCTGGCCGGGAGGAGGGAAAGACTCGCAGCTGGCGGGCGTGGGCCCGTGTGCAGGTCTGTGGTGGGAGGGAAGTGGCCCCCAGGAAACCAAGTGGACCAGTTGGGTGACATCATGCAACGTGTCACCAATTTTGTTCCATCCCAAGGCATCAGGGCCATCAGGCTCAGCCACCTGCCTATTCTGCAGGCTGGGTGGCTGCGCCTGCCCTGAGCTCACCACTGGAGGTGCCATGTCCCTTGTGTGGGACTAAAGCCCCTCCTCTCCTGCAGGTCTTCTTCGTGATCCACCTGCACGCTGGGCCTGTCATCAACACCCTGCCCCCCATCGTCGACCCCGACCCCCTGCTCAGCTGTGACCTCATGGATGGGCGCGACGCCTTCCTCACCCTCGCCAGAGACAAGCACTGGGAGTTCTCCTCCTTGCGCCGCTCCAAGTGGTCCACGCTCTGCATGCTGGTGGAGCTGCACACCCAGGGCCAGGACCGCTTTGTCTACACCTGCAACGAGTGCAAGCACCACGTGGAGACGCGCTGGCACTGCACTGTGTGCGAGGTAGGCCCTGCCCCCACCCCCACCCCCACAGCCGGCCTGGGGTCTGACGAAGCATCCTGTCCCTTTGCATGGGTGCCCGGGTTGGTGTCTGTACCTGATGGTGGCTGCACTGACTCCTCCAGAACTAGGACAGCGTCACAAGGCAGAAGGCGTTGCTGTGTGTGTGTTTCCTAAACCTGCTCTGTGTAGCCACAGCCACAGGCCTGACCCTGGGGACGGCCAGAGGGAGGCTCTGCTGGGAAGTCTGGCCTGTCTGTGCCCAGTTCTAGTCTTGCTAAATGGCTGGAAACACCCGCTGTCCTGTTGGCAGCTTGGGCCCCTCTGGCCACTTGTTCCTGAAGGACCCCCCGGTCATGCTCCCTCACTCCCCTCTAGGAATTTTGACCCCCCTGTGAAATGACGTGGGTGTCCCTTGCATGGGCCGAGTCAGGCTGTGCAGGGCAGGCAGGTGACAGATCCCACCATCCCCCTCCCAGGACAGTCACCATCACCTGCCAACCCGGAGCCTCCTCACTTGCTGTGGTGTCTGTAGCGGGGCAGAGCGGGTCCTCAGCAGAGCGAGGGCCTTTCTTCCCTCCCCACCTTCACACACTTCTTCCGCTTTCCACCTTTCTCCAGTCTCCTTTGTCCTCTTTCTAGTTTCTGAATGCGGCAGTTTTCATATCTTTTTGTGAACACAGTCATGGTACCTGGTCCTAGGGCTCCATCAGGTTGCCAGGTGCGAGCAGTTTTCAGTAACTTGGGCTTGCGCGTTGGGGAAGTCCCACTGGTGCACTGCGGATAGCTCAGGCCTTCCCAGAGGCACTTCACGGCAGCTGTCGGCGCTTTGGGAGGGACCGGCCTCCCTCAGCCTTTCACTGTCTGGCTTCATAGTTTGAGTACAGGAGTTGGACAGGCTGTGGCAAGGGCTGATGTGACTCCCAGGTCAGAGGAAGTCGGAAGGAAGGGGGCTGGTGTCTACTGTCCGTGAGCTTACAGGCCAGGGGTTCTTGGGGCATGGGTCAGGTTATCTTTGAGCCTTCAGGGCTGTTGCCAGGAGTGAAGGTCCTTGGGAGCAACACATAGGCAGTCCATGCCCCCGTCCTGTCCATGATCCCATGTTGTCCATGATCCCATCCCGTCCATGATCCCATCTTGTCCGTGCTCCCGCCCTGTCCGGGTCTCCCACCTGTCCGTGCTCGCATCCTGTCTGGGTCTCCTATCCTGCCTGGGTCTCCTGGCACAGACCCAGACTTAGCGGTGGAGGGAAGCAGCCAGGATGCCTGGTGGTACTGGGTCCCATGCTGACACCGGCCTGTCCCCTTTCCTTGCTTGCAGGACTACGACCTCTGCATCAACTGCTATAACACGAAGAGCCATGCCCATAAGATGGTGAAGTGGGGGCTGGGCCTGGATGACGAGGGCAGCAGCCAGGGCGAGCCACAGTCAAAGAGCCCCCAGGAGTCACGCCGGCTGAGCATCCAGCGCTGCATCCAGTCGCTGGTGCACGCGTGCCAGTGCCGCAACGCCAACTGCTCGCTGCCATCCTGCCAGAAGATGAAGCGGGTGGTGCAGCACACCAAGGGCTGCAAACGCAAGACCAACGGGGGCTGCCCGGTGTGCAAGCAGCTCATCGCCCTCTGCTGCTACCACGCCAAGCACTGCCAAGAAAACAAATGCCCCGTGCCCTTCTGCCTCAACATCAAACACAAGCTCCGCCAGCAGCAGATCCAGCACCGCCTGCAGCAGGCCCAGCTCATGCGCCGGCGGATGGCCACCATGAACACCCGCAACGTGCCTCAGCAGAGTCTGCCTTCTCCTACCTCAGCACCGCCCGGGACCCCCACACAGCAGCCCAGCACACCCCAGACGCCGCAGCCCCCTGCCCAGCCCCAACCCTCACCCGTGAGCATGTCACCAGCTGGCTTCCCCAGCGTGGCCCGGACTCAGCCCCCCACCACGGTGTCCACAGGGAAGCCTACCAGCCAGGTGCCGGCCCCCCCACCCCCGGCCCAGCCCCCTCCTGCAGCGGTGGAAGCGGCTCGGCAGATCGAGCGTGAGGCCCAGCAGCAGCAGCACCTGTACCGGGTGAACATCAACAACAGCATGCCCCCAGGACGCACGGGCATGGGGACCCCGGGGAGCCAGATGGCCCCCGTGAGCCTGAATGTGCCCCGACCCAACCAGGTGAGCGGGCCCGTCATGCCCAGCATGCCTCCCGGGCAGTGGCAGCAGGCGCCCCTTCCCCAGCAGCAGCCCATGCCAGGCTTGCCCAGGCCTGTGATATCCATGCAGGCCCAGGCGGCCGTGGCTGGGCCCCGGATGCCCAGCGTGCAGCCACCCAGGAGCATCTCACCCAGCGCTCTGCAAGACCTGCTGCGGACCCTGAAGTCGCCCAGCTCCCCTCAGCAGCAACAGCAGGTGCTGAACATTCTCAAATCAAACCCGCAGCTAATGGCAGCTTTCATCAAACAGCGCACAGCCAAGTACGTGGCCAATCAGCCCGGCATGCAGCCCCAGCCTGGCCTCCAGTCCCAGCCCGGCATGCAACCCCAGCCTGGCATGCACCAGCAGCCCAGCCTGCAGAACCTGAATGCCATGCAGGCTGGCGTGCCGCGGCCCGGTGTGCCTCCACAGCAGCAGGCGATGGGAGGCCTGAACCCCCAGGGCCAGGCCTTGAACATCATGAACCCAGGACACAACCCCAACATGGCGAGTATGAATCCACAGTACCGAGAAATGTTACGGAGGCAGCTGCTGCAGCAGCAGCAGCAACAGCAGCAGCAACAACAGCAGCAACAGCAGCAGCAGCAAGGGAGTGCCGGCATGGCTGGGGGCATGGCGGGGCACGGCCAGTTCCAGCAGCCTCAAGGACCCGGAGGCTACCCACCGGCCATGCAGCAGCAGCAGCGCATGCAGCAGCATCTCCCCCTCCAGGGCAGCTCCATGGGCCAGATGGCGGCTCAGATGGGACAGCTTGGCCAGATGGGGCAGCCGGGGCTGGGGGCAGACAGCACCCCCAACATCCAGCAAGCCCTGCAGCAGCGGATTCTGCAGCAACAGCAGATGAAGCAGCAGATTGGGTCCCCAGGCCAGCCGAACCCCATGAGCCCCCAGCAACACATGCTCTCAGGACAGCCACAGGCCTCGCATCTCCCTGGCCAGCAGATCGCCACGTCCCTTAGTAACCAGGTGCGGTCTCCAGCCCCTGTCCAGTCTCCACGGCCCCAGTCCCAGCCTCCACATTCCAGCCCGTCACCACGGATACAGCCCCAGCCTTCGCCACACCACGTCTCACCCCAGACTGGTTCCCCCCACCCCGGACTCGCAGTCACCATGGCCAGCTCCATAGATCAGGGACACTTGGGGAACCCCGAACAGAGTGCAATGCTCCCCCAGCTGAACACCCCCAGCAGGAGTGCGCTGTCCAGCGAACTGTCCCTGGTCGGGGACACCACGGGGGACACGCTAGAGAAGTTTGTGGAGGGCTTGTAGCATTGTGAGAGCATCACCTTTTCCCTTTCATGTTCTTGGACCTTTTGTACTGAAAATCCAGGCATCTAGGTTCTTTTTATTCCTAGATGGAACTGCGACTTCCGAGCCATGGAAGGGTGGATTGATGTTTAAAGAAACAATACAAAGAATATATTTTTTTGTTAAAAACCAGTTGATTTAAATATCTGGTCTCTCTCTTTGGTTTTTTTTTGGCGGGGGGGTGGGGGGGGTTCTTTTTTTTCCGTTTTGTTTTTGTTTGGGGGGAGGGGGGTTTTGTTTGGATTCTTTTTGTCGTCATTGCTGGTGACTCATGCCTTTTTTTAACGGGAAAAACAAGTTCATTATATTCATATTTTTTATTTGTATTTTCAAGACTTTAAACATTTATGTTTAAAAGTAAGAAGAAAAATAATATTCAGAACTGATTCCTGAAATAATGCAAGCTTATAATGTATCCCGATAACTTTGTGATGTTTCGGGAAGATTTTTTTCTATAGTGAACTCTGTGGGCGTCTCCCAGTATTACCCTGGATGATAGGAATTGACTCCGGCGTGCACACACGTACACACCCACACACATCTATCTATACATAATGGCTGAAGCCAAACTTGTCTTGCAGATGTAGAAATTGTTGCTTTGTTTCTCTGATAAAACTGGTTTTAGACAAAAAATAGGGATGATCACTCTTAGACCATGCTAATGTTACTAGAGAAGAAGCCTTCTTTTCTTTCTTCTATGTGAAACTTGAAATGAGGAAAAGCAATTCTAGTGTAAATCATGCAAGCGCTCTAATTCCTATAAATACGAAACTCGAGAAGATTCAATCACTGTATAGAATGGTAAAATACCAACTCATTTCTTATATCATATTGTTAAATAAACTGTGTGCAACAGACAAAAAGGGTGGTCCTTCTTGAATTCATGTACATGGTATTAACACTTAGTGTTCGGGGTTTTTTGTTATGAAAATGCTGTTTTCAACATTGTATTTGGACTATGCATGTGTTTTTTCCCCATTGTATATAAAGTACCGCTTAAAATTGATATAAATTACTGAGGTTTTTAACATGTATTCTGTTCTTTAAGATCCCTGTAAGAATGTTTAAGGTTTTTATTTATTTATATATATTTTTTGAGTCTGTTCTTTGTAAGACATGGTTCTGGTTGTTCGCTCATAGCGGAGAGGCTGGGGCTGCGGTTGTGGTTGTGGCGGCGTGGGTGGTGGCTGGGAACTGTGGCCCAGGCTTAGCGGCCGCCCGGAGGCTTTTCTTCCCGGAGACTGAGGTGGGCGACTGAGGTGGGCGGCTCAGCGTTGGCCCCACACATTCGAGGCTCACAGGTGATTGTCGCTCACACAGTTAGGGTCGTCAGTTGGTCTGAAACTGCATTTGGCCCACTCCTCCATCCTCCCTGTCCGTCGTAGCTGCCACCCCCAGAGGCGGCGCTTCTTCCCGTGTTCAGGCGGCTCCCCCCCCCCGTACACGACTCCCAGAATCTGAGGCAGAGAGTGCTCCAGGCTCGCGAGGTGCTTTCTGACTTCCCCCCAAATCCTGCCGCTGCCGCGCAGCATGTCCCGTGTGGCGTTTGAGGAAATGCTGAGGGACAGACACCTTGGAGCACCAGCTCCGGTCCCTGTTACAGTGAGAAAGGTCCCCCACTTCGGGGGATACTTGCACTTAGCCACATGGTCCTGCCTCCCTTGGAGTCCAGTTCCAGGCTCCCTTACTGAGTGGGTGAGACAAGTTCACAAAAACCGTAAAACTGAGAGGAGGACCATGGGCAGGGGAGCTGAAGTTCATCCCCTAAGTCTACCACCCCCAGCACCCAGAGAACCCACTTTATCCCTAGTCCCCCAACAAAGGCTGGTCTAGGTGGGGGTGATGGTAATTTTAGAAATCACGCCCCAAATAGCTTCCGTTTGGGCCCTTACATTCACAGATAGGTTTTAAATAGCTGAATACTTGGTTTGGGAATCTGAATTCGAGGAACCTTTCTAAGAAGTTGGAAAGGTCCGATCTAGTTTTAGCACAGAGCTTTGAACCTTGAGTTATAAAATGCAGAATAATTCAAGTAAAAATAAGACCACCATCTGGCACCCCTGACCAGCCCCCATTCACCCCATCCCAGGAGGGGAAGCACAGGCCGGGCCTCCGGTGGAGATTGCTGCCACTGCTCGGCCTGCTGGGTTCTTAACCTCCAGTGTCCTCTTCATCTTTTCCACCCGTAGGGAAACCTTGAGCCATGTGTTCAAACAAGAAGTGGGGCTAGAGCCCGAGAGCAGCAGCTCTAAGCCCACACTCAGAAAGTGGCGCCCTCCTGGTTGTGCAGCCTTTTAATGTGGGCAGTGGAGGGGCCTCTGTTTCAGGTTATCCTGGAATTCAAAACGTTATGTACCAACCTCATCCTCTTTGGAGTCTGCATCCTGTGCAACCGTCTTGGGCAATCCAGATGTCGAAGGATGTGACCGAGAGCATGGTCTGTGGATGCTAACCCTAAGTTTGTCGTAAGGAAATTTCTGTAAGAAACCTGGAAAGCCCCAACGCTGTGTCTCATGCTGTATACTTAAGAGGAGAAGAAAAAGTCCTATATTTGTGATCAAAAAGAGGAAACTTGAAATGTGATGGTGTTTATAATAAAAGATGGTAAAACTACTTGGATTCAAAGATGGTTCAGATTGGCTAATGACTTACAGTTAGCTCAACGGCTCGTCATTATAGGATTGCAGATGCGGGCCCGGTGCGGTGGCTCACGCCTGTAATCCCAGCACTTTGGGAGGCCAAGGCGGGTGGATCATGAAGTCGGGAGTTCGAGACCAGCCTGGCCAAGAAGGTGAAACCCCATCTCTATTAAAATACAAAAAAATTAGCCGGGTGTGGTGGCAGGCGCCTAGAATCCCAGCTACTCAGGAGGCTGAGGCAGAGAATCGCTTGAACCCAGGAGGCGGAGGTTGCAGTGAGCCGGGATCGTGCCACTGCACTACAGCCTGGGCAACAGTGAGATTTTGTCTCAAAAAAACGATTGTAGGTGGTGCTGGCCGGGCTTGGTGGCTCATGCCTGTAATCCCAGCACTTTGGGAGTCTGAGGCGGGCAGATCACATGGTCAGGAGTTTGAGACGAGCCTGGCCAATATGGTGAAACCCCATCTCTACTACAAAAAATACAAAAAATTGGCCGAGGTGTAGTGGCTCACGCCTGTAATCCCAACACTTTGGGAGGCCAAGGCAGGCAGATCACGACGTCAGCAGTTCGAGACCAGTCTGACCAGCGTGGTGAAACCCCGTCTCTACTAAACATACAAAAATTAGCTGGGCATGGTGGCGCACGCCTGTAATCCCAGCTACTCAGGAGACTGAGGCAGGAGAATCACTTAAACCCGGGAGGTGGAGGTTGCAGTGAGCCAAGATTGCACCACTGCACTCTGGCCTGGGCGACAGAGCAAGACTCTGTCTCAAAAAAAAAAAAAAAAAAAAAATATTCAGCCGGGCATGGTGGTGTGCACCTGTAGTCCTAGCTACTAAGGAGGCTGAGGCAGGAAAATCGGTTAAACCCAGGAGGCGGAGGTTACAGTGAGCCAAGAGCGCGCCACTGCACTCCAGCCTGGGCAACAGAGTGAGACTTCATCTCAGAAAGAAAAAAAAAATTGCAGATGTTCAGTGGAGTTTTTCTCTACAGAGCATGTGTTTGATGCTATCTTTGAAATTCTAGCATGTTAGAAACATAGAATGAGCTGTCCCTGGATAATGTGGCATGGAGAGGCTTCTGCTTCTAAGATCTCAGGTTGGGCTGGGCATGGTGGCTCACGCCTGTAATCCCAGCACTTTGGGAGGCTGAGGTGGGCAGATTGCCTGAGCTCAGGAGTTGACAACCAGCCTGGGCAACGTGGTGAAACCCCGTCTACTAAAATACAAAAAATTAGCCAGGCGTGGCAGCATGCGCCTATAGTCCCAGCTACTCGGGAGGATGAAGCGGGAGAATTGCTTGAACCCAGGAGGCAGAGGTTGCAGTGAGCCGAGATCACGCCACTGCACTCCAGCCTGGGGAACAGAGCAAGACTCTGACTGAAAAAAAAAAAAAAAAAATCTCAGGTTGAAGACGTGTAACTGTCTTCCTTTTTTCTTTTTGAGACAGAGTCTCCCTCTGTCACCCTGGCTGGAGTGCAGTGACGTGATCTCGGCTCACTGCAACCTCTGCCTTCCGGGTTCAGGCGATTCTCCTATCTCAGCCTCCCGAGTAGCTGGGACTAGAGGCATGTGCCACCATGCCCAGCTAATTTTTGTATTTTTAGTAGAGGCAGGATTTCGCCATGTTGGCCAGGCTGGTCTTGAACTCCCGACCTCAAGTGATCCACCCGCCTTGGCCTCCCAAAGTGCTGGGATTACAGGCGTCAGCAAACATGCCCGGTCCTTTTGATTACTATAAAATAGAACCAAAGATTTTATTTGAGCCAAAACATGCTTGGAGCATTGCATGGTGAAATAAGCTGTTTTTAAAAAAGAAACACACCTTTTATGAAGGAGAGGATTGCACATCAGTGGCCATTTTGCTACCAGGACATTCTCAGCACAGGACAGTGTGTGCCGGGAAGCAGAGGCTGCGCCCACAGCGCCGTAACAGACGGGCAGGGGCATGTAGGCAGGAGAATAACTTCATCTCAGACCATGAAGACATCGCAGCCTCATGGACGTATGGATTTTATGTGTTAATTCCACATGAATTACTTGTATACACTTCATAATAAATAGGCAGAGGTGGGAAAACATAGGTCCCTTATAAGATACTGAAGAAATTTAAGTGAGTGTAATGCCCAGACTAGCAAAGTAGATTCTGAGGAGCTTTGATGAGTAGATGACAGTGCTTTGCCGTTGATCTAAATTGTGCATAAAACGGTGCTTTTGATGGGCTCACATCTTTTTATAGAGGACTCCTCGAACTCCTGACCTCAAGTGATCCACCTGCCTCGGCCTCTCAAAGTGCCAGGATTACAGGTGTGAGCCACCACGCCCGGCTACTTCCTTCCTTTTTATGGCTGAGTAATATTCCATTGTATGAATAGACCACATTTTGCTGACCCATTCATCGTTCATGGTTACCTGAGTTGCTTCCACATTTTGGCTATTGTGAATAAAGCACCGGGCATTTTTCACGGCCCTCAGCTGACCCCAGTGGAAGGCAGTGGCTTCATATGGGCAGCCTCGTATTGGCCATAGAGGTGGGCAGGAGACTTGGGGGTTCTTCCCTTTCCCTCCCCAAGCAGCTCCCAGTCATTCTCCACTAATTCAAGTCAAGTACGTCTGCGTGTAAACATTTTTTCCTCTTTCTAGATTCTTGGTTTACGCGGAGCCTGAAGTCCATGTGTGGCCACCTTAGGACATGCCTTGGATCCCTCAGTACCTTACAAAGCCACAGGTCCAGCCGGGCGCAGGGGCTCACGCCTGTAATCCCAGCACTTTGGGAGGCCAAGGCAGGCGGATCACGAGGTCAGGAGATCGAGACCATCCTGGCTAACAGGGTGAAACACTATCTCTACCAAAAATACAAAAAAATTAGCTGGGCATAGTGGCACGTGCCTGTAGTCCCAGCTACTTGGGAGGCTGAGGCAGGAGAATCACTTGAACCCGGGAGGCGGAGGTTGCAGTGAGCCAAGACTGCGCCACTGAACTCCAGCCTGGGTGACAGAGTGAGACTCCGTCTCAAAAATAAAAAAATAAAAAAAAGTCACAGGGCCCTGGGCTAGCAGAGGCCCCAGGACCACAAGGCTCTGAGGCTGAGGGTTTGTCTCTGAAGGCTACAGGCCAACAGGACAGAAGGCTCTGGGGGTTTTTCTGGAACTTGGTAGATTTGCCCTCCACAGAACTTGGGGCCTGCCAGTCTTGGCAGAGGCCCCCCACCCTTAACTAAAGCCCAGGTTTCCCTCCTTTTGCCAAATATCACTTCCCCTTGTTGAAACTGGCCTGGTGTGGTGGCTTAAGCCTGTAATCCCAGCATTTTGGGAGGCCGAGGCAGGCGGATCACTTGAGGTCAGGTGTTCGAGACCAGCCTGGCCAACATGGTGAAACCCCGTCTCTACTAAAAATACAAAAATCGGCCAGGCATGGTGGCGGGTGCCTACAATCCCAGCTACTCAGGAGGCTGAGGCAGGAGAATCACTTGAACATGGGAGGCAGAGGTTGCAGTGAGCCGAGATCACACCACTGCACTTAAGCCTGGGCAACAAGCACGAAACTCTGTCTCAAACAACAAAAAACAAAACAAAACAAAAAAAGAAATAAAAGGCCTAAGCCAGATATATTGCCCCATGGACCAATGTGACAGCTGTTACAAAACAGAGGATTGGCCGGGTGCGGTGGCTCACGCCTGTAATCCCAGCACTTTGGGAGGCAGAGATGGGCGGATCACGAGGTCAGGAGATCGAGACCATTCTGGCTAACATGGTGAAACCCCGTCTCTACTAAAAATTCAAAAAGAAATTAGCCGGGTGTGGTGGTGGGCGCCTGTAGTCCCAGCTACTCGGGAGGCTAAGGCAGGAGAATGGAGTGAACCCGGGAGGCAGAGCTTGCAGTGAGCCGAGATCACACCACTGCACTCCAGCCTGGGCAACAGAGCAAGACTCTGTCTCAAAAAAAAAAAAAAAAAAAAAAAGAGAGAGATGATTTCCTGAATGGAGCGAAAAAGGGATGAAATGTGAAGCCGAGACACCCCCCACCCACCCCCATTCCCTGAGGACATGCTGGAAAGGGCTCTGCCTGGAGTGTGGTGATAGGGAACACAGGCAGGCCCATGCAGGCCTATAGGAGGAGGCAGAAGGAGTTTGGAAAGGATTGTAAATATGTGCATGTGTGTTGGTAGGGGGACCACTGGAGGATCTGAGAGACGGAGTATGATCCGGCTGCTGTGGAGGATGGGAGGCTGGCAAGAGCGGAAGCAGGGGGCCTGTCAGGGCTGCTGGAGTGGTCTGGGTGACAGGACCCTGCTCTTCCACCCAAATCTGCCCACCCTCTTTCCATTCCCTTCTCAATTGCTTAAGCTGGGAACTTGCCACTTTCCACCTGGAAGCGTTTCCTGACACATCCTCTTCCACCCAGCTCTGTCCCGGCCCCACTGAAGGTCACTCTCCTGGCTCCTGTGCTTCTCTGCAGCACGTGCCACGAGCTGGAGTCGCTATTTTTGTACAGTTATTAGAGTGTGGCAGTGAATCTTCAGTGTGCCTCCGAATTACCTGGGAACCTCAGTGGAGCCGCCTGGGCCCCACTCCGGGACTGAGGAGGTGCCGGGAAATCGGCATTATGAGGCTGCAGCTGGGTCTGGACCAAATGTTAGACCAGGGTGTATGGTCTGAATCTCCAACTAGTCTCTAACCTCCAGCAAGGTGTAAAGCAAAAACAAATTCTTTTTTTGCTGTTGTTTTTTGAGATAGAGTCTCACTCTGTTGCCCAGGCTGGAGTGCAGTGGCACGATCTCAGCTCACTGCAACCTCTGCCTCCCGGGTTCAAGCGATTCTCCTGCCTCAGCCTCCCGAGTAGCTGGGATTATAGGCATGTGCCGCCATGCCCGGCTAATTTTGTATTTTTAGTGGAGACAGGGTTTCTCCATGTTGGTCAGGCTGGTCTTGAACTCCCAACATCAGGTGATCCGCCTGCCTCGGCCTCCCAAAGTACTGGGATTACAGGCGTGAGCCACCGTGCCCAGCCGGCAAAAACACATTATAAGTCCCCCAACCCATGGAATGGATCATTCCTCTCCACCAAGGGGATTTCAAAGAAACCTAAAAAACTAGTTCAGGCCATAATTGGAAGGATGGGGTGGGTCCTGCCTCATTACACCCTCCACCCCTTGGAAATGAGGCACAACTGACCAGCGTTAACATTACAAAGGACTTTTTTTTTTTTTTGAGACGGAATCTTGTTCTGTTGCCCAGGCTGGAGTGGGAGTGCAGTGGTGCGATCTTGGCTCACTGCAATCTCTGCCTCCTGGGTTCAAGCGATTCCCCTGCTTCAGCCTCCCGAGTAGCCTCAGCTGTACACAGGTGCACACCACCACACCCAGGTAATTTTTTTTGTTTTTGAGACAGACTTTCACTCTTGTTGCCCAGGCTGGAGTGCAATGGTGCGGTATCAGCTCACTGCAACCTTCACCTCCTGGGTTCCAGCGATTCTCCTGCCTTAACCTCCTGCGTAGCTGGGATTACAGGCATGCGCCACCACGCCTGACTGATTTTTTGTATTTTTAGTAGAGACGGAGTTTCTCCCTGTCAGTCACGCTGGTCTCGAACTCCCGACCTCAGGTGATCTGCCCGCCTCAGCCTCCCAAAGTGCTAGGATTACAGGCGTGAGCCACTGCTCTTGGCCTAATTTTTGTATTTTTAGTAGAGATGGGGTTTTGCCATGCCGACCAGGCTGGTCTCAACCTCCTGACCTCAAGTGATAAGACCACCTTGGCCTCCTAAAGTGCTGGAATTACATGCGTAAGCCACCATGCCAGGCCACCTTTGCAGGTCTTTTCCTGATCCTGAGGGTCTAGGAATTTTTAACGGTCTGAATAAACAATATTTGCGAAAACATTTGCCATCTATTACCTGTAAGGGTGGTCATCTATGAGACTTCCTCTACATAATAAGAACCTTGGTCTTCACAACCTGTTTTTTGTTTGTTTGTTTGTTTGTTTGTTTTGAGACAGGGTGTGGCTCTCTTGCCCAAGCTGGAGTTCAATGGCACGAACTTGGCTCACTGCAACCTCTCCCTCCTGGGCTTAAGCAATCCACCCACCTCAGCCTCCCTTGTAGCTGGGATTACAGGCCTCCGCCACCACATCCGGTACAGGTATGTTTGGTACAGACAGGGTCTCACCATGTTGCCCACGCTGCTCTCCAACTCCTGACCTCAAGCAATTCGCCCACCTCGGCATCCCAAAGTGTTGGGATTACAGGTGTGAGTCACCGTGCTCGTGCCCACAACCCCTTATCTTCACCCAGACACTCTTTTTATTGATTCCAGGTCTGTATAACTCAACTCTTTTTTTTCTTTTTTTTGTTTTCTTTTTTTTTTTTTTTTGAGACGGAGTCACAGCTCTGTCGCCCAGGCTGCAGTGCAAGTGGCACGATCTCGGCTCACTGCAACCGCAGCCTCCCGGGTTCACGCTATTCTTCCGCCTCAGCCTCCCCAGGAGCTGGGACTACAGGCACGTGCCACCTTGCCCAGCTAATTTTTTGTATCTTAGTAGAGATGATGGGTTTTCACCATGTTGGCCAGGCTGGTCTCGGACTCCTGACCGCAGGCAGTCCGCCCACCTCAGCCTCCCAAAGTGCTAGGATTACAGGCGTGAGCCACCGCGCCCAACCAGAACTCAACTCTTTTAACCAATTGCCAATCAGAAAGTATCTGAATCCACCTATGACCTCTAAGTATTTCACCCTTTGAGTTGTCCTGCCTTTCCACACGGAACCAACCTATGTCTTACATGCATTGACTGATGTCTTATGTCTCTCTAAAATGTATAAAACCAAGCAAGCTGTAACCCAAGCACCTTGGGCCAAGTTCTCAGGACCTTTTGAGACTGTGCCTCCCTCCATGCACACTCATATTTGGCTCAGAATAACCTTCTAAATACTTTAGAGTTTGACTCTTCTCGACAAGGACAAGAGAAGTGGAATAAACGAATAACCGCAGTTTTCCTGGTGGTATTGGTCACTGGGTTCAGGTTTTGGAGTAGTAGCCAGTCAAGCCTGGAATCCCCTTCCTCATTCGCTTTAGCTTTTTGTCCAGTCTTGGTTTGCAAGAGACTTGCAGCGGCCTAGACGGATGGCCGGGATTCACAAAGGTCGCAGACACGGGAACTGCTTCTTCCCCAGCGTCGCCTCCACACCCTCGCGTGGATACTGACATCCGCCCCATTCCAGGAATGCGCACAGCTAGGCGCAGCCGGCCAGCGTGGGCCGGGGGCGGCGGGGCCACCTCCCCCACCTCCGCGCGCAAGGCCCGTCGCCCTTGACAACGCGATCCAAGGTCACGGAGGTCCCACCCCCAGGCCCGACCGTCCACGAGACGGGTAGTACCCCGCCACGCGCCCGAGCAGGCAGCTGCCCGGACAGCCCGGCGCCCGCCGTGACGTCACCGCCCCGCGCCCGAGGAAGCCCCGCCCCGCGCAGCCCCGTCCCGCCCCTTCCCATCGTGTACGGTCCCGCGTGGCTGCGCGCGGCGCTCTGGGAGTACGACATGGCGCGCGAGCTGCGGGCGCTGCTGCTGTGGGGCCGCCGCCTGCGGCCTTTGCTGCGGGCGCCGGCGCTGGCGGCCGTGCCGGGAGGTGAGGGCGTCCTGGCTGGACGGGCAGCGGGCGGGCCGGGCCACGGAGACGGCAGGGACGTCCCTGTGCTCCGGGGAGCGAGGCGCCGGCACCTGCTTCACAGGCGTGGGAGGTCCGGCGAGGCCAAGCGCGGCAGACGCGTTTACTTTCGCTCCGCTCCTCGCCAGCTCCAGCTTGGCTGCCTTTTCCTCGGCTGGACTCCCCTCGCCACCCGCCCATGGGAGCCCTGAAGGAGGCTGGGTCTTGGGGGGTCGCGGGGTCGGGCGGAGCGGCTGCGGGGTCGTCCCTCCTGGAGCTTCGGTCCAGTCAGGTAGCGCACGTGCAGGTGGAGCCGCTGCGGAGCGCGGAGTCTTTGCGGGTGCATGTTGCGGGGAATGGACTCACTCGGGGTGATCGTGCTAGTTCCATGGATCGTGCTTTACCCCTCCCCGCCTCCCAGTAGCGCACTGAGGGTTCATTTGTTAATTCGTTCATTGGACGCACATGTGAGCGCCCGCTCAGTGCCCGGCGCCGTGCAGGTTCTGGGGACGCCACAGTGAACAAAACCTATAGCAGTCATCCGGGTCCCCAGAGCAGGTGGACTCGATGTCGTTGACGCAGCTGTGTCCTCGGGGCCTGGAATTGATGGATGCGCCAATAAATGTTTGTAAAACAGAGAGAACGACCCTAACCTCTGCTTTCCCAGTCCCCACTCGGAGGTAACAACAGTGAAAGTTTCGGCATTGCTTCGGGGCTGTACACAGTGTTATACGTGTAAATATAAATGTCTGCGTATAAGTATTTTTTATTCTAAAAAGCCTAAACCATGTATGCATTGTGCTACGTTGTACTTCAGAAAATTTTAACGCTCCCAGCATTCTTTCCACATCTTTTCATGTCAGTGTATACAGGTCCATGTGCCTTCCAGTGACCACACAGTATTCTGTATGATGGACGTGTCATTTGTTTAAACATTGTCCTATTAGTGGACGCAATAAAGGTTATTTCAGGTTTTACTTTTTATTACAATGCTGCATAGAATGGGTGAGTACTTAAATATTTGTTCACGTGCGGTATTTCTTTAGCCTTACATAATTAGAATTTTAGAATTGATATTTCAGAGCCTATGCATTTTTGAAATGTTAGCAGATACTGCCAAATTGTCCAAAAAGGCCTTATCAATTTATATCCCCTTTAGCAGGCATCAAGACTGCCTATTCCAAAGGTATTTTCTTCAACGCTGAATCTTATGTCTTTTCAAAACCAGTGGTCTATAAAAGATACCTTGTGGCCGGGCGCGGTGGCTCACGCCTGTAATCCTAGCACTTTGGGAGCCTGAGGTGGGCAGATCAGGAGTTCAAGACCAGCCTGGCCAACATGGTGAAACCCTGTCTCTACTAAAAATACAAAAATTAGCTGGGTGTGGTGGCGCGCGCCTGTAATCCCAGCTTCTTGGGAGGCTGAGGCAGGAGAATCGCTTGAACCCAGGAGGCAGAGATTGCAGTGAGCTGAGATTGCACCACTGCACTCCAGCCTGGGCGACAGAGTGAGACTTCATCTCAACAACAAAAATAATAATAATTTTCCCTCAGAAAGTGATGCTGTTGCTCTCTTCTAGCACCAGTGTCTGATCAATTATTTATTTATTTTTTTGTCTTTATGAGGTGGGGTTTCACTATGTTGGCCAGGCTGGTCTCCAGTGCCTGACCTCAAGTGATCTGCCTGCCTTGCCCTCCAAAATGCTGGGATTGCAGGCGTGTGTCACCGTGCCTGGCCAACTGTTCTGTTAATTTGGTTCTCGTTTCTTTTGTAGCTGACTCGGGTTTTTTCCCCCTTGGAGGTTAAGATTTTTTCTCTTTGTCGTTTGTGGTCTCGCGTCCACAGGTGTTTGTGATTCATGCTTTGTATCATGCACTGTCCCTTCCATTTGGAAAATATGTCAGTTTTCAGCCCAGGGACATTTTAATTCTGTTTCTTTATCTCTTTTTCTTTTTCTTTTTTTTTGAGATGGAGTCTTGCTCTGTCACCCAGGCTGGAGTGCAGTGGCGCGATCTTGGCTCACTGCAAGCTCCGCCTCCCGGGTTCAGGCCATTCTCCTGCCTCAGCCTCCCGAGTAGCTGGGACTTTAGGCGCCCACCACCATGCCTGGCTAATTTTTTGTATTTTTAGTAGAGACGGGGTTTCACCCTGTTAGCCAGGATGGTCTCGATCTCCTGACCTCGTGATCCGCCCACTTCGGCCTCCCAAAGTGCTGGGATTACAAGCGTGAGCCGCTGTGCCCAGCCCTTTATCTCTTTTTCTTAAAAATTGTCTCTCTCCTCTCGTCCTCCATCTTCTGGTGCGGTGGTTCAAGCATTCCTCTGCCTGAGTCTAAGAAATGGAACATGTTCTTGGCAGCCTTCTGCGTGGCAGGTGCCCTTGTCATTGTCACCTGTGTGGATGAATGGGAAGGTAAATTGTTTGGATTGATTGAACGATGAGAGAATTTAGCTAAGAAAATACATGTCTTGTGCAACAGGGGAGAAAGAATAGTTTAGGCAGATCCACCTATGTAGAAAATCCAGACCTCTTGAAATTTTTTTCTTTTCTTGGGAAAGTATTTCCAGGTTGTAGCATGTGCCTGGCTTCAGGTGTGCGTGTCTTATGTCTGTGGAATCCTCTCGCCCATGCTACGCTGCCTCAGTCACCCATGAGCTCAGCCCTCTTACCCTTTCAGACCTCACTGACCCCTGACACTGCCAGCCCTGTCACTTGCCCTCAGAATATCTTATTTGATTTTTTTTGAGCCGGAGTCTTGCTCTGTTGCCCAGGCTGGAGTGCAGTGGTGCAACCTCAGCTCACCACACCCTCCGCCTCCTGGGTTCGAGTGATTCTCCTGACTTCGCCTCCCACGTAGCTGGGACTACAGGCGCATGCCACCACACCCAGCTAGGTTTTGTATTTTTAATAGAGATGGGGTTTCACTATGCTGGCCAGGGTGGTCTCGAACTCCTGACCTCATGATCCACTAGCCTTGGCCTCCCAAAATGCTGGGATTACAGGCGTGAGCCACTGCGCCTGGCCTACCCTCAGAATATTTCTGTGAGGGGTGGGCTAGGATATCCGCTTGTGGACTTTATATTTGTCATTTTTGCCCATAACAGTTTATTCAGCAAATACATTTCCAATGCCCCCGAGTCGTCAAAGAAAATGTGACCCTGCTGTCTGGAGTCATAGGTGGCTGCTGAGCAGTGTACCAGGGCCATCTTGGTGGCCTGGACAGCACATTAGAGAAACAAGAGCTGCTTGCCCCAGGGTAAGTTTCACAGATGAGGAGCGATTTGGGCCGAGTGTCCAAGGCTGTTTTCACTGGAGGGGAGGGAGGAACGTTCCATGTCTGGAAAGCTGCAGGTGCAAGGGTAAGGAGATAGCTCTGAATAATTGGTTTGATGAAAGACTTGCGGGAGTGTGCAGGAGTGATGGTGAATGAGGCTAGCAGTTGTGTCTTTTCTGTCAGATATAAGCTTGTGCGTAGGAGCCTCATCCTGCATTCCTCAGGACAGTCACAGAGCCAGCCCTGGGCCTGGTGTGTGGGGAGCCCAGCCACGTGGCCCACCATGAGAGCTTTTCGTCAGAGCTCCAACTGTCAGAAGTGTCAGATGTGCCAGTAGAAGGATGAGGCCGCCTCCTAAAGGAGAGGGAAGACCTGGAAAGATCAACAGCAGACGCAGTCTCCCAAAGCAAACGTGATTCTGTGGTCAGGCAGGTACGGTGACGGGTTGGTCATTTTGCATGACGAGGTGACTGCCACAATCACCAAGGGTGCCGAGTCCAGTCTCCTGGTCATGCCAGATGCTCTTGTTTTCGTGAAATTGCCAGAACATGACTGAGGCAACCACGATAGGACTGGTTGGTGCAGGCGTTAAGATCTTGGGCCTTTTTGTTCTCTGTAAGCTGGAGCCTTTGCTGGAACTTCCTGTCTTGGAAATCAGAGTTGTGAGAGTAGGTCCCCTGCCAGCACCAGGAAGGTCGGGAGAGCTGGTTTCCTCACTTTGCTCAGGGCTCAAGTACTAGCTAGTTTGTTTCATCTTCCAAAAAGAGCCTCACCTGGACCCCGCTCCTGTAGGTGGTGCCTGCCTGCTGCGCCCTCCCCTTCAGTACTTCGTTTTGTTGACGGGTTTTGCCTCCTCCCTCTGCTCTCCCTTTGTTTGGAGCCTGTGCTGTTTGATTTCCGTGTCTTGTGTGCTGCACCCTTCAGGAGAATTCAGGTGAATTTCTGGTGCTCTCCGGCTGTTCTTTTCAGAGTGGAGGGGAGTAGTACTTGCTGGTCAGTTGCGACTCTGTCTGTGAAACAGCTCTTTGTGTTGCTGAGATGACGCTAGAGGTGTAGCGTCCATGACATGTTTGTCGTCTGATTAAGCTGTGGTGCTGGCACTTAGACGGCAGAGGAAGGTGTGGCCCAGCTGTCCAAGGCCACCAGGAGGACCTTCAGCTTAGTTAGGACCAAGGGAACTGAGTTATCTGAGTGCCTGAAAAAGAACACATCAGGCCGGGCGCGGTGGCTCTCGTCTGTAATCCCAGCACTTTGGGAGGCCGAGGTGGGTGGATCACTTGAGTTCAGGAATTTGAGACCAACCTGGCCAACATGGCGAAACCCCGTCTCTACTAAAAATACAAAGAAATTAGCCAGGGTGGTGGCAGGCGCCTGTAATCCCAGATACTTGGGAGGCTGAGGCACGAGAATTGCTTGAACCTGGGAGGTGGAGGTTGGAGGTTGCAGTGAGCCAAGATTGTGCCACTGCACTCCCTCCTGGGCGACAGTGCAAGACTCTGTCTTGGAAACAAACACATCAATCCGAATGTAAGAGATTAGCAAAGCGTTTATTGGTTACTGGGTGAGTAGTTGGCCTAAGCTAAGACAAAAGAGGAATCTCCAAGTATTTTGCTACCCCTTGGCAGGAAGAGAGGGAATGCAGCTTGCGGGGTGGGGATGGGGGTGTCAGGTTGATAAGAAAACTGTGGGAAAATAAACATTTACTCCTGCCCCCCATGTCAGTAAATACCATGTGACAAAGGTGAGTTCCATGAAAGAGGCTGTTACTGAGGCCTGTGATACTTGCTTGTCTCAAAATGCTGACATATCTTTTTTTTTTTTTTTTTTTTTTTTTTTTTTTTTTGAGACAGATTCTTTCTGTCGCCAGGCTGAAGTGCAGTGGCATGACCTCAGCTCACTGCAACTTCCGCCTCCTGAATTCAGGCAGTTCTCCTGCCTCAGCCTCCTGAGTAGCTGGGACTACAGGTGCATGCCACCATGGCCAGCCAATTTTTGTATTTTTAGTAGAGACGAGGTTTCACCGTGTTGGGCAAGATGGTCTCAATCTTTTGACCTTTTGATCTGCCTGCTTTGGCCTCCCAAAGTGCTGGGATTACAGACATGAGCTACCACGTCGGGCCTGACAAAGAATCTTGATAGCGATTGAAAATGTATCCATTCATACTCAAATGAAGTAAAAAGTGCTTTTGGGTTCAAAGCCAGAGAATGTTCATGGATGGCGTTTTTGGTGCCTCAAGTGTAGCCAGCTAGAACTTTTCTTACCACCGTCCTGCTTAGTCCTACTGAAGACCTGCCTTCTACTAGGAAGCTGCTCTTAGTCCACAAAGTGGCTTCCCTGTAGTTCCACAGCATTTAACAAAATAGATTTCAGGGAGTTTATTTGTGGTGTGGCTGGTTATTTCTGCTAAAACCACTAGGAATTACCATAAAAGCTGTAGCTTGGAGAAACAGTATCTACTTGCGGGAGTATTACTGCCACCTGTGTTTTTTTTGTTTTTGTTTTGGTTTTTGTTTTTTTTTTGTTTTTTTCAAGATGGAGTCTTGCTCTGTTTCCCAGGCTGGAGTGCAGTGGCACGAACTCGGCTCACTGCAATCTCCACCTCCCGGGTTCAAGCAGTTCTCCTGCCTCAGCCTCCCAAGTAGCTGGGGCTACAGGCATGCACTACCGTGCCCGGCTAATTTTTGTATTTTTAGTTGAGGTAGAGTTTCACCATGTTGGCCAGGCTGGTCTTGAACTTCTGACCTTGTGATCTGCCTGCCTCGGCCTCCCAAAGTGCTGGGATTACAGGTGTGCGCCACCGTTCCCAGCCCTGCCATTGGCTTTTTAACCAGGTGAATTCCTGTAGATTGGGTAGATTGAAAGGACATGTAGCTGAATCATTGGTTTTAAAAGGAATGGCTCAGTTACTTCATAGCCATATAATTAAGAAATGTGGCTAGAAGGTAAAAAATTGGCCAGGCCTGGTAGCTCATGCTTGTAATCCCAGCACTTTGGGGGCTGCGGCGGGAGGATCCTGTGAGTTTAGGAGTTTGAGACCAGCCTGGGCAACCTAGAGAGACCCCCATCTCTACCAAAAAACCCTTTTTTTTTTTTTTCCAATTAGCTGGGTGTGCCTGTGGTCCCAGCTACCCAAGAGGCTGAAGTGGGAGGCTCCCTTAAGCCTTGAGAAGTCGAGGCTGCAGTGAGCTGTGATCACGCCACTGCACTACAGTCTGGGTGACAGAGTGACAGTGTCTCAAAAAAAAAAATATATATATATATATATATATACACACACACATATAAAAGAAATTAATTTTGAGATAGCTAAATTAAATGCCATATTAAGAGCAGGAGGCTATTCAGCAATGCTGCTGAGAAGAAGACAGAAGGACGTGGGTCCTTCTAATGTAACTATGTGTGTCGGGTTAGTGATATGCACCTCGAAGGAGAAATTAAGACAGCACATTGCCATGTTAGTTCACACTTGCCAGTATTTCAGCATTTGTCAGGCAATGGAATGTTCAAGCGAATTTTCCACGAGGCTGACTTTAAAACATTTCATTTTAACCATTATGATGAGAAGTCTTTCTAGAACACTCCATCATTTGATGGCCCATGACTGAACCTCTCTTGGATGTTTTCAGGGTCATTATTACGGGTGTTAATGTTTGGTCTTCTGTTTTAATATGTAGGCTCCCGTAGGGCCATTGAAATGTGAAGAATCCTTCGTCTATGAAGTGTCCCCACATCAAAACTGCATTGTGAGTGTTTATATTTTTGGCCTCTCTTACTGTGGCCTTAACTTGCAGGTCTGTCTGGAGCCCTGTTCTCTCCTTTCCTAGTTTGCAGATGTGGCTGGGAAACTTGTTAGCATCAAATTGTTAGAATGAGATGGATTTCATATGGGGCCAGTAGTCTTCCATGAGCAAAGCTCAGGGTGAGGGCTTCAGGCCCATATTTTGACTATTCCGAGGTGCCCTTTCGCTTTTTGTTCTTTTTCTTTATGTTCAAGGAGTTATGTTTCCTGATGAATGAAGTATCAGTATATCATAGTAGAGAACGATTAGACCAGGTTCTGGAACACAGGAAACCTCAAGAAACAGTGAGTGTTGAGAATGCCAGAGCTAAGAACTCAGACATTTGTGAGGGAATACAGGTCTTTCTGTTCAGAATGTTCATGTACTTAAGAATCTTCTCGCCAGGCGCGGTGGCTCACGCCTGTAATCCCAGCACTTTGGCAGGCTGAGGCGGGTGGATCACCTGAGGTTAGGAGTTTGAGACCAGCCTGACCAACATGGAGAAACCCTGTCTCTACGAAAAATACAAAACTAGCCGGGCGTGGTGGCGCATGCCTGTAATCCCAGCTACTTAGGAGGCTGAGGCAGGAGAATCGCTTGAATCTGGGAGGTGGAGGTTGTGGTGTGCCGAGATGGCGCCACTGCACTCCAGCCTGGCAACAAGAGCGAAAACTCCGTCTCACACACACACACAAAAAAAAGGGAAACAAAGGTAAACTGGGAAGGAACCGTGTGTAATCTTCCGTACCTTGCATTTTCCACTTATATTCTGGGGTTTGTTTCCTGTCGCCACAGAGCTCTGGTATTCCATAGCGAGGATGTTTTGTAATTTATGTAACCCTCTCATGGCGGACATTTAGGTTGTTGCTGAGTTTCCCCAAGATAACAGACGGCATTGCCAACAGTTTCTCACACCTTCACCAGTGCTAGAATGACAGTATTTAAAACATCTGTCAATCTGGTAGTGAAAATGCTATCTCGTTTTAAAGTGCATTTCCTTAGTTATGAGTGTGGTAAAACATCTTTTACTAGGACGTAAAGCCATTGATGTTTCTTGTTTTTGTGAATGGCCATTTTTCTCTTGAACCAATGGCCTTTTTCTTTTTTTTTTTTTTTTTTTTGAGATGGAGTTTTGCACTTGGTGCCCAGGCTGGAGTGCAGTGGCGTGATCTTGGCTCACCGTAACCTCTGCGCTAGCCCTTTTAAATAACTTTTAAAAATTGAGACAGTGTCGGGCCAGGCACGGTGGCTCACGCCTGTAATCCCAGCACTGTGGGAGGCCGAGGCGGGCGGATCATGAGGTCAGGAGATCGAGACCATCCTGGCTAACACGGTGAAACCCCATCTCTACTAAAAATACAAAAAATTATCTGGGCATGGTGGCGGGCGCCTGTAGTCCCAGCTACTTGGGAAGCTGAGGCAGGAGAATGCCGTGAACCCAGGAAGCGGAGCTTGCAGTGAGCCGCGATCGCACCACTGCACTCCAGCCTCGGCAACAGAGCAAAACTCCATCTCAAAAAAAAAAAAAAAATTGAGACAGAGTCTGACTCTGTTGCCCAGGCTGGAGTGCAGTGGCGCCATCTCACCTTACTGTAACCTCCGCCTCCCGAGGTTAAGCAGTCCTCTCGCCTCAGCCTCACAAGTAGCCGGGATTACAGGCACGCGCCACCATGCCCGGCTCATTTATTTTTATTTATTTATTTATTTATTTTGAGATGGAGTCTCGCTCCGTCGCCCAGGCTGGAGTGCAGTGGTACAATCTTGGCTCACTGCAACCTCCGTCTCCCAGGTTGAAGCATTTCTCCTGCCTCAGCCTCCCTAGTAGCTGGGACTACAGGCACCCGTCACCACGCCCGGCTAATTTTTGTATTTTTAGTAGAGATGGAATTTCACCATGTTGATCAGGCTGGTCTTGAACTCCTGACCTCATGATCCATCCGCCTCAGCCTCCCAAAGTGTTGGCATTACAGGTGTGAGCCACTGCTCCTGGCTTTCTGGCTAATTTTTGTTTTTTTTTGTATTTTTAGTAGAGACAGGGTTTTGCCATGTTGGCCAGGCTAGTCTCAAACTCTTGACCTCGGGATCTGCCCGCCCCCACCTCCCAAAGTGCTGTGATTACAGGCGTGAGCCACGGCACTAAATTTTATTTTAGAGGCAGGGTCTTGCTTTGTCATCCGGGCTGGAGTGCAGTTGTGCGATCCTGGCTCGCTGCAGGCCTGACCTCCTGGACTCAAGTGATACTCCTGCCTCATCCTCCCAAGTGGCTGTGACCTCTTCCTCCCAAGGAGCATGTGCCACCATGCCTGGCTAATTAAAAAACATTTTTTTTAGAGATGGGGTCCCACTATATTGCCCCGGCTTGTCTTGAACTCCTGGTCTCAAGTGATCCTCCTACTTCTGCCTGCCAAAGTACTGGGATTACACGCAGGAGCCGTCGTGCCTGGCCCCCAGTTTTTTTCTTAATGTGTTTGTCTTTTTTTTTTTTTTTTTTGAGTTAGAGTCTCGCTCTGTCTGTTGCCCAGGCTGGAGTGCAGTGGCACGATCTTGGCTCACTGCAGCCTTCGCTTCCCGAGTGCAAGCAAGTCTCCTGCCTCAGCCTC
Organism: Homo sapiens; assembly: GCF_000001405.40. Lineage (NCBI taxonomy): Eukaryota > Metazoa > Chordata > Mammalia > Primates > Hominidae > Homo > Homo sapiens. The sequence goes on along the minus strand of NC_000016.10, from coordinate 3,707,748 downwards.
TGGAGTAGCTGGGATTACAGATGCCCGCTGCGACTCCCAGCTAATTTTTGTATTTTTGGTAGAGACGGGGTTTCACCATGTTGGCCAGGCTGGTCTCGAACTCCTGACCTCAGGCGATCCACCCACCTCAGCCTCCCAAAGTGCTGGGATTACAGGCATGAGCCACCTCACCCGGGTGTTTGTCTTTTGACTTAAATTTTTATGTGGTCCTTATATTTATGGCCTTTTGGGTTATATATTTTGTTTAGAAACATTTCCTCTTAAGGCCGGGCGCGGTGGCTCACGCTTGTAATCCTAGCACTTTGGGAGGCTGAGGCAGGTGGATCACGAGTTCAGGAGTTTGAGACCATCCTGGCCAACATGGTGAAACCCCGTCTCTACTAAAAATACAAAACATTAGCCGGGTGTGGTGGTGGGCGCCTGTAGTCCCAGCTACTTGGGAGGCTGAGGCAGGAGAATGGTGTGAACCCGGGAGGCGGAGCTTGCAGTGAGCCGAGATCCCGCCACTGCACTCCAGCCTGGGCGACAGAGCGAGACTCCGCCTCAAAAAAAAAAAAAAAAAAAGATTTCCTCTTAAATCATTTTTTTTAAAAACTCAAGATGCCTGGCAGTTTAGGAACTGCAAAGCAAAACTACAGTGAGTTAGCACTTCCTACTCACTAGGGTGGCTATAATTAAAAATTAAAGAAACAACAACAAAAAAACAGGTGATACAAAATGGATAACTAGGATGTGGAAAAATCAGAACCCTCCCACACTGCTGGTGAGAATGTAAAACGGTGCGACCTCTGCAGGAAAACATTCTTGCAGCTCCTCACACAGTCAAACCGAATTACCATATGACCCCACAGTTCTACCCTGAGGCACATACCTTGTAGACATGAAAACATGTCCACAGAACAGCCTACACATGAATGTTCATAGCAGCATTATTCATAATAACCCGAAAATGAAAACAATCTGAAGGTCCATCAGAAGGTGGAAACGAGGCTGGGTGCGGTTGGTCATGCCTGTAATTGCAGCACTTCAGGAGGCCAAGGCAGGAGGATTGCTTGAGGCCAAGAGTTGAATGCCAGCCTGGACAACATAGTGAGACTCCATCTCGAAAAAAAATTTTTAAAAATTGCTGGGTGTGGTGGCACATGCCTGTGGTCCCAGCCATTTGGGAGGCTGAGGTGGGAGAATTGCTCGAGCCCAGGAGTTTGAGGCTACATTGAGCTGTGATTGTGCCACTGCACTTCAGCCTGGTCAAAGAGCAAGAACCTATCTCAAAAAAAAAAAAAAAAAAAAAAGAGTGCAAATAGGCCAGGAGTGGTGGTGCGCCCTTCTAATCCCACCTGCTTGGGAGGCTGAGGTGGGAGGATCGCTTAAGCCTGCCAGTTGGAGGCTACCATGCACCATGACAGTGCCTGTAAACAGCCACTGCACTCCAGGCAACATAGTGAGACCCCCACCCCACCCCAAAACAAAAGTTACAGTAAAAAGTTGGAAGCTGGGCCTGGTGCAGTGGCTCATGTCTACAATCTCAGCACTTCGGGAGGCTAACGTGGGTGGATTACTTGAGGTCAGGAGTTTGAGACTAGCCTGGCCAACATGGCAAAACCCGTCTCTACTAAAAATACAAAAATTAACTGGGCGTGGTGGCGGGTGCCTCAGCAGGAGAATCACTTGACCCTGGGAATTGGAGGTTGCAGTGAGCGGAGATTACACCACTGCAGAGTGAGACTCCGTCTCAAAAAAAAAAAAAGAAAAAAAGGGCCGGGACTGGTGGCTCACGCCTGTAATCCCAGCACTTTGGGAGGCCGAGGTGGGCCGATCACCTGAGGTCAGGAGTTTGAGACCAGCCTGACCAACATGGAGAAACCCCGTCTCTACTAAAAAAAAATATATATATATATAAAATTAGCCGGGTGTGGTGGCACATGCCTGTAATCTCAGCTACTCGGGAGGCTGAGGCAGGAGAATCACTTGAACCCGGGAGGCAGAGGTTGCAGTGAGCCAAGATCATGTCATTGCACTCCAGCCTGGCAACGAGAGTGAAACTCTGTCTCACAAAAAATTTGGAAGCAACCCAGTTGCCCATCATTTGATGAATGGAAAAAAATAATCTATACAGCGGAGTGCTCTTCAGTTATAAAAAGGAATGAGGTGCTGATACATGCTATATGTGGATGAACCCCAAAGACTTTATGCTAAGTCAAAGAAGCCAGACAAAAAACCATATATTGTATGATTTCATTTCTGTGAAGTGCCCAGAAAAGGCAAATCCATAGAGACAGACATAGATGAGTAGTTGCCAAGAGCTGGTGGGAGAGGGAAAAGAGAGTGAACATGAGTGGCTGTAGGGCTTCTTTTGGGGTGATAAAAATGTTCTGTAGTTGTCCGGGCATGGTGGCTCATGCCTGTAATCCCAGCACTTTGGGAGGCCGATGCGGGCGGATCACGAGGTCAGGAGATCGAGACCATCCTGGCTAACATGGTGAAACCCTGTGTCTACTAAAAAAAAAATACAAAAAATTAGCCGGGTGTGGTGGCGGGCGCCTGTAGTCCCAGCTACTCGGGACGCTGAGGCAGGAGAATGGCATGAACCCAGGACGCAGAGCTTACAGTGAGCCCAGATGGCTCCACTGCACTCCAGCCTGGGCGACAGAGCGAGACTCCGTCTCAAAAAAAAAAATGTTCTGTGGTTAGTGGTCGTGGCTGTACAACTTTGTGAATATACTAAAACCACTGAATTGTGCACTTGGGTGAATTATATGGCAGATGTGTTACATCTCAATAAAGTTACTAAATCTTTCATGTTTTCTTTCAGTACTTTTAGCTTTTATTTTTACTTCTATGGTCCATCTGGAATTCATTTTGACTTAATAAGTGACAGCGGAAATTAAAAAAAAAAAAATAAGAGGTTGGTCTTGCTATGTTGCCCAGGCTGGTCTAGAACTCCTGGCCTCAAGTGTTCCTCCCAACTTGGCCTTCCAAAGCACTGGGGTTACAAACATGAGCCCCTGTGCCCTGCTGGAAATTAATTTAACCTTTTTTTGTGTGTGTTTACTTTTTGAGAGTTGGGGGGGTCTCCCTATGTTACCTAGGCTGGCCTCGAGCTCCTGAGCTCGAGGGAGCCTCCTCCTGCCTGGATCTCCCTCCCAAAGTGCTGGGATTACAGGTGTGAGCAGCCATGCCTGGTCTGGAAATTTATTTTAATATTGTAGCTTTATATTAATGTTCTTTAATATTTGATGAATTTCCTCAGTTTTTTCAAAATTTCTTTGGCTATTTATGTACACTAACTTTTCCACATGAATTTTAGAATGAGAATAGTTTAAAAATGTGTTTGAAATTTTGTAAATGTGTTTATGTTTCTCGTAAGTTTTTAAGTGTTTTTTATAATGCAACGTTTTGTTTGTTTTGAGACAGAGTCGTGCTGTCGCCTAGGCTCGAGTGCAGAGATGCAATTTCAGCTCACTGAACCTCTGCCTCCCAGGTTCAAGCGATTCTAGTGCGTTGGTCTCGCGAGTAGCTAAGATTACAGGTGTGCATCCCCATGCCCAGCTAATTTTTGTATTTTTAGTAGAGACGGGTTTTCACCATTTTGGCCAGGCTGTTCTCAAACCCCTGACCTCAGCTGATCTGCCTACCTTGGCTTCTCAAAGTGCTGGGATTACAGGCGTGAGGCACCTCACCTGGCCTGTAATGTAACTTTTGTAAATAGTTTTGTTTTTTGATTTTTTTTTTTTGAGACGGGGTCTCGCTCTGTCGCCCAGGCTGGAGTGCAGTGGCGCGATCTCGGCTCACTGCACGCTCCGCCTCCCGCGTTCACTCCATTCTCCTGCCTCAGCCTCCCGAGTAGCTGGGACCACAGGCACCCGCCACCACGCCCGGCTAATTTTTTGTATTTTCAATAGAGACTGGCTTTCACCGTGTTAGCCAGGATGATCTTGATCTCCTGACCTCGTGATCTGCCCGCCTCGGCCTCCCAAAGTGCTGGGATTACAGGCGTAAGCCACCGCGCCCAGCCTAACTTTTGTAAATAGTTTTATAAGTAGGGTATTTATTTTGTAGATTATTGATATATGTAGTCCAATATGCAAACGATACAGAGGTATATCTGATGAAAAACTCGTCTCCCACTGACATGCCTCAGACAACACCCCTCCTGGTGGCAAGTCCATTAGCCAGTTTTTGGGTGTCCTTGCAGAGATCTGCGTGGCATATGAGAATAGCTATGCATGCATGTATCACATAACATGTATATGCATTTGAACACCATGGTAGTGTGTGCAAACCGCTGTTCTACCTCTAGTGTTTTTTCTTTGTGTTAGAGGTAATTCAGCATCAGCACACATTACACAGCATTGTCCCATTTCTCTATAATCCCATGCTTTCCAAGTGTTACCTTACGTCTGTAGTTTACTTGTTAGTCCTCCGCTTGTGAGTATGTAGCATATGTAACAGTCTTAAGTGGGTTATTTAATGACAGTCTTTGGCCCTAGTAGTGTTTCAGAGTTTTCTTAAAAGATCTTGCCAAAAAAGAAAAAAAAGGAAAGATTTTGCTTTCTTGGTAAATGCATTCTTAATTGTTTAGTTTTTGTTCCTGGGGTCTCTTATGTCATATTTTCTAACTAGTTTTCTGTATATAGGACGTCCGGGTGTTGATTTTTGTATTCTACCATCTTACTGAATGCTTTTTTTTTTTTTTTTTTTTTTTCAAGACGGAGTTTCACTCTTGTTCTCCAGGCTGGAGTGCAATGGCAGCATCTTGGCTTACCACAACCTCCACCTCCTGGGTTCAAGCGATTCTCCTACCTCGGCCTCCCAAGTAGCTGGGATTACAGGCATCCACGACAACACCTGGCTAATTTTGTATTTTTAGTAGAGATGGAGTTTCTCCATGTTGGTCAGGCTGGTCTCAAACTCCCAACCTCAGGTGATCCGCCTACCACAGCCTCCCAAAGTGCCAGGATTACAGGTGTGAGCCACCGCACCCAGCTTTTTAAATTTCTCTTAAAGACAGGGTCTCACTTTGTCACCCAGGCTAGAGTGCAGTGGTGTGATCTCGGCTCACTGCAGCCTTTACCCTCTGGTCTCAAGTGATCCTTCCGCCTCAAGTACCCCAAGTAGCTGGAACTACAGGTGCGTGTCACCATGTCCACCTAAGTTTTTGTATTTTTGGTAGGGACGGGGTTTCACCAGTTTGCCCATGCTGGTCTCAAACTCCTGGGCTCAAGCGATCTGCCTGCCTCAGCCTCCTAGAGTGCTGGGATTACAGGTGTGAGCCACTGCCCTAGGCCTTATTCTTTAAAATGATCTGCCTCTTGAAAAATGAAAGTCTTTTCTCAAAAAACTTCTTCCCAGGTCTGTGAAGCAGCACAGTGGCCCCTTCTGGCTCTCACCTTGTACCTCGTCCTTGTTTGCCTCGAGCATAGGACCTTGTCTGTGTTTGTGCCTCAGGCCCCCTCCCTCTGTGTTTGCTGGGTCCACTTAGTCTAGTCATTGGGCCTTGGCTCCTAAGAGGCCCCTAGACTGAATTCCTCATCCGATGTGTCCATACCAGCTTTCAAGTGACCTCAACATCGACAGCAGGGAAAACATTAGCACTTTTGTGACAGCCTCATATTTTCCCCCGCCCGAGATGGAGTCTCACTGTGTCGCCCAGGCTGGGATTACAGGTGCACGCCACCACACCCAGCTAATTTTTGTATTTTTAGTAGAGACAGGGTTCACCATGTTGGCCACGCTGGTCTCGAACTCCTGACTTTGTGATCCACCTGCCTTGGCCTCCCAAAGTGCTGGGATAACAGGTGTGAGCCACCGTGCCGGGCAGCCTCATATTTTTAATAATTTAATATCTGTTTTGAATAAATAAATATGGTTTGATTAACCAAAACCATGTGAACAGGTAAAGCTTGAGAAGTCTTGCTGCTGTTCAGAGCACCTGCTGTCTTCATAACCACTATTAGTTGCCTGTGGGTCCTGCCACTACTTACTTGTATGACTGTAGTAAGTGCAGATGTACATATTCCCTCAGGGACGCACCCTTCTCTGTGTTCTGTTACTCACTACATAGCTCGTGGAGAGCTTGCTGTGTTCATATATAGTTTGGTGCTCCTTCGCTTTCTGTAGCCACTGTGAAATGCCGTTCATATCTTTTGCCCCAGGTTTTTCTTCTGGACTGTCTGGCTATTTTTTTTTTTTTTTTTTGGGACAGGGTCTTACTCTGTCACCCAGACTGGAGTGCAGGGGCGCGATCTCAGCTCACTGCAACCTCTGCCTCGGGTTCAAGCGATTCTCCTGTTTCAGCCTCCCAAAGTGCTGGGATTACAGGCGTGAGCTACTGTGCCCGGCTTCTGTTTTATTTTTTGGTTTGATTCTGTCAGTTATTGAGAGAGGAGTGTTAAGATCTCCAGCTGTGATTGTGGAATTGTTTTGTCTTTAATTCTTTCCGTTTTAACTTCATATATGTTGAAGCTCTGTTATTAGGCAAATACACACTTGTGATTACATTTTCCTGATGAATTGTTTGTTGTAGTATTCTGAAATATCCTTCTTTTTTCCTAATAATATTTTTTATTTTGAAATGTATTTTACTTGATATTAATAGAGCCACTCCAGCTTTCTTAAACACACTTTTTGGATGGTATGTATTTTTCCATTCATTTGTCTTAAGTGTATCTTTTTCTTTATGTTTAAAGTGTCTTGTAGATAGCATGTAATTAGGTCTTCCTTTACCAATTCTGACAATCCTTGCCTTATAATTAGAGTTCAGTCTGTTAATGTAAGAGTAAATATCGATGTGGCTGGATTTATTGCTACCATTTTATTATTTGCCTTTTATTTGTCCTTTTGGATTTTTTCCCTGTTTTTCCTTTCCTTATCAATGAAATGTATTTGAGATTTCCATTGTGGTTTATCTAATGCTTTTTAAAGCTATTCTTCTTTGAATTATTATTTTAGTGGTTACTCTGGTGTTTGAAATATGCACCCTTGGCCAGGTGCGGTGGCTCACTTCTGTAATCCCACCACTTTGGGAGGCTGAGGCAGGAGGATCCCTTGAGCCCCAGAGTTTGAGACCAGCCTGGGCAACATGGAGAAACCCCATCTCTACTAAAAATATAAAAATTAGCCTGGCGTGGTGATGTGCATCTGTAGTCCCAGCTACTCGGGCGGCTGAGGCCCGAGAATGGCTTGAACTGGGAGGCGGAGTTTGCAGTGAGCCGAGATTGTGCCAGTGCACTCCAGCCTGGGCAACAGAGTGAGACTGCATCTCAAACAAACAAACAAAAAAGTCTGGGCGTGGTGGCTCACACCTGTAATCCTAGCACTTTGGGAGGCCGATGTGGGCGGATCACCTGAGGTCAGGAGTTAGAGAGCAGCCTGACCAACATGGAGAAACCCCGTCTCTACAAAAAATGCAAAATTAGCCAGGCGTGGTGGCACATGCCTGTAATCTCAGCTACTCGGGAGGCTGAGGCAGGAGAATCGCTTGAACCCGGGAGGAGGAGGATGGGGTGAGCTGAGATCGCGCCATTGCACTCCAGCCTGGGCAACAAGAGGGAAACTCCATCTCAAAAAAAAAAGTTTGTAAAGAGTAGCTTTTGTGATAGATACTTTGGCATACCAAGAAATATGGATGTTCCTGTCTTCAAAGAGTGTTACTGAGAAATACAAGCTTTTTCCTGCCCTAATTTGGTGAGATAAATTATACATTAACCAAAAAATTAACAGTGGGAAATGTCATATGCTGGCATATAGCAGCAGTTTCAAATGAGCAGCACAGGCTGGGCGTGGTGGCTCAGACCTGTAATCCCAGCAGCTTTGGGAGGCTAAGGTAGGAAGATTGCTTGAGACCAGGAGCTTAAGACCAGCCTGGTCAACATGGAAACACCCTATCTCTAGGAAAAAAAAAAAAAAAAGAATTTAGTCCTGTGTGATGGTGCTTACCTGCAGTCCCAGCTGTTCAGGAGAGTAAAGCAGGAAGGTCCCTTGAGCCCAGGAGTTCAAGACTGCAGTGAGCCATGACTGTACCACTGCACTCCAGCCTGGGTGACAGAGCAATCTCTTTTCTAAGAAAGAAAGAAATAGTAAATACATGAATAAATCTTTTTTTTTTTTTTTTTTTTTTGAGACGGAGTTTCACTCTTGTCACCCAGGCTGCTGGAGTGCAATGGCACAATCTCGGCTCACCGCAACCTCTGCCTCGTGGGTTCAAGTGATTCTCCTGCCTCAGCCTCCCGAGTAGCGGGGATTACAGGCACCCAGTGCTAATTTTGTATTTTTAGTAGAGATGGGGTTTCACCCTGTTGGTCACGCTGGTCTTGAACTCCTGACCTCAGGTGATCCACCCGCCTCGGCCTCCCAAAGTGCTGGGATTATGGTGTGAGCCACTGCGCCTGGCCAGTATAAAATTTTTTTAAATGGGCAGCATAAAAAGTTAAGTGCAGTGAACTCATAGGAAGAGATTATTGTGAACTGCTGGGGCCAGGGAGGCCTGAATGGGAGAGAGGGCCTGCAGCCAGGCCCTGCAGCAACTCGGATGGGAAGGAGTCCCAGCTACTGAGACTGCAGCTGCAGAGTGGAGGAGCTGCATGGGCACTGGCAGTAGTGGGTAGGGATGTGGGGGGTGGAAGGGGAGGGGTGTGTGGTGTCACATTCAAACTATCAGTGCTTCCCATTTTGTGCGACCCCAAACCACCAGATAGTTTAACAGTAAGATCTTGTAGCCTGACATTGAGGTTTGTGGTTTTTCCTTTAGGGTGTAGGAGAAACACAAAGACGGAAATTGTACAGCTAGCGTGTTTGGTATCTGGTTCAGGCAGATTTATTCCTCTAATGGTTTATTTTTTTTTTAATTTTTAATTTTTTTTTTGAGACAGGGCCTGGCTGCATCTCCCACCCTGAAATGCAGTGGCGTGATCTTGGCTCACTGCAACCTCTGCCTTGCAGGCTCAAGTGATCCTCCCAAGTAGCTGAGACTACAGGCATGCACCACCACACCTGGCTGTTTTTTTGTAGAGATGGGGTTTTGCCATGTTACCCAGGCTAATTTCAAACTCCTGAGCTGAAGCGACCCCCCGGCCTTGGCCTCCCAAAGTGCTGGGATTACAGGCATGAGCCACTGCACCTGAGTTAGTGATTAAAAGTTGTTGTAGAAGCCGGGCGCGGTGGCTCACGCCTGTAATCCCAGCACTTTGGGAGGCTGAGGCGGGCAGATCACGAGGTCAGGAGATCAAGACCATCCTGGCTAACACGGTGAAACCCCATCTCTACTAAAAATACAAAAAATTAGCCGGGCATGGTGGCGGGCGCCTGTAGTCTTGGGAGGCTGAGGCAGGAGAATGGCATGAATCCGGGAGGCGGAGCTTGCAGTGAGCCGAGATGGCGCCCTGCACTGCAGCCTGGGCAACAGAGTGAGACTCTAAAAAAAAAAAAAAAAGTTGTTGTGGAAAGTTTACATAACCTGAAATCAAATCTGCTTTTAAGAATGCTGTCAATTCAATTAATGTAATCTTGGCGTTATGATACTAAGTCTTGCAATTCTGGCTGGAAATATAGATTTCTTATTTTTTTCTTTTTCCCAATTGTGAGGACTTCTATATACTCCTCCCATAATGAATATTATATTAAATCCTTTCAAAAATATAGGCTGGGTGTAGTGGTTTGTGCCTGTAATCCCAGCACTTTGGGAGACTGAGGCAGACGGATCACGAGGTCAGGAGTTCGAGACCATCCTGGCCAACATGGTGAAACCCTGTCTCTACTTAAAAAAGAAAAACAAAAAAACAAAAAAACACAAAAGTTAGCCGGGCATGGTGGTGCACACCTGCAATCCCAGCTACTTGGGAGGCTGAGGCAGGAGAATTGCTTGAACCTGGGAGGCAGAGGTTGCAGTGAGCCGAGATCACGCCATTTCACTCCAGCTCTGGGCAACAGAGCAAGACCTTCTCGAGGAAAAAAAAAAAAAATTCTGCATATTAATTGGGGAAAAACCAAAAAGACTAGAAAAATGAAACATGGGGAAATCATGTTTAATCTTAGAGTGAGGAAGGCTTTTACAACCAAAAGACTAATTTCCTTTTTTTTTTTTTTTTGAGACAGAGTCTTGCTCTGTTGCCCAGGGTGGAGTGCAGTGGCGCCATCTCAGCTCGCTGCAAACTCCGTCTCCCGGGTTCATGCCATTCTCCTGCCTCAGCCTCCCAAGTAGCTGGGACTACAGGCGCCCACCACTACGCCTGGCTAATTTTTTGTATTTTTAGTAGAGACGGGGTTTCACCGTGTTAGCCAGGATGGTCTCAATCTCCTGACCTCGTGATCCTCCCGCCTCGGCCTCCCAAAGTGCTGGGATTACAGGTGTGAGCCACCGCTCCTGGCGACTAATTTCCTTAATATATAAAAAGCTCTTACAAATCAATAAGAAGAAGATTTAAAATGTAGTAGAAAAATTATCAGAGGATACCAACAGTCCCTTAACAAAAAAGGAAATAGGAAATATTTAAAAATACGGGACAGTGCTCAGTTTTGCTTATAATAAGAGAAATGTAAGTGAAAACTGCAGTGAAAATTTTATCTGACCAATAGGCAAAGATCCAAGAGTTTCATCTCAACACTGACTTGGCAGGAATGTAGGATGATATGCACTTTAGTACATTGCTGTGGGAACGTAAACTGATAGGATCTCTGTGGAGTGTGACTTGGCAGTATCTACCACTGCTTCAAATACATAACCTTAGGCTGGGCGTGGTGTCTTACGGCTCTAATCCCAGCGCTTGGGAGGCAGAGGCCGGGGGATCACTTGAGCTCAGGAGTTTGAGACCAGCCTGGGCAACATGGTGAATCCCTGTCTCTACAGAAAACACAAAAATTAGCCGGGTATGGTGGCATGAGCCTGTAGTCTCAGCTACTCGGAAGGTTGAGGTGGGAGGATCACTTGAATCCGGAGGGTTGAGGCTGCTGTGAGCCAAGATCACTCTACTGCACTTCAGCCTGGGCGACAGAGTGAGACCCAGTCAAAAAAAAAAAGAAAAAAAAAATTAGCTAGGAGTGGTAATACACGGCCTATAGTCCCAGCTACTCAGGAGGCTGAGGTGGGAGGATCACCTGAGCCCGGGAAGGTCGAGGCTGCAGTGAGCTGTGATTGTGCCATTGTGATCCAGCCTGGGCAACAGAGTGAGACCCTGTCTCAAAATAGTAGTAACTTACACCAGCCAGTTATTGCTGTGGTGTTTCCTGATGGTGTGCTTTCTGTTTTCTGCCATTCCTTGTGTTTATTCATTGGAATTCTGCTGTGATGAAGAGCTGCTGCTCCTCCTCTGTTTAAGTGTGCACCGATGTTTGCTTGATTTGCCGGGTCACAGCTTACAATCCATTATTGTCGTTCGTTATTTTGCCGCACAGATTGTCCTAGATTCTGCCACTGGGAGCCCTTCTGGCTGGGCTGTGTGTTCTCCTGACACACCCCGTCCTTTCTCGTCCTTCTGCACACCACTGGGTGTCCTAGGCTCCTCTGTGTGCTCCGCAGGGATCTCTGGTTCCTGTTTTTGGAGAGAGGTATTCACAAACCAAGATCTGGCTGCCAGGTAGGGTGACCAGCCGTCCTAGTTTGCCAGGACAAAGGCTTTCCCTGGGACGTGGGACTTTAGAGTGCTGAAACTGGAACAGCTTTTGGACTTTGCTCTCTGTAGCCTAAGTGGGGGGTCATCGCGCCTGGGCCCTGTCACGCGTCAGTGGACAGAGCTGGGAAATGTGTGTGTGTAAATGTTCCGGTATTGATTTCTGCATCCAGTCTGTACACATGGCAAAGGTTGTGAGCCTGTACTGATGCCTGTACCTCCAGTGCCGCCCCGCAGGGTTTATTCCTGCCCCTTCCTTATCAGTGACTTTTCTTCAACTGTGAGGACCCCAACTCAGTAGCCACAATCAGCTTTTCCGCTTGATCTTGGCACATGCGTAAATCGGGCTCAGACCTGCTGACTCCGCAGGGGACACATCTCCTGCCCGAGCCTGGTGATGGTGTGCTGTCCTCTGAGGTTAGTTTTACAGTAACAGTCAAAGTGCTATTTTCTGAAGTCTCTTAGGTTAGTTCTTCTTTCAGAGTGGTGATGTCATCGTCACAGCTCTGCATATTTGCTGTTTGTATTTCATTTTGTGTTCATGTGCGCCCTGTTTTGTTTTCACGGTTTCTTTTTCTTTTTCTTTTTCTTTTCTTTTTTTTTTTTTTTCGAGACAGAGTCTCACTCTGTCGCCAAGTCTGGAGTACAGTGGTGCGACCTCGGCTCACTGCAACCTCCACCTCCTGTGTTCGAGCAGTCCTTCCACCTCGGCCTCCCGAGTAGCTGATAACTAGAAGTGCGCCACCACGTCTGGCTAAGTAATGGTTTGTTTTTTGAGTATGAGAAACCTGACCATGGTTCTAAGAGAGACATACGAAAAGATGTATGTGGAAGTGTCATGTTCCCTCAGCTCTGCCAGCCCTCTCCCCTTCCCGCTTTCTTTGCATTCTCTGTACATATGCTGGTTGGGGGTTGAATTGTGTCTCCCCACGAAAGATGTTGAAGTCCCAGCTCTCAGTACCTGTGAATGTGACCATATTTGGAAATAGGGTCTTTGCAGGTGATCAAGTTAAGATGAGTTCACTTGGGTGGGCCCTAATCCAGTATGACTGTGTCCTTATAAAATGGGGACATTTGAACAGACAGACATGTGTAGAGGGAGAAGGGCAGACGTCCTGAAGGGAAGACACAGGGAGAAGATGACCACCCACAAGCCAAGCAACGCCAGAGGCTGCAGAGGCTGGAAGAGGCGCAAACAGACCCTCCCTCCCAGCCTCAGGAGGAACCAGCCCTAGTGGCACCTTGATCTTGGACTTCTTGCTTCCAGGACTGTGAGAGAATAAGTGTCTGTTACTGTAAGCTACCGGGTTTGTGCCACGGGGAGTTTAATACACACCTCCTGTAGGTAACCAAGCTGTGGGGTTTGAAGGCCGGGTACAGTGGCTCATACCTGTCATCCTAGTGCTTTAAGAGGCCAAAGTGGGAGGATTACTTGAGTCCAGGAGTTCAAGACCAGGCTGGGCAACAAAGAGAAACCTTGTCTCTATTTTTATTCTTTTTTAAAAAGAGGCCAGGTATGGTGGCTCACGTCTGTAATCCCAGCACTTTGGGAGGCCAAGGTGGGCAGATCACTTGAGGTCAGGAGTTGGAGACCAGCCTGGCCAACATGGTGAAACCATGTCTCTTTTAAAAATAAAAGCCAGGCATGGTGGTGCGTGCCTGTAATCCCAGCTACTAGGGAGGCTGAGGCAGGAGAATCGCCTGAACCCAGGAGGCAGAGGTTGCAGTGAGCTGAGATCATGCCCCTGCACTCCAGCCTGGATGACAGAGCGAGACTCTGTCTCAAAAAAAAAAAGAGAAAGATACGTTCGCGTCCTCATCCCTGGTACTTGTGAGTGTGAGCTTATTTGGGTCATTTCAGATGTATCAGGTTGTGATGAGGTCACACTGCATGGGGGTGGGGCCTAACTCCAGTATTCCTGGTATCCGTATAAGAAGAGGGAAATCTGGACACAGCCAGGACTCACATAGAGAAGAGCTTGCCATGTGACAAGAGACAGAGCCTGGAGGGTCTGCAAAGCATGAAACACCAAGGATGCCGGCTACTGCCAGAAGCTGGGGAGAGGTGCGGGATGGACTCTCCCTCGGCACCTCCAGTGGGAAGCACCGCTGCCCAGAACCTGGGACCTTTTTTTTTTTTTTTTTGAGACAGAGTCTCGCTGTCTCACCCAGCCTGAAGTGCAGAAGTGCGGTAGTGTGATCTTGGCTCACTACAGCCTCAACATCCTGGGCTCAAGTGATCTTCCCACCTCAGCCTCACAAGTAGCTGGGACTACAGGTGCACACCACTACACCTGGCTAGTTTTTGTGTTTTTTGCAGAGATGGAGTCTCACTTTCTTGCCCAGGCTGGTCTTAAACCCCTGGGCTCAAGCGATTCTCCTGCCTTGGCCTCCCAAAGTGCTGGGATTACAGGTGTGAGGTTGTGTGCCTGGCTCAGAACTGTGGACCTTTTTGAAACTGCCTAGTTTGTGGTGCTGTGTTTCAGTAGTCCTAGGAAACAAAATACACAGTCACATCAGTTTCTGGTTTATCCTTTTTGTGTTTCTTTTACACAAATGGTGAGAAACACTGATATGCTCTGTGGGCAGGTGTTGGCACTTGGACACTTCCCTCCTGTGCCCCCAGGGCTGGCTGTGCTTTGGAAGGAGGCACAGAGACTTCAGCACCCTGGTTTGATGTAGACTGTTCGCGAACTCCTCTAATGCCAAATACCATTTAATTCCAGAAGAAATGTCCCGGGATTTTTTTTTTTTTTTTAACTGTACGAATAAAGTGAACAATGCAATTACATGGGCCCAAATAACTGGATGTTTACATGGTTTGGAATTTGAATACTTTCTGAATTGTGGTAGATGTTTTTAAGGTATCTGCATAGAGATAAAGACAGGCTAGGGTTGGCCGGGCATGGTGGCTCACGCCTGTAATCCCAGCACTTTGGGAGGCCTAGGTGGGTGGATCACCTGAGGTCAATAGTTCGAGAGCAGCCTGACCAATAAGGTGAAACCTCGTCTCTACTAAAAATACAAAAATTAGGCATGGTGGCTGGTGCCTGTAGTCCCAGCTACTTTGGAGGCTGAGACAGGAGAATCGCTTGAACCCAGAAGATGGAGGTTGCAGTGAGCCGAGATCACTGCACTCCAGCCTGGGCGACAGAGCGAGACTCCATCTCAAAAAAAAACAAAAACAAAAGGCCAGGTTTGTGCTGTTTGTAAGTCCAGGAATAAGCCTAAAGAATAGGCAAGTTTTGGCTGGGCACGGTGGCTCATGCCTGTAATCCTAGCACTTTGGGAGGCTGAGGTGGGCAGATCGCCTGAGGTCAAGAGTTCGAGACCAGCCTGGCCAACATGGTGAAACCCTGTCTCTACTAAAACTACAAAAATTAGCTGGGTGTGGTGGCAGGCGCCTGTAAACCCAGCTACTCGGGAGGCTGAGGCAGGAGAATCGCTTGAACCCGGGAGGTGGAGGTTGCAATGAGCCGAGATTGCACCATTGCACTGCAGCCTGGGCAACAAGAGTGAGACTTCATCTCAAAAAAAAAAAAAAAAAAAAGGCAAGTTTTTGTACCTTTTAGGAGTATGAAAGTTGATATGTTAATTTTTTTTTTTTTTTGAGACAGAATGTTGCTCTGTCACCCAGCCTGTAGTGCAGCGGCACGATCTCGGCTCACTGCAACCTCCACTTCCCAAGTTCAAGCCATTCCCCTGCCTCAGTCTCCCGAGTAGCTGGGATTACAGGTGCCTGCCACCATGCCCGGCTAACTTTTGTATTTTTAGTACAGATGGGGTTTCTCCATGTTGGCCAGGCTGGTCTCGAACTCCTGACCTCATGTGATCCGCCTACCTCAGCCTCCCAAAGTGCTGGGTTTACGGGCGTGAGCCACCGCACCCCTGGCTGATATGCTGATTTTTAAAACCTTGATTCCTGGATATTCTGTTGTCTTTCCTTTCTACTTGTTACAAATTTGTGAAGAACAGGAGAGGCTCCCAGTTAGATGCGGTTCATTTAGGCTTAGACTTTGACACGGCGTGGCTGGCTGGCCACATATCCTTGACACCATCACGTATTGCAAATCTACTGACCAAGGCAGGGTCCTGGTATGTGGTCCCTGGGGTCAGTGGGTGTTGGTGTTGGGTCGGTCCAGTCCTGTGTTGGAGTGAAAGTGTCTGGTTTCTGGGCCTGCGTCGGTGAACTGCGTGCGGCTGGGGACACATTGGCTGCTTTCCTCCCTCGCTGGGCTCTGCCGGCAACTTTCTCAGCCCACTGGACTGAGCAGGAAGTTACAGAAGACAAGTCTCCTTCTTAGTTAGAAGGTAGAACCCATCGTCAGCTGTTTTTCAGTTTTTAAAGTACACAAATTTTTTTTAAAAAATCTGTTTTGGATGAAAAAGCAATGGGAAAGAATCAACTTTTAGAAGATGAGACAGTTTCAGAATATTAACATTTAAATATTTGGATCCCTTTTGGGAGGATTTTTTTTTTGCTTGACTGTCAAGAGCAAAGAAGTGTGGCCCATCGGGGGCTTCTGCAGGGGCTGCGAGGGTCGAGACAGGTTTCAGTTTGGTAGGTTGATGCGAGGTGTCACCCGTGAGGCGAATGTGGGAAGTGCTGTCAGCAGGCATCTGCCAGCTGGGCATGGTGGCTCACGCCTGTCATCCCAGCTCTTTGTAAGGCCAAGGCGGGAAGATGGTTTCAGCCCAGGAGTTCGAGACCAGTCTTGGCAACATAGCAAAACCCCATTTCTACAAAAAATTTTTTAAAAAATTATGGGGGCATGGTGGTCTGTGCCTGTGGTCCCAGCTACTCGTGAGGCGGAGGCAGGAGCATTGCCTGAGTCCAGGAGGTTGGGGCTGCAGTGAGCTGTGATCGCAGTGACAGAGCGAGACCCCCTCTGAAAAGAAGGCAGCAGCCCACCCCCTCCAGTTTCGCTTCTGCGGTTCTGAGAAGACACAGTATCTTACACTGATGACATCTGTGAGGGCTCCTTGCCAAAACCACACCCTGACACTGTGGCATTTGGTCCTGTGGATTTCTCTTTCAGCAACAGCCCGACTTAGAGATGTCCACGCTAGCTTCTGCTAGACACCCTTGATGGGACGAATTACCATATTGTTTCTCGTGTCTTCCTAATTCTCATTCTTTCTGCATATTTGTCTTTTCAGGAAAACCAATTCTGTGTCCTCGGAGGACCACAGCCCAGTTGGGCCCCAGGCGAAACCCAGCCTGGAGCTTGCAGGCAGGACGACTGTTCAGCACGCAGACCGCCGAGGACAAGGAGGAACCCCTGCACTCGATTATCAGCAGCACAGAGAGCGTGCAGGGTAGCCTTGGCTCGTGCTTTGGTCTGGGAGGGCTTTTTGGTTCACTGCTGTGCGTAAAGGGGCATTTTCAGGGTGGAGGCAGTGATTGGTAGAGCCACCGCCTTAGGTGTGAAATCAGAAGGTCTTGGCTGTAGGGAGTGCTGCGCCCTCCATTTCTGTCCCAGCGAGGGACTTCTGCCAGTGTCGGGTGTGTCTTGCCCCCTCTGGTGGCCACCCGTGAGTTTGCCGTCCGGCACCTCCCCTGAGTGGTGATTCATGGCACATCTGCTAATAATCATGGAAGCGGGAGGGGAAACTCAGCATTGGCCCAGTCTGCGCAGGACCGAATTCTGGAGCTGTCTTTTCATTCCCTCTGAAGTATAAAAAAGCAGTCTTTGGAGCCAGTCCTGAAGTGGCTCCATTTCTGGCTTTTAAGTGGGTCGACAAGAGTAGAATCTTTGAAGTTAAAAAGAGAAGTGAGGTTTTCTTGTTATTTTGATTTCTAACTAATTAATTTGGAAACCGCTTTTTTGAAGAATATAGTCCAGGCACAGTGGCTCACACTTGTAATCCCAGCACTTTGGGAGGCCGAGGCAGGAGGATTGCTTGAGGCCAAGTGGTCGAGACCAACCTGGGCAAGATAGACCCTTTCTCTACAGAAAAAAATTAAAAAGTTAGCCAGGCATGGTAGCACACACCAGTGGTTCCAGGTACTTGAGAGGCTGAGGCAGGAGAATCGGTTGAGCCCAGGAAGTTGAGGCTGCAGTGAGCACGATCCTGCCACTGCATAGCAGCCTGGGCAACAGAGCCAGATCCTGCCTCTAAAAAAAAAAGAAAGAACATATAATCTGGTTCTTAGAGGCAGTCCAGTTCTCGTAACCATGCACATTGGGAAACCAGGCTCAGCATTCCCTCGACATAGCCCGAGGCATGTCTGGCCTCAGCAGTGGGAGGATTTGTCCTGCCCTGAGACCTCCTTTCTGAGAGACTTTTTGTTTTGTTTTGTTTTGAGACAGGGTCTTTCTCTGTCACCCAGGCCGAGTGCTGTAGTGCAATCATGGCTCACTGAAGCCTCGACCTCCCTGGCTCAAGTGATCCTCCCACCTCAGCCCCCTGAGTCACTGGGACCACAAGTGTGTGCCACCACCGTCAGCTACTTTGTGTATTTTTTGTAGAGATGGCGGGATCCCTCTGTGTTGCCCAGGCTGGTCTTGAGCTCCTGGGCTTAAGTGATTCTCCTGCCTTGGCCTCCCAAAGTGCTGGGATTACAGGCATGAGCCATGGTGCCCAGCCAGACTTTGTTTCTGTCTGCTTCTTTCTTTTTGTTCATGATCTTAAATGTGTGGGAGGCCGAGGCGGGCCAATCATGAGGTCAGGAGATCGAGGCTATCCTGGCTAACATGGTAAAACCCCGTCTCTACTAAAACTACAAAAAATTAGCCGGGCGTGGTGGCAGGCACCTGTAGTCCCAGCTACTCGGGAGGCTGAGGCAAGAGAATGGCGTGAACCCGGGAGGCAGAGCTTGCAGTGAGCCGAGATCGTGCCACTGTACTCCAGCCTGGGTGACAGAGCGAGACTCCGTCTCAAAAAAAAAAAAAAAAAAAAGTTTAAAACTCATAAACTTAAGCTTTCTTTGGAATGTGACGTAGCGTATTCTTGCACAAAAATAGAAGTTAAACTTTGTTGGTTGTGTCTGTGTTTCATTACTAGGTTCCACTTCCAAACATGAGTTCCAGGCCGAGACAAAGAAGCTTTTGGACATTGTTGCCCGGTCCCTGTACTCAGAAAAAGAGGTGCGTTCCCTGCTAACCATGCCCGATGCTAGCAAAGTTTCTTTTCACAAAGCTGGTTTTTATGCCATTCTGGAGAATTGCCAGATAATATATTAGCTGTGAGAAAGCATTAAACTTTGGACAGGTCCTCATCTTAAGCTACCAGTGAGAGGAGTTTTACCAGAATCTGTTTTGGTTTCCTGGATAAGTGTATCCAGATGGTTCTTTGGGCTGGATCAACTCTGGGAATTAATTGAATTTTGCCAATAATTTTAAAAGTTCCCGAAATACAGGCCTGGTGTGGTGGCTCATGCCTGGGAACTCAGTGCTTTGGGAGGTCGAGGCAGGAGGATCACTTGAGCCCAGGAGTTTGAGACCAGCCTGGTCAACACAGCAAGACTCCGTCTCTACAAAAAATTTAAAAAATTAGCCAGCTATGGGGGCACTGACCTGTGGTCCCAGCTACTCAGGAGGCTGGGGTGGGAGGATGACTTGAGCCTGGCAGACTTTGGGGCTGCAGTGAGCCATGATTGTGTTACTACACTGACCTGCACAACAGAGTAAGACCCTCTCTCCAAAAAAAAAGTCCCCCAAATCCTAGCGTGCAGCTCTGCTGAATTCCGTCTCTGTGGAGCTTTGGATACGCTCTGAGGCCCCTTTGCCTGGTGGGACTACCTGCAGGTCTTGGCGGCTTTGGCTGCCGGAGGAAGAAGGTTCCCCAGTCCTGTGTGTATGGAGCAGGGAGGAGTTACTGAGGAAATTAAAACGCATTTGGGGCCAGGTGCGGTGACCCACACCTGTAATCCCGGCACTTTAGGAGGCCAAGGTAGGAGGATTGTGTGAGTCCAGGAGTCTGAGACCAGCCTAGGCAACGTGAAGAGACCCCATCTCTATTAAAAAAAACCCCGCAAAACTCATTTGGGGTGACAGGACAAGGAAAAAGAAAGATGAAGGCCACCATCGTTGACATGCTGATTATTGCTGGAAGGCAAAGGAGAGTCCTGAAGAAAGTTTGTAAAGCAGCAGATTTCAAAGCTCAGAGGGCCTTCTAGGAGCTGTTTCCGGGTTTCGTACTGATGAGTGCTGCATTCCTGACTCCCAGTGACCTCCAGCTTCCGCCCAGATCAGCCACCGCTTCCTCTTCACCTATGTGCTCTTGCGGACTTAATTTTTCTATTTTTAATTGTGTGGGTTTTTGTTTTTTTTTTTTTTGGTTTTTTAATTTTTTGGAACAGGGTCTGGGTCTGACGCCCAGGCTGGAGTGCAGTGGTATGATCTCGGCTCGCTGCAACCTCCGCCTCCTGAGCTCAAGCCATCCTTCCTCCTCAGCCTCTGGCTGATATTTGTATTTTTTTGTAGAGACGGAGTTTTGCCGTGTTGCCCAGGCTGGTCTTGAACTCCTGGGCTGAGGTGATCTGCCTGTTTCAGCCTCCCAAAGTGCTGAGATCACAGGTGTGAGCCACCACACCCGGCCTCTCTCACTGATTTTAAATGGAAGGTCTGTTTGAGGTCAGTGTGCTTTTCAGCTCCTGAGGGACAGCTGGGCCCTGAGGCCTGTTTTTCTCCGGGTGTGGTAGACCTGGTGTTTGGTGGTCCCCACTAGATGAGATGAAGCTAGGGAACCTGTTTTTGTGGAGTAGGAGTGTATTAGTCCATTTTCACGTTGCTGATAAAGACATACCTGAGACTGGGCAATTTACCAAAGAAGGAGCTTTAATTGGACTTACACCTCCATGTGGCTGGGGAAGTCTCACAGTCATGGTGGAAGGCAAGGAGGAACAAGTCCCGTCTTACATGGATGACAGCAGGCAAAGAGAGAATGAGCAAGACACAAAAGCAGAAACCCCAAAAAACTGTCAGATCTCATGAGACTTACTCACTACCACGAGAACAGTACTGGGGAAACGGCCCCCATGATTCACTTATCTCCCACCAGGTCCTTCCCACAACACGTGGGAATTATGGGAGTACAATTCAAGGTGAGATTTTCGTGGGGACACAGCCAAACCATATCAAGGAGAAATGGATGTTTGAGTGATATGCCGTCATCCCTGTGCAGGAGTTGGGAAAGAAATTGTTCCTCGCAGGCCTCTTTTGTTTGTTTTTTTGAGACAGAGTCTCTCTCTGTCGGGGCTGGAGTGCAGTGGTGCCATCTCGGCTCACTGCAACCTCCGCCTTGTGGGTTGAAGCGATTCTCCTGCCTCAGCCTCCTGAGTAGCTGGGATTACAGGTGTGTTCCATCACGCCCAGCTAATTTTAATATTTTTAGTAGAGACTGGGTTTTGCCATGTTGGCCATGCTGGTCTTGAGCTCCTGACCTCAAGTGATCCACCTGCTTCAGCCTCCCAAAGTGCCTGGATTACAAGCATGAGCCCCCAACCCCAGCCAGAGGGCTCTTCTTAAAGTTATAATTAACAGATGGACACGTAACTTCAGGCTTGATTAAAAATCCTGAAAAGGGCCAGGCACCGTGGCTCACGTCTGTAATCCCAACACTTTGGGAGGCGGAGGCACAACGATCACTTGAGCCTGGGAGATCAAGACCAGCCTGGGCAACATAGCGAGACCCTGTGTCTATAAAAATTTTAAAACAATTAGCTGGGTGTGGTGCATGCCTGTGGGCCCAGCTACTTAGGAGGCTGAGGTGGGAGGATTGCTTGGGTCCAGGAGGTTAAAGCTGCAATAAGCCGTGATTGCAGCCTCCAGCCTGAGTGACAGAGTGAGACTCTCAAAGAAATCCTGAAAGGAAAGTCAGCACCTTCAGTCACTTTGTGACCGGCCCAGAGGAACTGCCTTTGACTAAAGCAGAAACTCTTTATGCTTTGAGAATTGACTATTCTCCTCTACCTTTTAACAGTTATTGGAAGTGCAGCTGACCAGATAGATCCTGCAGGATGAGTGTCCTTCATTGTCTGTGCCTCCCATTTCTATTCCTGTAGGTGTTTATACGGGAGCTGATCTCCAATGCCAGCGATGCCTTGGAAAAACTGCGTCACAAACTGGTGTCTGACGGCCAAGCACTGCCAGAAATGGAGATTCACTTGCAGACCAATGCCGAGAAAGGCACCATCACCATCCAGGTACCTCCCTCAGTGTCCAGGCGTGTGGCAGGCCCGGCCATGCAGCAAGGACAGGATCCGCCTTCTAGTGATGTCTCGGGTCCCAGGGACGTACTGGCCGTCCGTACCACCAGGATAACTCTGGCTATAATTTAGTGTTACAGTAGCACTCATTCATTATAGAAAATTTTGGAAAAGCAGGTAAGCAGAAAAGAAGAAAATTTGAAATCACCCCATCATCCAGCAATAACTACTGGTAACATCTTAGCATATGGCCACACAGGGTTTTGGTATATGCAGGTATTAACATATCTAAACATATCTTATTTTTAATGTACTCTTTTCATATTTTTAACTGCGTTTTCCCCTCAAAATGCCGACGAAGCAGTGCTGTGGCTGCTGCTGTAGCCTTGTGGAAATTTTAAGGCTGAAAAGTTAGGCCAAAGAGGATCAGGTAGGGGCCCTGAGAGACATTGCATCCAAAGACAGCTGCCTCAGGACCTGTCATCCCAGGGTCACGGCGTCATTGCGGGGGTGTCTGTCTCTGTGGAGAGGTGGACAGACTGGCCTCGGTGGGATCTGAGTATTCCCTTTTAGGGTGCTGGCTTGCTCTGAAGGTCATGCCACATAAATGAATGCAGGCACGCGTGAATGAATGGACTTGTGAAGGGATGGCTGTTTTAATTAAAGGAGGGGCTTTTGTGAGGTGTCAGCTTTACGCACTCCCTCTTGGGTTTAGAGAATCCAGACTGAGCCCCGTGGTACGTGCCAGCTGTTTGTCATAGCCCTTGGTCATAAGGATTGGGTGGGGAGTGGGTTTCTTCTCTCCCTGCCTTTGCTGAGCTGGCCTGGCTGTGGAATGGGCCCTGTGGGCAGGGCTGCAGCGCCCTGTGCTTTCCTCCTGTTTTCAGCACAGAGGTTCCTTGCAGATGATTGAAAATGGATGTGCTGGGGCAAGGGGTCATGGGGACATGATTCTTGGTCTTTAGCAGAGGGGCCAGTCCTCATGTGCCAGTACTTCCTGGTACTAAGACCATTTATGTTACAATAATGATTTTTGGTTTTGTCTTTTGTCTTCTTTTTTCTTAAAGAACAGTTCTAGATTTACAGAAAATTTGAGCAGGTAATTTAGAGCTCCATTATATCCTTTGGGACCCAGTTTTTCTATTCTCAATAGCCGATGGGAGCGTCATGGTCCATTTGTTTCATCTTTTTTCCTTTTTTTTGGAGACAGAGTGTGGCTGTGTCGCCCAGGCTGGAGTGCAGTAGTGTGATCTCAGCTCACTGCAGCCTCCGCCTCCCAGGTCCAAGCAACTCTCGTGCCTCAGCTTCCTGAGTAGCTGGGATTACGGATGTGTGCCATGATGCCCAACTAATTTTTGTATTTTTAGTAGAGATGGGGTTTCACCACGTTGGCCAGGCTGGGCTTGAACTCCTGCCCTCAAGTGATCTGCCCGCCTTGGCCTCCCAAGTGTTAGATTACAGGCATGAGCCACCATACCCAGCCCATTTATTACAATTAATTAACTAATATTGATAGATTATTCTTACCTAAAGTTTTAGAAAAGGAAGCTTTCTTGTGGGGTCTCAGAGGTATTATGCCATTCCATCTCATCTACTGATATCTCAGCTACATTGCTTTTTGTTATTTTTAGGGGATTTTCTAGGGAATAAAATATGCAGCCTTAATTTATCACTGTCTAGCTTGAATTGATATTTAACACTTCATTGTAAGAATCTTACAACAGTATCATTCCGGTGGCAAAATCATCTTTTTCTTTTGATGTCAAATATTTTATGTATATACCTGTTGTAAACCCTCACAAATTCCTTTTTATTTTTGTTTGAGACAGAGTCTCATTTTATTGCCTAGGCTGGAGTGCAGTGGTATGATCTCACCTCACTGCAGTGAGGCCTCTGCCCCCCGGATTTAAGTGATTCTCCTGCCTCAGCCCCCCAAGTAGCTGGGTTTACAGGCACATGCCACCACACCCGGCTAATTTTTGTATTTTTAGTAGAGATGGGGTTTCACCATGTTGGTCAGGCTGGTCTCAAACTCCTGACCTCAAGTGATCTGACTGCCTTGGCCTCCCAAAGTGCTGGGATTACAGGCGGGAGCCACCGCGCCTAGTCTCACCATTTCCTTTTAAAATCACATTGTGCGGGTCGCCTGGCAACAGATGATTTCTGTCTACATCTGAAAAATCTATAGTTTTTTTTTTTTTTTAGTAAATATTTTAGAACAGATTTCAATTTTCAGAAAAATTTTAAAGATAGTACAGCGTTGCCATCTACTCCAACACCCAGCTTCCCTTATGATTGAAACCTTATGGCCGGGTGCAGTGGCTCACGCTTGTAATCCCAGCACTTTGAGAGGCCAAGGTGGGCGGATCACCTGAGGTCAGGAGTTCAAGACCAGCCTGGCCAGCACGGTGAAACCCCATCTCTAATAAAAATACAAAAATTAGCCAGATGTGGTGGTGTGCACCTGTAATCCCAGCTGCTCAGGAGGCTGAGGCAGGAGAATTGCTTGAACCCGGGAGGCGGAGGTTGTGGTGAGCTGAGATCGCGCCATTGCACTCTAGCTTGGGCAACAAGAGTGAAACTCGTCTCAAAAAAAAAAAAAAAGAAATGTTAGTATATTACATTGGTTACAGTTAATCAACCGGTATGGATATATTATTCTTAACACAAGTCTATTCAGGTTTCCTTAGTTTTTACCTCATGTCCTTTTTCTCTCCCAGCATCCCACATGACATTTAGTTGTCCTGGCCCCTTAGCTCCTCTTGGCTGTGACAGTTTCTCAGACTTTCCTTGTTTTTGATGACCGGGAAGATTTTTTTTTTTGAAATGGGGTTTTGCTCTTGTTGCCCACGCTGGAGTGCAGTGGTGTGATTTCAGCTCACTGCAACCTCCGCCTCCCGGGTTCAAGCAATTCTCTTGCCTTCAGTCTCTCGAGTAGCTGGGATTACAGGTATGTGCCACCATGCCTGGCTAATTTTGTATTTTTAATAGAGACAGAGTTTCTCCATGTCGGTCAGGCTGATCTTAAACTCCCGGCCTCGTGTGATCTGCCTGCCTCGGCCTCCCAAAGTGCTGGGATTATAGGCATGAGCTACCGCACCCAGCCTGACCTGGAAGGTTTTTATGTTTGTTTAGAGTCAGGATCTTCTTCCGTCTCCAGGTTGGGGTGCATTGGTGCTATCAGGGTTCGCTGCAGCCTTGACCTCCTGGGCTCAAGTGATCTACCACATCAGCCCCCTGTAGCTAGGGCCACAGGCACATGCCACCATGCCTGGCTAACTTTAAAAAAATTATTTTTTTTGCCAGGCATGGTGGCTCACGCCTGTAATCCTAGCACTTTGGGAGGCCGTGGCGGGCAGATTGTCTGAGCTCAGGAGTTCAAGACCAGCCTGGGCAACGTGGTGAAACCCTGTCTCTGCTGAAAATACAAAAGAAATTAGCTGGGTGTGGCAGCGTGTGCCGGTAGTCCCAGCTACTCGGGAGGCTGAGGCAGGAGAATTGCTTGAACTCGGGAGGCGGAAGGTGCAGTGAGCGGAGATCACACCACTGCACTCCAGCACTCTAGCCTGCGTGACAGAGCGAGAAATTTTTTTTTTTTTTTTTTTGTAGAGGCAGGGTCTTGCTTTGTGGCCCAGGCTGGTGTCAAACTCCTGGGCTCAAGCAATTTTCCCACCTTGACCTTCCAAAGTGCTGGGATTACAGATGTGAGCTGTTGTGTCCAGCCCTATGTTTTCTTCTAGAGGTTTTATAGCTTTAGCTCTTATATTTAGATCTATGATCCATTTCAAGTTAATTTTTGTGTATGGTGTGAGGTAGGGCTTGAGGTTTATGTTTTGTTTATGGGTGTACAGTTGTTTCAGTACTATCTGTTAATAGACCTATCATCCCCCATTGAATTACCTTGGAATCTTTGTCAAAAATCAAGTAATACACTCTCTGTGCATCTCTGTTCCTGTGCTCTGTTTGGTTCTTTCATCCATGTGTCGATCCTTAAATGCCCACATCGCACTGTCTTAATTATTGTAGCTTTATAGGAAGTCTTAAAATTAGGTATTTTAAATTCTCCAACTTCGTTCTTCAAAATATTTTGAAAATTTTCTAAGTTCTTTGTATTTCCATATACATTTTAGAATCGGCTTGTCATTTTCTACAAAACCTGTGAGGATTTAGACTGGGATTGCAGTGCAGATCAGTTTGGGAAAAAATAAAAATAAATTGAAAATAGGAGCTATTAGTTGCATTTTTTCCTTTACCTTGGTCTAACATTAACCTTTCCCTTAAGGACTCTATTTAAGTTTCTGATGTATTAAACACTTAAATGAAACTTATATTTAATGACTGATATCAACTAGATACTAATTTTAAGTAGTTTTTTATTCATAATTATTACATGATCTACAATAAATGAATCAGGCTGGATTTTGGACTATTCAAACCGGCACCTCAGAAATAATTGCCCAGAAGCCTCTTGGTGCCATGTTTCTTGTTGGCTGCTGGGGCCCGTGAAACATGCACACATGTGTGCACTGCAGTAACTGGTGGTGATGTGGTTTTGGCACCCATTCTGCCTGTGCTGCCTACAATGGGAAGGCTGACAGCTGGCCAGTCTCCCTGGCCTGCTGCTTGCTGTGGATTATTTGCTGAGTGGCACTGACCACCCTTGCTTTGCCAATGGAGACAGCACTGGCGCCTGGTGCTAGTGGGCTCCCATGGCTCCTGCAGGCTGTCCTGGAGAGGAAGTCTTTAGAAAGGAACTTCCTAGAAGGAAGTTCAGAAAACTGTTTCTGAGGGCCTTTGTCCCAATTCATAGATGTGGAGGCTTGGAGTGAGCTCTTTTATTTAAGGTGGTCTGCACATCATAGCAGAGCAAGCTGGGGCTGTGGCTACATTATGGGCATGTTGAGCGAGGATCTGCAGATGGGAGTCTGACTGGGCTTTGAGGAAGGAGGAGCCCATGGTCAGTAAGGCCTTGTGTGTTCACCAGCGCGTTGGTCTGTATTGTGATTCAGGCTGCTATAGCCGAATACCTTAGACTGGGCAATTTATAAACAACAGAACCCTATTGCTTACAGTTCTAGAGGCTGGGAGGTCCAAGAGCAAGGGGCCAGCAGATTGGGCATCTGGCGAGGGCCCTTTGACTCAGGCAGTGCCTCTTGCATCTTCATACAGAAGGTGGAAGGGGCAGGCAAGCTCCCTCAAGCCTGTTTTCTAAGGGCCCTACTCCCATTCATGAGAGTGGAGCCGTCGTGACTTGATCACCTCCCCAAGGCCCCCCTCCCAGTGCCATCCCCTTGGGACTTAGGTCTTAATATATGGATTTGGGTGACACTGGCACTCAGAGCAGAGCAGCTGCAACAGGATAGGCCAGATAGAGGCTCCAACGCAAGGGCTCTGCCTTCCCGCAGGAGAGGCGTCTGTGCCCGCTGTTCCCATGGTGGTAGGGTGGGAGTAGGTGCCGCGTGCAGAGCTGCGTTCCCAACACCTGCTTCCTGGTGTCCTCAGTCAGATCATTCTGCTGGATTGAGAGAGCCACCAGAGGGGATCACTGTTCCCCAGAACCACAGCCAGGGAGAAGGCGTGGGGGCCACATCTTGATGGTGGGAGAGCTGTGCTTTTCCTAATTGCTGGTGTAATATTTTCTTTTCGGAATGGTTTTTAACAAACAAAGCAACTTTCTGCTGTCCCTTCCTGTTTTCTCTGGTGAGGCCAAGCTGCTATGACTAGAATTAGTCTTTTCGTTTTTTCTTTTTTTTTTTTTGAGATGGAGTCTCACTCTGTCACCCAGGCTGGAGTGCAGTGGCGCAATCTCAGTTCACTGCAGTCTCTGCCTCCTGGGTTCACTGGGCTCAAGCAATTTTCCTGCCTCAGCCTCCGAGTAGCTGGAACCACAGGTGCTCGCCATCATGCCTGGCTAATTTCTTTTTTAGTAGAGATGGGGTTTTACCATGTTGGCCAGGCTGGTCTTGAACTCCTGGCCTCAAGTGATCCGCCTGCCTTGGCCTCCCATAGTGCTGGGATTACAGGCATGAACCATCACTCCCGGCCCCTAGAATTAGTCTTTTCTGATGAGCATCTGGTGCTACCTGGCTGGGCCCTGTCTGGCCAATGTCATTGACACCACTTGAGTCCCTGGGACTGCTGGTGCACTCACCCGGCTCCCCAGGTGCTGGGGGCTTGGCACTTAGTGCGTCTCTCTCCTCAGGATACTGGTATCGGGATGACACAGGAAGAGCTGGTGTCCAACCTGGGGACGATTGCCAGATCGGGGTCAAAGGTAAGCGTGGGGCCCCCACACAGCCTCCCCCTTCCCCTCAGGGTGCAAGGATCCCTCCAGTAGGGGTGGCCCTGGGTGCCAGATTAAGTAAGAACGTTGTCAGTTGCATGCCACGCAGTGGGTACTGTGGGAACACCTCATGACATGACAGCCATCCCTCAGTATCTGGGGGTTGGTCCCTCAGTATCTAGGGGTTGGTTTCAGGACCCCCCTTGGATAGCAAAGTCTGCAGATGCTCCAGTCCCGGATTAAATTGGTGCCGTATATTGTAGACACATCTTCTTGTATGCTTTAGATGGTCTCTAGGTTAGTTATAATACCTGATAGAATGTAAATGCTAGATATAGATATAACATAGTTATGTTTTTTATACTACTTTTTATCATTGTGTTGTTTTTTATTTTTTTTCTGAGTATTTTCGATCCTTGGCTGGTTGAATCTGCAAATGTGGAACCCGTAGATAGGAGGACCAACTGTATTGGCTCACTGCAACCTCTGCCTCCCGGTTCAAGCAACTCTCCTGCCTCAGCCTCCCAAGTAGCTGGGATTACAGGCACGAGCCACCACGCCTGGCCAATTTTTTGTATCTTTAGTAGAGACGGGGTTTCACCATGTTGGCCGGGCTATCCTCCAGCCTCAGCCTCCTGAGGCGTGACTACAGGTGCACGTCACTATGCCCAGACCCACAGAGCAGTTCTGACCAGAACCATCAAACCCACAGACGCCGCATCCCAAGCCCGTTCTCATCACGGCGCTGTGTGAGAGGGGACTGATCCCTCTGACCCTCTCTGCGTCAAGCCCACAAGGCTCAGGGAATCGACTTTGCAGAAAAGTGCTGTGAGGCAGAGCAACACATTTGGACTCAGACCAACAGCCTGGGAACCTCCAGCGGTCGCCCTTTTCCAGCTCTGGGCAAAGCACTTACTTCAGTCTCCTCATCTGTAAGATGAAAACACTAGGTCGGGTGCGGTGGCTCACGCCTGTAACCCCAGTACTTTGGGAGGCCGAGGCAGGTGGATCACGAGGTCAGGAGATGGAGACCATCCTGGCTAACACGGTGAAACCCCGTCTCTACTAAAAATACAAAAATTAGCTGGGCGTGGTGGTGGTACCTGTCATCCCAGCTACTCGGGAGGCTGAGGCGGGAGAATCACTTGAACCCGGGAGGCAGAGGTTGCAGTGAGCTGAGATCACGCCACCGCGCTCCAGCCTGCGCGACAGAGCGACACTCCATCTCAAAAACAACAACAACAACAACAACAAACAAAAAACCCACCCTAACTGTGACTTGACCCCCACGTTACGTCTTTTGTTGTATTTCTCTCGAGGTTGGTCTGCTGTCCTGTGTAGCGGCCACCAGCTGCATGTGGCAGTTTAAATGTAAATGCATTCAAATTAAATAAAAGGGGACATTGTGCTCCTCAGCTGCACAGGCCACATTGCAGGTGCTCGGCAGGCTGTCGCATTGCACCTGGCAGAACGTTCCTGTTGTTGGAGAAAGTTCCATCGGACAACGTGGGCCAGGGCAGTGGGCGTGTGTATTTTACTTGACTTTGGCCTTAGGACCTTTGGCAGTATTATAGTAGAAAAATGAAGTGCTGTGCGGTGCTTACAGACGCATGCGCGTGATTTCTACTCTTTTTCCCACAAAGTGTAGAGTCCAGGAGACTTGAATATGGAAGCCAGTTTGGAGCCTCTCCTCACTCCTGGCCTTCCTATGGAAGGAGCTTATTCAAGGGAAAGAGCTTATTCAAGCTGCTCTTTCCCCACCCCCAGGTGTGACCCACAGGCCTCCACCTGTCTGGGACAGGCAGGACTGTGAGCTTTGGGAATCAAATGGAAAACACACTTGTCCCACTGCTGCCAGCTGGTTGTCCTAGGGCTAATGTGTCACCTCTCTGTGACTTAGCTCTTCACGTGTAGAATGGGGTGGAAAAGTACTCGGTGTGGCTGTTTTCAGGATGAAGGGGTCTTAGCGGTGCTCGCAGAAGAGCCACGGTGTTGGGAGTGTCTGCTCTCTGGAGGGGAGGCTGCCTCACTAACTGGCCTCTGCCCCACAGGCCTTCCTGGATGCTCTGCAGAACCAGGCTGAGGCCAGCAGCAAGATCATCGGCCAGTTTGGAGTGGGTTTCTACTCAGCTTTCATGGTGGCTGACAGAGTGGAGGTCTATTCCCGCTCGGCAGCCCCGGGGAGCCTGGGTTACCAGTGGCTTTCAGATGGGTGAGTGACGAATGTCGCCTGACAGGCAGCTCAAAGCTGAGCTGGAGCCCTTAGCATGGAGTTTGGAAAGGGATGGACTCAGAAAACGTACACAGGCATTTTCTGGGCTTTTTATATGAAATCTGACTCTCCCATTTTGGGGAGTTAGTGACTTTTGTGGCTCCAGGTGGCCTATGGCACCTGTCTGGTCCCATGTGGTTGGTCACCACCACTGCGCTCGGGAAGGCAGGTCCGGCCCGCGCTGAGCTCCTTTCTCAGTGGCTGAGCTGCAGGACTGGCCTGTCGCCTGGTGGACACTATGCAGCCTCCTGTGACCGACCTTCTGCAAGAGCTCATTCTGCTTCCTCCCAGCCCTGGCATTTCCTGGCTTTGTCTCCCCAGCCCACTTCTGCCTCTATAGGGTGAGGAGCCTGCTGGGGGCTTTTTTTTTTTTTTTTTCCTTTGGGACGGAGTTTTACTCTTGTTGCCTAGGCTGGAGTGCAATGGCACAATCTTGGCTCACTGCCACCTCCGCCTCCCAGGTTCAAGCAATTGGCCTGCCTCAGCCTCCTGAGTAGCTGGGACTACAGGCGCATGCCACCACGCCCAGCTAATTTTGTATTTTTAGTAGAGACAGGGTTTCTCCATGTTGGTCAGACTGGTCTCGAACCCCGACCTCAGGTGATCTGCCCGTCTTGGCCTCCCAAAGTGCTGGGATTATAGACGTGAGCCACCACGCCTGGCTCCGAGGGCTTTTTAGCAGGTGAGCCGCTTCCAGCCAGCCGAGGCGTCCTCCCTCCGTGATGCCATTTCTGCTCCACAGTGTGTGCACTGTGCTCAGCTTGACTCCCCACTCTCCCAAAACTAACATTCCTGTTTAATTCCATGGGAGCGGGGCTCAGAGTAAACTTAGGCCAAGGCATCAACATGGCCCTGCCGGGGGATTCCCCCCTCCTGTGCTTCGGAGATGGTTTTCTGCTCTTCTTAGGGGGCGCCTGTCCCCCTGGCCTTTGTTTTTGCCCCTGGGCATCTGGCACCCGATTTGGAGCTGGGCCAGTCCCCCACAGTGCCCCAGGCCTGCTTTTGGGGTAAGCCCAGAAGCTTCTTCGAAGCCCAGGGTCGGTGGAGGACCCCCGCCCCCCCGCCCCCCGCCCGAGGGAACCAGGAGAACTCTGCCGCCTGCGACAGGCTCATCGTTCCTGATGGGCATGTGATGGCCTGAGTGGTGCGCTGGGGTCAGAAATGGGGCATTTGAGGTGTGTTGTGTGTTGTTTGGGCTCTGCCTATGAAACCCTCGGGAACCGCTGGAGTCCCATGCAGGGTATGTCCCAGTGTCACATCCACCTGGCTTTTCCTTTCTTTGCCTGCCTTAGTTCTGGAGTGTTTGAAATCGCCGAAGCTTCGGGAGTTAGAACCGGGACAAAAATCATCATCCACCTGAAATCCGACTGCAAGGAGTTTTCCAGCGAGGCCCGGGTGCGAGGTGAGCGGGAGCCCGGGCCCAGGCTCACTCTGGGATCCATGTGTGGCCTGGAGGCCACCAGGTCAGCAGGCATTTTCCCTGGTTCTACCTGCACGTAGGGTGCACAGGCAGAGCCGTGAAGGGCCGAGCCGCTGCGGGACTGGGAGGGGGGCTGCCCGCCAGGGCTGCGTAGCATCGAGCTCCTGCTGGGACTGGGAGGAAGCTGGCCTGGCTGAGGCGGACCTCCTCCTCCTTCCTCTGCGTGGCCCTTGGCCTTTAGTGCACCTGGGGGTTTGGCGCAGTCCTGTCCCAGGATGTGGGCGTGGCCTTCCCTCTTTGTGTCCTGCTGGACACTCAGGGAGGCCCTGAGTACCCCCAGGAGTCAGCCCAGAAAGCCATGTTCCAGCCACAAGCTGACATTGCAGTCTCGCAGCAGCCGGGGCCTCCACAGCTCTGGTTCTCACGTGGGCTCCGCTGCTGCCCCCGTGAGACTGGGGGGAGGACAGGTGTCCCCACTGTGCCCTGTTTCTGTACCTGTGAAGTGTACACAGCATGGAGGACCCTTCCCAGCAGGCTGGCGCTCATCCTGGAGCTGCTGCAAAGCTTGCGTTTCCACAAGCATTGTAGATGCAGTGTGGTTTTTCTTTTGTCCCTTCCAGATGTGGTAACGAAGTACAGCAACTTCGTCAGCTTCCCCTTGTACTTGAATGGAAGGCGGATGAACACCTTGCAGGTGAGCCCTGAGTTCCTCTAGGGACTGGTCAAACATGGAGACAAATCTGTACGTTTCAGGGCAGCGGAGAAGAGATGAGCCCAGGGGATGCGGCCCAGAGTCACAGGGCGAGCTGCTCTGTGGAGATGAGACCTGGGTGTGGGGATGAGACAGGGGCCCAGCTCTACCACAGCCCTGCCCCTGTGCACCGGGCAGCCGGGGTCAGGGGTCAGGGTTCACTGAGGCGTAACGCCCATCCCAGCTGGCTCACCACATCAGTGTGCAGCCATGGTGTTCAGTGCAGCCACAGAGCTGTGCAGCCACCCCGCATCAATTCCAGAACATCCCATCACCCCAAAAAGCAGCCCTTTCCCCACTGCCCCTCCCCCAGTCCCAGCAGCCACGGTCTCCTTTCTGTCCATTGTGCTGCCTGTTCCAGACGTTTCTCCTGGATGGAGTCACACGGCATGCTGTCCTCAGTGACTGACTTCCCCCTCGCGGCTCAGCTGCGGTGCAGCGTGGGTCGTCATCGCTCTCACGGCCCACACTGTATTCGTCAGCTCGCCCCTGCTGGGCAGCGTCATCCTCTCCCACAGGCCCCCTCAGGTCCCGGCTGGTCCTCCTGACATGTTGTCCTGAGGAGCTCCTGCCCCAGAGCCTTGTGTGTCTCCCCTGCACTACCCGGCATAGCCCAGCGGTGGGGCTGGAGAGGGGTCTACGCCTGAGACCACCGCCCGTCTGTCCCAGGAGCCTGTCCAGGGCCAGGCGCTGCACTGGCTCAGGCCTGCACGGTGGTGGAGAAGACGTGCGTGGTGAACACGACGCCCTCCCCGCCGATCTCCGTTTCCAGGCCATCTGGATGATGGACCCCAAGGATGTCCGTGAGTGGCAACATGAGGAGTTCTACCGCTACGTCGCGCAGGCTCACGACAAGCCCCGCTACACCCTGCACTATAAGACGGACGCACCGCTCAACATCCGCAGCATCTTCTACGTGCCCGACATGGTGAGGCACTGTGGCAGTCCCACGGCCCTCAGGGTGACTCTGTTGTCCCCTGTGGCATCAGCTCTGCAGATGTCACATGATTAACATGGCAGTGTGAGGGCATGAAAAACATAGGTAGTGCTGGGTGTGGTGGCTCACGCCTGTTATCCCAGCACTTTGGGAGGCTGAGGAGGGTGGATCACCTGAGCCCAGGAGTTGCAGACCAGGCTGGCCAACATAGTGAGACCCCATCTCTGAAAAAAAAGAAAAAAAGAACAGATGCCTCTGGGTGGGTAACCACAGAGGTTTCCTCTGTCTCAGGGGTCACACATGGCGAGGGAAGGATTGATGGGCATCTCAGTGCAGGCTGGGGTGGAGGCTTGTGGACTGGGGTGTGCCTGGGGAGGGCCCTCAGAGCCTACATCATCTGCTGTGGATCAGTGGATGCTGTCCTGCCAGGCGCTCTGGGAAGGGCCTGTGGTCTTGCCTCTCCGTTGGCCTCTCTGTGTGCTTCCTCCACACCCTCCACCTCCCCTGGTTTCCTTTACCACATTGAAGTTCCCGCAAATCCTGCCGTAAGGAGACCTATTCGGGGCTGAGAGCCAGCCCGTCCTGCCCCCAGGCTCTTCTGTCCTTGGCTGCCTGGAAACTCTCCTAATGTCCTGCACAGCTGGCATCCATCTTGGAAAGAGCCAGCCAGGTGTGGCCTCCAGGGGCTTGTTAGAGTCTCAGGCCCCACCCAGGGCTCCTGCGTGGGAGCCCACATTTTAATAAGATCTCCCCGCATTTTAACCGGATCCCCCCCATTTTAACCAGGTCGCCCCACATTTTAACCAGGTCTCCCAACATTTGAACTAGATACCCGCCGCATTTTAACCAGATCCCGTGATGAGGTGTGGGTCCCGGTTCGGGAAGTACCAGTGTGGAGCAGGTGTTGGCAGGCACGTTCCACGAGGGCCAGACAGGAGCTGGTCCCAGCGTTTCGGGCCCGGTGTCTTTCGTAGCCACTAACCCTGCCGGGTGAGGAAGCAGCACTGCCCTGCTGCCCTCTGAGCACACAGGGCCGGGTCCCATGAGCTGCGTAGACACTGAAATTTGAGTTTCATCTTCACGTCTCATGAGATCATCCTTTTTGAAATCTTTCCTCAACTGTTTGAAAGTGTAAAAACCACTCTTAGGCTACACAGAGGTAGGCAGTGAGCTGGATCTGGTCGGAGGGCTCTTTGCTGATCCCTGACCTGTAGCAAGGTTTGGCTGTGTTCAGTGTGTTCAGGGGTACGTGCAAGGTTCACTCTCTTGTGTCCTCCTTAGGGGGTGGGCTGGGGAGGGCGGCAGCTGCCAGAGAAGGCCTTCAGCCCCTGCAGAGCCACAGTGTGGGGCATCGTGGGGCCCCTGCACTGGGCTTCAACTCAGAGCAGACGCTGGGGGAGGGCGAGGCGGGAGTGGGCTCTGGATTCATCGTGTCCGCCCCCACCTCCCAGCCAGGGCCTGCCTGGGGAGGGTCAGTGCTGCATGATGGCGTGTTCTCCTCACCCCCAGAAACCGTCCATGTTTGATGTGAGCCGGGAGCTGGGCTCCAGCGTTGCACTGTACAGCCGCAAAGTCCTCATCCAGACCAAGGCCACGGACATCCTGCCCAAGTGGCTGCGCTTCATCCGAGGTACGCTGCTCAGAGTCCGTGAGCAGTGCCCCCGTGGCCCAGTGTCGCCCGCTGCATCTGTGAGGGACCGTGCTGATTCCATTCTCAGCAGCCCTCTGCAGCGAGAGCACCGCCGTCGGCCTGCGCTGCCTGTGTGTCAGTCGCGTTTACAGACCCCGGGAGCTGCCCCACCTCCCTACGCACATGACTGATCTGGGGGGAGCACTGGGGTGTTCAGATTGAGGTCTTTCCATATGTAGGGATACTGAGTTTCAGATTGATATGTGAGTTGTGTTACGTTTGAGTGAGATTATAGTTTAAGAAAGACTTCAGTATTTAAGCCTTGGTACACAGAGGTGCGAACCATCCCTGATAGAGTTTTGTTTGTTTGTTTTTTGAGACGAGTCTTGCTCTGTCACCCAGGCTGGAGTGCGGTGGTGCAATCGTGGCTCACTGCAACCTCCTTAAGTGATTCTCCTGCCTTAGCCTCCCGAGTAGCTGGGATTACAGGCGCCCGCCACCACACCCGGCTAATTTTTGTATTTTTAGTAGAGATGGGGTTTCACCATAATTGCCGGGCTGGTCTCGAACTCCTGACCTCATGATCCGCCCACCTCGGCCTCCCAAAGCGCTGGGATTACAGGCGTCAGACACTGTGCCCAGCCAGAGTTGTGATTTTTAACATAAAGCCCAGGCTGTCATTTTCCGAGTGTTACCCCGAGGCTGTCCCGGCCACCCACAGCCCAGGTCACTGTTCTGGGAGGTGGCAGGACGTAGAGGAAGCTCCGGCAGTGCCGCCTCCCTGCTTCCCTCTTAGCACACGTGCTGGGTTGAAGGCCAGGCCTGAAGACAAAGGGCAGGTTAATGGGGAATGTTGGGTGGTGTGGAGGGCCGCAGCCCCGGGAGAAGCTGACTGCCGTGTCTCCCAGGTGTGGTGGACAGTGAGGACATTCCCCTGAACCTCAGCCGGGAGCTGCTGCAGGAGAGCGCACTCATCAGGTGAGCCTCGGGCCGCGGGGAGAGGACCCTGCTGGGGACAAGGCCCCTACCTGCTCCTTTGCCCCCAGAGGGCCCTAGCCGTGGCCCATGGAGCTGAGAGCAGAGGTGGTCGGGGAAGCCCGGCCTGCACATGGGGGCCCTCAGGAGCCTTCCAGGTGCTGGCCTGGCCTCTGAAGCTTGTGGTCCAGAAGAAGGTGGGGGTGGCTGGTCATGGCTGAGGCTGGAGTCTGGATAGGGGGAGGGGCCGCAGAGCCAGACCTGCCCACCTGTGCCCCAGGGTTGTGACTGCAGCCCTGCAGCAGGCCAGCCCTGTGTGGAGGGGACTCCAGTGTGCTGGCTCCAGGTTCTCCATCAGTAGCTATCACTTCCCCACTCTGGCCCCAGGCTCACCAAATAGTCTTTATTCAAAACCTCGCTTACTGGCTTTTTTTCCCCTAATGCAAGTAGTATTTCCTTACTAGAGCACATTCAAGTGACCTGTGCTCTCACCTAGAGATGACTGCTGTTGATGGTTTAGGGTGGGGTAGATTGGCAGCCACATAGGGCAGGTTTCAGAGGGAGCCTGTGGGGTGAGGATTCAGCTGGAATTTGGAGCCCTGGAGGTCTCTCAAGAGCCCACCACGTGCAGCATGCCATGGAACGGGCCTTGTTGGAGCCCCCAACGTGCCTGCAGTGTTTCTCTGCCCACCGGTTTCTCTCCAGTGTTGAAATGGAAGCAGATCCTCGGAAAAAGGATGAGTCTGGGTAATTGGTGTGTGTTGGGGCTGCGCTGTGGGCATGGCGAGAGGCCCACACCGAGAGGCACTGGTCCTCAGAGATTCTGTCCTGTGCCGCGGGCAGGAGCAGGTCTGGGGAGATGGTGGGCAGTGTGGTTTCCTGCCTGGTGGGTCCATGCCCAGCCCTGCGAGGTCACATGGCCTGCCGGTGATATCCTCCTGCCTCACCTTCAGAGGCAGAAAGCCATGGAGATTTTTTTCTTTTTTCAACCAAGCAAGCCGCAGTGATGTTTTATTGGTTGACTGATAGGGTCTTTCTTGTTGTCCAGGTTGGAATGCAGTGGTGTGATCACAGCTCACTGCAGCCTCAACCTCTTGGGCTCAAGCAATCCTTCCACCTCAGCCTCCCAAGTAGCTGGGACTACAAGTGTGAGCTACCATGCCTGGCTAATTTTTTTGTATTTTTTTGTAGAGTTGGGATCTCACTATGTTGCCCAGGCTGATCTTGAACTCCTGGGCTCAAGCGATCCTTTGGCCTCAGCCTCCCAAAGTGCTGGGATTCCAGGCATGAGCCACTGCACCTGGCCACTTAGATTTTTTTTTTTTTTTTTTTTTTTTTTTTTGAGACGGAGTCTTGCTCTGTCGCCCAGGCTGGAGTGCAGTGGCGCAGTCTCG
The DNA here is from genome assembly GCF_000001405.40 of Homo sapiens. Classification (NCBI taxonomy): domain Eukaryota; kingdom Metazoa; phylum Chordata; class Mammalia; order Primates; family Hominidae; genus Homo; species Homo sapiens. The sequence continues at coordinate 3,670,330 of NC_000016.10, read as the reverse complement.
GCTCACTGCAACCTTCGCCTCCTAGGTTCACGCCATTCTCCTGTCTCAGCCTCCCGTCTCAGCTGGGACTACAGGTGCCTGCCACCATGCCCGGCTGATTTTTTATATCTTTAGTAGAGACAGGGTTTCACCGTGTTAGCCAGGATGGTCTCGATCTCCTGACTTCGTGATCCGCCTGCCTTGGCCTCCCAAAGTGCTGGGATTACGGGTTTGAGCCACTGCGCCCGGCCTGTTTTTGTTTTTCATGCAATTGAATTCATATTGCTTATACTGTTTCCTTTTTTCTACCTAGTTTATTTGCACCACTTCCCATGTTGTTTTTTGGAAGCACTTTTAATTGCTACATCATGGGACATCACAGGGATGTACCATAGTTTACTGATCCCGTCCCTCGGGGCTGCACAGCTGGGCTGTCTCAGTGTTTCTGCAGTTATGACACTGCAGTGCATGTTTATCTTTGTTCTGAAATCTTTTTTTTTTTTTTTTTTTTTTTTTTTTGAGACGGAGTCTTGGTCTGTTGCCCAGGCTGGAGTGCAGTGGCACGATCTCGGCTCACTGCAAGCTCCGCCTCCCGGGTTCATGCCATTCTCCTGTCTCAGCCTCCCGAGTAGCTGGGATACAGGCACCCACCACCACGCCCAGCTAATTTTTTGTATATTTAGTAGAGACAGGGTTTCACTGTGTTAGCCGGGATGGTCTTGATCTCCTGACCTTGTGATCTGCCTGCCTCGGCCTCCCAAAGTTCTGGGATTACAGGTGTGAGCCACCGCGCCTGGCCTGTTCTGAAATCTTTACCTGCAGCTGTATTTCCTTAGGATAGAATACTAGGGGTGGGGTTACTTGGTCGGAAGATATAACTATATAAAAGGTATTTTCCTTGCTGACTAAAGAGATGTTATATAATCAATGAAAAGGGGGCCTCAGTGCTTGTTTCCCCACACAGCCGTGCTGGCTTCTGACAGCAGGACCCCGACTTGCTGCCGACATGACCACAGGGCAGCAGTTGTGCTGACCTCAACAGGATGCATCCCCGCCCCACAGCAGCGACTGTTCTGTGGTCGTTAGAGTCGTGCTCTTTGGTGTACTGACCCTGTGCACTTCGAGTGCGCCTGTGGGTTACTGGTGATCTGCCCAATGTTTCAGTTCACTTCAGTGAAGAGAGGGCTTGGGGCTGACTCCCGGATTATTATTGCTGGTGCTGGAGTTGTCCCCACCTTGTCCATCCCCATCACCCTGCCCAGGAGTGGCCACAGGAGGGGAGGTTCCAGGTACAATGTCCCTGGGCTGGATAAGGCAAAGGACACCCACTGAACTGAGGACACGTCTGGCCTCATCTGGGAAGCTCACGGATGAAGTGGAGGCAGGGGCCAGGCCCTGTGGAGAGGGAGCTCCTGGCGTCCCTGCGGGCCGAGGCGGCTGCGTTCCTCTCCCCATCCTGAATGTGTTTCCTGAGTATTTCTTCTCCACTGAGAACTGTGCTGAGCCTGCATAAACACGTGTTTCATCCTGTGAGGGGAGCCGTGAGTCCTCACTCATAGTTGTGGAAACTGAGTCACAGAGGGGTGGTCCTGCTCAGTAAGGGAGCTGCATTCCTGGCTGTGGCAGGCATGCTGGCCCACTGGTAGTGCCCGAAGCTGCAGAGCAGGGGTCCTCATCCCAGCTTGTGGTTGTCAAAGGTTGCGTTGTCAGTCTGAGAACTCATCTCGATCAGAAAAGAGTCAGCCGAAATTAGAGCTTTTGAAAGAATCACAGGCTTAAAAGTTGGAAGCATGGTACCAAGAACATGTTTTTCCTCGAATCCTGTGAGAGGAAGTTGCCTTCTCGATGCCTTTGGGGTGCATTTCCAACAAACAAGGATGTCCTTCCCTTTGTAATTAACAGATGTTATAGGTATTTTGAAGCTATGTAAATGTCACATTCTTCATGAAACTCTCAATACATTCATTTATTTACTTAAAATATTTATGTGTTGGCCGGGCGCGGTGGCTCACGCCTGTAATCCCAGCACTTTGGGAGGCCGAGGCAGGCAGATCACCTGAGGTCAGGAGTTCGAGACCAGCCTAGCCAACATGGTAAAACCCCGTCTCTACTTAAAAAATAGAAAAATTAGGCTGGGCGCAATGGCTCACTCCTGTAATCCCAGCACTTTGGGAGGCCGAGGCGGGTGGATCACGAGGTCAGGAGTTACCAGCCTGCCAAGATGGTGAAACCCCATCTCTACTAAAAACACAAAATTTTAGCCAGTCGTGGTGGCAGGCAGGTGTAATCCCAGCCACTCGGGAGGCTGAGGCAGAGAATTGCTTGAACCTGGGAGGTGGAGATTGCAGTGCGCCAAAATCACGCCACTGCACTCCAGCCTGGGCGACAGAGCGAGACTCATCTCAAAAAAAAAAAAAAAAAAAAAATCAGCCGGGTATGGTGGCAGGTGCCTGTAATCCCAGCTACTTGGGAGGCTGAGGCAGGAGAATTGCTTGAACCCGGGAGGCAGAGGTTGCAGTGAGCCGAGATCACGCCACTGCACTCCAGCCTGGGGGACAAGAGCAAGATTCGTCGGATGGAAAAAAAAAAAAAAATTGATGTGTTATATTTATACTATTTATAATTTATTTATATGGGCTGATTTCCTGTTTTATTCAAGAGTTTATAATCTTGCTATCATTAATAAAATTTTTTTATTTTTATTTATTTATTTATTTATTTATTTTTGAGATGGAGTCTTACTCTGTTGCTCAGGCTGGAGTGCAGTGGCGAGGTATTGGCTCACCGAAACCTCTGCCTCCCGGATTCAAGCGATTCTCCTGCCTCAGCCTTTCAAGTAGCTGGGACTACAGTCACCCACCACCATGCCCTGGTAATTTTTTGTATTTTTAGTAGAGACGGGGGCTTACCATGTTGACCAGGCTGGTCTCAAACTCCTGACCTCTGGTGATCCGCCCGCCTCAGCCTCCCAAAGTGGTGCGATTACAGGCAGGAGCCACCATGCCCCGTTGATTATTCTTAGCACGGTTACCCATTTGACCAATCCCCCTCCATGTAACCAATCTACCATTGCCACTGCCCTCTTCTGCGGGTGTCCCTGTCACCTACTTGGGCTCTGACTCTTCACGGTGGGCTGGTCACGCCCCCAGCCTGGACACCCTTCTCTGGGGTTCTTGGGCTCTGACACCCATACCAGGCTCTTCCCAACCATGGCCCTGCATAGACACCTTCCCTGGGCTCTGCACCGCATCCTGGGCTACTGTCCCCCCGCTCCCAGGCACGAAGGCATGTCCTGTCCCATTCTGCCCTGTGGCTGAAGGACTGAGTCACTGGGGATGGAGTGTGGGAGGAAAGGCTCTAAATGAACTCGAGAGAGTGTTGTTCCCATGCTCTGGATTATTGAAATACATTGTAATTTACCTGCTTAAAGGAAAGACTAAATATTAAGAAGAAAATAAAAATATCCCTAGTCCCAGTGATAAAGTTGTTCCTAATTTTAGGCCATTATGTAATGCTGCAGTAAATATCCTGATCCCTAAAATCCCAATTTTGAAAAATTAGAGTATACATATATTCAGTATAAATCCCAAATTACAGTGTACATATATAGTATATACAGTGCTGCTCCTAATGATGGAAAATTGTTATGTACATGTAGAATGTGCATTCTTTGCCTGTATCTATAGACGTACTGTAATTTACCCACATTGGGATTTTTCTGGGTTTTCTTTCAACACAGCTAACTTTCTCATGTCATTGAGGATTATTAAAAGATGCAGTTTTTTTTTTTTATGGCCATTTAGCATTACATAATTTTAGCCTATATTCTTGAACATGAGGTTGTTCATAATTGTTATATTTTATGTGCCACAGTGAAAATCCTGGTACATAAATCTTGGTGTGCTCACATGTTTCCTAAGGTGCAGTTCCTATAATTGGAACAACTGGCTCAAAGGTTGGAAGGGTTTTCCGGGCGTGGGTATCTTGTCTCTGGGGGCATCGGTTCTCCTACTGCCTCCAGGGGGTGTCTGCCCTCCACCCTGCTGCCTCCTGTCCGGCCACTGCCCAGGGTTTCTGTCTTTCTGCTCAGTCTTTTTCAGTTTGGCCAATAACGGTACCTTGTTGTTTTCACTTCTTTGATTCTTAGCGGGGCTGAACATTTTTTCGTACCCTCTGGCCATTTGTATTTCATAGAGGCTGCTTGTATGTATTAAATGCATTTCTTTTCTGTAGGAAACTCCGGGACGTTTTACAGCAGAGGCTGATCAAATTCTTCATTGACCAGAGTAAAAAAGATGCTGAGAAGTATGCAAAGTTTTTTGAAGATTACGGCCTGTTCATGCGGGAGGGCATTGTGACCGCCACCGAGCAGGAGGTCAAGGTATAGGAGCTGTGTTCCAGGCCTTTTTCTGGGCCACCTTGTCCCTGGGGCTGCTGAGGAAGCTGGTGGAGGTGTCCCCTGATGTGGCGACGGTGCAGCTGGGTACCCTGGCTGCTGCTGCTGCTGCCACCAGGGTCAGGAAATGGAAGGCCAGGCTTCTGGGCCTCTGGCACCTTCCAGGCACATCCTTACCCTCCCACCAGTGCTGTGCTGTGCTCTGAAGGGCTCAGCCTCACTGCTGTGTGAAGGTGCAGCCCAGGGAGTGGCAGGAAGAGGGCGTGCACACACTGTCTCCCCTCAGAGGATGTTGGGGGCTGGGGAGCCACAGACAGGTGGGACAAGCCAAGGACTCCGATCCCGTGGGTGGGGAAGTGGGTGGTCTCAGTGTCTGTTGAGGGACTATTCATCATGTACTGGATATCAGTCTCCAAATACTATGCTACAGGGGCCAGTCGTTCAGTTAATCCAATAGTGGATGGCTGAAAAACGAAACATTTGTTCCATAAACATTTTTTGTCCATTTTTTATTGAGATACAACTTACATAGCATCAGATTCACAGAATTCACCTTTTAACACGTAAAATTCAGTGGCATTTAGTGCATTCACAGTGTGGTGTGGCTGCCTCCACTGTAACCCCAGAACATTTCATCCCAGGAGCCCATCCCGTGCTGGTGTCCCTTCTCCCCAGCAGCAGGAGGAGGGTGACCACGTGTGTGGGGTCCCAAGGAGGCCGTGTTCTGGTTGTTTGCCGACTTCGGCAGCTTCTGACACAGGCCTCTTCATTCTCCTTTATCTTCATTTGAGTTAACAGCACACAGGTAAGAGTCAGAGACATTTCTAGGTCTTTGTAGGTGTGCACGTGTGACATGTCTTATCAATGCAGACCCACCATGTGTGCAGGGGTGGCCTGGGCCCTGCTGGTTGGGTGTCCAGCTCCTTGCTTTTCCCTCTTTCTGTTTTCCCCCTGCGTCCTTCCAGCTGCAGCTCCCATGAGCTCTAGAGGTCACAGCTGCGTTCAGCTGATGGGGAGGAGGGCAAACCCCTCCCCTAAGGGCCCTTCTCCAAATCCCACTGAAACCCACTGGGCAAAGCCAGTCTCTGCCATAGCCAGCTGTGAGGAGGGCCGGGAACCGTGGACTTCACCCGTGTCCGTGTGCCCACCAGAGACTGACTCTGTCACTGAGGGCAGAGGGAAGACGCTGGGTCCAGGCCGGGCTCTGCTGTTGGGTGGGGTCCCCTCCCAGGGCGTGGTGCGCGTAGCTCCCTGGAGAGCCCCTGGGCCACCTGGGGCAGGAGGTGCTTCCTAAGCCCCCAGAGCTCCCAAAAGGGGCCTGATGGGCAGAGCAAGGCCTGCTCTCGGACAACCCCCGAGTCCACTACCGTCCCTCGGGTCAGGGCCAGCCTGGAGTGCCAGGAGGCCATGGGCATCGGAGGGTTTGCGCCCAGTTAGTTGGGCAACATTGAGCCCATGGGCCTGGAATAAGTGGTGACCTGCCCCGTCCCTTCTAGGAGGACATAGCAAAGCTGCTGCGCTACGAGTCCTCGGCGCTGCCCTCCGGGCAGCTAACCAGCCTCTCAGAATACGCCAGCCGCATGCGGGCCGGCACCCGCAACATCTACTACCTGTGCGCCCCCAACCGTCACCTGGCAGAGCACTCACCCTACTATGAGGCCATGAAGAAGAAAGACACAGAGGTGGGTGAGCGGTGGGTGGGGCGGGCTCCGGGGGCTGCAACCTGGGGAGGGTCTTGACCTTCTCAGCTCTGTGCTGGGTGAACCTGCCCAAGACTCCGGGCAGGGCTGCACAGTGGGTCAGGGTCACGGGCACAGAGGCCGGACCGACTGTGACGGCTGTTTCCCACTTGGAGGTCACATGTGGTTTTTTTTGTTTGTTTTTTGTTTTTTTGAGATGGAGTCTTGCTCTCTCGCCCAGGCTAGAGTGCAGTGGTGCGATCTCGGCTCACTGCAACTTCCGCCTCCTGGGTTCAGGTCATTCTCCTGCCTCAGCCTCCTGAGTAGCTGGGACTACAGGTGCACACCACCACACCCAGCAAATTTTTGTATTTTTAATAGAGACGGCATTTCACCATGTTGGTCTCGAACTCCTGACCTCATGATCTGCCTGCTTTGGCCTCCCAAAGTGCTGGGATTACAGGCGTGAGCCACTGCACTCAGCCACATGTGGATTTCTTTATGCGTGGAGTGCTTCTGCCTTGAAGGCAGTCAGAGCCTTCCTTAGACCCAGGTGTCGTAGTAACTGTCATGCAGGCCTAGGAACCCCAACTGCCCCGGTGTTCCCCAGTGTGGCCCGCTTGGCTCCCCCAGCCCTCCTGCCGCCCTCATCCTTTCTTCTGTGGTGGCTGGAGGCCCCCGGGGTCTGATGGAGCTGCTCTTGGCCACCTGCAGGTTCTCTTCTGCTTTGAGCAGTTTGATGAGCTCACCCTGCTGCACCTTCGTGAGTTTGACAAGAAGAAGCTGATCTCTGTGGAGACGGACATAGTCGTGGATCACTACAAGGAGGAGAAGTTTGAGGACAGGTCCCCAGGTCGGCATCCCCTGCTCTCTAGGCGTGGGGCTGGTTTCCACTCCCCGCACGCCTCTCCTGCCCCGCAGCGAGGGCTTCCTTTGGGTTTTCGTCAGTTGACCTGGGCTCAGCCACCCCCGAGAAGAGCCTTGTGGGAGCACCCTGGTGACTGGAGGAAGGTGCCTCCTGGTTTAGATATCAGGGGTCTGTCCAGTGCTCCTGCCACGGTGGCTTCTGGAGCTGGCCCAGCTTCTTGAGAGGCTGTGTATTTTTTTAAAGCCCTAACCAAGTTGTATGGGCCTCAGGCAACCTGAAGCATCCTTTGAGGTTTTACTTTTAGATGAAAAGCATCTTGCTAGCTTGTGTCTCCATCCTGGTGGGAGAGGAGGTGGGAGCTGGAAGCATGCTGCGTGGCCCCCATGGAAGCCGGGGAGTTGGGATGCAGGCCTGAGCTCCCTGTCGCCTGCTCTTCCGCAGCCGCCGAGTGCCTATCAGAGAAGGAGACGGAGGAGCTCATGGCCTGGATGAGAAATGTGCTGGGGTCGCGTGTCACCAACGTGAAGGTGAGGCTTTCCCGGGGATGGACCACCACTTGGCCGCAGTGTCCCTAACAGGCTGGCCAGCTGGTGGCTCCCAGTACCTGGCCCGTTGGGTGTCCTTCCAGCAGCAGCAGAAGCCCTTGGTGTCAGGTGGAGACCCTGTGGGTCCCTGCTCGGCACGTGTTGCTCGGGAGTGCCGCTGAGGCAGGAAGGCCGTGTCTTTCTCCCAGCCCTGCTCCAGAGCAGGTGTGAACTGAGAACTGAAAAACCAGCATCCTGAGTGGGAGCTGCAATGGCTGAGGACGTGGGGGTTCCAAACAAGGGACATGCTACCCCAGCCCTCAGGAGCTCACATGCTCACTTGGGTGCTTAGTCGGGGGTTTTGGGTGGGCTTCAGAGAGCTAAGACTCCCCCCACCAACCTGTCTAGCTCAGAGTGAGAAATGAGCGTCCCATGCATGGTCACTTGGAGGAAGGGGCCTCATGCAGGGTGGGCTGGCATGGAGCAGAGGACGATGGATTCGGGCAGCTCCTGGAGGCAGCAGCGGGGCACCAGGGTGGTGGAGCCCCTCGGGCACAGTATCTTTGCGTGGGGCATCAGCTCAGGGCCCACAAGTTAGTGGGTAATGGGGAGGGAGCAGCGCTGGTCCAGGGGAGTCCTTGAGACCCCGCCTGCTACCTCGTGGTCTGGGTGACCTTCACCCCTGGTAAGATCCTGCCAGCCCTCTCACATTGGGAACCTCTATCACCCTCAACCCCGGGCTTTGCTCACAGGTGACCCTCCGACTGGACACCCACCCTGCCATGGTCACCGTGCTGGAGATGGGGGCTGCCCGCCACTTCCTGCGCATGCAGCAGCTGGCCAAGACCCAGGAGGAGCGCGCACAGCTCCTGCAGCCCACGCTGGAGATCAACCCCAGGTGAGGCCACGCTCCTGGCTCTTCCAGCCTGTGGGATTCCCCAGAATCCTGTGTGTGGTGTTCTTTTGTTGTGGAATGTGACACAGAAGAAAAGTGCGTGAGGCCTGTGGACATGTGGGTAACTATAAGGAGCTGTATGCAGTTTAGGCTGCACCCATGTGAAATGGAACCTGGCCAGCCCCTTACCATCCCCAGGTGTCACCTGGGAGGTTAGCCACATCCCAGCCTGTGACCATGTCCTCGTTTTGCTTTATGGCTTTGCCACCTGTGCGTGTCCTGGACATGCTCAGTTTTGCCTGTTTTGAGCTTTGTACGTGGATCTTGGTGTTTGCTGAAGTCTCACGTTGCTCACTTGGCATGAGGGTTGCCCATGCAGAGGGGCTGCCACAAGTTCATTTTCATAGCCGAATAATGTCCGCTGCAGAAACCCACCTCGGCACAGCAGACTGCTCCGTTCTGCTCTGCTGGGCCTCCGGTGGTTCTTGGTCAGAAGTTGTGGAGAGCCAGGCTGCTCTGAGTATTCTTGTCCACGTGTCTGGGGCTTGTGTGGGTTTCTCTGTGGCCCCGGTGGTGGGAGCTGCTTCCAGGGTGCACCGAGAACCCCCCAGCCCTGACAGTGGCTGAGCCGTAAGATTTCCCTCGTTTCTTCCTGTTGTTCTTTATATGCCCTTTATCTGTTGTAAATGTCTTTTCACCTGCCTTTAGGTATCTTTTGAGTTTCTTTCTTTTTACAGTATCACTTCTTTGCACCCATGAATGTGATCTATTTAGGTCTTTAACATCCTTTGGTACCTTACATTCTCTGTAGGGTTCTGGTACCATTTTTAAAGAATTATTCTTTGATGTGTCTTATGGGGTATTTTAAAATTTCATTTTCTAACTTGTATATGAACTAACTTGTATATGAAGTTTCTTTTTTGGGGGAAATTTTGAATGTAGCAATTTTTTAAAAAATGAAGTTACATAAACATGTTACCAAAAATAGAAAACAGCAAAAAGGAAATCAAAATCCATAGACTTACCACCCCCCCCACAATGTAGCCTAAGTAGTATTTTAATTTTTGAGACAGGGTCTCACTCTGTCCCCCAGGTTGGAGTGCAGTGGGGCAATCTCAGCTCACTGCAACTTCTACCTCCTGGCCTCAAACAATCCACCTGCCTTAGCCTCCCGAAGTGCTGGGATTACAAGTGTGGGCTACCACCCCCAGCCAGTTTTTGTTTTGTTCTTTAGTACATGTCTAGTTTTTTTCTTTTGTCATTTTACAACCATAACTTTTAAAATTATACTGGAGGCGAGGGAGATGCATCTTCCTAGCCATGGCACTCCTGGGGAAAGGCTGACTTGGCTTATGGCTGTCAGTGCACAGCAGCGCCAGTATGCAGAATGCCTGTGCCTCTGCTGGAGCAGCTCAGTGAGGCGGACACCAGGTCACTTTAACTAGTTTTGGTGGCAAACTAGTTTTGTGAGATAGCTGCAGAAGTGCTCGTTTCTGTCTGTTGCCACTTCACTTTTGGAGACAGGGTCTTGCTCTGTCACCTAGGCTGGAGTGTACCAGTGGCGCCATCAGAGCTCACTGCAGCCTTGGCCTCCCAAAGTGGTGGGATTACAGGCGAGAGCCACTGTGCCCAGCCAGCTTCACTTTCATTTGTTTTAAAATTTGGTGTTCTGTCCACATAGTTCAGAATTCAAAACTGCTTACAGGGGAAAATTTCCTCCTACCTGTGTCCCCAGTGCAGCCAGCATTAGGGCTTTTGTATTTCTGCAGAGATTATGTGCATTTGTGGGCAGCTGCGCCCGTGGGCTTCCAAGGGGGAACTTGCTGTGCAGTGGGTCCTTGCCTTGCTTTTCTCCCTTAGGGTAACTAGGTGACCTCCACATTAGCATATTAAGAATGTCCTTTTTTTCCAGCTACGTAGACTAGAAATGTGAGGATGTGCATTTGAAGTGTTTCCTCTGTTAGGTTGGGTGCGGTGCCTCACGCCTGTAATCCCAACATTTTGGGAGGCCTAGGCGGGTGGATCACTTGAGGTCAGGAGTTCGAGACCTCATCTCTACTAAAAATACAAAAACTAGCTGGGGGTGGTGGTGGGTGCCTGTAATCCCAGTTACTTGGGAGGCTGAGGCAAGAGAACCTCTTGAAACCAGGAGGCTGCGGTGAGCCAAGATCATGCCATTTCACTCTAGCTTGGGTGAAGGAGTGAGAGTCTATCTATCTATCTATCTATCTATCTATCTAAAAAAAAAAGTGTTTAAAGGGATGCAGTTAGGAAATGGAATGGCTGAGTCTCAGCATATCATCCACATGTGGTTTTCCCGACTCCAGTTGTCCTCTGGAGAGGTTGTACAAATTTACAGTTCCCCAGAGCCCTCGGTTTTATCAGACTTCTAAGTGAAAAATTATAATATTCATGTTAAGGTTAAATACTACATGATGCTTTTTCCTATGCAGAAAAAAATATTGTTCTGACGTCAAATATGTCAATCATTCTTTACTTTTTGGTTTGTGGTTTTGCTTGGAAAGGCTTTCCCCTTCTGAGATGATGAAACATTTCTTCCCTAGAATTGTGCTTGTCATCTTTGATCCCTCTGGAATTTACTCTGGTCTAAATGGTTTTCTGCATGGCTCCCAGTCATCCCAGTGCTGCTGGATGGAGTGATCTGTCTCCTCCCTCTTCTGTGAAATACTGTCCTCATCAGACACTCAGTGTCCACCCTCGTTACATGGAGTTGTTTGCCTTCCCCCTTTCCAGACCTAAACTGTTTTATTTACTAGAGCCCTATAATATGTTTCAACATGTGGGTCTTACTCCCTTCTCTTTTATTATTTATCTAGGAACCAAGGCATGTCTTCACGTACTAAGCTCCTTTTGTCCCTTTAGTGTATATTAATCTTGGAGTTTGGCTACCTTACAGCATTTTCTAATACTGACACTCCTGATTCTCTTGGGTTTTCTGGGTATATAATGATATTATCTATAAATGATCATTAACATACCTTATTTAAAAAACTACAGACAGTCTTACTGTGCTTCTTTAAATATCCTGATAATCCCAAAACATGAAGGGAGGGTCACAGCACGTGGTACTGAGCTGCTTTTTCTGGTGGGTTCTGTGTTGCAGGCACGCGCTCATCAAGAAGCTGAATCAGCTGCGCGCAAGCGAGCCTGGCCTGGCTCAGCTGCTGGTGGATCAGGTGAGTGCAGCAGCTTAGGATGACTGCAGGGACCCAGGCTACCAGCCCTGCCAGCCTGCCTTCAGGGTGGAACAGCGGTTTCCTCTAAAATCCTGTCTTTTTGTTTGTTTGTTTGTTTTTTGAGATGGAGTGTTGCTCTGTTGCCAGGCTGGAGTGCAGTGGCGCGATCTTGGCTCACTACAACCTCTGCCTCCCGGGTTCAAGCAATTCCCCTGCCTCAGCCTCCCGAGTAGCTGGGACTACAGGCATGCGCCTGGCTAATTTTGTATTTTAGTAGAGATGGGGTTTTCACCATCTTGGCCAGGATGGTCTCAATCTCCTGACCTCGTGAGCCACCGTGCCCAGCCAAATTCTGTTTTAAAAACGGAAAAATGGCCAGGCGTGGTGGCTCACGCCTGTAATCCCAGCACTTTGGGAGGCGGGGGGATCACCTGAGGTTGCAGTGAGCCGAGATCGTGCCTCTGCACTCCAGCCTCGGCAACAGTGAGACTCTGTCTCAAAAAAAAAAAAATGAAAAGGTGCCCCATGCCCCTCATAATGGGTTTCTCCTCTTGCCTTTCAGATATACGAGAACGCCATGATTGCTGCTGGACTTGTTGACGACCCTAGGGCCATGGTGGGCCGCTTGAATGAGCTGCTTGTCAAGGCCCTGGAGCGACACTGACAGCCAGGGGGCCAGAAGGACTGACACCACAGATGACAGCCCCACCTCCTTGAGCTTTATTTACCTAAATTTAAAGGTATTTCTTAACCCGAGTGTGTGTTGGGCTTTTTTTCTGGGTCCTGTGGCAGGATGGGTCCTCTCTTCCTGCAGTTCAACTGGTGTGGGGAGGGGCTGCTCACTTCAGCATCACCTCCACTGGATAGTGGTCACTGATGGCTTGGGCCTGCAGGCAAGTGGGCACAGGGTCTGGGCTGAGCCTACCTGAGCTCCTGTGTCCCATCCTCATGTGGCTGTGCAAGGGAGGACACATACCAGTTGGTCACTCAGGCCATAGGCAGCCTGGAAGTTAAAGGGAAGAGCCGAGTCGGGAACAACGGCGCCTCGGAGCAGCATCCCTGCAACCACGATCCTGATGGGTGTTGGGAAGAGAAAGTAGGTTCCCCTTTCACACATGGGCCTGGCTCAGCACCCGCAGGAACTAAACTAAGAGCCCTGGGACCTGCCAGTGCAGGTCTGTGGGTGCCCAAAACTGCACACCCTGGTCTGTGCCCCTCAATGTGGAAACCACATGACAGCCTAGGTGTCTGCCTCTCCTCTTATCCCCAGATGTGCTTTTCCGAAAAAACCTAAAAATCGTGGCTCTTGTTATTCTGTTCCCTGTAGTGGATCAACTGAAGCTCAGTTGGGTGAGTGTTCAAAGGCTTTGAGGCTTCTGAAGCCCGACCTATGAGTCACGGCTGCCCTTGGAGGTGCCCTCAGTCTGCCCTAAGCGCGAGGCCCTGCTCACCTGTCATAGGCACAGTGCGTGGGTGTAGCTGTGGTGTCAGCGCTGTCGGGGATCAGCCACTGGAAGGTGGGGCTTGTCCACAGGCGGATGGATGACCACTGGGAGGGTCTCACATAGCTGCAGCCCGCATTGAAGTCGCCCATCAACATGACGTCCTACCAGGAAACGCTGCCTGTGGCCCTGGGACATGCGGAGGCCGCTGGTGCCCACTGCCCCTGGGAGGGCCTCACCTCCAAGCCCCATTTCTCTTGGACATCCAGGTAGACGTCATAGAGAGCGTCGATCTCGGCTACTGCGTCCCCCGGGGCCGCATGCAGGGGAACAATGGCAAACTCCCTGACCTCTGTGGAGACAGCCACGTCGTGTGAGGCACACTCCCTGGGGGCAGGTTCAGTCACCATGTCAGCTGGAACTATGTATCATGACAGTCCCCCCGGGGGGTGGATATTTTCCAAATGACTTGAATGGAAAACCCAAGCCCCAGGGACTGGGAGGGCAGTGTGTGACACAGGCATTCCAGGTTCCCTAGGAGGGGGTGGAGGCCATAAGCGCCAAGCCGAGCCCCACCCTGGCCCAGGCAGCACCCACCTGTGAACCGGGAGAAGAACCTGACAATGGCTGGCTCTCGGTTGAAGGTGTCGTTCCCGCAGGGCTCGCAGCCATCATCGTAGTAGTAGCTGTCCACCGCAGACACCTGGTCAGGCCTGCGGGAAGGCCGGGCAGGAGGAGGTGACCCCAGGCTGGAAGCTGCCCCACTCCTGCTTCCCAGGAGGCAGGCGTCGCGTCCCAGGCGACAGGAGGGCGGGGGAGCCAGGCACCTGCTCAACCCATTGGTCCGGGACCCAGGCGACAGGAGGGCGGGGGAGCCAGGCACCTGCTCAACCCATTGGTCCGGGACCCAGGCGACAGGAGGGCGGGGGAGCCAGGCACCTGCTCAACCCATTGGTCCGGGACCCAGGCGACAGGAGGGCGGGGGAGCCAGGCACCTGCTCAACCCATTGGTCCGGGACCTTGGGGTGTTTTCACTCCACCCTGGACCCTGCTCTGAAGCCTCAGGTTCTTGCCATAGGACAAACTAATAGGACAAACTACTTCCCTGCTCTGTTGGGGCCCTCCCAGGTGAGGGAGGGGCTTCCTGGCTTTCTAGACCACCCACCTGTACACGAACAGGTAGCGCTCCTTATAGCTGTTCCGTCCCAGTGGCTCACTGACCACGTAGTGATAGGTGTCTGGTGCATCCCTGGATTGAAGAAACAAAAGGTCCCAGTGGCGGGGGCCATAGGGGACCCCTCTGGCTGCCGATAGCGAGGCTGTGCCCAGGTCCCCACCCTTGGGGCCCAAGTGAAGTGAGGCTGTGCCGTGGACGAGATGTCACCTTCCTATGACCCTGCCACTGTCACCCACTGATTGAGGTTGTCCAGCAGCTTCCCCACGGCAGTCAGGTGGCTGTCTCTGACCTCCTGGACCAGGGCGATGTCATAGCGGCTCAGGATCTGGGGGCAGGGCCACAGTGGTGCTGAGCAGGGCTGGTGCCACCCAGGGACCCTACAGCGCCACAAAGGGAGCCACAGCTGATGCTCGTGGCATTGCTCGGTTTAACCGCAGCCTCATGTTTCTGCCTGGGCTCCTGCTGCCAGCCAGGGACAGCACAGCAGGGATGAGGACCTTGGTCCACAGCCAAGAGCCTGTTCCACCGTGCTGGGAGCAGTGGTGCTCAGTACCCCACACCCGACACCCTGTGGCTCCATAGGGCTGGCCCTGCCCACCAGCCCTAGACTCCAGAGCTCCTCTGCTTTTGGGGGGAGGCTGCCCTGGCCTCACCTGCACAATGTAGCTGACGAGGGTGGCATTGGACATCTTGGTCTCCCCAAATGTCTGGATGTTGAAGGCTGCGATCTTCAGGGACACGGCCCCCTGCAGTAGGGCCGCCAGTGCCAGCAGCGCCCCCAGCAGCTTCATGCCCCTCATCCTGGGAGAGCACAGGGCACAGAGACATAACAGAAGTGAGACGTCATCCCTGCCACAGCACTCCAGCCTTCTGGAGCCCAGCTGGCAGGGGCTGGTGGAGCTCAAGGTCAGGGGGACGCAGGCGGGGGAAACCCTTTCCTACAACGTCCAGAAAGCCAAACAGCTGGCACCACGTAGAGGACCCCGAGTCACTCCTCCATCCACCAGAAAACCCGCCCGGGAGGGACGCTGGAGCCTCCGCCTCACTCGCTGCTGGAGGATGAGACTCTAAGCCTCCCTCCCTGCTCCAAACCGGCCAGTCACCCAGAGGCACTCCACCTGGTGCTCACCTGAGATGATGGTGATGTCCTCAGAGATGACGAGAATGCTGTCAAGAATCTGGAATATCCTTTGATGACAATTTTCTCCTTTTGCTGCTTAAAGAAAAAAAAGTAGTCTATGAAGAAAGGTCTCTGAAGAAGCACTTCAAGGCCCTGGCAGTGCTGCTGGGCTCCGGATCCTGCACAGGCAGTGCGTGTCTGGGAGTTTTAAAAGTTCAGGCAGCTGTGACCTTCCCTGGGGCAAATGTGAGCCGTCACCTGAGAGTGCAGAAAACAATGGCTCTGTGTGGCTTTCCGCATAGGTGGGTTGCTAGCACGTGTTTCTTTCTGTAAGCACAGGTTTCTTGCTGCTGTAAAAACTGCACCTGATAATCACGTTTGCACTTAGTTTTAAAATGTCTGATAACAAGGCCAAAGGTTCCTATCCCGTGTCCCTTGCACGTGTGGTGGCCCCCATCTTCCAGGATAGGGCAGGGATGGGCCAGGTATGTGCGGGAGGGTGGGGCTGGGCTCCAGTCTCCCTGTCTCTTGTCTGGGGGCCCCAAGGTCACTTTGGACAAAGAGGCCAAAGCCACATCCAAAGTTGCAAATGGAGCCCCCTGGTGGCTGACAGCCATGACTGCTCTGTGGCCCAGGACACGCCTGCCTTCCTGATTCATCGCCATCAGGTGCAGGCAACTCTGCAGGAGGCTGGGGAGCTCGGAACAAGCAGTGGTGGGGGCCTGCAGCACCAGCGCCGTGGGGCCAGGACAGGTGGGGCCTGCAAAGCCCACCCCAATTGCCAGCCAAGCAGTGGGGAGCCTTCTTGAGGTAGACAATAGGCTGTGTGTTTAGGCCCAGGGGATCCCGAGTGACCAGGTCACAAGGGCAGGGCAGCAGCTAAAGGCCAGGCCTCAGGTCCAGTAATTTCTTGGTTCTTTTGTTTTGGGTTTTTATTGTTTTTGAGACAGGGTCTCACACTGTGTTGCCAAGGCTGGAGTGCAGTGGCACAATCATGGCTCATTATAGCCTCAACCGCCAGGGCTCAGATAATCCTCCCTCCTCAGCCTCCTGAGTAGCTAAGACTATGGGTACGGCACCATGCCTGGCTAATTTTTAAATTTTTTTGGTAGAGATGGGGTCTTGCTCTTTTGTCCAGACTGGTCTTGAACTCCTGGCTTCAGGCAATCCTCCGGCGTAGCCAGGACCACAGGTGCATGCTACCATGCTCAGTTTTTTTTTTTTTTTTTTTTTTTTTTTTTTTTTTTGAGGCGGAATCTTGCTCTGCTGCCCAGCCTGGAGTGCAGTAATACTATCTCGGCTCACTGCAACCTCTGCTTCCTGGGTTCAAGCAATTCTTCTGCCTCAGCCTCCCGAGTAGCTGGGATTACAGGCACGCACCACCACACCCGGCTAATTTTTGTATTTTTAGTAGAGACAGGGTTTCACCATGTTGGTCACACTGGTCTCAAACTCGTGACCTTGTGATCCGCCTGCCTCGGCCTCCCAAAGTGCTGGGATTACAGGCGTGAGCCATCGCACCCAGCCTATTTTTTAAGTTTCTCACAGACACAAGGTCTCCAAGTCCTGAGCCCAAGCAATCTTCCCGCAAATGCTGGGATTACAAGTGTGAGCCACCGCACCCCGCCACTCATTTCTTGGAATCTTTGACTTTCCATTCGTATTCATTTCCTGAGACTGGTGAAACTACCACAAGTTTGGTTGCTTAAAATAACAGAAATGGATCCTCTCAAAATTCCGGAGACTGGACGTCTGAAGTCAGGGAGTCAGTAGGACCTTGCGCCTCCTGGAGGCTCCGGGCGGTTGGGGGATGCTCCTTGCCCTCCAGTTTCTGCAGGCTGCCAGCAATCCTTGGCTTTCCTTAGTTGTGGCTGCATCACCCCAGTCTCTGCCTCTTCTTCTTAAGATCTGTGCACCTGCATTTGGGGTCCTCCCAGAGAGCAGGGAGGATGTCCTTATCTCAACAGCCTTTACTCACATCTGCAAGTCCTTTTTTGCTACAAAAATCAACATTCAGAGGTTCCAGGGCTAGGGCACAGCTATCTTTTGAGCCACCCCTGGGTCTTGCCCACTTGGAAGGGGCTGTGCTGGCCCTCCAAGGACAGCCCTGCACGTAGCATCTGTGGTCCCCCTGGGGGAGGAGGGCCTGGAAGGCTTGGCAGAAGTCCAGGCGGGATTCAGGTATGAGAACTGCAGGAAATGAATACAAATGGGGTCTGCAGGAGGCCTCAACGGCAAGAGTCAGCAGGGGCCAAGGTCGAAAGTCAGGAAAGTGCTCGGTCTGGCCAGCTGGCCATGAAGCAGAAGGCAGGCCCAGTGGGGACTAGAAACAGGAAGGTAAACCACCCTCCACAAGACTGGCACCCCATTCCATAAAGACACGCCAACAGACGCCTCTGGCTGGCAGCACTGGTGCACTCATCTGTCCCTCCTATTGAGACGGCGTCTACCAGATGGAAACACCACCACTCCTCAGGCTGCCAGAGGCCCCATTGCAGGCTTTTCCAAAGGTTTCAGCAATGGTTCTTCCCTGTTTTTAATCTCTAAGTCTAGGACAGCCTCCAGCACGTCAAAACCCAGCCCCCAAGCAAGGCCACCGGAGTATTCGGTGTAGGGACTAGTCCTCTGCCTTTGGTGTTTGCCTTTCCTGGACACACATCTGACAGCGACCCATCACGGGGAAGGGAGTAAAGCTAGAGGGCGGCCACTGTCCTCCACCAAGAAACTGCCTGGTGCAGCTTCCGGCGGGGCACAGGGACACCAATTATAGCTCACAGAGCAAGTGCCCAACCCCCTACGTGTGCTCAGCACGTGGGACGAGGGTTCCCCTCTGGTCTGTCATCCCCTCCTGGCTCTTGACCAAATGCTGCCCCATCTGCTTTCAGGAACTCCCAGGCATAGTGCCCCTGCTTCCTCTACCTGCCAGAAGGAAGGCTGGAACTTGGGCCTCGCTTGTACAAATGGCGAGTGCTGCCTGCTGTGTGGCTGCCCTCAGGACGGGCTTTGGTGAGGGCAGCACAGCCCTGGAGGAGCCTGGTCTGACATGGGGCCCGTCTGGGATCACTGTTGGGCCTTCAACCGTCTGGAGCCTCTATGTCTTCCTCTGATAGATTCCCAGAACAATCATTTCACCTTCTAAGAAGCCATCCTGCCCCTGCAGCCTGTGGCTTGTGGAGTCTCCAGCACTCTCACTTCTCCCTCGTGGATCTCTTTTCTGTCTGTGTCAGTCAATGCTGCCATGTAACAGCCACCTGCAAACTCAGTGTATACACATGCATTTCTCTCACACTGCCAGGTCTGCTGGGGTGGCTCTGCTGCCTGGGCCTCGTCCTGGGGCTGGGCTGGAGAGACTGCAGCTCCCTGGGCACCCTCTTCCCACAGTGTGGAAGGTGGAGGCTCCCAGGGCACAAGCAGAACACGTGCCGCCCTAAGGCCAAGGCGGAGCTGGCTGCTGTCGCTTCTGCCCACATTCCATGGGTGCTGTCGAGCTGTAGGTCCAAGCCCCACATCAGGGGAGTGAGTGGGGTACAATCCTCCCATGCTGGGCCCCACTCTGGAGATAGGCCTGGGGAATGCCCAAGAAGGAAGCCCAGCCCTTCTGGGATTTTCACATCCACAGAGAATGGGTGCTGGCAGCCAACGGCAACGAGGAGAAAAGCTGACCGCCTTCTCAGATCAGGATGAGGTGTTTTTACACCAACCCCGAGGATCTGCAGCCTTCTCAGGTTAAATTAAACCTGTCACAGACACAGGAAGGGAAAAGAGCACATAACAACAATTATATTGACATCTAAGCCAGGTCACATGCTCTGATTTGGCTGAAATTACAGGATAAAGGAAAAATCCTATAGGCACCATGGCTGGAAACAAATGGCCTCAAAGGAACGCTGGTGGCCGTGGCTTTGTGCAACGACAGCCAGTGTTGTGTGACCCAGCGACGTGCAGGCCAGGGAGGGTACCCTTCTACTGATCAAGAGGGAAAGCGGGAAGGACGCACAGCTGTGGTTTCCAACCTGCACGGAGGCACCCCCATGAACTCACAGAGCACCATCAGATCCTTCTGAATTTTGAAGGAAGCAATGATACTCTGCTCTGCTCAAGGCCATTCATGGTCTCAACATTAACGTTACCTTGCTTTATAGGGTATCTTCCCTCTCTCTGCCAGGCTGGGTTGTGGCAGTCACTGAACAAGCAATTACTGTGAAGGTCGACGTGGAAAAATGAGGCAATGAGGGTGGCGGTGTTCTACCAGATTCCAAGTTGAAGAGGTGCTCGACAGGCACACACATCCCATGACTAAACAAATAACATGAACATTTCTCTTTATGTATTACTTTTCTAGACATCCACTATAAGTTGCCAGGACACAAATGCTTATTATTGGGGTTTACTTATTTAATAAATGGAACTGTGGGGGATTTCTTTTTCTTTTCTTTTTTTTTTTTTTTTTGAATGACCATATAATCTGGACTTACTAACTTTAGGTAACAGTAAGTTAAAAGATAGAATAAGGTTTCATATTACAGGAATTCAAAAATTGACCATATAATAAATGATGAAGAAAACTAACAATAAACAGGACAATGTTCAAATAGCTCATTGGGGCCAAAAGATCAGCGTATATCCTGCATCATCTTTCATGCAATGTCTCAGCTTTTTTTCCCTCAAACATAAAGGCAGATTAATACAAATTAGCCTTATTTAGAATATTCATTTACGTTTCCTTCTGAAATTGATACTTGAGTGGAAGATGTATTAATAACTCGTGGTTTCTACTGAAATTTAAGATTCCACCAGATGATGCTCAGATTTAGACGATGCTAGAGTAAGACACTACTGGGTGATGATTTCAAAGTATGAGCTGCAGGTAAAATCTAAAAGGACATACATAATAACAAATGTTTTCTAATTTAAAAGACATATAGTAAATATCCATGAATTAACTCACACAACCTACTTACAAACAAAACTAGAATAAACAAAACTTGTAGGAACCAACTCCAGTTGATTTCGCCACTTAGCGGGAGCAAGTTCTCAGGCGGGTCATTTTATTTAAGGATGACTTGAAATTTTACAAGACCACCTTAGCTCCCACATACGAAAACTCTTTAAGAATTTTTTTTTTATCAACTAGAAGTTGGGGAAAACACACCGAGAAATAAAATGATACAGCTCCTCACACATTTGAAGGCCCATGTCATGCCTAAATTTCTACCGATTTAACTTAAGAAGCTCCTCGCCCTGAGAGATTCCTTTATCCCACAACACTTGACTCAGATGGGGCAGAGGGTCCCAGGACACTACCCAGGCCACAAGATAAAAACACAACCTGTCTCCTCCGGCACCACTATCAGGGATTTCTTTTGGCTTACTATTAAAATAATTATTGAACCTTAATCAAGAGTGCTCTCAACTGAGAAAGTGTGAAGCTTCTGATCTGACATAATGCATATGCCTGAGTTAGATTTCCTACTTTACTGAATATAACTTCTTTTCTATCCTTCATCATTCACCACTGCTTCAACGTTCTGTCACAAAGAAATTCTCAGTTCTACAAATTGCTACTGAAAAGAATAATTGCAACAGATTAAACATATCACTGTGTTTCAATACATAAGTTCATGTTGACATAAAATAATTATCAGCCACCTTAGGGGGATGCTAGGAACTCAACTTGTTCTTCTGCAAAAAGGCAAATAAAGTCAAAGGATCAAGGCGGTATTCTGCCTTTCCTATGCAAAAAGGACTGCCCAGTAACCCATAGCTCGAGAAGGCTCTCTTTAGATAGGTGGACTCCAGCTAATACACGAGGAAGGAATGCTAGACCTGAAAGTCACCATTTTGCCGTCCCTAATCTCAGCCCTGATGTAGTGGCTGCTAACATCACAAAAGACAGCCTCTGTCCCTTCTAATCCAAGACCACACACAGCAGCACTTAGGAGAGTTCTTGCCAAAACAATCTTGAATCTGATCAAACCTCTAGATCTAAATGACAACTTAAAGCAAATACAAGGACAGAGGCTCACGTTCAACAGCACCATGGGGACACGGTACGACCCAGACTGGGAAATCGTAGATGGCAAAGGACAGGCTCATCAATAGATTTCAAAATGAAAAGAAGAAGAGAGGCAGAACTCATAGGTTAAAAAAAGTTCACATTTTGAGATGGATGTTAAATGATAATAAAACTTGAGATATATCCATAAACAAAATGTATGGACCTTAGATCCTATAAAACATCCAATCTTTTATTCATGCAAACAGACATTTGTGTAACAAATTATGTAAGAGGCAATCAGGGAAAGCAGAACACTGACCCATAACTGGGAAGTATTAATAGTAAACTCTTAAGTTTGTAATGGCTCTTATTGGTCCTTATGTTTTGTTTTTAAAGAAATTATTTTAGGAACAGGGTCTCACTACGTTGTCTAGGCTGGAGTGCAGTGGCTTTTCTTTCTAGGCTGGAGTGCAGTGGCGCGATCTTGGCTCTGCACTGCAGCCTGCCTCTGGGGTTCACGCGAGCTTCGCCTCTGGGGTTCACACCATTCTCTGCAAGCTTCACCTCTGGGGTTCATGCCATTCTCCTGCCTCAGCCTCCTGAGTAGCTGGGACTACAGGCGCCCGCCACCACGCCCAGCTAATTTTTTGTATTTTTAGTAGAGACGGGATTTCACCATGTTAGCCAGGATGGTCTCGATCTCCTGACCTTGTGTTCCGCCCATCTCAGCCTCCCAAAGTGCTGGGATTACAGGCGTGAGCCACCGCATCCGGCCACTGCAGTGGCTTTTCACAGGCACAATTGTAGTGCACTGCAGCCTGAGCTGAAGGGATCCTCCTGCCTCAGCCTCCTGCCATGTGCCATCACACCTGGTTTTGTTTTCTTTTGAGACAGGTTCTTGCTCTGTTGCCCATGCTGGAGGACAGTGGTGCCATCATGGCTCACTGCAACCTCCGGCCTCCCAAGTTTGAGCAATTCTCCTCCCTCAGCCTCCCTAGTAGATGGGATTACGGATGTGCGCCACCATGCCTGGCTAAGTTTTGTATTTTCAGTAAAGACGGGGTTTTGCCATGTTGGCCAGGCTGGTCCCAAACTCCTGGCCTCAAGTGATCCGCCCGCCTCAGCCTTCCAAAGTGCTAGGATTACAGGTGTGAGCCACTGCACCCAGCCACACCTGGCTAATTTAAAAAAAAAAATTGTTCTTTTTTGGTAGAGATGGGGTGGGGATCTCACTGTGCTGCCCAGGCTGCTTTCCAACTCCTGGGTTCAAGTGATTCTCCTGCCTTGGCTTCCCAAAGTGCTGGGATTACAGGTGTGAGCTACAACACCTGGCCTTATATTTTACAGTCACATACTATTAATAAAATATTGAAAGATGAAGTGGTACAGTACCTGGGATTTGCTTCAAAATGCCAGCCCTGAGGCTGGGTAATGAGTACACGAAGATGTGTAATACTAGTTTTGAATATGCTGAAATTTTCTGGCTGCGTGTGGTGCCTCATGCCTGTAATCCCAGCACTTTGGCAGGCCACAGTGGGAGGACTGCTAGAGCTTAGAAGTTCAAAACCAGTCTAGGTAACATGGCAAGAACCTGTCTCTACAAAAAATTAAAAAGTTAGCCAGGCATGGAGGCACACATCTGTAGTCCCAGCTACTCAGGAGGCTGAGGTAGGAGGATTGTGTGAGCCTGGAAGGTAAAAGCTGTAATGGGCCATGACTGCACCACTGCACTCCAGCCTGGGTGACAGAGCTACTAGACCTTGTCTCAAAAAGAAAAAAAAAAAAAAAAAAAATCCCATGATTAGTTCTTACAATTCTACAAATCAAAAGCTTTTAAAGCAATACTGCCAGATGTGATCCAACATCCAAAAATAAGGTAACCATTAGTTAATGTTAAAAATGAAACCACACACAAAAAATTAAATGCCCAGGTTTCCATCTTAGAAACACCGTCTGGTCACGCCTGCTTAGGAAACACTCCCCTGCTGTCCTCTGAAGCAGGGGCTTTGTCTCACACTTCAGCTGTGGCTGGGACATCTCCCCTCAGACAGGTCTGATGGGCATCGGGCATCAGGCATCATAAACTTGCTGCAGCCACAATGGCCCCAGATTATTTCCTTGGCCTTCCCTGCTCATGTCTATAGTGCCACCACCATCCAGGTGCTAGAATACCTGAGATCATCCTAGGCCCCGCTCCCCCTCAGCCCCGCCCGCACCATGCACCCTGAGCCTGCACGTCCTCCAGATTCTGCAGCCTCCATACCACCCGTCATCACTGCCTCTCCCTTTGGCTGCCCTGCTTCCAGGTACATGTCCCAGCCGTCCCCACAGCTCTCAGAACATCTCGCAAATGTGTAATTAGATCTCTTTATTCCCCTACTTAAAATCTGTCACCAGTTTCTCATTGTCCCTAACACGAAATCCAATGCTTTCCATGACCTACGTGATTCTAAGCTCTGAGCCTTCCGCTCTGCCTGCAGAGCTGGGGCCTTCTTGTCATTCCAGTTTCAGCTTAAATGTCACCTTTTCAGAGGACATCCTCTCCCCACCCAACCCCTACACCCGCCATGGCCCCAGGTTCATCTCTGCCGGCCCATATGACTCATTTGCTCTGGTGTGTTTACTCAGGCACCTGTTTACCCTCGTTTATGGCCGGCTTATTTATGGCTGGCTTCCAGGAACACAAGCTCCAGGAAGCGGTGGCCAAGAAAGTAGTGGTCTTTCTTGCCCATGAAAATATTACTGGAGCAGAGGAGGCGCTCCACAGCCAGCCACTGGACACAGCTGAGCCACAAGCCCACCTCCTACCCAGCAGCTCCAGGTTCCCCGCAGACCCCCCCCAGAGAAAAACCTTGAGAACCCAGCACAGTGGACACTGCAGGGCATCCAGGTGGCACTTGGACACTCTGGGCACTGGGCTTGAGCTGACAGGAAGCTCCCAGGGTTGCAGTGGCTCCCACAGCCCTACAAGACCTATCTGCCCTCGGCTGGCTCTACTCGGCTGGCTCTACTCGGGGTTCTTTCTCTCCTCTCCCTTGGGAGGTGTTTGCTGGCCCCAGGGACAGAGCATCTTAGAGGACAAAGGGCTACTATCCTGTACTCAGGTAAAAGGCCAGTGTCTTTGCCGTGACAGTGTTTTAACCCCATGTCCCACAACCTGAGCAGGATGCAGTCATCACAGCCCAGTGCACTGCCCTTGGTCTGCGCCCCAGCCTGGTTGCGCCATCCCTCATGAATTAATTTCTGTTTATAATAAAGAAAGTGTTAACCCAGGATGGGAAATTTCTCAGATCACCACACATCAGAATCACAAAGACTTACAACAGCTGCACAGTCACGCTCAGCAGGCAGCAGGCAGCAGACCGCCCCTTCCCCAACCCGGCCTGCTATGGAATGTCAGCACTCGCCTTCTGCCTTCCACGAGGTGTGGGCCTGAACCACGGCATGTTGGCTCAGCCTCCGCCGGCTGCCCCGTCCCTCCCCACACGCTCCCAGTGCTGCCGCTTTCTGCATTCTGCTTTGAGGAGAGATGCAAATGAAAAGAAGTTTGTCTAAAAAGCCACTTTCTCACCAGGGAGGTTAGCACACCCGCAGCCTGAGTCCCTGAGGACAATGAGAACTCATATTCCCAATGAGGATTTAAACAAAGCCACAAGGCGAACTGCAACTGGACTCCAGTGTGCTGATGTTTCCAACAAGGGTCGCAATGAAAAGTAATCCCCCAATTCCGAAGCCACCTCGGTCTCTCCCAAGTACAAAGGCCTTCTCAGCAGGGCCCCCTCCCTGTCCAAGGCTAGGGGGCCACAGAAAGGAAAAGGGAGGGCGCCCTCAGGGTCCAGGAAAAGGACACACAGTGTAAAGTGGGCTGGTTGTGGTGGTAGTTGCAAGGGATTTTCTTTTTACTTTTTTTTTTCTTTTAAAGAAATGAGACAGGGTCTCTCACTCTGTCACCCAGGCTGGAGTGCAGTGGCACAATCTTGGCTCACTGGAGCCTCCCAGGCTCAAGTGATCTTCCTGCCTCAACCTCCCAAGAAGCTGGGACCGACCACAGGCATGCGCCACCAGGCCTGGCTAATTTTTTGTATTTTTTGTAGAGATGGAGTTTTGCCATGTTGCCCAGGCTGGTCTCGAACTCCTAAGCCCAAGTGATCCGCCTGCCTTGGCCTCCCAAAGTGCTGGGATTACAGGCGTGAGCCACCATGCCAAGCCCCACTATGTATTTTCTATTGACCTTTCTTCTAGAGCACTAATCCTTTTTTCAGCTGATTCCAATCTGCTGGTAAATACACCTACTGGATTTTTTATTTCTTTTTTTTTTTTTGAGATGGAGTCTCGCTCTGTCGCCCAGGCTGGAGTGCAGTGGCACATTCATAGCTCACTGCAGCCTCCACCTCCTAGGTGCTAGCAATACTCCCTCCTCAGTCTCTCAAGTAGCTGGGACCACAGGCATGTGCCACCATCCCCGGCTAATTTTGTAAAATCTTTATGTTTTTGAGACCCAGTGTCACTCTGTTGCCCAGGCTGGAGTGCAGGGGTGCAATCTTGGCTCACTGCAACCTCTGCCTCCCAGATTCAAGCGATTATCCTGCCTCAGCATCCTGAGTAGCTGGGATTACAGGTACCCGCCACCACACCTGGCTAATTTTTGTATTTTTAGTAGAGAGAAGGTTTTACCATGTTGGCCAGGCTGGTCTTGGACCCCTGACCTCAAGTGGTCTGCCTGCCTTGGCCTCCCAAGGTGCTGCGATTACAGGTGTCAGCCACTGCACCCGGCCTAATTTTAAAAAATTTTTAGTAGAGACAAGGTCTTGCTGTGTTGCCCAGGCTGGTCTCAAACTCTTCACCTCAGCTTCCCAAAGTGCTGGGATTACAGGTGTGAGCTACTGCACCTGGCTGAATTTTAAATTTCAGTTATTGTGCTTTTCTGTTTTAGAACTTCCATTATATTTTTTATGAATTCCAATTCTATGAAACAATCCATCATCTTATCTCTATTATTTAAAATAGCTGTGCTTGGCCGGGCACGGTGGCTGACGCCTATAATGCCAGCACTTTGGGAGGCCGAGGCAGGCAAATCACATCCTGGCTAACACGGTGAAACCCCATCTCTACTAAAAATACAAAAAAATTAGCCGGGCATGATGGCGGGCGCCTGTAGTCCCAGCTACTGGGAGGCTGAGGCAGGAGAATGGCGTGAACCCGGATGGCAGAGCTTGCAGTGAGCCGAGATCGCGCCACTGCACTCCAGCCTGGGCCACAGAGCGAGACTCCATCTCAAAATAAATAAATAAATAAAATAATAAAATAAAAAAATAAAACAGATGTGATTAACATACTAAAGTCCATGTCCAAAAACCGTATCTCAGTCTCCTGTGGGTCTGTCACCTTTCTTCCCCTGGTCCCCTTTCCCAGTGTACCTGGTTGCCTTCAACTGAGTGTCAGGGACTGTGCGTGACAGAAGGGCGGAGGGTCTGGACATGTCCCCCGACAGGGACAGCTCACCCACTCCGCTCCGTGGTGGGCAGCAGTGAGACAGTGAATCAGGAACTCCACCCACACTAAGCTCCTCTGCAGTCTTTGGAAAGAACAGCCCAGCTGTGGCTTGTCCCGGCGAGGCAGGGTTGGTCCCAGATGAGAGCCTGGGATATTTCTTAGGGCCCTGCACCTGACAGGCCCCAACCTATTCCCTAACTCCACGAAACTGCCAAAAATCCCACTCTGCTTTTCAGCCACTTTCTGCTCCTCTGCCCTAAGCAGCTTCATCAGCAAATGGCTAGAGAGACCAGTGCCTAATGTCCGTCTCTCTTCTCTGGCTCCTTCGCTCAGGGGTCTTGGCCCCTCAGGTCCAGCCGCCTCGGCAGCCCTGAGCCCCTATCTTGGTCTCCCAGCCCCAGGATATTTCCTGCAGCTCTCTGGCTCCTCTGCCTCTCAGCAGCCGCCCATGCCCAGCTTCTCAGCATCCCGCCCAGCCAGTGCCCCAGGGAGAAGAGCCTGTGCGGGAGCAGGAAGTGGGGCTCACCTCCCCAAGCTTCCCTGTGTTGTGCTGCTGGGCGGCTCTCCAGGCCTTCAAGCTGGGGCCTTCTGAACGGTGGCCGGCTCCTCGGGTCCTGGGCAGGAGTGCTTCCCCGTGAGCTCTTCCACACCAGACGCAGAGCCTGCGGAACCTGGAATGAGTCATTGAAAAGGGGAGGGGCTGAGGACACGGACTGATAACCAGCCAGGCTGGTCCAACTAGCACGGCCACAAGGACAGCTTCCAGCCACAGATGTCCCATCCAGAGATGTGCCCGACAATGACAGTCCCCCAGGGACACAAGGCCGTTTCCCTCTGCCCAGCCAAGCATCCTCTAGGACAGAAGACCTCTGCATCCTCATTCCTCTATTCCTCTATTCCTCACCACGAATCACATCTCACTCACACTGTAGTTACCCTCTCCTGTTAGATGCGAGCCCCACGAGAGCTGGGCTCAGCCGGCAGCACCGAGAGCAGGGCCTGGGCCGTGGCAGGTGCTCACGGAGAACATGCTGGATGAAAGGTGTGTCAGAGGGGGCCTTCTGCTCTGGAGCCACAGTTTAAGAGCTCCACTCTCTCCGGCTGCTGGTTGCCCCTACTCAGTGTGAGCCCAACCAAGGCCTCTCTGAGGAAGGAGGGAGGGGACAGGCTTCTGTCCCATTTGGACTCTTCAGCCTCCACATCCCATGGCCTGGCAGGATGGTGGAGTAACTACGGGTGACACAGGAGTGCCCAAGGATGGCTCCTAATGGGAGGGCATGGCAGTCTGTGGACTAAGGCATCTGTCAGAGCAGTGCTCAGAAGATGATGCTGCCAGATAGCAGAGAACTCAGAACCATTCCACGCAAAGAGGCCCCAAGCAAAAGGCTGAGAGCTGTTGGGCAACAGATCCTGAGGGGCTGACGTGGGCCTGTCTCCACGGCCAGGAGGGGCTCCCACCCCGAGCCCAGCAGGAACTCTGTGCTAGTCTGCACTAGTCCACAGTCCTGGGGCCACTGCCAGTGCCATGATGCAGCCCCCACGACACAGCCACCACCATGGCTATAGCCAGACCCTCGGGTCTGAGGCCAAGGCCAAGGCAGTGCTGTATTTCTTCCAACTCTGCCCACTCCTTTCCTGGGTGGGACGGCTGGGAAGGCTGGTTCCACAGTTCTCCCCAGGTCCCTGTGAGCCACTGGTCCCCGGCCCCTGCTCTCCTTCCAGCCCCCAGGCACCCTGAACTGTAGGGTGCAGGACACTGAGGCAATGTGGGCCTCCCAGTGGGCAGCCCCACCCAGGGTGTGGGAGGCCATGGGCCCCAAGCTCCCCTGGGGACTTCTCCCACTGCCCCACCCTCAGGAAGCCATGAGCTGTCACCTTCTCTGTAACCAAATTCTTCTCTGGGGGCCGCGACACGTGCAGAAAGCACTTCGTGTTTTCTGAGGGCACCTGTGGGGCTGAACTACATGGAGAAGCCATTTCACAGGGAAGGAGTCATACAAAAGAGGCCTTCCCACAGGGATGGCCTCCAGGACAGATGCTGCCCAAGCCTGTGGTCGGTGGAAGATGCTGTCCCTCACCCTGCCCCAGACTCCCCACCAGCCACTGAGGGGCTCCCCAGAGGGCCTGCCTGTGCTGGGCCCTTGAGCGGGGGCAGACAGAGGCTCTGCCTCCATTCTCCCTCCAAGGTCCCAGCCCTGTGAACAGGAAAGCACCCCAGGAGGAGAGCAGGCAAGGCGTCTACAAGCCTCAGCCTCCCCAGGAATCGCAGGGCTCTGGGGAGCGGCACTGGTTCTCACCTCTCACTACGTAAATGCGTCCACTCACCTTGCCAAGGCGGCTTCCTAAGCTCCTCCCCTGTGGCCCACATGGAGGGGTGGCTGCTGGTCAGGGCCACGCCCCCCACAGCGTGGAGCTGCAGCAGGGCCATGCTGGCCACCACTAGCCACCCTGCCACAGCTGCAGCTGTGGATGGGGCCTCACGCAGGAGCAGCAACAGCACCTGGGGGCTGGGGATGAGTCTAGCTTGGTGCTGATCCACCCAAATCCAGAGTGACCACATCCGAGTGGCCCTGTTGGGCCTGCTCCCCACTGTCCAAAGTCCACTGGAGTCACGGTGGAGCCATCGAGACAGGACAGTGGCTCTGCCCTTGAGAGCTCATGGGTGACGGGCTCCTGTCCTCGCTTGAGCCCATGAGGAGGTGCTGATCTTCGGAGGTGCCTGGGCCCAGGAGTGACAGCCACAGGAAGCTAGTGACATGCAACTTGCTGGGGAGGCCACTACCCAGGCTGGCGCTGTACCACTCAGCAAGCTTTTGCCATCTTGCTGTTCCCATTCATATTGTGGTCACTAAAAGAAGGAAAAGGGGAGTGTTACTCATGCCCATCAGCTCACCCAGCACCACCTATTCTGAAACTTCAGCAAACTCCTGACAGGCTGTTTTGTTTGTTCTCTGTTTATATACTCATGTAGGATGCAGCAACAGGGAACCCTGAACACCTGGAAAACTGGACAACATACTTTTGCCTTCAGTTGGTGGAAAACAGTGCAGGACAGTGATTCCAAGATAAGGGAGACAAGAGAGCACATCCTATGACTGCACCAATTACAGCCAGGAGGCGGGTTCCAGGCTGCAGCGCAGGCAGGGAAACTCAGCCGGAACCTGCAGTCTTTCTGAGTTGGGAAGACAGAGTTCAGAGCTCAGGGAGGCCAAGGCTGCTGCTATTTGCAGGGCAGAGTCCTGGGGAGGAGGCAGCTGCAGAGGCAGAGCCAGGATCTGCAGAGGGTCTCCTGGAGTCTTTAGCTGAAAACAGATCTGTGCCTGGGTGAGAAAAACTATATGAGAAGGCCCAGGAAAGACTCCTGAGGAAGTAGCAAACAAAACAATCCCCAGAGTTCACACAGGGAATATTTTGTGTTCCCACAAGCCACCGTGGAGAGATCTCCTAATTCGTGGGGTATTGGGTAGACTCCGCAGAAGGCCATCACCCTTAGTAATAGAGCTAAGTCAACTGCAGACTAAAGCAGCACTGGACCCACTGAAAAGTTCAGAAGTCTCTAAAGGATCGCTGCTTCCAAGGGACTTAACTGCATTCCAGACCCAAACCCAACATTATTCAAAGGAATTCAACAAAATTCACCAGCCAATAATTTATTTCATTTTTTGCAGAGACAGGGTCTCACTATGTTGCCCAGGCTGGTCTTGAACTCCTGAGCTCAAATGATCCACCTGCCTCAGCCTCCCAAAGTGCTGGGATTACAGGCATGAGCCACCACACCGGGCCTGGCCAACAATTTGAAATTCACAATATTCAGCATCCAATTTAAAAAATAACCGGGCCTATCAGTCAGGGTCCCACCAGGGGACAGAAACCACATGGTAGCTTAAACAAGGGAAGTTTAGCATAAGAATTATTAACTATTTACAGGGAGTTGACTAAGAGGGAACAAAAGAGAAATCCACAGAACATCCTAGAGTAAAGGGAGGTAACTAAGGGAAGGATTCAGACCTAGGAGAGGGTGTGATCAAAAGCACGCACTAGATGATGACGTCGACTGGGCTGTCCCAGGACAGAACTGAGGGCCAAGAACCACGTGCGAGGACGCTAACACAGTGAGCTGGAAGGCTGCTTGAGGAGTGCTGGAAAGCCGGGGGGTTGGTGTGGGGGTGCTGTTGAACTCACCAGAAAGCTGCCAGGCGGCTAGCTGGGGTGCTATGGGACCTGCCTGAAAGCTGCCTGAGCACCCTATATGTCCCACATACCAGCTCATGTCACAGACAGCTGTAAGCAAAGCACAAAGAACCAAGAAATGCCCTTTCCTCTCAACGCTTTCCACTGACAAAGACCAGCATGGGGCAAGGGAGAAATGTTCCAGTATCACAAGTGGCAATGAAGGGTGGATTTAGAGTTGAGACGCAATAAACTGATAACTGCTATAACAGACATGCAAGAAAGAGAGGAAAATATGACCTATAACCATACACAGTCAATAGAAACTGACCTAGAAACGACAGAGATAAAGGAACTAGCAGACAAGGACAATAGTTCGGCATATATTTAAGAAGGTAAAGGGAAACATGAGCATGATGAGAACACGGAAGATATAGAAAGATCCAAATGGAACTTCCAGAGACAGTAAAAACAAAACCTGAAATGAAAAGATGCACTGGATGGGATTAACACCAAATAAACACTGAAAGAGAAAAGATCCATGAATTTGAAGACATAGCAATTGAAACTACTCAAATAAGGCAGAGAGAAAAAATTATTGGACACTATCAAGCTGTCTAATGTGCACATAATTGGAAGTCCTAGAAGAAAAACAAAGAGGAGACAGAAATATTTGAAGAAATAAGCAAAATTTCCCAAATATGATGAAAACTGTCAATTCACACATCCAAGAAAGTCAATAAAACCCAAACAGAGGCCGGGCGTGGTGGCTCACGCCTGTAATCCCAGCACTTTGGGAGGCCGAGGCAGGCGGATCACGAGGTCAGGAGAACAAGACCATCCTGGCTAACACGGTGAAACACCGTCTCTACTAAAAAATACAAAAAATTAGCTGAGTGTGGTGGCGGGCGCCTGTAGTCCCAGCTACTCGGGAGGCTGAGGCAGGAGAATGGCGTGAACCCTGGAGGCGGAGCTTGCAGTGAGCCAAGATTGCGCCACTGTACTCCAGCCTGGGCAATGGAGCGAGACTCCGCCTCAAAAAAAAGAAAAACCCAAACAAAATAAACCTGAAGAAGACTGCACCAAGACACATCATAATCAAGTTGTAGAAAACCAGTGTTAAATTAAAAAGTCTTAAAAGCAGTTAAGCTAAAAAGCATATTATGTACTGATAAATATAGGTAAGAATGACATGATACTTCTGCTGTAAGCGGAAAGACAAAGAAGTAACATCTTTAAAGTACTGGGAAAAACACACACACACACACACACACACACACACACACACTCACAAAAACTGGTCAACTGGAATTATTTTTATCTACCAAAAATATCATTAAAAAATGAAGGCAAAGGACTTTCATTCTTCAGTGAGGCATGTCAGGAGCTTAGAAGTTGTCACTACCATCCTTACAAGAAACAACACTGAACTGGCAAACAACCCCTTTTAGCTGCATCAGAGAACTGAAGTTACAGGGCAAATGACTGCCCCCGACACAGGAGACATGTCAACAGGGTGAACTGGAGCTTACCTGAGCAGGAGCCCAGGAGTGGAAACGAGGGTAGGAAAATTTACACAGCAATTCATGAACTGCTGGAGACTCAATGTGGACTTTACCTCCATGAGCCCTACCAGACTCTCACAGTCAAGATCAGAGAAAGATCCTCTCATACTTCTGGCGGGGGAGGGGGAAAGCAGCCATGTGGACTATGTCTAGAGCTTCCTGTTCTTAACAAGGCCTGTCCTCAAAGGAAACTATTTTACAAGAGCCTAACTTAATTAGGTTTTATAAGATCCTCATCAGCCTAAGGGAA
Organism: Homo sapiens; assembly: GCF_000001405.40. Classification (NCBI taxonomy): domain Eukaryota; kingdom Metazoa; phylum Chordata; class Mammalia; order Primates; family Hominidae; genus Homo; species Homo sapiens. Next base: position 3,637,577 of record NC_000016.10, on the reverse strand, counting down.
AGGTTGACCCAACTTAAGCACCCCTAAGCCTTCCACAGGCAGGAAAGAAAGGGCCTAACTCCAGCCCCCTCTCCCTTCCTGTTTCACCTAAGGAGGCAAAAACCCCAAACTGAGAAGTGCTGGTAAAAGTCACAGGCCAGGGGCACAGGCTCACAAAAAGACTGAGACCTAGTCACAGGACTTAGGACACTTCCCCTCCTTCCCACCACATAAATAGGGCTCCTATATAATAACAAGAGAATAGAACGGAAAAACCTGCATATCTCAGACTTTATTTAAGAAGTCTCTACGGAAACCCAAGGAAGGAAAAACAGACCCAGGAGGAAATTTTAGTTCTGACACCTATAGTTACAGCAAACAGCAGACAGAGCCTAACGCCTAGCCAGATAAACTAAAAAACTCACACCAAAGGCTGATTTTCCTCAGTTACTTCCTTTTCTTTTCTTTTTTTTTTGAGATGGAGTCTCATTCTGTCACCCAGGCAGGAGTGCACTGGCTCAATCTCTACTGACTGCAACCTCTGCCTCCTGGGTTCAAGCGATTCTCCTGCCTCAGCCTCCCAAGTAGCTGGGATTACAGGCGCCTGCCACCATGCCCAGCTAACTTTTGTATTTTTAGTAGAGACAGGCTTTCGCCATGTTGATCAGGCTGGTCTCGAACTCCTGACCTCAAGTGATCAGCCTGCGTTGGCCTCCCGAAGTGCTGGGATTACAGGCATGAGCCACTGTGCCTGGCCTGTTTTTTTTTCTTTTTTTCCCCAGACAGAGTCTCACTCTGTTGCCCAGGCTGGAGTACTGTGGCATGATCTTGGCTCACTGCAACCTGCACCTCCCGGGTTCAAGCAATTCTCGTGCCTCAGCCTCCTGAGTAGCTGGGATTACGGGCGTGTGCCACCATGCCCAGTTAGTTTTTCTATTTTTAGTAGAGACGGGGTCTCTACGTTGCCCAGGCTGGTCTTGAACTCCTGGGCTCAAGCGATCCTCCCCGCTCAGCCTCCCAAAGTGTTGGGATTACAGGCGTGAGCCACCATGCCCGGCCTCCTCAGTTCCTTTTAACAAGTACATCAAGTCCGGTTTTCAACAAAAAAATTACAAGGCATACTACGATTAAAAAGCAGACTTTGAAGAGATATAGCAAGCATCAAACCCAGACTCAGAAATAGCAGAGATGTTAGAATTATCACAGCTAACAACTCTGATTTAAAACAACTATGATTAATATGCTAAGGGCTCTAATGGAAAAAGTAGATGATATGCTAAAACAGATGGGTAATTTCAGCAGAGATAAAGACTCAAAGAATCAAAAGGAAATGCTAGAAACAAAAAAAACTAAGAAAAGTGAAGAATGCCTTTGATGGATTCATCGATTAGATACAGTCAAAGGAAAGAATCAATGAGCTTGAAAAAAAATGTCAGTAGCAACTTCCCAAACTGAAACTCAGAGAGAAAAGAATGAACAAGATGGAACAGAATATCCAAGAACTGTGGGACAATTAGAAAGGCATAAATATGCATAATGGGAATCCAGAAGATGATGACAGGCAGAAATGAGCAGAAAAAGTATCTGAAACAATAATGAACTGAGAATTTTCCAAAACTGATGACAGATGCCAAACACAGTTCTGGGGAGCTCACAGAATACCAGGTAGGATAAATAGCAAAAAACAAAAACAGAACAAAACTACATGTAAGCATACAATAAACTACAGAAAATCAAAGACAAAGAGAAAATCTTGAGAGAAGCCACAGGGAAATAAATTCCTTTCCTATAAAGGAGTAAGGATAAGAATTACATCACACTTCTTTGAGAAATTATTCAAGGGAAAACAGTAGAGGGAATATTTATAGTGTTGTAAGGAAAAAAAAAAAACCCTATTAACCTAAAAATCTGTATCCAGTAAAATTACCCTTCAAAAGAGAAGAGACTTTCTCAGAAGAATAAAAATTAACAGAATCTGTCATCAGTAGACCTGCCTTGCAAAAAATATTAAGAAGTGTTTGAGAAAGAAGGAAAATAATACAGGTCAGAAATAAAGACCTATAAAGGAAGAGCATTAGAGAATAAATAAGTGAAGGCAAAATATTTTACTTTTCTTACTTTTTTTTTTTTTTTTTTTTTTTGAGACAGAGTCTGGCTCTGTCACCCAGGCTGGGGTGCAATGGTGCGATCTTGGCTCACTGCAACCTCTGCCTCCCAGGTTCAAGCAATTCTCCTGCCTCAGCCTCCTGAGTAGCTGGGATTATAGGCACACGCCACCACGCACAGCTAATTTTTTTATTTTTAGTAGAGATGGGGTTTCACCATGTTGGCCAGGCTGGTCTTGAACTCCTGACCTCAAGCGATCCATCTGCCTCAGCCTCCCAAAGTGCTGGGATTACAGGCAAAAGCCACCACGCCCGGTCTACTTTTCTTATTTTTAACTTATTTTTAACAGTTTGTTCAAGGTAATAACAGCAACAGCTAGGCATGGTGGTGCATGCCTCTAGACCCAGTTACTCAAGAGGCTGAGGCAGGATAGCTTTAGTCCAGGAGTTCTGGGCTATTTGGACTGAGTGTCTGCACTAAGTTTGGCATCAAAATGGTGACCTCCCCTCCTTAAGGACCACCAGGTTGCCTAAGGAGGGGTGAATAAGCCCAGGTCAGAAATGAAGCAGGTCAAAACTCCTGTACTGATCAGTCATGGGATTGCACTTGTGAATAGCCACTGCACTCTAGCCTGGGCCACATAGTAACACTCTGACTCTATTATTAATATTTTTAAAAGCTGGGTACAATGGCTCACACCTGTTAATCCCAACACTTTGGGAGGCTGAGGCGGGAGGACTTCTTAAGACCAGGAGTTCAAGATCAGCCTGGGCAACATAGCGAGACCCTGTCTCTACTAGAAATTAAAAAAAAAAATTATCTAGGCATGGTGGTGCACACCTGTCGTCTCAGCTACTTGAGGGGCTGAAGCAGGAGGATCATTTGAGCCCTGGAGTTCAAGGGTGTGGTGTGCTATGATCGCACCACTATATTCCAGCCTGGACGACAGACCAAGACCCTGTCTCGGCCAGGCACAGTGGCTCATGCCTGTAATCCCAGCACTTTGGGAGGCCGAGGTGGGCAGATCACGAGGTCAGGAGTTCGAGACCAGCCTGGCTAATACAGTGAAACCCCATCTCTACTAAAACTACAAAAAATGAGCCGGGCATGGTGGCGGGCACCTGTAGTCCCAGCTACTCAGGAGGCTGAGGCAGGAGAATGGTGCAAACCTGGGAGGTGGAGCTTCCAGTGAGCCCAGATTGCGCCACTGCACTCCAGCCTGGGTGACAGAGCGAAACTCTGTCTCAAAAAACAAACAAACAAACAAAAAAACCCTGTCTCGACAACAAAAACAAAAACAAACCCGCAACAATGTATTCAATGATTGGGTCAATAATCATCCTTACTGTCCCTTATGATATTGCTGTCAATAATTTCACTTATGGCCAGGTGCGGTGGTTCACGCCTGTAATCCCAGCACTTTGGGAGGCCGAGACGGGCGGATCACGAGGTCAGGAGATCGAGACCATCCTGGCCAACATGGTGAAACCCCGCCTCTACTAAAAATACAAAAAAACTTAGCCAGGCGTGGTGGTGGGCACCTGTAGCCCCAGCTACTTGGGAGGCTGAGGTAGGAGAATGGTGTGAATCCGGAATCCAGAGCTTGCAGTGAGCCGAGATCGAGCCACCGCACTTCAGCCTGGGCGACAGAGCGAGACTCGGTCTTAAAAAAATAATAATAAAAATAATAATTTCGCTTTTGAATAAGTGAAATTAATGACAGCAATATCATAAGGGACAGTAAGGATGAACTGAGAATACTCTGTTAGAGGGAACTTGTACAACCCATGAAGTGGTATAGCATCAGGTGAAAGTGGAATTGGATTAGTTGTAACTGTAAATACCAAACTCAAGGGCAAAGACTTTTTTTTTTTTTTTTCTCTTGAGATGGAGTCTCGCTCTTGTCAACCAGGCTAGAGTGCAATGGCGCCATCTCGGCTCACTGCAACCTCCACCTCTCGGGTTCAAGCCATTCTCCTGCCTCAGCCTCCCGAGTAGCTGGGATTACAGGCGTCCACCACCACGCCCGGCTAATTTTTTGTATTTTTAGTAGAGATGGGGTTTCACCATGTTAGCAAGGCTGGTCTCAAACTCCTGACCTCAGGTGATCCACCCACCTTGGCCTCCCAAAGTGCTGGGATTACAGGCATGGGCCACTGCGCCCAGCCAAGACTTTTTAAAAGTATATAATAAGAAGCATAATTGGCATGCTAAGAGAGGAAAAAATGTAATCATATAAAATGTTCAATTAAAGCCAGAGAAAGCAGAAAAAGAGTGGAAGACCAAAATAAAAAGAAAAGGGAAGAATAAAAGCAACAGAAAACAGTAATAAATATGGCAGATATTAATCTAACTGTACCAATAATCACTTTAAATGTCAATGTTCTAAATACATCAAATAAGTAATAGAGAATGTCAGAATATATTCAAAAATAAGACCCAAGCATGTGTTGGGTCAAAAATGAACAGAAATAAAGACTTTCTCAGAAGAACAAAAATTAAGGGAATTTGTCATCAGTAAATCCACCTTGCAAAAAATGTTAAAAGAAGACCCAGGAAACTCACTTTAAATATAAAAACATAGGTAGATTACAATTAAAGAGATGAGGCTGGGCACAGTTGCTCACTCCTGTAATACCAGCACTTTGGGAGTCTGAGGCGGGCGGATCACCTGAGGTCAGGATTTCAAGACCAGCCTGGACAACATGGTAAAACCCCGTCTTTACTAAAAATACAAAAATTACCCAGGCATGGTGGCAGATGCCTGTAATCTCAGCTACTTAGGAGGCTGAGGCAGGAGAATTGCTTGAACCCAGGAGTTGGAGGTTGCAGGGAGCTGAGATCAAGCTACTGCACTCCAGCCTGGGCAACAAGAGTGAAACTCTCGTCTTTAAAAAAAAAAAAAAGAGAGAAAAAATTAAAGAGATGGAAAAAGACATAGCAGGAATCAAAAAGAAAGTCCCAGTGGCTATACTAATTTCAGGCAGAGCAGACTTCAGAGCAAGGAAAATTATCAGGGATAGAAAAAGGACATTACAAAATTATAAAGGAGTATTTCTCTAAGATGAGGTAACAAACCTTATGTGTATACGCCTAACAACAGAGCATCAAAATCCTCAAAGCAAAAACTAAGAACTGCAAGGAAAAGCAGATGAATTCACTATTATAGTTGGAAACTTCAACATCAATCTATCAAAGTGGACAGATCCAGCAGGCAGAAAATCAGTAAGGACATAATGAACTCAACAGCACCATCAAGCAACCAGACAGAATTGACATCTATAGAGCACTTCATCCAACAGCAGCAGGATACACATTCCTCTAAAGCTCACATGGAACATTCACCAAGATAGATCACATTCGGGTCCATAAAACACGCCTTAGCAGACTAATGCATTTAAACAATTATGAGTTTATGTTTTGGGACACACAGTATATAATAATGTAATTTTGTGACAACTGAAAGGGGTGGAGATGAAGCTATAAAGAAGCAGAATTTTTGCATGTTACTGAAATTACGCTGCTATAAATTCAAATTACAATGTTACACAAAATAAAATGAGAAAATAGTTAAACATGTTACTACAAAAAGAAAAAAGAAAACCTACAAAACTCCAGCTAAACACAAAAGAAGACAATAATGCAGGTAATTAGAGATTTTAAAATCCATGGCCGGGTACAGTGGCTCATGCCTGTAATCTCAGCACTTTGGGAGGCCGAGGTGGGTGGATCACCTGAGGTCAGGAGTTCAAGACCAGCCTGCCCAACACGGCAAAACCCCATCTCTACTAAAAACACAAAAATTAGCCGGGCATGGTAGTGCGTGCTTATAATCCCACTACTAGGGGGCTGAGGCAGGACGATCCCTTGAACCTGGGAGGTAGAGGTTGCAGTGACCTGAGATCATGCCACTGCACTCCAGCCTGGGCAACAGAGCGAGACTCCGTCTCAATTTAAAAACAAAACAAAACAAAAAAACCTATAAGGTGGCTGGGCACAGTGGCTCACACCTGTAATCTCAGCACTTTGGGAGGCCGAGGCAGGTGGATCACCTGAGGTTAGTAGTTCGAGACCAGCCTGACCAATATGGTGAAACCCTTTCTCTACTAAAAATACAAAAATTAGCTGGGTGTGGTGGGGGGCACTTGTAGTCCCAGCTACTAGGGAGGCTGAGGCAGGAAAATTCCTTGAATCTGGGAGGCAGAGGTTGGTTGCAGTGAGTCAAGATTGCCACTGCACTCCAGTCTGGGCAACAGACCAAGACTCTGTCTCAAAAACAAAACCAACAAAAAAACCCAAAAAATTAGCTGGGTGTGATGGCATGCGCCTGTAGTCCCAGCTACTTGGGAAGCTGAGGCAGGAGAATCGCTTGAACTCAGGAGGCGGAGGTTGCAGTGAGCCAAGATTGCACCACTGCACTCCAGCCTGGGTGACAGCAAAACTCCATCTCTAAAAAAATAAATAAATAAAATCCTATAAGGTATATAGAAAAGAAACAGCAAAATGACATAAGTCTTTCCTGATCAGTAACTAAGTGTAAATTGATTAAACTCTCCAATCAGAAGACAGAGATTGGCAACGTGGAAAAAAACTACATTACCCAATTATATGCCATCTATAAGAAACTTACTTTTTTATTTTTACTTTTATTTTTAGAGAGACAGGGTCTCTCTATGTTGCTCAGGCTAGATTTGAACTCCTGGGCTTAAGCAATCCTCCTGCCTCATCCTCCCAAGTAACTGGGACTACAAAAAAGAATCACTTTAGATCCAAAGACACAACTAGATTGAAAGTCAAAGGATGGAAAAACATATTCCATGCAAACACTAACCAAAAGAGAGCAGGGCTCTATTACTATAAGACAAAAGAGACTTTAAATTTAAAAAAAAGATTAAAAAAGGACATTATATAAAGGTTCAATACAGCAAGAAGATAAAATTATAAACAGATTACAACTAATAACAGACCATCAAAATATATAAAGCAAAACTGACAGAATTGAAGGGAGAAATAGCCAGAAACAGTGGCTCATGCCCGTAATCCCAGACTTTGGGAGACTGAGGTGGGCAGATGTCTGAGCTTTGGAGTTCAAGGCCAACCTGGGCAACATGGAGAAAACCTGTCTCTACAAAAAAGTACAAAAATTAGCCAGGTGTGGTGGCGTGTGCCTGTGGTCCCAGCTACTTGGGGCGCCAAGGTGGGAAGATCGTTTTGAGCCTGGGAGGTCGAGGCTGCAGCGAGCTGTGATCACGCAACTGCACTCCAGTCTGGGTAACAAAGTGAGACCCCGTCTCAAAAACAACAACAACAAAAACAACAAAAAACAAAACAACAACAAACACACACACACACACACACAACAAAAAACAAACAAGGGCTGGGCGTGGTGGCTCACGCCTGCAAGCCAGCACTTTGGGAGGCCGAGGTGGGCAGATCACCTGCGGTTAGGATTTTGAGACCAGTCTGGCCAACATGGTAAAATCTCATCTCCACTAAAATAAAAATACAAAAATTAGCCGCGCATGGTGGCGGGTGCCTGTAGCCCCAGCTACTTGGGAGGCTGAAGCAGGAGAATCGCTTGAACCCAGGAAGCAGAGGTTGCAGTGAGCCAAGATTGTGCCACTACACTCCAGCCTGGATAACAGAGCAAGACTCTGTTTTAAAAACAAAAAAACAAATTAAAAAACCCCTACCAAGACTAAATCACAAACAGAAAAGCTGAAGAGACCTGTAACTAGTAAGCAGATTTAATCAGTAATCAAAAATCTCCTAAGAAAAGTCCTGGACCTGAAGGCTTCACTGATTAATTCTACCAAACATTTAAACAACAACTAGTAGTACCAACCCTTCTCAAAACTTTTCCAAAAAAGTGGAGAGTAAGAAATACTTCCTAAATCATTCTAACAGGCCAGTATTACCCTCATATCAGAACCAGGCATTCAATAAAATAAAACCACAGACTAATATCCCTTATGCACAATGATGCAAAAATCCTCTACAAATACTAGCAAACTGAATTCAGTAGCATTTTAGAAGGATTATACACCACAAACAAGTGGGATTTACTCCTGAAATGCATGGATGGTCCAACCTACAAAATTCAATGTAACATACCACATTAATGGAATAATGGGAAACATATCACATCATCTCAATTGCTGCAGCAAAGGCATGTGACAAAATGTAACACCCTCTCAAAATGAAAACATTCAACAAACTAAACGTACAAGGGAAATATCTCAACATAAAGCCATATTTGAAAAACCTACATTGTTAAACCCGAGAAAGCTTATTACAATTTTTTTTTTTTTTTTTTTTTTTGAGACTTAGTCTTGCTCTGTCGCCCAGGCTGGAGTGCAGTGGCGCAATCTCGGCTCACTGCAACCTCCGCCTCCAGGGTTTAAGCAATTCTTCTGCCTCAGCTTCCCAAGTAGCTGGGATTACAGGCGCCCACCATCACACCCGGCAAATGTTTGTATTTTTAGTAGAGACAGGGTTTCACTATGTTGGCCAGGCTAGTCTCAAACTCCTGACCTCAAGTGATCCGCCCGCCTCGGCTTCCCAAAGTGCTGGGATTACCGGCGTGAGCCACTGCGCCCAGCCTAAAAGTTTTTAAAGAAAAAAAAAAAAACAGAGCCAGGCACGGTGGCTCACGCCTGTAATCCCAGCACTTTGGGAAGCTGAGGCGGGCGGATCACGAGGTCAGGAGATCGAGACCATCCTGGCTAACACGGTGAAACCCCGTCTCTACTAAAAATACAAAAAAATTAGCCGGGCGTGGTGGCGGGCGCCTATAGTCCCAGCTATTCGGGAGCCTGAGGCAGAAGAATGGCGTGAACCCGGGAGGCGGAGGTTTGCAATGAGCCGAGATTGCGCCACTGCACTCCAGCCTGGGCGACACAGCGAGATTCCATCTCAAAAAAAAAAGAAAGAAAAAAACAGAAATGCACATTGAATGAACATCATACTCAATAGTGAATGACTAAAAAATTTTCTTCTAAGATGAGAACATTCACCTTTACCACTACTATTTAACCTAGTACTGGAAGTTCTAGCCATAGCAATTAAGAAAAAAATATATATCCAAATTGGAAAGAAAAAAGTAAAATTAATTCACAGATTTAATATGATATGTAAAAAACTAGGCCTAAACATTACACACAAAAAATAATTACAATAACAGAATCAGCAAAGCAGCAGGATACAAAGTCAGCACACAAAAATCATTTGCATTTCTATATACTAACACTGAACAATTTGAAAAGGAAATTATAAAAACAATTCCACTTACAATAGCATTAAAAAGAATAAAATACCTAGGACTTTTAACCAAGGAGGTAAAAGATTCATACAATGAAAACTACAAAACATCGCTGAAAGAAATTAATGAAGATATAAGTAAGGAAAAACATCACACTTTCATGGGTTGGACGATATTGTTAAGACAAGATATCTTAATATTGTTAAGATGTCAATACTCCCAAAAGTGAGCTACTGATTCATATGTAAACTGAAGCAAAATCCCAATGACTTTTTTTTTTTTTTTTTTTTTTTTGCAGAAATAGAAAATACATGCTGAAATTCATATGGAATCTCCACGGACCCCAGATAGCCAACACCATGTTGAAAAAGAAAAACAGATTCAGGATTCACACTTCCTGATTTCAAAACTTACTAACAAACTGCAGTAATCACAACAATGTGGTACTGGCAGGAAGACAGACATACAGACTATTGGAATAGAGTTGACAGCCCAGAAATAAATCCTGGCATATATGGTCAAATGATTTTGACAAGGATGCCAAGACCATTCAACGGGGAAAAGATAGTCTTTTTAATAAATGTTGCTGAGAAAACTGGATATCCACATGCAAAAGAACATGGATATCATATCAAAGTCATAGGAAACAAAAGAAAACACAGACAAGCCAGGTGCACTGGCTCATGTAACACTTTGGGAGACTGAGGTGGAAGGATCACTTGAGCCCAGGAGTTCCAGACGGGCCTGAGCAACATAGTGAGGCCTTGTCTCTATAAAAAAATAAAAAATAAAATTACCCAGCCATGGTGGCACACACCCATAGTCCCATACTCGGGAGGCTTAGGTGGGAGGATGGCTTGAGCTAGAGTTCAATGCTGCAGTGAGCCGTGATCATGCCACTGCACTCCAGCCAGGGTGACAGAGCAAGACCACCCTGTCTAAAAAAAAAAAAAAAAGGATATGTCATGCAAACACTAATCAAAAGACAGCTGGACTGGCTATATTAATGTCAAACAAGCAAAGTAGACTTCATAGCAAAGAAAATTACCAGTGATAAAGAGGGCTGGGTGCAGTGGCTCACGCCTGTAGTCTCAGCACTTGGCCAACATGGGAGGATCACTTGAGGCTAGGAGTTTCAGACCAGCATGGGCAACATAGGGAGACCCTGTCTCTACCAAAAAAAAAAAAAAAATTTAAATAAGCATGGTGGCATGTGCCTGTGGTCCCAGCTCCTCAGAAGACGGAGGCAGGAGAATCACTGGAGCTCAGGAGTTCAAAGCTGCAGTGAGTTTTGATCACATCACCGTGCTCCAGCCTGGGTGACATAGCAAGACCCTGTCTCTAAAAAACATAAAATAAAATAAATAAAAGAGGGCTATTACATAATGATAAAAAAGGTCAATTCATCAAGACAGCATAATCCTAAGTGCATACGCATCTAACAAAAGAGATTCAAAATAAATGAAACAAAAACTGACAAATGAAGAACAGACAAATCCACTATCAGAGCTGGAGACTTCAACACTTCTCAATACATAGAACCAGTAGACAGAAAATCAGCAACCTGAACACCATCATCAACCAACTGGATCTAACTGACATCTAGAGGACACTCCACCTAACAACAGAGAAATATATAGTGTTTTCAAGTGTTCAAGCTTGGAGCACTCAAGATGGACTATATTCTAAGCCATAAAAGTCACAAAACAAATTTTTAAAAATTGAAATCATATAAAGTATGATCTCTGACCATAATGGAATTAAACTAGAAACCAGTAACAGAAAAATGAGGGAACTCTCCAAACACTTGATATTAAGCAACATACTTCTAAATAACCATGGCTCAAACAGGAAGTCCTTACCACACTAGCTATTGTCTAGCAGTTATCTTCATTTTGTTCATGCTGCTGAGTTTAGTGATCACTCACTGTGGTTTAATTTGCATTTTCTTTGACTAAATAAGTTGAACACTTCTTCATATACCTGTTGGCCACTCAAGTCTCTTGCCTGTTTTTCTATTTTTTTTTTTTTAGGATTTCTTTAGATATTAATCCTTTGTCATTGTGCATATGATACTAGTCCCGTGCACATCACACACATCTTCTAGTCTGTGGTATCTTTACACCCTTTTTGAGATAGAGTCTTGCTCTGCTGCCCAGGCTGGAGTACAGTGGCAGAATCACGGCTCACTATAGCCTTGGCTTCTCAGGCTCAAGTGATCTTCCCACCTCAGCTTCCAGAGTAGCTGGGACTACAGGCGCATGCCCTGACACCCGGCTAATTTTTAAATTGTTTGTTCAGACAGGGTCCCACTATTTTGCTCAGTCTGATCTCAAACTCCTGGGCTAAAGCGATCCTTCTGCCTCGGCCTCCTGAAGTGTTGGGATTACAGGCATGAGCCACCATGCACAGCCCTTTACACCCTCTTAATGGTGCCTTATAAAGGTTCTTAATTTTAATGTCACATAATTTGTCACTTCTTTATGGTTAGTGGTTTGTGTCCCTGTTTAAGAATTTTTTGCCTACCCCAAAGTCATGAAGATTCCCTCCTATGCCTTTTTTAGCACCTTTATTCTATATTGGCCGTTTCATTTATTTATTTATTTTTTGACACAGGGTCTTGCTCTGTTGCCCAGGCTGGAGTGCAGAAAGGCGATTATGATTCACTGCAGCCTCGACCTCCTGGGCTCAAGCGATCCCATTTCAGCCTACTGAATAGCTGGGAGTAGAGGCATGTGCTACCATGCTGGCTAATTTTATTTAAACAATTTTTTTTTTGCAGCGATGGGTCTCACTACACAGCCCAGGCTGGCCTTGAACCATGGGCTCAGGCAATTCTCCCTTCTCAGTCTCCCAAGTTTCAGAGACTACAAGAATATAACATCATGCCTAGCCCCATTAGTTTGTTTTATTGTTTTTTGTTTTGGAGACAGAGTCTCACTCTGTTGCCCAGGCTGGAATGCAGTGGTACGATCTCGGCTCACTGTAACCCCTGCCTCCAGGGCTCAAGCAATTCTCCTGCCTCAGCCTCCCAAGTAGCTGGGATTACAGGCATGCACCACCACACCTGGCTAACTTTTGTATTTTAGTAGAGACGGGGTTTCACCATGTTGGCCAGGCTGGTCTTGAACTCCCAACCTCAGGTGATCCGCCCGCCTAGGCCTCCCAAAGTGCTGGGATTACAGGAGTGAGCCACTGCCCCCGGCCCCCATTAAGTTTTAATAAGAAAAACTGCAGGCTGGGCATGATGGCTCACACCTGTAATCTCAGACTGTGAGAGGCTGGGGCAAGCAAATCACTTGAGCCCAGTTCGAGACGAGCCTGGGCAACATGGCAAAACCCTATCTCTACTAAAAATAAAAAATAAAATAAAAAATTAGCCAGGTGTGCTGGAAGAAACCTATATTCTCAGCTACAGAAATAGAATACAGGCTGAGGTGGGAGGACTGTTTGAGCCTGGGAGGCAGAGGATGCAGTGACCCAAGTTCCCACTACTGCACTCCAGCCTGGGTGACGACAAAGTAAGACTCCATCTCAAAAAACAAGAAAAGAAAAATTGATTGCAAAAAAATTGTTACACAATGTTTGCTGGTTTGGGCCACCACTGGGAATGGCTTTGCCTGTCTAGATGTTCGGATGCTGAGCACAGTCCACCCAGTTGGACTGCTCCAGGTATAGTACACAGTGGCTGCTAGATTCAGGGTCTTATGGGAACAGCTTCAGCCACTGTGAACTCAGCCAGGGGCGGCAAGGGCATTCTGAAGGTTTAGAGCTCGGCATAAGGGACGCTAACCCAGTGCCTAGAGCACCACCAGGTGCCTTACGCAGCTGGCCAATAACAATTTTAATGTAAAAATAAAAACTCTAGAAGAAAACATGCAGAAAATTACTTTATAATCTCAAAGTAGAGAAGACCTTGCTAACCAAGGACACAAAAGCCACTAACCTTTTTTTTTTTTTTTTGAGACAGAGTCTCACTCTGTCGCCCAGGCTGGAATGCAGTGGCACAGTCTAAGGTCACTGAAACCTCTGCCTCCCGGGTTCAAGCGATTCTCCTGCCTCAGCTTCCTGGGATTACAGGCGTGCACTACCGCGCCCAGCTGATTTTTGTATTTTTAGTAGAGACGGGGTTTCACCATGTTGGCCAGGCTGGTCTTGCACTCAAGTGATCCGCCTGCCTTAGCCTCCCAAAGTGCTGGGATTACAGGTAGTGAGCCACCGCACCTGGCCTCCATACTGTTTTCTATATAGAGGTTATAGTAATTTACAGTCCCATTAACAGCATATAAGCATTTCCTTTTCTGTGCATCCATGCCAACATCTGTTGTTTTTTGACTTTTTAATAATAGCCATTCTGACCAGTGTAAGATGATATCTCACTGTGGTTTTGATTTGCATTTCTCTGATGATTACTGATGTGAGCACTTTTTCATGTTTCTTTGCCGCTTGTATGTCTTCACTTGAGAAGTATGTGTTCTTGTCCTTTGCCTACTTTCTCTCTAATTCCTGGCCTCAAGTGATCCTCCTGCCTCAGCATCCCAAAGTCCTGGGATTACAGGTGTTAGCCACCACGCCCAGCCTTTGCTCACTTACTAATGGGTTTTTTTTTCTTGTTGAGATCCTTGGAGATACTACGTATTAGTCCTTTGCCAGAGGCTTAATTTGCAAATATTTTCTCCCATTCTATAGGTTGTCTATTTACTCTGTTATTTCTTTTGCTGTGTAGAAGTGTTTTCATTTAATTAAGTCCCATTTGCCTATTTTTCTTCTTGTTGCATTTGCTTTTGAGGTCTTAGTCATATATTCTTTGCCTAGGCTAATATCCAGAAGAGTTTTTCCTAGGGTTTCTTCTAAGATCTTTAGAGTTTCAGGTCTTATGTTTAAGTCTTTGAGTTAATTTTTGTATGCGGTGAGAGATAGAGGTACGGTTTCATTTTTCTATATATGGTTAGCCAATTTTCCCAGCGCTATTTATTGAATAGCGTGTCCTTCCCCCACTGCATATTTGTCAACTTTATTGAAGATCAGTTGGTTGCAGGCAAGTGGCATTACTTCTGGGTTCTCTATTCTGTCCCACTGATCTATGGTACAAAAATATGTACAAGTACCATGCTGTTTTAGTTACTGCATGAGTAGCTAGGACCACAGGTGTGCACCACCATGCCCAGCTAATTTTTTTGGGGGGACGTGGGGGGCAGGTACATTAGAGATGGAGTCTTACTATGTTGCCGAGGCTGGTCTCAAGCTCTCAAGAAATCCTTTCCCCTCACTCTCCCAAAAGAGGCCTTGTAGTATAATTTCAAGTCAGGTAATGTGATGCCTCCAGCTTTGAAGAACCTTTGTTCATTACAAGGCATCATTAAGAGAACGTAAAGGTGAGTCAAACACTGGAAGAAGGTATGTGCATACAAGAAAAGTTATTTTACTACAAAAAACTGTAAAGCTCTACATGGAAAAAATTTTATTAAAAGTCAAAGCCAAGCCAGGTACAGTAGCACATAGGTGTAGTCCCAGCTACGTGGGAGGCTGAAGTAGGGGGATCACTTGAGCCCAGGAGTTCAAGTCTAGCCTGGGCAACATGGTGAGACTCCACCTCAAAAAAGAAAAAAAATTTTTTTAAGTCAAATGATAAAAACTGGTAAAAACTATCTGTAACATTGTAACACTATATCCATTTCCACAATATAGAGTTCTTACAAATCAATAGGAAAAAGATTAATCACATAATCTTACAAACCAATAGGAAAAAGATTAATCACACAATCTAAAAGAATGCAAAGCCCACAAACATAAGGTCATAGGTAAACAAGTAGCTTTTAATCACGTGAAGAAAATACTCGTTTCCTCAATGAAAGAAATGTAAAGTAAAGCTACAAGACACCAATTTTTAACCGCTGAAATAGTAAAAGACAAAATGTTTCATGATATATTCTGTGAGTGTGTGGATATGAGTAAAAAGACATTCATTGTTAACGGAATGGAAACTGATTCAGCCTCCGTTTTTTTTTTTTTTTTTTTCAGTCTTGCTCTGTCACCTAGGCTGGAGTACAGTGGTGTGATCTTGGCTCACTGCAACCTCCACCTTCCGGGTTCAAGCGATTCTCCTGCCTCAGTCTCTGGAGTAGCTGGAATTACAGGGGTGCGCCACCATGCCCAGCTAATGTTATATTTTTAGTAAAGACGGGGTTTCAACATGTTGGCCACGCTGTTCTTAAACTCCTGACCTCAAGTGATCCACCTGCCTCGGTCTCCCAAAGTACTGGCATTACAGGCATGAGCCACCACGCCTGGCCAATTTGGCTTCTTTAGAAGGTAACTGGGTAACACCCCAAAACACTCTGATTTACCCATATCCTTTGACCCAGCAATTCCACTTATGTTACAGGAATATCCTACAAATATATGTGCAAATCTGCATAAAAGTATATACAAGTATGTTCAATGCACCATTAGCCATTGTAGAAGGAAATGAAAGCCATCTAATGTCCCTTGATAGGTGATACAATGAAGTATGAATGTATCCAAATGATGACATATAATGCAACTGCTAAACAAAATGATAGATTTATATGTAATAAGGAAAAATCTCCAAGACAGTTCATTAAGTTGCAAAAACGAGGTTCAGAACAATGGGTAAAATGTGCTACCGTTTATTTACATTGGGGAAAAGCAGGGATATATATTTATATTTGTATGTGCACAGAATTATCTGGAATATTTCAAGAAGCCTCTGATGAGGGAGTTTGGAGGTCAGGGGGCCAGAAGTAGGAGGGAATTTTTGTACCCTTCTGAAGCTCCTGGACAAAAAAAATTAACAATGTACAGGTATTCTTTTCTAAAACAGGTAAACCAGGCAAGAGCAATGGCTCATACCTGTAAACCCAGCACTTTTGGAGGCAGGAGGATCACCAGAGGCTAAGAGTTTAAGATCAGCCTGGGCAAGATAGCAAGACCCCATATCTACAAAAATTTTTAAAAGTCAGTTGGGTGTGGTGGCACACGCTTGTACTCTTGGCTACTCGGGATACTGAGGCAGGAGGATTGTCTGAGCCCAAGAGTTCGAGTCTATGCTCGTGCCACTGCATTCTAGCATGGATGACAGCAAAACCCTGTCTCTAAAAAAAATATAAAATAGGCCGGGCACAGTGGCTCACACCTGTAATCCCAGCACTTTGGGAGGCTGAGGCGGGTGGATCACGAGGTCAGGAGTTCAAGATCAGCCTGGTCAATATGGTGAAACCCCGTCTCTACTAAAAATACAAAAATTAACCAGGTGTGGTGCAGGCGCCTGTAATCCCAGCTACTCCGGAGGCTGAGGCAGGAGAATCGCTTGAACCTGGGGAGCGGAGGTTGCAGTGAGCCGGCATTGCGCCACTGCACTCCAGCCTGGGTGACAGAGTAAGACTCTGTCTCAAAATAAATAATAAACTTTTTAAAAAAAAAAATCAGGCAAACCAAACAAAACACACATACCCTTTAGCCTAGAAATCCTAGATTTAGGACTCCTTCCAAAAGAAATAAAAACACACACATACAGGTTATAAGTACAAAGACATTTATTGCATAATCTATAATGATAAAAACTATAAATATATCTTTATCAACAGGGGAATGTTTGATTAAATATGGAATATAATATGGCTTCCTATCTACTGACTTAGAGAAATGCTCATGATGCAATATGCATAGTATAATTACTTTTTTTTTTTTTTTGAGACAGGGTCTCACTCTGTCACCCAGGCTAAAGTAGAGTGGCATGATCACAGCTCACTGCAGCCTCGAAGTTACAGTGAGCTATGATCAGGCCACGCTGCACTCCAGCCTGGGTGACACACTGAGTACTCTGTCTCTAAATAAATAAATAAAAGGTTTCTTTACTAATTATACGAAGCCTTTTGATCTCTGAAATGCTTGTTACCCAGTCACGTGACTAAATGATGTGATGAATGATGTGACTCAATGAATGTAATGTGGTAAATATGACATGTAAACTTTTTAAAAGAAAAGCCATACACAGGCCTGGCGAGGTGGCTCATGCCTGTAATCCCAGCGCTTTGGGAAGCCGATGCGGGTGGATCACTTGAGGTCAGGAGTTCAACACCAGCCTGGCCAACATGGTGAAACCTCATCTCTACTAAAAATACAAAAATTGGCCAGGCGTGATGGCGCATGCCCGTAGTCCCAGCTACTCAGGAGGCTGAGGCAAGAGAATCACTTGAACCCCGGAGGCGGGGGTTGCAGTGAGGCGAGATTATGCCACTGCACTCCAGCCTAGGTGACAGAGCAAGACTCTGTCTCAAAAAAAAAAAAAAAAGAAAAGCCATACATATGAATTTTCGTTATATTTATAACCAATCTGCTGACTCGATGAAATATTTAGTAGAGCTGTAAATGGAAATTAGAATTTTTAAAAATACTGAGGGCCAGGCGTGGTGGCTCACACCTATAATCCCAGCACTTTGGGAGGCCAAGGCAGGAGAACCACTTGAGCCCAGGAATTTGAGATCATCCTGGGCAACATAGCAAGACCTGTGTCTACAAAAAAAATTTTTTTTTTAATTACCTACAGGCGGCCAGGCACAGTGGCTCATGCCTGTAATCCCAGCACTTTGGGAGGCCGAGGTGGGCAGATCACAAGGTCCGCAGATAGAGACCATCCTGGCTAACACGGTGAAACCCTGTCTCTACTAAAAATACAAAAATGGAGCTAGGCGTGGTGGCGGGAGCCTGTAGCCCCAGCTACTCGGGAGGCTGAGGCAGGAGAATGGCATGCAACTGGGAGGCAGAGCTTGCAGTAAGCTGAGATCACACCACTGCACTTCGGCCTGGGCGACAGAGCGAGACTCTGTCTCCAAAAAAAAATAAAAAATAAAAGAAAGAAAGAAAATTACCCACAGGCCAGGCATTGTGGCTCATGCCTGTAATCCCAGCACTTTGGGAGGCCAAGGTGGGCAGATCACTTGAGCGCAGGAGTTTGAGATCAGCCTGGGCAACATGGCAAAACCCTTTCTCTACTAAAAATACAAAAAATTAGCCAGGTGTGGTTTTACATGCCTGCAGTCCCAGCTACTAGGGAGGCTGAGGCAGGAGGATCACTTGAGCCTGGGATGTGGAGGTTGCAGTGAGCTGAGATTGCCCCACTGCACTCCATTCTGGATGATAGAGTGTAACCCCGTCTCAAAAAAAAAAAAATTACCCAGGGGCCCTTCTAGCTCTAGCTACAGGTAGGCTGAGTCAGGAAGATAAGGAAGTTGGGAAGATCAGAAAGATCACTTGATCCCTGGCAGTCTGAGGCTGCCATGAGTCATGATTGTGCCACTGTACTCGAGCCTGGGCAACAGAAATGAGACCTTGTCACTAAAAAAAAATTACAAAACGGAAATAAGCAAATGTTCAGTGTAACATGTATTCCATTCTATACTACATTTTGTTCATTCATGCACTGAAGGGCATTTAGACTGAATATGAGGTGTACACGTTTTTGTTTGAGCATTTCTTCTTTTTGACGGAGTTTCATTCTTGTTGCCCAGGCTGGAGTGCAATGGCACCATCTCAGCTCACCATAAACTCTGCCTCCCAGGTTCAAGTGATTCTCCTGCCTCAGCCTCCCGAGTAGTTGGGATTCAGGCACCCACCACCAAGCCCGGCTAATTTTTATAGTTTTAGTAGAGACGGGGTTTCACCATATTGGCCAAGCTGGTCTCAAACTCCTGACCAGAGGTAATCCGCCCGCCTTGGCCTCCCAAAGTGCTGGGATTACGGGCGTGAGCCACCGCGCCTGGCCCTTAAACACTTTTTCAATTTTTTGGGACATATCCTTAGAAGCGGAATTGCTGAATCATATGATGATTTTATCTTTAACTTGTTCAGGAACCTCAAACTGTTTCCCACAGCAGCTGTACCATTTTACATTCCCTCCAGCAATGTATCAGAGTTCTAACTTCCTTACATCCTCACCAATACTTTTTTTTTTTTTTTTTTAGGAAATGGCTGTCCTACTGGCCATGAAGTGGTATCTCACTGCAGTTTCAATTTGCACTTCTCTAACGATTCATGATGCTGATCATCTTTTCATGTGCTTGTTGGCACCTGCCACTCTTTGGAATGTCTATTCAAGTCCTATGTCCATTTTTTTTTTTTTTTTTTGGTCTTGGCTTCTTCACAGGACAAGTTCTACCATGCCCATTTTCTGAGTTGTCTTTTCATTGAGTTGTAAAAGTTCTTTCTATATTGTGCTACTAGAATGTCTTAGTCCATTTGGGCTGCTCTTACAAAATACCACAGACTGGGTAGCTAATAAACAACAGAAATTCTCACTGTTCTGGAGGCTGGGAAGTCCAAGATCAAGGTGTTGGCAGACTCTGTCTGGTGAAGGCCCACTTCCTCTAATGGCAGAAAGGGTAGGGGGTTTCTCTCTTGGGCCTCTTTTCTTTTTTTAAAAAAATTTTTGTAAAAATGGAGTCTCACCTTGCTGCCCAGGCTGGTCTCAAACTCCTGGGCCCAAGCAATCCTCCCGCCTCCGCCTTCCAAAGTGCTGGGATTACCGGCATGAGCCACCACACATGGCCACAAGGGCCTCCATCCTTATCCTTATGCACTAATCCCATCACCTTGCGGTTGAGGCCTTCACATATGAATTGGGTGGGGGGAGACATAAACATTTAGACAGCAGCATAGATTCTTATCAGGTATATGATTAACAAATATCTCCCATTCTGTGGGTTGTCTTCTCATTTTCTTGATAGTATACTTTTACACAAAAAAGTTTTTAATTTTGATTAAATCCAATTCATTATTTTTTGTTGTTTCTGCTTTTAGTGTCATATCTAGAGTCTACTGCCAACTCCAAGGTCATAAAGATTTACCCTTGTAGTATTCTTTTTTTTTTTTTTTTTTTTTTTTTTTGAGATGGAGTTTCGCTCTTGTTGACTAGGCTGGAGCGTAGTGGTGCGATCTCGGCTCACCGCAACCTCCATCTCCCGGGTTCAAGCGATTCTCCTGCCTCAGCCTCCCGAGTAGCTGGGATTACGGGCGCACACCACCACGCCCTGCTAATTTTGTATTTTTAGTACAGACGGGGTTTCTCCACGTTGGTCAGGCTGGTCTCAAACTCCTGACCTCTGGTGATGCCAAAAGTGCTGGGATTACAGGGGTGAGCCACCACGCCCAGCCTACCCTTGTATTCTTCTAAGAGTTTTATAGTTTTCACTCTTCCATTGGGTCTTTGATCCATTCTGAGTTAATATTTGTACATGATATGAGGTAAGGGTCTAACTTCATTCTTTTGCATGTGATATCCTGTTATCCCAGCTCCATTTGTGGAAGACACTACTCTTTCACCATTGACTAGTCTTGGCATCCCGGACAAAATCAATTGCTCATAAATATAAGGGTTTATTTCTAGACTCTCAATTCTCTTCCACTGACCCATATGTCTATCCTTATGCTGGTACAGTACCACACAGTCTTGATTACTATAGCTTGTAATAAGTTTTGATATAAGGAAGTACGTTCTTGAAAAAGAACAAAGTGGCTATTTGGGTTTTGGGTATTAAGAGCCCCTTGCAATTACATATGAATTTATTTATTTATTTATTTAATTTATTTATTTGAGACACAGTCTCACTGTATCACCCAGGCTGGAGTGCAGTGTTGTGATCTTGGATCACTGCAACCTCCATCTCCTGGGTTCAAGGGATTCTCCCGCCTCAGCCTTCCAAGTAGCTGGGATTACAGGTACCTGCCACCACATCCGGCTAATTTTTATATTTTTAGTAGACATGGGGTTTCACCATGTTGGTCAGGCTGGTCTCGAACTCCTGACCTCAAGTGATCTGCCTGACTCAGACTCCCAAAATGCCGGGATTACAGGCGTGAGCCACCGCACCCGGCCAATTCCATATGAATTTTAACATCGGTTTTTCCACTTCTGCAAAAAAATTAAAACGTTGTTGGGATTTTGATAGGGATTATGCTGGTAGATGCTTTGGGGGGAGTTTTGCTGTCTGAAACCTCCCTTAAATTTGTCTAGCAGAACATATAGAGCAAAATCACACAAAGGCAGCAGTGGCAGGCAGCACACTGAAAGAAATGCAGTGTAACTCATCTCGAATAACTTTTGTATACTTATACACGTAAAAACAGTTATTTCCTGTCCTGATTTCACCAATTTTAGCAGTCTAGAAAATGTGACTATACAACAGTAAATAAAAGTTAACATGATCAAAGAACTCAGGAGACAATTCTTTCCTTGTTCAATCTGCTGTCTCCCCAACCCCTGTCAAGATAAAGGAGAGGGAGGTGGACAGGTTATGGCTTTACCATTTATAATCAAACCACAGACCTGGGATAAGGGCCCTTCAATTCATCCTCCCAACTGTTTAAAACATGAACTCAGTGGAAGATGCCAGAAGCTTTCAAAAAGGAAATATTCCAGGAGGGTAAGGACGTGATCATCACAGCATCTTCAACCTTTGCCTTTTTGCCCTGAACCCAAAAATTACCGACTCCTATGAACTGGGAAAACAGCACATCTATTTGGAATAACACAGTTTTTTCATGTACTTCTGCATCCATTTTCTCTTTCAGATAAACCCTGTAAGGTTTACCAAACACAAGGACTGTCTGCACCTTTTAGTATCTGACATCTTCTTTCATCTCCCTGGTTGTTCTGACAGTGCAGTGGGTTTCCGCCTCAAATGCTGACAGGGAACACACAATACTGTTCCTACTGAAATAACATCCATCTAGTAACACTGTTTCTGAACACTGCCCCTCAACTTAGTCATACTGGGTGACTTCTAACTAACAGCATGAACCCCAGGGCTTCTGCTGGAGTAACAGTCACAATAGGGTCCAGGACAAGGTGGCTGCCATTGTTCACCTTTAGCCCAAAGAAGCAGGTGCCCCAGTTATGGATGGCTTTGTTCATTGAAGGGAGGAATTATGTATAATTGGAAATCCCATGCACCACCCTGACCCAGCTCTTGCCATCTCTCTTATACTTAGCCTACAGTGTTTGTTCAGTTGGTGCTGGTTAAATGCAGTGCTTCTCAATCTTGAGACCATCAGAATCATCTGTGAAACTTTCAAAAGACACAGGTTGAAAGATTTATTCAGTAGGCCTAAGAGTAGTGTCCCAGCCTTTCCAATTAAAAAAAAAAAATTCCACAGGTGATTCAGTTGAGAATCTCAGGTTTAAGAAAACTCTCTTTTCTAAACCACACTTCAACTAATTTATTTTATGTAAATAAATAATATAGCCAGATTTGGGGTTGGGGGAGAGAGGTAGCAAAGACTTTCTTCACCAGGACTCTAAGAGATTTAAATCCTAAATAGGAAACAGGCACTTCATTTTCAGTCTGACTGGAAAACAGTAATTTCTACCATTACAATTATCCTTCATAACCCAGCCATGTCCATGTTTATTAGATGTTTAAAAAAATTTTCTGTATCCTATGATATTTTGAAATCTTAATAAATCTTGCTGGCAGGGAGACTGCCTCTCCCAGGTCTAATTCCTCAAGACAGTAAACAACTTACTTGGGAGCATGCCTCTCACAGGCAAGTCAGCCTCCCCCCTTTATCTAACTCTCACACACCAAGCCAGTATTTCTCCTGCCCTAAATCATCCATGGCCAGGTACCAAGCAACTAGAGACCACCCAAAGGCAAAGCGTGATGGAATTATTTAAATTATCCAATCCTAAAATGTTTACTCCGCCCTGACTTGCTATTTCTGAGGAACCCCATAAAGGTTCTGGCCTAGACTTTCTCCTTGTTCCTATTTCTTCCTCCTAACCAAAAGCTGATGTCTCCCTTGTGGCTCTGAACGTGGTGGCACGCCTCCTTTTCTTGAGAAATGTAAGTAAATTATTTCAGGCCAGGCGCGGTGGCTCACACCAGTAATCCCAGCCCTTTGGGAGGTCCAGGCAGGAAGATCGCCCGCCTGATGTCAGGAGTTTGAGACCAGCCTGGCCAACATGGTGAAACCCCGTCTCTACTAGAAATACAAAAAATTACGCCGGGCGCGGTGGCTCACACCTGTAATCCCAGCACTCTGGGAGGCCAAGGCGGGCAGATCACGAGGTCAGGAAATCGAGACCATCCTGGCTAATATGGTGAAACCCCGTCTCTACTAAAAATACAAAAAATTAGCCAGGTGTGGTGGCGGGCGCCTGTAGTCCCAGGTATTCGGGAGACTGCGGCAGGAGAATGGCGTGAACCCGGGAAGCAGAGCTTGCAGTGAGCCGAGATCACACCACTGCATTCCAGCCTGGGCAACAGAGCGAGATTTTGTCCAAAAAAAAAAAAAAAAAAAAAAATTAGCCAGGCGCGGTTGCGGGCGCCTGTAATCCCAGCTACTCCGGAGGCTGAGGCAGGAGAATCGCTTGAACCAGGGAAGTGGAGGTTGCACACACCACTGCGCTCCAGCCTGGGCAACAAGAGCCAAACTCCGTCGAAAACGAAGCAAGGAAGGGAAGGAAGGAAAGAGAAATTATTTCAACAGCACTGGCCTCTCCATGTCGTCACTCAGTCTCCTCTATAAATTCAAGTCCCAAGACACCCTGCCCTACCCTTGCCTCTGGGCTGCTTATCATTCTTGTTCTGTCTTCTTTATCCAGTTGGAAACCATATTACAAACTAACTTAGATTTCCAAGCCAGAGAGCAAGTAAACACCTCCTAAATCCTTCATCAAGGAAAACCTCTTGGAAGGTTTTGAAGCTCAACATTCAGAATCAAATGTAGTCTTACCCAGTAATTCCACTCCTAGAACACAAAAACTTGTGTTATGAACACGAATGTTCATAGCAGCATTATTTCTAACAGCCAAAAAGTAAAAACATCCATATGCCCATCACCTGATACATGGATAAACAAAACATGGTCCATCCAAACACGTGATTATGCAGCCATGAAAAGGCATGCAGTACTGATTCATCTACATGGATGAAATCTTGAAAACATGCTTAATAAAAGCCCAGCAGAAAAAGCCAAGTATCACATGATCCCATTTACATAAAATGTACTGAATACGCAAAACCACAGAGACAGAAAGCCGATAAGTGATTGCCAGGGGATGGGGTCGGGGGAATTGCGGAGTGACTACGAATGGGTACGGCAGGTTCGATTTGGGGTTTTAAAACGTTCTGGAATTAGCGACGATGGCTGCAAATCCTGTGAACGTACTGGAAACCACTGAATGTACACTTCTAGTGTGCATTTTATGATACTGTATCTTTTAAAAAACATATTGTCTGCCCTGCAAACTGATTCCTTTACACCTCTCCTGTGTTCATTATTTCAGTGACTGGAGGCACACTACTCTCAGATGTTAAGGCCAGAAACCGGCAAATCGTTAACAACTGCGTCTTGACTATGCTCCATATTTCTCCATTCTTTTCGCTCCACCTCCTAATTCGGGCCGCTCTCACTTTTCATCTAGATTATGTAATAGCCTCCTAATGGGTGTCCTTGCCTCATCTGTTCTCACTGTAATTAGGCCTTTAAAAACAAAATCTTACGCCGGGCGTGGTGGCTCACGCCTGTAATCTCAGCGCTTTGGGAGGCCGAGGCGGGAGGATCTCTTGCGGCCAGGGCTCGAGACCAGCCTGGGCAACATAGTGAGACTCCCCCCCCCGCCCCCACCGCCCGTCTCTACTTAAAAAAAAAAAAAAAAAAAGCCGTGAGCGGTGGCTCACGCCTGTAATCCCACCACTTTGGGAGGCCGAGGCGGGCGGATCACCTGAGGTCAGGAGTTGGAGACCAGCCTGGGCAACAGAGTGAAACCTAGTCTCTACTAAAAACACAAAAATTAGCTGGGCGTGGTGACTGGCGCCTGTAATCCCAGCTACTTGGGAAGGTGAGGCACAAGAACCGCTCGAACCCGGGAGACAGAGGTTGCAGTGAGCCGAGATCGCGCCACTGCACCCCAGCCTGGGCAACAAGAGCAAAACCCCGTCTCAAAAAACAAACAACAAAAAACCTTCAATGGCTCCCGACGACCCCAAGTTGAAGCTCAAACCCTTAATACGATGTGTAAAGTCCCTCAAATACCAAGCCATGGCAAACCTCTGCTA
The DNA here is from genome assembly GCF_000001405.40 of Homo sapiens. Lineage (NCBI taxonomy): Eukaryota > Metazoa > Chordata > Mammalia > Primates > Hominidae > Homo > Homo sapiens. Next base: position 3,612,152 of record NC_000016.10, on the reverse strand, counting down.
CCTTTCCCCCAGGCCCTGGCTGGCTTCACCCTAGCCCTGCGGAAGAGCTCGGGCATCCCCTCCAGGCACCTGAAGCGCGGCAGAATCCCCTCTTCACGTAGCTAACCCTCCCCGACCTCCAGGCCTCGACTCTCACGCCACCCCACCTGAGAGGAAGCTTCTCGGGCCCCCAGGCCAGATTTGGTGCCTCTCCCGGTCCCCCTCACACCGTCCACTCTCCGCTCCACAGGCAGGTATGCCCAGAGGGGGCCGCCGTTGTATCCGCGAACATTTCCTGAGCCAGCTGGGGAGGAACCAGACTTTATCTCACAGCTGCCACAGTGCCTTAAACTCGCCCTAACTCTTTCTCAAAAACTAACAGACTCCACCTGAAGCAAGCGCCGCTTCCGCCTCGCCCCGCCTCCTGCCGACCGGAAGCGCTGGCCGCCGCGGGCCCGCGCCCGGCGCCGCAGAGGAAGACCGGAAGCGAGGCTGCCGCACCACCGCGCGCGCCCGCTCTGCGCCTGCGCGCAGGCAATGCTCCGCGGGGGCGCGGGCGGCGCATGCGCAGGCGCGCGAGTCTCCGTTAAGAAGGTGCCGCGGCGGCGCCGGAGGTAGGAGGAGCCGGGCTGTGGGGCTGGGAGTCGGCACCCGGGAGGCGGAGGTCCTGTCATTTCGGGCCGTTCTCTCTTTCCTAAGGGAGAAGAGCCTTTCTCGCCCGTCTCCCTCGCTGGCTCCGTGGCCTCGGCAGGCCCGCAGCCCCGACGGAGAGGCAGGAGCCGCACTCGGGTGGAGAGGGGCCGGGGCCCGCCTGGAGGGAGGAGGGTGGCGGATCCGGATCCCCACGGTGGTCTCCGTCCGGGCCAGTCCGGGGATCGGGGTTCTCCGTCTGACTTTAGAGCCGTTAGAGTCTTTGGCAGCCCTTTTCCCAGACGGGGAACCCCTCAGCCCCTTTCCGTAGGTCGCCGGGTTGGGGGAAGCGGGAGGGTCCGCCCCTTACCGATCCATTCATTCATCCCTCGCCTGCTGTGAGCCGTGGGCTGCGGTAGGTACGAAGCAAGGAGGCACAAGTCCCCTTCCCTCTGGAAACCTGCAGGCTTGCAGGATCCGTTATGTCATTCAGTAAATCTTGACTGGGCACCTATAGGAGGAGATAGACTGTTGTGAGGTTCATATCAACAGAGATGCGGAGATCAACACAGTTGTGGAGGTGGAATTTGTTCCAGCCGCTCCCCGCATCCAACAGGATAAAATTCACTTTGCCTAGCCTGACCTTCCAGGCCCTTGTGAGCCAATCCTTTCCTCTCCCCGCAGCGTTTTCTCCTACACCTTTCTCTCTACTCCCATTATACCGAACTCTTTGCAATTCATGAATTCAACAAGTAGTTGTGGAGCACTTATTTCAAGTCAGGCACCAGATCAGCCAAAGAGGTTGCAAAGTAATAGATGGATCTCTACCCTCCTGAAGTGTTGAGCTTAATGGGGGACAGATAATAAGCCGATGAATAAAAACACAAGAGCGGATAGTTTCGAACCACACTTCCTGGGTTTGATCCCAGCCCTGCCACTGTGAAAGCTGTTCCTGAACTGGCTTTAGGCCAGTTCCTCATTCTGCTTGCGCGTGTTTCCTTGCCGTAAAGACAGGATGACAAGAGATTCCACCATATAGGCTTCTTGTAAGGATTAAACGAGTTTGACTTGGAAAGCAATTGGAACAGTGCTTGGCACACAGTAAGCATTCGATAGATATTACCTGTTTCATATGATGATAACCTATGACAGATGCCATTGTGAAAACAGTGGGCGATGATAGGGATTAACGGGGATGGAGACGGTCCATAAAGGATTAGAGGACACTTCTCTAAGGGGAAGACACAGAAGAGAATGCGCCAGCCATACAAAGTAGATTCTAGGTAGGAGTATTTTCAGCTCTGGAAAACAAAATGATTAATTAGATTCCTTGGACAGTGGAGATTGCATTATTGTATTTGAAAGGAATAACTTTCTGCCATTGGGTCATTCAGTTTTGATTTTTGAACCCCACTTAGCTGTGTGCCAAAGTAAACAACCATGCTCACGAGGCCCAGCCTTTGCACACAGGCGACATTCCAGTCATCCAGGTTTGGAGAGCCTTGCTGGGTTGAGAAGATAAGTAAAAGTGACCTTTTCTCTCCTGAGTGTTCATGAGAATATAATGTCTCTTTCTGTCTCTTATGTTGCAGTATTTACAGAAAGAGCCTCTTTAACAGCCAGGGGTCTTAGATCAGTGTAGGAGATAGTTTTCCTAGATTTGGGGATCATCCTGTTTCTGTGGTGACTGCCTTTTATGGGGTTTGCTCCCTAAATTTCAGTTAAGAAAACACTCTCCCAAGATGCACATATTTTAATACCTGTGGAAGAACAACATGCTTTGACAGGTTTCTAGGTCCTTTTGTTGTGATGTCTGATAGGACGGTTAGACCATGTTAACCAGGCTGGACTGAGTATTTGACAGTATTGTTACTCCGAAGACTTTTCCCTCACCCCACATGCCCTTGTCCCTCCCTGGAAGAACTGGCATAAAATGACAATGTCTGATTACACTTACATGCTTTTGGTTTTCCACAGATGTGTAATTAAGTGAACCATATATGTTTCATCATCATGGAGATCTTGGAGAATTATCTGAGCACCAGGTTCATATGTATTCGATCTCAGAGGCATCTATTGGACAACAAAACACTCTTTCAGTTGTGAACTTTATTTATTTATTATTATTATTTTTTGAGACAGAGTTTTGCTCTTGTTGCCCAGGTTAGAGTGCAGTGGCACGATCTCGGCTCACTGCAATCTCCGCCTCCCAGGTTCAAGCGATTCTCTTGCCTCTGCCTCCCGAGTAGCTGGGATTACAGGCATCTGCTACCACGCCTGGCCAATTTTTTGTATTTTCAGTTGAAACGAGGTTTCACCATATTGGCCAGGCTGGTCTCGAACTTCTGACCTCAGGTGATCCACCCCCCGCCTCGTCCTCCAAAAGAGCTGGGATTACAAGTGTGAGCCACCGCGCCCGGCCCAGTTGTGGACTTTAACAGAGGGAAGCTTTAAACATGTTTAACCACAGGCCCAATTTGAACAAAGATACTTCAATCATTATAGAGAGGAAAACAGTACTTTTTGTTCAATTGTGCAAACTCTCCAAGTATCTAATGGAGAAGTAGAGAAGAACCCTAATGAAACTGAGTGTGAATGAGGCTCAGCTAGGCTTCTACTTGGGTTCACTTTCTCATCTGTCTGCCTGTCCTGGGATTGACCCTCGCTCCTCTGAAGACCAGCCTGAAAGCCTTAAAACTGGTCAGATGATGGATGAGTCTGATGAGGACTTTAAAGAACTCTGCGCTAGCTTTTTCCAAAGGGTGAAAAAACATGGAATCAAGGAAGTGTCAGGAGAAAGGAAGACACAAAAGGCTGCCTCAAACGGCACTCAGATAAGAAGCAAATTGAAAAGGACCAAACAAACTGCTACCAAGACCAAAACCCTTCAAGGCCCTGCAGAGAAGAAACCTCCGTCTGGCAGCCAGGCCCCTAGGACTAAAAAGCAAAGGGTAACCAAATGGCAAGCAAGTGAACCGGCCCACTCTGTGAATGGGGAGGGGGGTGTGCTTGCCTCTGCTCCAGATCCACCTGTGCTCCGGGAAACAGCACAAAACACCCAGACGGGTAACCAGCAAGAACCATCGCCAAACCTTTCCAGAGAGAAAACCAGAGGTAATTTGTACTCTTTTAAACCAGGGGCTGGAAAACTTCCTGGAAAGGGCCAGATCGTAAATATTTTGGCTTTGTAGGCCACACAGACTCTGTCACAACTACTCAACTCTGCTGTCATAGTGAGAAAGCAGGCGTGGACAATATGTAAATGAACAGGCATGGCCATATGCCAGTAAAACTTTATTTACAAAAACAGGCAGCCAGCCACATGACCGTAGTTTGCTAACTTTTGGTTTGTTTTTATTTTTTAATTTTTAAGCTTAAAAAAAAATTTAGAGCTGGAGGTCTCACTATGTTGCCCAGGCTGGTCTTGAACTCCTGGACTCAAGCAATCCTCGTGCCTCAGCCTCTCAGAGTGCTGGGATTACAGGCGTAAGCCACTGCGCCCGGCTGACTCCTGGTTTAAACAACAGTCAAGAAAAACATAACCCGTGTGAATTTTTCACATGATTGTGTTTGGAGTCCTCTGCTCTTTCAGAATTTCCTATGAAATTCTGTTATATGATTGACATGAGTTACACAAACAACACAATAATGCTGCTTCTCTTGTTTTCTTGAATTTATTCCAAAGTGGGTAAGTTGGACTGGGCCAGCCAATTTGGATAGGCTGCTGAGAGGGCCGCATGAGGACTCTGTGTGGGCTCAAGTCCCAGGAGAATCTTCAGGTTCTTTCTTTCTCTCTCTGAAGACCTTTTAATCTTTTCCTTTGTTATTGTTATTGATTTATTTACTTACTTAGTTTTTAGAGACAGGATCTTGGTCTCTCACCCAGGCTGGAGTGCAGTGGTGCTATCATAGCTTACTGCAGCCTTGACCTCCCAGGTTCAAGCAGTCCTCCCTGCCTCAGCCTCCCGAGTAGCTGGGACCACAGGCACCCACCACCGTGCCTGGATAATTTTTTAACTGTTTAAAGCAGTTTTCTTGCCCTGCTGCCCTTGGTATACTGAGCTATATGCTTACTACACATTCTTCATGCAAAACTGAAAACTACCCTTGCATATATAATACACCATGGGCTCTCTGAGCTCCTGAGTTCTGTTTCTAAATTTCCTTTGCCCTCACTTCCTGATCTTAATAACCTCTCAGTAGAGTGGTGGTAGAGTCTCAGGTCGCATAGACTACTGGAAGGCATCAGCAGTGTTGCCTCACCAACTTTACTGGTCTCTCGTGCTCTTTGCCAGTCGGATGAAATCTATGCATGGTTCCCCCAAAACACGTATCCATGCGCGTATCTGCAAAACTGGCACACAACTTCATGGGGTTCATGGATCCCCACTGAAGATCATCCGTGGATCCCAAGTTAAAGAAGAACTGATCTAGGACATAAACCTTTGTCATTAATATTTCTTTAATAATAGCTTTATTGGGGTATAATTGATATTCCATAAAATTCACCATTTAAAAGGGTATGGTTCAGTGGTTTTTAGTATATTCACAGACTTGTCCAACCACCACCACTACCTAACGTTAGAACAGTTTTATCATCCTAAAAATAAACCCCATGCTCATTAGCAGTCACATCCCATTCCCCTCCTGTTATTGATATTTATGTCTATATTGCCATAAACAAAGAGGTTACCAACAAGCAACCAGTCCTCTTCACATTTGTGAGTCAAACCTAAACTAGTTGATAAAGGACTCTTGAAACTTGCGTCTAACCTGTATCTGGTAGAAAAGTCTTTTATTTCTCCAGCTACAACAGATGGTTGTGAATATTTTCCTCCTTGCCAGAGAATGTGCCCAACAGCGACTCCCAGCCTCCTCCTTCCTGTTTGACAACAGCAGTGCCAAGTCCCTCCAAACCCCGCACAGCACAATTGGTCCTACAGCGAATGCAGCAGTTCAAGAGAGCAGACCCCGAGCGTTTGAGACACGCTTCAGAAGAGTGCTCCCTCGAGGCTGCGCGGGAAGAAAATGTCCCAAAGGATCCTCAAGAGGAGATGATGGCGGGGAATGGTATGATGAGTGTGTTTCTGTCTTCCACACAGAGATAAGTTAATACAACTCTGAGGAAGGGAGGCGGGAAGGAATCAGCATTTGTTGAGTTTCTTCTGTGGATAGGCTCTCTGCTTGATGTTTTACCTTTGCCACTTCACTGGATCCAGCCAGAGAATGAAGAGTCTCTGGGATCATTTCCCACCTAGCTTCCTTGATAAGGTACCGTTTTGTTTTTTTTTCTGAGACAGAGCCTTGCTCTGTCACCCAGGCTGGAGTGCAGTGACATGATCTCAGCTCACTGCAACCTCCGCCTCCCAGGTTCAAGCAATTATCTTGCCCCAGCCAGTGGGATTACAGACGTGTGCCACCACACCTGGCCAATTTTTGTATTTTTAGTAGAGACAGGGTTTCGCCAAGTTGGCCAGGCTGGTCTCGAACTCCTGACCTCAAGTGATCTGCCTACCTCAGCTCCCCAAAGTGCTGGGATTACAGGCGTGAACCATTGCACCTGGCCCTCTTCCTTTTTTTTTTTTTTTTTTTTTTTTGAGATGGAGTCTCGCTCCGTCACCCAGGCTGGAGTGCAGTGGCACGATATTAGCTCACTGCAAGCTCCACCTCCCAGGTTCACGCCATTCTCCTGCCTCAGCCTCCCGAGTAGCTGGGACTACAGGCTCCCACCACCACGCCTGGCTAATTTTTTGTATTTTTAGTAGAGACAAGGTTTCACCTTGTTAGCCAGGATGGTCTCGATCTCCTGACCTCGTGATCCACCCGCCTTGGCCTCCCAAAGTGCTGGGATTACAGGCGTGAGCCACTGTGCCTGGCCTCCTTTTTTTAAAAATTATGACTTTTTATTATGAAAGCTTTCCCTTTCAGTTTTTTCCTTTTAAAAAGATAACCCTCAGTATTCACAAAGAACTCTTCCTTTCAGAAAAGGTTTTTTTGTTGTTGTTGTTTTAATTACAATGAAGCCAGGCATGATGGCTCATGCCTATAATCCCAAAACTTTGGGAGGCCAAGGCAGGAGGACTACTTGAGGTCACAAGTTCGAGACCAGCCTGGACAACATAGTGAGACCCCCATCTCTACAAAAAAATTTTAGGGGCCAGGCGTGGTGGCTCACGCCTGTAATGCCAGCACTTTGGGAGGCCGAGGTGCGCAGATCACAAGGTCAGGAGATTGAGACCATCCTGGCTAACACAGTGAAACCCCATCTCTATGAAAAATACAAAAAATTAGCAAGGTATGGTGGTGGGTGCCTGTAGTCCCAGCTACTCGGGAGGCTGAGGCAGGAGAATGGCGTGAACCTGGGAGACAGAGCTTGCAGTGAGCCGAGATTGCACCACTGCACTCCAGCCTGGGCAACAGAGCAAGACTCTGACTCAAAAAAAAATTTTTTTTTAATTAGCTGGGCATGATGGTGCACAACTGTAGTCCCAGCTACTCGGGAGGCTGAGGTGGGAGGATTGCTTGAGCCCAGGACGTTGAGCTGCAGTGAGCTGTGATTGCATCATTGCACTCCAGGGCAACAGAGTGAGACCCTGTCTCAAAAAAAAAAAAAAAAAAATTACAATGAATCCCCTAATCCCCTATACCTCAATCTAGATTTAACAAATGTTAACATTTGGCCATTTGTTTATGTCTTTATAAATATACATTTTTTTTTTTTTTTGAGATGGAGTCTTGGTCTGTCTCCCAGGTTGGGGTGCAGTGGCGCAATCTCGGCTCACTGCAAACTCCACCTCCTGGGTTCAAGCCATTCTCCTGCCTCAGCTTCCAGGAAGCTGGGACTACAGGCATGCACCACCACGTCCAGCTAATTTTTGTATTTTTAGTAGAGTTGGGGTTTCACCATGCCGGCCAGGCTGTTCTGGAACTCCTGACCTTGTGATCTGTCCACCTCAGTCTCCCAAAGTGCTGGGATTACAGACGTGAGCCACCGTGCCTAGCCAAGCGTACATATTTTTCTTCCATATTATCTGAAGGTAAATTATAGACATTAGGATCCTTTACCCCTAGATTCTGCTGCATAACCACAATACCATTAGCACGCTTAATTCCATAATAGTGCCTGGCGTCCAGTTCAAACTCAAATTTCCCTGGTTGTCTCAAGGTTATTTTTTGTAGCTGGTTTCTTTTTTTTCTGAACAAGGATTCAGTAAGTTCACACACTGCATATTGCTGTAGCTCAGCAGTATCCTAAGGTCTAGATTCTAGAATAGTCCCCCATTTCCTTTTGTTTTCCATGACACTGACTTTTTTTTTTTTTTTTTTTGACAGAGGCTTGGCTAGAGTGCAGTGGCACAATCTCGGTTCACTGCAACCTCTGCCTCCCAGGTTCAAGCTATTCTCGTGCCTCGGCCTCCTGAGTAGCTGGGATTACAAGCACCCACCACCACACCCGGCTAATTTTTTTGTATTTTTACTAGAAATGGGGTTTCACCATGTTGCCCAGGCTGGTCTTGAACTCCTGAGCTCAGGGGATCTGCCCTCCTCAGCCTCCCAAAGTGCTAGGATTACAGGTGTGAACCACCACACCCAGCCCTATGACACTGAGTTTTTGAAGAGGCTAGGCTAATTGTATTATAAGATTTCCCACTTTCTGGATTTATTTCTTTATGGGATCGTTAACTCCTTCCTCTAACCATTGGGTTGCCCCACTCTGAGTAGATTAGAGGCTCATTGGCTGCAGGTGAGACAGGGTGGCGACAGTGCCCCATAGCTGCTGTGTACTTGGTGTGGCACCGGCCCAATAAGCGTAATAATGCCAGGTGCTCCTGTTCTCCATCCCCAAAACAATATGGATTCTCATCTCTGATGAAAATATACAAAAGGAAAAGAAATAGGAAGAAACCATTATCGGCAGACCTACAGCTAATAAGTATGCAGGATCTTGGCATTGCATTGCAGATTTCACTGCAGTAGCACGGAGGAGTCTCAGGCCACCCCAGGGTCCACAGCAGGCAGTGATTTGATGTCCTGCCGAGGCATCAGTCCTGGACGCACATGTGAGTTGCAGAGGAGGCACCCAGCTGGTGTGAGCTCCGCCCCTGCCCAGCATTTGACTCAGTTCTCTCTGTATCTTCACATCACACCCAGCAAGTGCTCAGAAAGAGATAAACCATTTGTTTGTTAAGAAACCAAACCAGGCTGGACGCGGTGGCTCACGCCTGTAATCCCAGCACTTTGGGGAGGCCAAGGCGGGCAGATCACCTGAGGTCAGGAATTCAGGACCACCCTGGCCAACATGGTGAAGCCCTGTCTCTACTAAAAATTAGCCAGGTGTGGTGGGCACCTGTAATCCCAGCTACTCAGGAGGCTGAGGCAGGAGAATCGCTTGGACCCGGGAGGCAGAGGTTGCAGTGAGCTGAGATCGCGTCGTTGCACTCCAGCCTGGCGACAGAGTGTGAGACTCCATCTCAAAAACAAACAAACAAACAAAACAGGGCACCAAAATGAAGGTGTGCTGTTTTGCTGGCCTCAGTGGCAGGCACTGGTAGGCCACAGCCATGAAGAACTTGGGGATTTATGAGGCGTTCAGGGCATATCCCTTGTGAGTGACAGGGGTCTGCTCCAGCAATATCAGATGGGCCACCCTGGGAGCCATCTCAAGACCAGAATCAGTCCATTCTTGAGTCTGATGCTAAGTAAGAGATGCTGCCTTTTAAACGCCAAAGGCATTTCACTCTGCCCTGGTTTTATCATGGGCAGTAAAAGGTCAGCAGGAAAGGGTGAGTTTTGAAGAGAACATCTAGCTTTGTTGGAATATGAGCCTTGTGAACTTGCAATGCCCGAGGTAGCCAACTTCAGCAGAAGTGGGAAAGTTTAGGTCCTTGCTACTCAGAGTGGTCCTGTGCTGCCAGCATCGCCAAGCCTGGAGGCTGCTAGAAATGCGGAGAGTCTCAGGCTGCACCTGGACCCCTTGAATTTGAATCTGAGTGTCGACAAGCTTCCCAGGTAATGCATATCCATGTTAAAGTTGGAGACGGCTGTTCCCGGAGTGCTGATTAGTGCCCAGTCTCACTGGACAGTGTCCAAGTCACCAGCCTGCAGAGTGGAGCTGGGTTCTGGTTTCTTTGCGTTCCACCTGCTCCCCATGGTCTGCAGGAGCTGACAGAGCAGAGGTCTGAGGGTGAGCTTGTCTTTGGAGTTTATTCTCACGGATCTTTGGTGCTTCTCCACAGTGTATGGGCTTGGGCCCCCTGCCCCAGAGAGCGACGCTGCGGTGGCCTTGACCCTGCAGCAGGAGTTTGCACGGGTAGGAGCATCGGCACATGATGATAGCCTGGAGGAAAAGGGTTTGTTCTTCTGCCAGATTTGTCAAAAGAACCTCTCAGCCATGAACGTGACCCGAAGGGAACAGCATGTGAACAGGTGGGGGCAGCTTGGGCCGTCGCCTCTCCCGTGTATGTGACCAGAATCCCCAAGCACCCCAGGGCTGGAGTGCGGATCTCCACACCTTACCATGACAACAGCACCTCAGCTTTGTTGTCAACCTACCCCTTTTTAAAAATAACTTCGTTGAGATACAATTCACAGAACATATAGTTCACCCATTTAAACTGAACAAATCACTACTTTTGGGATATTCACACAGTTGGGCAACTGTCACCACAATCACTTCTGGATTATTTTCATCACCCCCAAAAGAATCCCCACACCCATTGGCAGCCACTCCCTATTGCCCCTCTCTCCCCTGACAACCACTAATCAACATTCTGTCTGGATGGATTTGCCGATTCTGAAATTGCACAGTTGTCCTTTTGTGTCTGCCTTCTTTGACTTAATATGTTGTTTTTGAGGTTCATCCATGTTGTAGCATGGAGCAGGCTTCATTCCTTTTTATGGCTGAGCAGTATCTCATTGTATGGCTAGACTGTGTTTTTCCCATTCTTAGATGAGGAATATGACCATGGTTTATCCTTTCGTCCATTGGCGGACATTTGGAGCATTTCTACCCTTTGGGATTGTGGATAGAGCTGCCGTGAACATGGGTTTCATGTATTTGTTTGGGTACCTGCTTTCAGTTCTTTGGGGTCTCTACTTAGGAGTGGAATTTCTAAGTCATCATGTAACTGCATTTAATCTTTCCTTGCTTTCTTTAGCCAACTTTGCTGACAGATACCTAAGTGTAGTGTCTAGGGGCTGACTGCCGGGAGACGGAGCCAGGCTGTGTAGAGGGGATTGGCTTTGGGGAACTTGCTTTGACCACAGCACGTCTGTGTTGACCTGGACCCACATTTGCTCCAATCCACATTCCTGGGGAGGGTGGTTCTCCTGTATTGACTGTTTTCCTTCAGGTGCTTGGATGAAGCTGAAAAGACACTAAGACCTTCTGTGCCTCAGATCCCTGAGTGCCCGATTTGTGGGAAACCGTTTCTTACCTTAAAGAGCAGAACCAGTCACTTGAAGCAGTGTGCTGTGAAGATGGAGGTTGGCCCCCAGCTCCTGCTTCAGGCTGTGCGGCTGCAGACAGCACAGCCTGAGGGTAGCAGCAGCCCACCCATGTTCAGGTAAGTCGACGAAAAGGAAGAAAACCAAGCCAAATAATGCTGTGTGCACTCAGGGCTTTTTCTATTTAAAAAAGCTTTTTATGGGCTGGACGCAGTAGTTCACACCTGTAATCGCAGCACTTTGGGAGGCCAAGGTGGGCAGATCACCTTAGATCAGGAGTTCGATACCAGCCTGGCCGACATGGTACAATCTCGTCTCTACTAAAAATACAAAAATTAGCATGGTGGCACATGCCTGTAGTCCCAGCTACTTGGGAGGCTGAGGCAGGAGAATCACTTGAACCCAGAAGGTAGAGGTTGCAGTGAGCCAAGATCGTACCACTGCACTCCAGCCTGGACAGAGTGAGATCCTGTCTCCAAAAAAAAAAAAAAAAAAAAAAAAAAAAAGCTTTTTATAGTGTTGGAGGGAAAAAGAGCCCTCTTTGATTCTGGAAATGAAACACTTAGGGCGGAAATCGGGCACAGTCTAGAAGGGAGTGAGGAGGGGACAGAATCTGCATTCTGGAAGGCTCTGGACCTGCCCCTTTAGGGGGGTGCAGAAATGATCTTCGCACTGTTTTCCTCAAGGTCCTTCCTGAGTTTCCAATCCCATGATCCCACAGTCGGTACCCTCTAGTGCAGGGGTCCCCAACCCCCCAGCCTCGGACCAGTACCGGTCTGTGGCCTGTTAGGAACCTGGCCACACAGCAGGAGGTGAGCAGCGGGCAGGCAAGCTTTACTGCCTGAGCTCCGCCTCCTGTCAGATCAGTGGTGGCATTAGACTCACAGGAACACAAACCCTGTTGTGAGCCGCACATGCATGGAATCTAGGTTGAGCTCTCCTTATGAAAATCTAAAGCCTGATGATCTGAGGTGGAATGCTTTGATGCTGAAACCATTCCCCTACTCCTGTCCCATGGAAAAATTGTCTTCCATGAAACCAGTTCCTGGTACCAAAAAGGTTGGGGACTACTGCTTTACCACATCTAAGAATTTGGTAGTCACTTTACTCCATCCATTTCGTTGTTGGACAGCATGGTTTCCACCTCAGCACAGTCCAGTTTTCACACTGTTAACATAAGATTACTCAGCACAGTTCACAGATTTGGTGATTGGCCAGGCACGGTAGCTTACACCTGTAATCTCAATACTTTGGGAGGCCAGGGCGGAAGGATCACTTGAGCCCAGGAGTTCAAGGCCAGCCTGGACTACATAGCAAGACCCATCACTACAAAAAATTAAAAAATTAGCTGGCTGTGGTGCTGCACACCTGTAGTCCCAGCTACGTGGGAGGCTGAGGCGGAAGGATCACTTGAGCCTGGGAGGCCAAGGTTGCAATGAGCTGTGATTGCACCACTGCACTCCAGCCTGGGCGACAGGGCAAGAACCTGTCTTCATAAAACAAACAAAAACAACAACAAAGTTGGTGCAACAGAAGTGTAGGACCCTATTTTTTAAAAATCTTGCATGAATTAATGCTTAAAAGTTAAAATGAGTTGCCTTGCTCACAGCCAGGAAACAAGTCCTCAGCATGCAAACCACAGCCACACAAGTGCCAGAGGGCTGGCCCTGCTCCACGCTGCCCTGCTGCTGAGGACGCTAGAGCTGACACCAGGTTCATAGTGAACAAAGGCATCTTGGACCTTTGACTCCTCCAGGTTTGAGACCGCTGTCAGGAGCAAAGGGAAGGCCAAAGGCGATAGCTGTTTGTCCCGCCCCCTGCTTTGCACACAGGTCATGGGCAGCTGAGCTGGCTCGGGGCTGAGATGGCAGAGGGCAGAGGGGATTCTCTTGGTGGAGGAGCGCATCTGTATTTAGCATGGCAGGGGTGCAAGCCTTGAGGCCTTAGAATAGACGTCATCTAAGCCATTGTTTCTTTCTTGGCAGGACCACGCCAAAAGCACCTGCTCAGATAAAGTATGTCTGCCTTTAGAATACCTCCAAGTACTGAAACTAGATGTATGTGGATCCGTTTAGAAGGTTGTCAGAGTAGAAAACTACAGGAGCTGGATGCCCTCATGGGGTCTTTGAACCCCTCCCTCCCCAAAGGCCAAGCCTGTGGTCATCAGAACGCATGCCCCGGCCAGAGTGCCTCATATTCTTTCCCCACAGCCCAAACCTGGCCTGCTGGGGAGTGAGGAGGGAACACAGTCTGTGTTCCCTTCACAGAAGCAGGGTCCCAGGCTGCCCAGGCAGCTCCTTTCCCTCTGGGAGGCTGTGATTATCCACGTTCCTGGGAAGGTGAACTTGAGCCATCCCTGGCACCCTGGAGAGCATGAGCTTTTGCAAAAGCCAGAGGCATGACTGCATTGCAGGGAAGGTGGGCCCGGTTTGTGCTAAGTTCCTTTGTCACCTCTGCCCTCCTCCTTCTTGCCCAGCTTATTGGGAGTCACCCAGGCAGCCTAGGTTCTCTCCAGCCGGAAACTCCTGTTCATTTCCTCCAAACCAAACGAGCTGCTGCCCGTTGAAAGTGCAGAGTCCCGGGGCGGCTGGTATAATGTTGACCATCGGCAGCCTAAGCTGGGAAGCCCTTCCTTCTGGCCATGGACAGAGGCACTGCCGTGGAGCCCTTGCAGGAGGGAAGGGATCCTTTTCTGCCGGTGTGGCCAGGACCGTGTAAGGAGCATCGGAAGTATTGATGGGTGAAGGTGGTGGGAGTCCAGGGAGCCTGCTCAGAGCCATCGATTGTTGACTCCATTGGATGGGCTTGGCCACATGAGGATGTGCAGGTACCACAGATGGCTCCGTACATCTGCCATGAGCCTGCTGGACAGCAGCACGTGAAGGAACCCAGACCCTCCTGTGCCTGGGCCATGTTGAACTTCTGGCCTGGAATTGAATGAGTTCACACAAGGCAGTGGAAGTGGGGGACGCATCTGCCTGGCAGGTCCACATCCGTCACTTTTCTCTCAGGCCCAGCCCTCTCCAGACCAGTGTGACCAACCTGAGAAGCGTGCACTCCTCTAGCCCCAGTAACTTTTCTCTTTGGCTGTTTTCTAGCTTCAGTGATCACAGTAGAGGTCTGAAACGGAGAGGACCCACCAGCAAGAAGGAGCCACGGAAGAGGCGGAAGGTGGACGAGGCACCGTCCGAGGACCTGCTGGTGGCCATGGCTCTGTCCCGGTCGGAGATGGAGCCGGGTGCGGCTGTACCAGCGCTCAGGCTGGAAAGTGCCTTTTCTGAGAGGATAAGACCAGAAGCAGGTTTGTGTGATCAGAAGAGTGACCCTGGGAGAGGCCATCAGCAGGTCCCGGGTGAGTGGACCGACTCCACCGTTGATGGTGTCGCTTTTGTTTCTCTCTAGAGAATAAAAGTCGCAAGAAGAAACCCCCGGTATCCCCCCCATTGTTGTTAGTCCAGGACTCTGAAACCACAGGCCGACAGATAGAGGACCGTGTGGCCCTGCTCCTCTCTGAGGAAGTGGAATTGTCTAGCACGCCACCACTTCCTGCCAGCAGGATTTTAAAGGAAGGGTGGGAAAGAGCGGGCCAGTGTCCTCCTCCACCTGAACGCAAGCAGAGCTTTCTGTGGGAGGGCAGCGCACTGACTGGGGCCTGGGCCATGGAGGACTTCTACACGGCCAGGCTGGTCCCTCCTCTCGTGCCCCAGCGGCCTGCCCAGGTGAGTCCCTCCCCTCAGGCACATGGATAGGCTTTTGGGGGAGGTTGGCAATCCCAGAACTGCAACACTGGGTACCCACAGCCAGGTGATGGAAAGTCCAGGAAGGAAAGGCAGAGGCGGGAGGAGGCCAGAGGGGCACTTGGTGGCTGCAGCTTTCTTCTCTGTCCAGCAACTACATGGTACTCTGGGTAGGATCAGGGAGGACCCTTGGTGTCCACCAGAGTGTGTTCCTGGAGTTTGTTGAAAATGCAGAGTCCCGGCCGGGCGCAGTGGCTCACGCCCGTAATCCCTGCACTTTGGGAGGCTGAGGTGGGCGGATCACGAGGTCAGGAGTTCGAGACCAGCCTGGCTAATATGGTGAAACCCCATCTCTACTAAGAATACAAAAATTAGCCAGGCATGGTGGCACACACCTGTAATCCCAGTTACTTGGGAGACTGAGGCAGAAGAATCGCTTGAACCGGGGAGGCGGAAGTTGCAGTGAGCCGAGACCGTGCCATTACACTCCAGCCTGGGCAACAAAGTGAGACTCTGTCTTGAAAAAAAAAAAAAAAACAGAGTCCCAGGGCAACTGGCAAAATGCCTCAGATGGAGCCCGGAAACTGGCATTCGGAGCACACACTCCAGACAGTCGTGCGGCAGGTAGCCCTACAGTCAGTACGCAGCTGCCTGAGGCAGCTTGGAGGACTTCAGGAGGGCGGCAGGCCTGGGCCCCCCTGGCCTCTGACAAGCCTTTGTGCAAACAGATGCCACAGGCCTGGCCTTGGCCGTGACAGAGGAGGAGCATGTTGACATGAGTGCTGGGGAAAAGCATCCCAGGACTGCTCCAGGCTGTGGCTGGAGCCCCGGGGACAGTCTGTCCCCACAGCCCACATCCTGCTCTGTAGTTTTAGGTCCAGCCGTGCATACCACATGTGATGGCTTCTGCAGTGTGTGCGTCAATGACAGTGACCACGTGGTCACTCTCCTTACTGGCTTCTTTCAGGGCCTTATGCAGGAGCCCGTGCCGCCTCTGGTGCCACCTGAGCACTCAGAGCTGAGCGAGCGAAGGTCACCCGCTCTCCACGGCACCCCCACTGCAGGCTGTGGCTCCAGGGGCCCGTCGCCTTCGGCCAGCCAGAGGGAGCACCAGGCCCTGCAGGACCTCGTGGACCTGGCGAGGGAGGGACTGAGCGCCAGCCCGTGGCCCGGCAGTGGGGGCCTGGCTGGCTCGGAAGGGACTGCAGGTGAGATGCTGGGTGGGACTCTAGGGCCAGCCCTGCCCTCCCGGGCCTCCCCTCCCCGCGGCTGAGGCTGCCATGGACTGGCTCTTGTGCCGCCGCGACGGCAGCTCTGACCTGGTGGGAGAACACGCAGCCTCTGGGCGCTTTCATTTTTTCTCAAAGGTCAATGTGGTGTAGACAACTCTGTCATGATTTTCCTTCCACTTTAACCAAAGACAGAGCTGTCTGCCCACAGCGAGTGAATCCTCTGGGTGAACTGTCTGTTTTGCTCTTCTCTTACCTCCCTGGTGGAGTGGTGGTGAGACAGGGTGTGCGGGTTTGCTTTGCATGAAGGTGTCCTCGGATAGCAAGCACCTTCCGAGGCACCGCAGGGGCTGGCTCAGCCTGTGGTCAACGCTGTCTTCTTGGTGGTGGATGTGGCTGGGCTGTGACGTTCCTTTAACCTGTGAATCCTCCACTCAGGGTTGGACGTGGTGCCCGGCGGCCTTCCTCTGACTGGGTTTGTGGTGCCATCGCAGGACAAGCACCCGGACAGGGGCGGCCGCACCTTGGTAAGAACTGGCTCTGGCCCGCGCTCTCTGGTCCCGGCCATCCCACTTGCCATGTGTGTGGTGGGGTTGGCTCACCGCTGGCCTCTGGCCCCCAACGCAAGTGCAGTGGCCTCTCAAGGCCTCTGCTTTCCAGAAGGCTGCCACATCCTGACATCCGTGAGCAGAGCCACGGACCCACAGCCACCTCAGCGCCCCTCTGGGGGCTCTGCCACGAGACTTCTGCCTTTTCTGTCTGTGACTCCATGGGGCACCTTGGGGTTGAGGCCCCAGAGCCTGCCCTGTCCTGGGTCCCAGGAGTGTAGAGGGACCACAGTTTCTCAGCGCGGTTGCCCCATCCAGGCACGCTCTGCTCGTTCCTCAGTAGTTGGGAGCTCACCAAGGGCTTGCTCTCCCTCCCCTCTGTGCGGGTCCTGGGCTCCAGAGCACAGCTGAGCAGCCTGGCCTGGCCTCCCTGTCAGTGCGCTGTCTGGGGAAGAACCGGGGTGGGAACTGGCTTTTCCCTAGAGTGGACCTCCTCCCATTTGCATGTCAGTGTCAACCAAGCACTTCATGCCAAGGCCAGCCTAGGGACATCATCACAGACTGGACCCGGCTGTCCTCTTGGCCAGGTCCCCGAGCTGCTTGGACTCAGGGTGCTTGTCCGTCACAGGGGATGGGTGCACCTCCTCAAAGCCCAGGTATCCCGCAGCCTGTCCCACTCAGTGCGGGAGCTGCCAGCACTGTGAGTTCACATCTAGCCCCATGTCTGGCATCTCCACGGGGGCCAGGGAACCCACTGGCAAGAGCCAGAGGAACAAGCTAGTGCTTTGCTCTTCTGTGCTACTCAGGGCCTTAGGGTCACTCAGAGGTTGAGGCCATCGTGGGAAGCGTTTTGGAGAGGAAAGGAGAATGCAGGTCCTGGCTCCCGGCCCACCCTAGCGCCACCTCCATGCGGGGAGCTTCCCACTGCCCAGTTAGCAGAGCAGAGGTGGGGAGGTGACGGCTCTTCCTCTCCTCCTGCTTCAGCTCTCCCTCGGGCTGCTGGTTGCTGACTTTGGCGCCATGGTCAATAACCCACACCTGAGTGATGTCCAGTTTCAGACGGACAGCGGGGAGGTGCTTTACGCCCACAAGTTCGTGCTTTATGCCCGATGCCCGCTCCTCATCCAGTATGTAAGTACGTGGGCTGCCGTGTGCCCTCCTTTCCTCTCTCTCCCTCTCTCCTCCTGCCTTTCTCCAACCAGGTCTTCCCATGTCTCAGGTGCCCTTTCCACCCCCCCACTCTCCCTCACTTCCTGCCCCACCATGTTCTCACCTTCTCCCTCCCAACCATCCGTTTCTGCAACACGTGGAGAAGAGATAAAGACCCACGCTTGAGGTTAGGAGTGGGTGTGAGGGGATGGCCTCACAACTGGGAAACATCAGTGTTTTCGTTCTGTTGAATGAAAATCCATTGTTTGGCCGGGCGCGGTGGCTCACGCCTGTAATTCCAGCACTTTGGGAGGCCGAGGCGGGCAGATCACAAGGTCAGGAGATCAAGACCATCCTAACACAGTGAAACCAGTCTCTACTAAAAATACAAAAAAATTAGCCGGGCATGGTGGCGGGCGCCTGTAGTCCCAGCTACTCGGGAGGCTGAGGCAGGAGAATGGCATGAACCTGGGAGGCGGAGCTTCCAATGAGCTGAGATTGCACCACTGCACTCCAGCCTGGGCGACAGAGCAAGACTCTGTCTCAAAAACAAAACAAAACAAAAAGAAAATCCATTGTTTCCCAGAATTGTTTTCTCTTTTCTCTATTTGCATAATTACAAAGGCTCATAATTGATCTCCTCAGGGATGAGTTGCTGATGAACCTGCCTTCTGACTTGAAAGCATTTGACTTGAGTGTGGGCAGGAACTCAGGGAGCTATTCTCAGTCTTTGTCAAAGTTCTGGATCCCATATGTGTCTATCAGGAGGACTCTTAACGGGGTCCTGGAATATCTAGTCCCAATACGATTTGACAAAAGAGGAGTGTTAGGCCTCACCTGTAAAATTATTGGCCAAAAATCTGCATAAACAGTGGCTAATGCTTTTCCTGGGGCATGGAGCTGCTTTTAAGACTAGGGACCAGGCACGGCGGCTCATGCCTGAGATCCCCGTACTTTGGGAGACTAAGGTGGGAGGATCGCTTGAGGCCAGGAGTTCAAGACCAGCCTGAACAACACAGTGAGAGCCCATCTCTACAAAAAAATTTAAAAATTAGCCTAGGGGCTGGGCGCAGTGGCTCACGCCAGTAATCCCAGCACTTTGGGAGGCCGAGGAGGGTGGATCACCTGAGGTCAGGAGTTCCAAGACCAGCCTGGCCAACATAGTGAAACCTTATCTCTACTGAAACTATAAAAAATTAGCCGGGCATGGTGGTGGGCGGCTGCAATCCCAGCTACTCGGGAGGCTGAGGCAGGAGAATACGCTGGAACCGAGGAGGTGGAGGTTGCAGTGAGCCGAGATCTCACCACTGCACTCCAGCCTGGGCAACAGAGAGAGATTCCAACTCAAAATAATAAAATTAATTAAAATTTAAAATTAGCCTAGGAGTTCAAGGCTGCAGTAAGCCATGATCACACCACTGTACTCTAGCCTGGGTGACAAGGGGAGACACTGTCTCTAAAAAGAAAAATAAAAAGACTAGTGACTTGCAGGACACCCCAGACCGTCTGCTTTGCTCCAAGTTACAACTCTCTGATCAGTAAACCCTCTGTGTTGCATTTCACCTGCAGGTGAACAATGAAGGCTTCTCCGCTGTAGAGGACGGGGTTCTGACCCAGCGTGTCCTGCTGGGTGACGTGAGCACCGAGGCCGCCCGCACGTTCCTGCACTATCTCTACACTGCGGACACTGGCCTTCCTCCTGGCCTTAGCTCTGAGCTGAGCTCCCTGGCCCACAGGTCTGGATTGCTCCCCAGCTTTTGAAATTAACTGACGAGGACTGGCAGGTTAACAGCTCTGGAGGGTTGTGCTGCAGAGGGCTCGGGGCTGAGGCCAAGAGAACTAACAGTCCTGTTTATACCTTTTAATCCCAAGTCCATGACCAGTGATGACCCTGTGGAACAGGGCATGTTAGGTGAAAGTCAGGCCAGAACAGACCCTTGCAGGGGTGCCAAGCACTGGATCAGGAGGACTCTATTGAGTCCCGTGGTTTTTAACCCCCTAGGTGTGATAAGAGAATGGCCCTTGGCTACAGCGCCCCCCAACACTGCTGCTCAGTGATTGTTCCACCACTAGACCTGAACAACAGCAGTCCTTTCCAGAGTCCCATAAAACAGGCATGGAGAGAATGCTTAGGCTGCATCCCAGATGCCACAGCTCTCCTGGCTTGTCCAGCCAGCATCTTAGGAGAGAGGCAGCAGCTCAGAGGGACAAGTGTTGTGCCTCTGGACAGGGCCTGGGCCGCTGATCCGAGCCTGCGTCCTCCCTCCGCTGCTTTCTTAGGAAAGGAACAGCTCAGCCTCTGGAGTTGGAAATATACTGACGGGCCACAGAGCCTTCAAGCAGGTGGCTGGCTGGCTTGCCCGTTGGCCTGGGCTGACTCAAGGACTTGGTGTGCTGTGGATTGTGTCTGATGCCATGTCTTTTCATTTATTTTTTATTTTTTGGAGAGACGGAGTGTCGCTGTGTTGCCCAGGCTGTTCTTGAACTCCTGACCTCAAGCAATCCTCCTGCCTCCGCCTCCCAAAGTGCTGGGATTATGGGCATGAGCCACCATGCATGACCTTTTTTATCCTTTTAGAGACAGAGTCTCTTGCTGTTGCCCAGGCTGGATGGCAGTGGCATGATCACAGCTCACTGTAGCCTTGAACTCCTAGGCTAATTTTTACATTTTTTTGTAGAGATGGAGACTTTCTATGTTGTCCAGGCTGATCTCAAACTCCCGGCCTTGAGTGATCCTCGGCTTCCCAAAGTGCTGGAATTTCAGGCATGAGCCACAATGCCTGGCTCTGACACCATATCTTAAGAGCCTCTGAGGCAGCACAGACTCCCCAGTTTTGTAGCTCTGCCAATCCCTGTTACCTTACATTCAGTCCGACACACCCCTTTATGTCTGCAGCTATAGTTAGGAAGCCCTGCTTTAAGTGTTGTCAGTCCCCGGTTTCTGGAACTAAGTGGCCTGGGTGTTTCTGGCAAGGAGTGTGGACACCGTCTTCAAAGGGAAGCAGGGCCTGGGTCATGGTCATTCCTCCTGGTGAAGACTCTGCTCTGGTCCGCCACCCCACCGGGGCACCCAGAGCCCATCTCCACGCAGAGGGGCGATGACTGTCGATGTTTCGTGTTGCAGGTTTGGCGTGAGTGAGCTCGTTCACCTGTGCGAACAGGTGCCTATTGCCACTGACTCAGAGGGCAAACCATGGGAGGAGAAGGAAGCAGAGAATTGCGAAAGCAGGGCCGAGAATTTCCAGGAACTCTTGAGGTCAATGTGGGCAGATGAAGAGGAGGAAGCGGAGACTTTGTTGAAATCCAAGGACCACGAAGAAGATCAAGAAAACGTGAATGAAGCAGAAATGGAAGAAATTTATGAATTTGCAGCTACTCAGCGAAAGCTTCTCCAGGAAGAAAGGGCAGCGGGTGCCGGCGAGGACGCTGACTGGCTGGAGGGTGGCAGTCCGGTTTCTGGGCAACTCCTAGCAGGTGTCCAGGTGCAGAAACAGTGGGACAAGGTGGAGGAGATGGAGCCGTTGGAGCCAGGAAGAGATGAGGCCGCCACCACCTGGGAGAAGATGGGACAGTGCGCTCTCCCGCCACCCCAGGGCCAGCACTCAGGGGCACGGGGAGCAGAGGCCCCTGAGCAGGAGGCGCCAGAGGAGGCGCTTGGCCATTCCAGCTGCTCCAGCCCTTCCAGGGACTGCCAGGCAGAGAGAAAAGAAGGCTCTCTTCCGCACTCAGATGATGCCGGGGATTACGAACAGCTCTTCTCATCAACTCAGGGAGAGATCTCAGAGCCGTCCCAAATAACAAGTGAGCCCGAGGAACAAAGTGGCGCTGTCAGGGAAAGGGGGCTGGAGGTTTCTCATCGCCTGGCTCCCTGGCAGGCATCTCCACCGCACCCGTGCCGCTTCCTATTGGGGCCTCCCCAGGGCGGGAGTCCCCGCGGGTCTCATCACACAAGTGGGTCGTCCCTGTCAACACCCCGGTCCCGTGGCGGAACTTCCCAGGTGGGCTCCCCAACCTTGCTGTCTCCAGCTGTGCCATCAAAGCAGAAAAGGGACAGGAGCATCCTCACGCTGTCTAAAGAGCCAGGGCACCAGAAAGGCAAAGAGCGTCGGTCCGTGCTGGAGTGCAGAAATAAGGGGGTCCTGATGTTCCCAGAAAAATCTCCGTCTATTGACCTAACCCAGTCAAATCCTGACCATTCGAGCTCCAGATCTCAGAAATCTTCATCCAAACTGAACGAAGAAGATGAGGTCATCCTCTTACTGGACTCGGATGAGGAGCTGGAGCTAGAACAAACCAAAATGAAGTCCATTTCTAGTGATCCTCTGGAAGAAAAGAAAGCTCTAGAAATTAGCCCTAGGTCCTGTGAGCTGTTTTCCATCATTGATGTTGATGCAGATCAGGAACCTTCCCAGAGCCCACCAAGAAGCGAAGCTGTGCTGCAGCAGGAGGATGAGGGGGCGCTGCCGGAGAATCGGGGCTCTTTGGGCAGGAGAGGGGCTCCCTGGCTGTTCTGTGACCGTGAGAGCAGCCCCAGCGAGGCCAGCACCACAGACACCTCGTGGCTGGTGCCCGCCACCCCGCTGGCCAGCAGAAGCCGTGACTGTTCTTCCCAGACCCAAATCAGCAGCCTCAGGAGCGGGCTGGCCGTGCAGGCGGTGACTCAGCACACGCCCAGGGCCTCAGTAGGAAACAGGGAAGGGAACGAAGTCGCACAGAAGTTTTCTGTCATCAGGCCCCAGACACCACCGCCCCAGACACCGTCCTCATGCCTCACTCCCGTCTCTCCAGGAACTTCTGACGGCAGAAGGCAAGGCCACAGAAGCCCTTCCCGTCCCCACCCCGGGGGCCACCCGCACTCCTCTCCGCTGGCTCCACATCCCATCTCAGGGGACCGCGCCCACTTCAGCAGGCGGTTCCTGAAACACTCGCCGCCTGGGCCAAGCTTCCTGAACCAGACCCCAGCGGGTGAAGTGGTGGAAGTCGGAGACAGTGACGATGAGCAGGAGGTGGCCTCCCATCAGGCCAACAGAAGCCCCCCACTGGACAGTGACCCCCCAATTCCAATTGACGACTGCTGCTGGCACATGGAGCCCCTCTCGCCAATTCCCATTGACCACTGGAACCTGGAGCGGACCGGCCCCCTGAGCACCAGCAGCCCCAGCCGCAGGATGAACGAGGCCGCCGACAGCCGTGACTGTCGCTCCCCGGGACTCCTGGACACCACCCCCATCCGAGGAAGCTGCACTACCCAGAGGAAATTGCAAGAGAAGTCCTCGGGCGCGGGCTCCCTGGGGAATAGCAGGCCGAGCTTTCTGAATTCGGCTCTGTGGGACGTTTGGGACGGGGAAGAGCAGAGGCCTCCAGAGACCCCTCCTCCGGCCCAGATGCCAAGCGCTGGTGGAGCTCAGAAGCCCGAAGGGTTAGAGACACCCAGTGAGTAGCCAGGAGAGCTGGGGAAGGGGACTGTCTTTGTTACTATTTTACACTAAGAGGGTGGGAAGATCAGTCATGAGACCCAGGGGCTGCCCTCTGAATGCCTGCTGACCTGAGGCATGACACTTCCGCTGCCTTCCAGACTCCCCTCCACAGTGGAGGAGAGCCGGGCTGGTTCTCATGCTACACTTCTCAGCCAGTAAGTCAGTGTTTCCCAAACTTGCCTGGCTCCAGTGCTCACCTGGGCATGTGTTAAAAATCCACATCTGTGGACCCTTCTCCAGAACACGGAGCCGGCACCTCCAAAGGCCACAACTCATTCAGCAAGTATCGGCATGCCTTAAGATTGGACCAGGGTGGTTCTCCAGAATGTTAACCGTAGATTGACTGCAGGACCCAGCAATTCCACTTTTACCTGTATATCCAAAAGAATTAAAAACAGGGACTCAGACATGCATGTTCATAGAAGCGCTGTTCACAATCGCCAAAAGCTGGAAGCAACCCAAATGCCCGTCAGGAGATGAACAGGGAAACCAAACGTGGTCCATCTAGACCACTAGAAAATGGAATAGTGTTCAGCCACAAAGAGGAGTGAGGCACTGCCACACGCTACCGCGTGGACGACCCAGAAAACATGCTGCCGGGTGAGAGAAGCCAGACATAGAAGGTCATGTACTGTCTGCACTCATGGATATGAAATGTCTAGAATAGGCAAATCCAGAGAAAATGCAGGTTAGTGGTTGGCCTGGGTTGGAGGGAGGGGGAATGGGGAGTGACTGCTTATGGGATACAGGGTGTCCTTTTGGGGTGGTGAAAATGTTTTGCAAATAGATAGAGGTGATGGTTGTACAACATTGTGAATACTTAATGCCACTGAATTATTCCCTTTACGATTTTTTTATGTGAATTTCACCTCAATTAAAAAAAGAATCAGGTGGGACAAGTGTGAGAGGCTGTTAGGCCTGTTCTTCCTGGTCCTCCCAGGTGCAGGGATGCCACCTCCCTGCTCATTTCAGTCCCCGGGGAGAGTCAGAGCCCCAGGTGTCGGCCCCCTCGGTGCTGCTGCTCCCATCCAGGCACCTCCGGGGAGGGCAAGGACAGGCCGGGCTGGGCTGAGCATGACTGGGAGAAAGGCCAGGCTGTGAGTGAGCACCTGCCTGCGGCCTGGGGGCCCATTTCCTCCCAAAATCCAGATGAATGAGGCCACTGATAGTGTCCTCGGCCCTCAGGGGCTTCAGAAACACCTGGAGAGCTTCTTATAGCACGCCCGTGGCCCAGCCTGCCCCAGAGCCTTGCTTCGGGAGGGTGACTAAGAATTTGCATTTCTAACCAGTTCCCAGGCAGTGCTGTGAGAACAGCTGCAGGAGGCTGCACAGCAGATCTGAGGTGGGCTTCAGGACGACGCTGCGGCCACAGGAAGAATCGTGCTTTTCTCAGGAGACAGAGCCTGCCGCTTTCATCGGGGGCTCAAAGGGCTCCATGGTCATAAAAGGCAGAAGAACCAAAGTCTGACTGTTTCCAATGTGTCACCAGGCTGGAGTGCAGTGGGGCTATCTCGGCTCACTGCAACCTCCACCTCTCGGGTTCAAGGGATTCTCCTGCCTCAGCCTCCCGAGTAGCTGGGATTACAGGCACCCAGCACCACGCCCAGCTAATTTTTGTATTTTTAGTAGAGTCGGGTTTCACCATGTTGATCAGGCTGGTCTTGAGCTGCTGACCTCAGGTGATCCGCCCACCTCGGCCTCCCAAAGTGCTGGGATTACAGGCGTGAGCCACCTCGCCCAGCCTATTATTTTTTAAAGTAACAGCTTTATTTAGATATAATTCACATACCATAATATCCACCCTTTTAAAATGGACAGTTCAGTGCTTCTCAGTACATTCACAGTGTTGTACAATTGTCCCCACTCTCTAATTCTAGAACATTTTCATCATCTCAAAAATCCTGTACCCATGAGCAGTCTCTCACCTTCCCCTTCCCCCAGCCCTGGCAACCAAGAACCTTTCTGTCTCTATGGATTTGCCTGTCCTGGACATTTCATATAAACAGAGCCATATATAACTAATATGTGGCCTTTTGTGTCTGTGTCTGGCTTCTTTCAGTTAGCATACAGTTTTCAAGATTCATACATGTTGTAGCATGGATCAGTATTTTATTCCTTTTTATTCTTTTTTTTTTTTTTTGAGACGGAGCCTCTCTCTGTTGCCCAGGCTAGAGTGCAGTGGCACGATCTCGGCTCACTGCAACCTCCACCTCCTGGGTCCAAGCGATTCTCCCGCCTCAGCCTCCCGAGTAGCTGGGATTACAAGCGCCCATCGCCATGCCATGCCCGGCTAATTTTTTTGTATTTTTAGTACAGATGGGGTTTCACCATGTTGGCCAAGCTGGTCTCGAACTCCTAACCTCAAGTGATCCACCCACTTTGGTCTCCCACAGTGCTGGGATTACAAGCCTGAGCCACTGTGCCTGGCCTGTTTTTGAGTCAGGGGTCTTGCTCTGTCACCCAGGCTGAAGTGCAGTGGCGCAATTACAGCTCATTGTAGCCTCGACCTCCCAGGCTCAAGTGATCCTCCCACCTCAACCTCCTGAGTAGCTGGGACTACAGGCAGCTGCCACCATGCCCAGCTAATTTTTTTTTTTTAGTAGAGACTGGGTCTTGCTATGTTGCCCTGGCTTTGGGCATACATTCCTTTGTATGTCTAATACCCCACTGATGGTATGCCACATTTTGCTTATCCATTCATCTACTAGTGGACACACGGGTTGTTTTTAATTTGTGGTTATTAATAATGCCACTTAGGAATATTGATGTGCAAGTTTTCGTGTAGACATGTTTTCCTTCTTCTTGGTTCTGTACTTAGGAGTGGAATTGCTGGGTCATATGGCAACTGTGTTTAGCATTGTGAGGAACTGCGAGACTGTTTTCCAAAGTGACTGCACCATTTTAAATCTCCACCAACACTTGTTATTCTGTTTTTGTTGTTGTTGTTATTGTTTTGAGACAAGGTCTTGCTCTGTCGCCCAGGCTGGAGTGCAGTGGCGTGTTCATGGCTTGCTGCAGCCTCAACCTTCCTGGCTCAGGTGATCCTCCCACCTCAGCCTCCCGAGTAGCTGGAACCAGCCACAAACAGCTGCCCACATTGGTGACTTGGGCCACCACACCCTGCTAACTTTTTTTGTATTTTTTTTTTTTTTTTTTTGTAGAGATAGGGTTCTGCCATTTTGCCCAAACCCTCTGTGTTTTTTGTTATGGCCATCCTAGTGGGCGTGCAGTGGTATCTCACTGTGGTTTTGACTTGCATTTCCCTGATGACTAATGATGTCGGGCACCTTTTCATGTGCTTATTGGCCATTTGTAGATCTTCTCTGGAGAAATGTCTGTTCACATCCTTTGCCCTTTTTTTTTTTTTTTTTTGAGACAGAGTCTTGCTCTGTCGCCCAGGCTGGAGTGCAGTGGTGTGATCTCGGCTCACTGCAAGCTCCGCCTCCCAGGTTCACGCCATTCTCCTGCCTCAGCCTCCCAAGCAGCTGGGACTACAGGCGCCCGCCACCACGCCCAGCTAATTTTTTGTATTTTTAATAGAGACGGGGTTTCACCGTGTTAGCCAGGATGGTCTCGATCTCCTGACCTCGTGATCCGCCCACCTCGGCCTCCCAAAGTGCTGGGATTACAGGCGTGAGCCACCGCGCCCGGCCCCTTTGCCCATTTTTTAACTGGGTTTTTTTAAATTGATGAATTATTTTTAAAAAGCAAAACTGATGTCTAAGCCTGTTTGAAGAGTATCAGTGTGGCCCATTGTCTCAAGTTGTCACTGTGGGTCAGATATTTTTAAGTTTACATGCATAAGTTTTAGTCACGTGCCGGGCTGTTGGGTTCAGTGGCCCCAGGAGCTCTGTTCACCCGGCACCCGTGTTATACAAGGTGTGGTCCTCAGTGCGTGTCACCGATGCTATCATTGGGAAGCCCCTGCTCCAGACAGGGAAGGGGTGACCACTGTTGCTTTCATGGAGCAAAACGATGCTTGGGTTATCTTCAAGTGCATTATTCCTCTTGGTCACGCTACTGGGATCAGATGTGGGAAATCCGTGTCCCTCATGCTAAAACGTGTGCTTCTTTTGTTTTACCCAGAAGGTGCTAATCGGAAGAAGAACTTGCCCCCCAAAGTGCCCATAACGCCGATGCCACAGTATTCCATTATGGAGACGCCGGTGCTGAAGAAGGAACTGGATAGGTTGGCGGTCTTCAAAGCTTGTTGCCCACAGTGGTCTTTTCCCTCCCATAAGTAACTGGGTTTCACACACCTGGGGGCGGAAGGGCCCCCCGTGTGGTCTCTGGGTCTGGTGGATGCAGCTGGCCTGGGCTTGGGAAGAAAGGTCTGCAGTCAGCTCCTTAGGGAGCATGTGTGACTGCTGGGTGCCGGGGTGAGCCTCCCAGTTCTCTCTGCGTACCATTCCCCAGGGAGGCAACACACAGGATTCGTGCATGTCACCCCTGGGCAGCAGGTCCCCATATTCCATGTAGATGGAAATGGCCCCCTAGCCAGAGCAGTCTGAGTGAGGAGGTCTGATTTTTTTTTTGAAAGACAGAGTCTTGCTCTGTCGCCCAGGCTGGAGTGCAGTGGCGCAGTCCCGGCTCACTGCAACCTCCACCTCCCGGGTTCAAGCGATTCTCCTGACTCAGCCTCCCGAGTAGCTGGGACTACAGGCACACGCCACCACACCAGGCTAATTGTTGTATTTTTAGTAGAGACGGGGTTTCACCATGTTGGCCAGGCTGGTCTCGAACTCCTGACCACGTGATCCACCCGCCTCGGCTTCCCAAAATGCTGGGATTACAGGCGTGAGCCACTGTGCCCGGCGGAGGCCTGATTTTTTTTAAAAGAACATTTAACTCTCACATCCACATGACACTGCTCTTCCACTCGGGCACCCGGGGAAGCTGCTGCTGCCACCATCCCTCAGAACTGGGAGCAGCATATCTTTTGTTTATTTTTTATTTTTGGAGACAGGATCTCACTCTGTTGCCCAGGCTGGAGTAGAGTGATGTGATCTTGGCTCACTGTAGCCTCAGCCTCCCGGGCTTAAGCGATCCTACCTCATCCTCCCTAGTAGCTGGGACTACAGGTGACACCACCACGCCTGGCTAATTTTTGTATTTTTTGTAGAGGCGGGGTCTTGCTATGTTGCCCAGGCTGGCCTTGAACTCCTGAGCTCAAACTGTCCTCCTGCCTCAGCCTCCCAAAGTGCTGGGATTGTAGGCGTGAGCCATTGTGCCTGGCTGGCAATGTTTCTTTTGGAATATTCAGAGTAAGCTTAGTTGGCGCCTAGAATAGACACTAACCTCTGATGCTCACAGAAGTCAGGCATCTATGGTTTGTCACACAAGCCATTCGCTGAATGCATTGGGTATCACTCTTTGCTAAGATAGGGAACGTGGAGTGTGGACCAGCTGTGTGGGTGGGTCCTGAGATCCACCTGTTCCTCCGTCAGGTTTGGAGTCCGCCCTCTGCCTAAACGCCAGATGGTTCTGAAGCTGAAGGAGATATTCCAGTACACTCACCAGACCCTGGACTCAGACTCCGAGGACGAGAGCCAGTCCTCACAGCCGCTGTTGCAGGCGCCTCACTGCCAGACCCTCGCCTCCCAGACCTACAAGCCTTCAAGGGCAGGGGTCCATGCCCAGCAGGAGGCCACCACAGGACCTGGGGCCCATAGGCCCAAGGGACCTGCTAAGACCAAGGGCCCCCGACATCAAAGGAAGCATCATGAAAGCATCACACCCCCAAGCAGGTCGCCCACCAAGGAGGCACCTCCAGGCCTCAATGATGACGCCCAGATCCCAGCCTCTCAAGAATCCGTGGCCACCTCTGTGGATGGCAGTGACAGCTCCTTGAGCTCACAGAGGTAACCGGATGGATGCGATGGGGTCAGTGGCCTCATGTATCCTCTGGCCCGTGGGCGTGAGGGTTGGCACGAGTGAGACCTAATGGCCAATCTTCAAAAACCCCCGTCACCTTCTGGGTTTGACCTGTGGGAAAACCAGGTGGGTTTAGGGGGCTGGTTCCCTGACCCCAGCCCTGCGCAGGCCTCCTGGTTCCTGCCCCACATGCTAGACATTTCTGGCTGGGGCAGGATCCCGCTGGCGTAGCCTGCAGGGATCTCTCAGGCCCGTCCTGCCTTGCTGGGGATCGTGCCACAGGCCAGGCTCCATGGGACCCGTAGACACCTTCCTTCCTTTAAAGAGGCTCATGGTCTCAGGGGCTGGAGAGAAAGGGGTTGCACAACGTCCTGGTCTGGCTCTTTTCAGTTCTTCCTCCTGTGAGTTTGGAGCGGCATTTGAGTCTGCAGGTGAAGAGGAGGGCGAGGGGGAGGTCAGTGCCTCGCAGGCAGCCGTGCAGGCGGCGGACACAGACGAGGCGCTGAGGTGCTACATCCGCTCCAAGCCGGCCCTGTACCAGAAGGTGCTGCTGTACCAGCCCTTTGAGCTGCGGGAGCTGCAGGCAGAGCTGAGGCAGAACGGCCTCCGTGTGTCCTCGCGCAGGCTGTTGGACTTCCTGGACACCCACTGTATCACCTTCACCACTGCCGCCACCCGCAGGGAGAAGCTCCAGGGCAGGAGGCGGCAGCCTCGGGGCAAGAAGAAGGTGGAGCGGAACTGATGGGGCCATCCCGACCCCACCCCAACCTGCCATCAGCAGCCCCCACCCCCGCCATTTGCAGGGAGGACCTGGGACACCCAGCGTGGGTCAGGCCTCCACAGGCATTTCTGGGCCTGGGGACCACATCAGCTCTGCGCTGTGATGATGACCACAGCCCAATCCAGGGCTTCCTCCTCTGGGCTCTGCTTTCTAGGGTGGCATTTGGAGCATGTCACCCACTGGATTTACAGACTCCAGCCCCTTCCTCTGTCCGTGCTCACAGTGTGTCTCCCTTTTTGGTTTTCTTTTTTTTTTTCTTTTTGAGACAGTCGTGCTGTGTCACCTAGGCTGGAGTGCAGTGGCACAATCTCGGCTCACTGCAACCTCCGCCTCCCGGGTTCAAGCAATTCTCCTGCCTCAGCCTCCCAGATAGCTGGGACTACAGGCACACGCTGCCACGCCCAGCTGATTTTTTATATTTTAGTAGAAACGGGGTTTCACCATGTTGCTCAGGCTGGTCACAAACTCCAGAGCTCAGGCAATCCGCCTGCTGCGGCCTCCCAAAGTGCTGGGATCACAGGCGCCAGCCACTGCGCCCGGCCCAGTGTGTCTCCCTTAACCCAAGAGGGCCCTCAGCTGTCCCAGGGGGCAGTGGGCCATCACCAGCTGGCCAGGGCATGGCCTATTCTGCCACATTTGCCACCCTCTGAGCCCACCAGTCCTGGGCACAGCTGCCCTACATGTCTGTCCTGAGATGGACGTCAGGTCCAGCCTGCCCCGGCAGCCCGGGCCCGTCCTCCTCAGCACTCAGGCCAACCCCAGCCACCGCCAGCCTGAGACCAGGTGTCCTGAGGCTCCCTGCACTGCCACAGCCCAGATGCAGTTCTCCTGACCCAGCCGTGCTACCCGGACACTTGTCATTGTTACCAGCAGTCTCCAAACTGGACAGTGCACAAGGGCCCAGAACAACTCTGATGCCACCACAAAACAAACATGTTCACTAGCGGATTCCATTCTTTGGGTTAAAGCTGCCTCCAGCCTCAGGAGCAGTGTGGAGGAAGATGAGGGCCAGGAAAGAAGGAAACCTTGGTTTCTCCATCCTTGTGAATGTCCTCGTCTGTTTCAAATACAGTGCAGTCAGTTTTATATGATGTGCAATAAACCAAAAAGGCTTTATTAAAATCTGGCTGCCACACTCCAGGGAGACCACGAGCGAAACGGGGGACCTGGAGGCACCGTGGCCCCTCAGCCCGTGCCCCACGCCTGCAGAAGTCCCCACCTTGCACCTGCCCTTTACTTTGGAGTAACCTGGGCCTGCTGTCTCCTCATTTCAGTTCCCAGACCAGAGATGCAGATGTTCATCCATTAATCCACACACCCGTATCCAACAGAGCCCTGGCTGGGTGCCAAGCTCCAGCCCCCGCACCTCAAAGTGGGGCCCAAGCACCCCCAGCTGCTGCCTCAGCCGGGAGTTGCTACAAAAGCAGATTCAGGCCCCACCCCACAACTCACCAAGACAGCACATGCCTTTACCATTGCGTCCGGTCCAGTGGAGGAGACAGACGCTGGCCTATCCCAGCCTGGTGGGGAGTCGGGCTCCAGTGGCTTGAAGGGCCGTGTCAGGGACAGCCTCCCAGAAGAGGGGTTTGTGAGCTGCATCTTAGGGCTCAGCAGCATTTAGGGGGTGAAATGTGATTTCTGGCGCACATACTATGTCCTGGCACGTGAACCAGCGGAGAGGCCCAGGCCTCCCAGCTTACGGTGCCCGGGGCGAACAATTTGAGAGGCTGAGATCAGCTGTGATCAATCTGAGGCTGGCCTCTGGCCTGTTTCGGAAGGCATCACGCACTGCTTCCTTGATGGGCTGATCCCCCTCCCTGGTGTTAGGGAAGCGAGAGGGAGTGGTGCAGGTGGGGGACTCGGGGCCCCTGTCCGGCCTCGCAGGGTTTGTGGTTTGGGGAAGTATGTGTTATGTGCCATGACTTGAAAGTTCAGAACTTCAAGGCTGGTAAAGATGGGTTGGGGGAGGGGTTCCAAGTAGTTAACAAGCTGGGTTAGGAGCCTTGAGTGCAGTGTGAGCCCAAGGCCAGGGGAGGCATGGCCTGGGGACTGGATTCGAGCCTTGTGGTGACCTTGGATTCAGTTGGGGCTGCTGGACGCTCCCTGGGCTGACAGCGCTGGGCAGAGGCTTGGTTTATGCACTGCCACCCAGCCAGGGGACTGGATGCTGGCCCTGAACCTGTACAAAGCAGCATTTCCTTGTCCTGAAACAAGCTGTGAAGCAGCTGATTCCTCCAGAGGGAAAGGGTTGAAGGAGTCACTGCAGGAACCCACAGAGGCGTGGTGGCATCCAGGAGTAGACCTGGCCCCTGCTACAGGGATGACGCTGACCCGGGCAACATAAAACTAGGTCCAGTTGACAGATGGAAAATGCCTTCTCACAGCGCCTGCAGCAAGACTGGCAGGCAATGGGGCCTCTTCATGGACAAGGCGAGAGAGAGTTACCTTCCAGGAGTGACTGAGAAGGAAGCTGGCATGCCGGGTGCGGTGGCTCCCACATGTAATCCCAGTGCTTTGGGAGGCCAAGGCAGGAGGATCACTTGAGCCCAGGAGTTTGAGACCAGCCTGGGCAACATAGTAAGGCCAAGTCTCTATTTTGAAAACAATATTAAAAACATTTCTAAAGGGGGAGAATAAAAGACTGGCAGCAGAACTTTCACTGGTAACAACTAAATCAGAAAACGGGTCTGTCTATGCCTCACTGTAATATGAACAGGCCTCCAGGCCTGTCCCACTTTTGGTGGCCCCAACCTGGCATGGCTTGGGCACAGCCCCTCAAGGCAGTCACAGGGGAGCCACACCCCAGCCTGGGCCCAGGCAAGGGCACTTACAAAGAAAGAGCCTGCAGGCAGGGGCCTTGCGCTGTTGCTGAGTTAGGAAGGGCTGAGGTCGCTTCCTGTCTGGCTGACCCCAGCTCTGGGTGGACAGAAAGCCCCAGAGTGAGAACAGTTAGGGAGCCCCCAGCCCAGCACCCCCACCTCCACCAGGAGCCAGGAGGACGGCCCACCTGGTTCTCAGCAGAGCGGGCAGAGTGGGGAATGGGACCAGCCCTGTGTGGACTGATGGACATTCCTGCGAGGGGGAGGAACGGGCGGGGCGGGGCGGGGCGGGGCTGGGCTGGGCTGGGTTGGGCTGCTCCCCAAGATCCCGTGGATGAGGCTGTGTCCTCTCAGGCTCCGCATCCATCCCCCTGAGCCACAAAGGGAGGCAGTGTGAGCCTCTGGCCCCTTTTATGTGACGGATACCCACCGGGCCCTGTGGTTTCCAACATCCTGTGGGCGGCCTGGTTTCAGGCGCCTTTGTTGCTCCCCACAGCCGAGGCTGCAGCTGCTGGGTCTGCACTCTGCCTGCCTGGAGCCTCGGGCAGCCTTCTCGAGGGTCCATCGTGTCCTCCCAGCACCCAGCAGGTTCCTGGGTGCTCAGAAAGCATTGTTGGGAGGGAGGGAGAGGAAGGAGGGACAAAAGAAGGTAGGCAGGCAGGGGAATGTGCAGGAGCACTTCTGGTCTGCTGCCTCAGTTCCCTCCCCCCCATCACCCACACAGGCTCTGGGGAACCAGCTAACCCTCCTACCTCCCCTGAGCCACAAGCTGCTCTATGAGTCCAGACCCACTACTCTCCTGCTCTACAACCATTGCTGGCTCCCACTTGCTTGCTGAGGAAAATTCAGACCCCAGGACCCCTGTCCCTTGGCTCCCACCTTGTCACCTCCTTCCCTCAGTGGCCCCATGTTGCTTGCTCCCTGTCCCCAGCGGATGTCCCATACTTTATTGTAATTTTTCTCATGTGGCTTGCTCTGGGCCATGTCCTTCCCCCTCACGCCCTTCCCTGTCAGGGCAGGCCACCCACTGAGGTCCACTTCCAGGGGCCGAGTGCGATCTCCTGCCGCGGACGGCAACATTCTGCTGTTTCCTCTTAGGGTACAGGTGACCTGCCTCTGGGGAGCCCTTTGCTCACAGGAAGATGTTATGGGGCACAGCTGAGTCAGAGGTGCCTACTGGGTGACAGAGAGAAAAGAAAGCAAGAGGTGTTAAAAGAGGGAGCACAGTGGCTCACACCTGTTATCTCCGTGTTTTGGGAGGCCAAGGCAGGAGGATCACTTGAGCCCCAGGAGGTAGAGGCTACAGTGAGCCGAGATCACACCACTGCACTCCAGTCTGGGTGACAGAGCAAGATCCTGTCTCAAAAAATAAATAGGCTGGGCGCAGTGGCTCACGCCTGTAATCCCACCCCTTTGGGAAGCCAAGGTGGGTGGATCACCTGAGGTCAGGCGTTCAAGACCAGCCTGGCCAACATGGCAAAGCCCCTCCTCTGCTAAAAATACAAAAATTAGCGGGGCATGGTGGCGCATGCCCGTAATCCCAGCTACTCAGGAGGCTGAGGCAGGAGAATCTCTTGAACCTGGGAGGGGGAGGTTGCAGTGAGCCGAGATCGTGCCATTGCACTCCAGCCTGGGCAACAGAGCGAGACTCTGTCTCAAATAAATAAATTAAATAAATAAATAAGGAGAGCCACAGGGGTGGCCTGGAGGTGGCAGGGCACAGTCCAGTCCTGCTGGGGTCACCCTCTAGTTGCGTGACCTCAGGCTGCTCACTTGATTTCCTGACCACCCGCCTGAAAACAAGCATTTGTTGATGGCGGGGCAGCTTCCTTTGTGGCGGGATGGAGGTGATGTGTCAACAGCCTTGGCACCAGCCACTTTATCCTGAGCATGCCACCTGCAGGGACACTTAATCCCAGAGTCAAGACCCCCAGCATCGCCCCCGCACTTAACTTGCACGGGGGCGGTGACCAAGCCAGGGTGCCCCGGCTCCTCGATGTGTCTGCGAGGCTGTTGGCTGTTGAAATCAGACAGGAAGGAAGAATGAGGTGGAGCCCAGCACAGGAAGAGGTGAGGACCCGGAGCCACAGGGACAGCCGGTGGGCTCGGTGGGGCTGCAGAAGGTCGGGGCTGCACTGCTCTCGGCCCCCACACGGTTGGTTGGTTGGCGTGGTAAGTGCCCTGATCCCTGGTCCTGAGAACTCAGGCTGGCACAGGGATTCCCAGGGCATCTACCACCACGCAGCTGGAGCAGGGCTGAGCCCAGGAGCATGGAGATGGACGCCCCCAGGCCCCCCAGTCTTGCTGTCCCTGGAGCAGCATCGAGGCCCGGGAGGTAAGTTGGGTCCAGGTGACCTCAGTGCAGGGCAGGGGAGGGAGAAGGGATGCTGGCAGGAAGGACAGTGGCCTTAAGGCCTGAGCTACTCTGGGGAGGGGGACTGGGGAGACTCCACGAGACTCCAAGAAGCTGTCTCCTGGGGCAGGACTGGCTCATGCTGTAGAAAAAAGAGATGTGGCCAGGCACGGTGGCTCACGCCTGTAATCCCAACACTTTGGGAGGCCAAGGTGGGCGGATCACTTGAGGTCAGGACTTTGAGACTAGCCTGGCCAACATGGTGAAACCCCATCTCTACTAAAAATAAAAAATAAATTAGCCAGGCATGTTGGCAGACGCCTGTAATCCCACCCAGCTAGTCGGGAGGCTGAGGCAGGAGAACCGCTTGAACCCGGGAGGCGTAGGTTGCAGTGAGCCGAGATCGAGCCACTGCACTCAATCCTGGGTGACAAAGCGAGACTGTCTCCAAAACAAAACAAAACAAAACAAAAAAGAAAAGAAAAAACAGGTAACTAAGAATGGCCCAGGACAGGTCCCAGGGACAAAACCCAGCTCCCCCAGGTACCAGTGATGGCCCAGGAGAAGCAGGAAGCATCTTGAAGGTGCTGCGGGCAGGCAGTGGTGATGCTGAGCCACGGCCTGGGGAATCGGCAGACCTGGGCACCCTTCCTGGCACTGGGACCCCCCATGGGAGGCTACTTCTCTGGGCCTCAGCACCCCACCTGTAGATGGAGGTGACAGCACAGGAGGGGCGAGGTCATGAGGGGCAGGGAGGGTGCAGGCGCCGCCCCCAGGCGAGTGGGCAGCCCCAGGGCCTCTCCTGCCCACAGCCTTGGGTGAGACAAGGGTCGAGAGAGACGGCAACCG
Organism: Homo sapiens; assembly: GCF_000001405.40. Classification (NCBI taxonomy): domain Eukaryota; kingdom Metazoa; phylum Chordata; class Mammalia; order Primates; family Hominidae; genus Homo; species Homo sapiens. The sequence continues at coordinate 3,576,281 of NC_000016.10, read as the reverse complement.
CAGAGGCCTTCTCGGAAGAAGTGCCACTGCCCTGGGCCAGCCTGGGTGTTGGCTGCAGGGTCTTCCCCTATGGCCAGGCTCCAGAGGCCCTGGTGTTTTTCTGGACCCCTCCCTGGAGGTGACCCTGAGCCTGGGGCTCACTGTTGGCCATCACAGGCTGCAGGCTGCACCCCTCTTCTTCTGTCCCAGGGTGCTGGGCTCCCCAGGGCTGGGCCTCTCCACCCCTTGGACTCCAGGGGTCCATGCAGTGAGCAGGGTAGGGCCCTGAGGTGCAGGTGCCACTTCCTTCTTCCTTCGGGAAGGCTTTTGAGCTCAAGTGATGATGCTGGGGCCACCTCGAGAGAACCGAGTCCTGAATTCCAAGGCCCTGGGAGGGGGCAGGGGCAGGATGTGGGAAGAGAGGAGCATCCAAGCAGCCGTGGTGGGAGATACTGGCAGCCCAGGTAGGCAGCCAGCACTGGGAAGTCCCACCCGGGCGCCAAGTGGCAGGGAAGGACCCAGCAGGTCCCGGCAAGGACTGAGGCACAGATCAGGTGGGCGGGTGATGGGCAGAGGCGGCTAGTCCGTCGGGACTGAGGCTTCTCAGGAATGAGGCAGCAGGCCACTTGCTGAGCCTGAGGAACTGGGCTTGAGCCCACACCACACCAGGAAGGCCTCAGGTTCACCTTCGCTCACAGACAAAGCTCTAGGGGTGAAACCTGGTGCTACCTGGGAGGCTCCCGGGGAGGAGGCAGCAGTGGCACCTACTCGTCCCTCTGGCCTCGCCCTGCTCGCAGCAGCTCAAACCAGCTGTGGAGCGACCTCTGGCCTTCAGATCCCCCAAAGCAACCCGAGTCCCACCTGTCCTCAGTCTCTCTGTCTTTCAGCTGCGCTCACAGGGGCCGCCTGACCATCCATAGTGGCGTCTGCGGCCTCGCGACCTCACTCGGCTGAGAGGTCTGTGGAAGGCTCCAGCCTGCCAGGGGGATGTTAGGGCTGCGTGCAGGGCCTGGCAGCGGTGGCAGCCAGGTAACCAGCCCCCATCAGCCTTTGGGGCTGGTCCTGGGAGGTGCTGGCAATGGCAGGGGGGTTGGTTCACCTGCACCCCCTCCTCTGTCCTTCTTAGGGACAGTGTCCAGGATGAAAGCCACGTTTCGTCTGAATGGGGCCTGAGCAGGGATGCCAGATCAGATACAGGACACTTGGTCAAATGTGAATTTCAAATAATCCATTTCTTTGGTATGTCTCCAGTATGACATAAGCTATGCTTATACTAAAAATTATATGTCGTTTATCTGAAATTTAATTATCTGTGGATATCTCATATTTTATCATTATTTTTTGAGACAGTCTCGCTCTGTCACCCAGGCTGGAGTGCAGTGGCGTGATCTTGGCTCACTGCAGCCTCCACCTCCTGAGTTCAGGCGATTCTCCTGCCTCAGCCTCCAGAGTAGCTGGGACTACAGACATCCACCACCACGCCCAGCTAATGTTTGTATTTTTCGTAGAGATGGGGTTTCGCCATGTTGGTCAGGCTGGTCTTGAACTCCTGACCTCAAGGTGATCTGCCCACCTCAGCCTCCCAAAGTGCTAGGATTACAGGCATGAGCCACTGTGCCCAGGTTTGTCTTGTATTTTAATTTGCTGAATCTGGCAACCCTGGACCCAAGGTCATGGGGCCACAAAGATGGGTGTCTGATCAGGAGGGAGTGCTGACTCCCAATACTGAGAGACTAATGAGGCCACAGAGGCAGGGGTGCTTGCCAGCCCCCTACACCCCGTCCCCGCCTTCCCAGGCGCTTGTGAGTCCTGCCTCGCCCCAACCCCTCACTCCTGCCAGCACTGTCCCTCCCTCATTCCTCTCCCAGCCCCGCTCGGGTCCCGTGGTTCTCAACTCTGGTTAGAACCACCGGAGGAGCTTAAACTAGATCCACGTGGGGGCCCTTGCCAGACCAATCAAATCTCTGGGTGGTCAGGCCGAGCGTTGGTTATTTAAAAGCCGTGCTCCACAAGGCCGGGCGCAGTGGTTCACACCTGTAATCCCAGCACTTTTGGAGGTCAGGAGTTCAAGACCAGCCTGGCCAACATGGTGAAACCCTGTCTCTACAAAAATACAAATGGTATTGATGGTGGGTGCCTATAATCCCAGTTACTGAGGACCCTGAGGCGGGAGAATCACTTGAACCCAGGAGGCAGAGGTTGCAGTGAGACGAGATAGTGCCACGACACTCCAGCCTAGGCAACAGAGTGAGACTCTATCTCAAAAAAAAAAAAAAAAAAAAAAAAAAAAAAAAAGATAAAATGGTTACAATGGGCCAAGCATGGTGGTCCTCACCTGTACCTGTAATCCCAGCTACTTGGGAGGCTGAGGTGGGAGAATCACTTGAGCCCAGGAGGTCGAGGCTGCAGTGAGCCAAGATCGTACCACTGCACTCCAGCCTGGGCAACAAAGCAGGACCCTGTCTTTATTTTTTAGCGACAAAGCAAGACCCTGCCTCTATTTTTTAAGGAAAATTATTTTTAAAATGGTTAAAATGGTAAATTTTGTGTTATGTGTATTTTACCAAAATTTTAAATCAATCAATCAATAAGACCCCAAATGATGCCCTACCAGAGCTGAGACTTCTTCCACGCAGTCCTCTCATCCTCCTGGCCACTCCCGCCCCCAGCAGCAGGGCTGGTCACCTGGTGGGTGCACATGGACATCCAACAACAGGAGGCTGTGTCCACCTGGGCCACACCCTAATGTCACACAGTGAAGGACAGAGGACCCCGTATCCTGGCCTCTGGCATATCAGGCAGACAGTAGCACTGCTTCATTTGGGCTGACATACCTTTGAATGTTTAGATAATTGCTAGCTTTTGTGTGTGTGTGTGAGACAGGGTCTTGCTCTATCACTCAGGCTGGAGTGGAGTAGTGAGATCTCAGCTAACTGCAGCCTTGACGGCGGGAGTTAAGCGATCCTCCCACCTCAGCTTCCTTGAGTAGCTGGGATTACAGGCATGCGCCACCGTGCTCAGCTAATTTTTTTTTTTTTGTACTTTTTATAGAGACAGGGTTTTGCCCATGTTGCTCAGGCTGGTCTCAAACTCCCGGGCTCAAGCAATCCACCCACCTTGGCCTCCTAAAGTGCTGGGATTACAGGGGTGAGCCATGGTGCCCAGCCTCCATCCCTCCTTTTGATGTTTTTTAATTTCTCTCAGTAATGTTTTATAGTTTTCAGTATAGAGGTCTTGCAAATTTTGCTAGATTTATTCCTAGATATTTGATTTTTTTTTTTTTTTTTTTTTGAGATAGAGTCTTGCTCTATCGCCCAGGCTAGAGTGCAGTGGCACCATCTCGGCTCACTGCAACCTCCACCTCCTGGGTTCAAGCAATTCCCTGCCTCAGCCTCCTGAGTAGCTGGGATTACGGTCACCCACCACCATGCCCAGCTAATTTTTGTATTTTTAGTAGAGACGGGGTTTCACCATGTTGGCCAGACTGGTCTCGAACCCCTGACCTCAGATGATCTGCCTGCCTTGGCCTCCCAAAGTGCTAGGATTACAGGTGTGAGTCACCGCGCCTGGCCCACATATTTCTTTAGGATAAATTCCCAGAAGTGGAATTTCTAGGACAAAAGATATTTAATGACAACAGATAATGGTTATTATAATCCAGAATTGTTATACTAATTTATACTTCCACCCACTATGAATTAAGATTCCCACTACAGGCCTGGCACAGTGGCTCATGCCAATAATTCCAGCACTTTGGGAGGCCAAGGTGGGAAGATTGCTTGACCCCAGAAGTTGGAGACCAGCCTAGGCAACATGGCAAGACCCTGTCTCTACAAAAAATACAAAAATTAGCTGGATGTGGTAGCATGCGCCTGTAGTCCCAGCTACTTTGGAGGATCACTTGAGCCCAGGGAAGTTGAGGCTGCAGTGAACCCTGATCATGCCACTGCACTCCAGCCTGGGTGACACAGTGAGATCCTGTCTCAAAAAAAAAAAAAATTTCCCACTACCTCCATGTTCTCACCAATGCAGTCTGTTATGTTATAATATTCACCAATGAGACGTATGAAAAATGATAGTTTATTCTTTTGCTTTTTTCTTGATCCTTAGTGACACTGAGCATCTTTTCAATATCTTGGTCATTTATACTTCTATGAATTATCTGTGTCCTTTTTTCTATTTCATTTGGGGTTCATAATTCTGTTTGGTTACTTATTATTGATTTATAAGTTCTTTATATATTAAGGATATTCATATTTTTCCATGTATGTTGCAAATGTTGACTCCTGGCTTATAGTTTTTCTTTCAACTTTATGGCATCTATTATTACTTATAAATATTTTAATTATTATTATTATTTTTTGAGATGGAGTCTCGCTCTGTCACCCAGGCTGGAGTGCAGTGGCGCCATCTTGGCTCACTGCAACCTCTGCCTCCCGGGTTCAAGCGATTCTCCTGCCTCAGCCTCCCGAGTAGCCGGGACTACAGGCACGTGCCACCACGCCCAGCTAATTTTTGTATTTTTAGTAGAGATGGGGTTTCACCATGTTGGCCAGGCTGGTCTTGATCTCTTGACCTTGTGATCCACCCGCCTCAGCCTCCCAAAGTGCTGGGATTACAGGCGTGAGCCACCACGCCTGGCAAATATTTTAATTATTTAATATCAAACTAAATATTTAATTATTTAATATTTTAATTCAATTAAGACAAATTTACTAGTCTCCCTCTTCATGAATTCTGCTTTTTTTTTTTTTTTTTAAAGCCAGGGTCTTGCTCTGTCACCCAAGCTGGATTGCAGTGGCACAATCATAGCTCACTGCAGCCTCAGCCTCCTGAGCTCAAGGGGTCCTCCTACCTCAGCCTCCCCATAGCTAGTTCCACAGGTGCCCACCACCAGCCCCATCTATTTTTTTTTTTTTGTAGAGATGGTGTGTCACTATGTTGCCCAGGCTGACACTTCTGAGTTTTACGTCTCACTGTAAAAAACCTTTACCTAAATAATATTTTAAAATATTATCTCATATTTTCTTATTGTGCTTTTATGGTTTTGTGTTTACAACTTTTAACTCCTTAATTGACCTGAAAATAAATTTTGTGTTTAATGTGAATTACAGCTGGAAAATATTTTTCATAGGCTGGTCAATTGCCCCAATGCCATTTTCACTGATTTGAAATGCTATTTTTGTCATGTTACCAAACTCCTTAATGTGTAGATATTATAAATATATATTTGTTCCTGGCCTCTATATCCTATTCTGTTGACTTATGTATCTATTCTTGTGCTAGCCCACACATTTTTTACATATATGGAATATATACATCTTCTATTTAATAATACAAATGGAAGACTGTATTCTAGAATGCAAGGTTGGTTCAATATCAGAAAATCATTTAGTGTAGCTCATGGATTCCAGGAGAGATCTGATATCCATTGCTCATGTCACTCCCCCCAGTGGCTCCCCTCCATACTTAGAACAAATCCAAACTCCTTACAACAACGGTGACTGGCTTTTCCAGCCCTGAGGGGGTGGTGCCACTTGCTCACTTACCATGTTCCAGCAACATTTCCTCTAAGCACTTGCTGTTTCCTTGGCCTGAAATGTCCCTCCCCTAGCTCTCTGCATGACTCTTTCTCACCCTCTCTACTCCTAGGTAGCTTTTTCTCAGAGGCCTCTCACAGCAGCCTTCCCCAGCCGCCAATTACCACCTCTGCTCCTCCTCCCCCTAGAATTCCAGGCTTCTTTGTCACTCACAGTTTATTCCACTCACAGCACTAACCACCAGCAGAAACTGCCTTGCTTATTGACTTGTTTTCCTTTCCATTGCCATTATCCCTTACCCGTCAAACCGCAGGTCAAGGACTTGATCTAACTTGGTCACCTTCACATCCCCAGGGCCTAGAACATACAACAGGCTCTCCATAAATATTTGCTGGTTGAATAAATGAAGAGAAATAAATCATATGTTTATATCAATATATGCTAAAAAGTAATTTGCTAATTTAACAGATATTCCTTATCTTAAAAAATTTTGCCCAGGCACGGCAGCTCACACCTGTAATCTCAGCACTTTGGGAGGCTGAGGTGGGTGGATCACTTGAGGTCAGGAGTTGAGACTCTGTCTCAAAAAAAAAAAGTGTAAACTACCTTAAGAGGCAGTAGATTATACAGCACACGCACTGGTGTCAGTGAGGAATTGATTTCTATCCCAACTCCCACTTCCCAGCTGTGTATCCTTGGACAAGTCACTTAACCTCTCTGAGCCTCAGTGTCTTCATCTGTAAAATGGGAGAAATAATGGTATTGAGAGTTATGAGAAATAAATTATGGAAATACAGTGCTTAACAGAATATGCAGAACACAGTATGCCTTCAGTAAATATTACATAATAGTATTTGAATGGTAATAGAACAAAATAAATCTTTCTCTATCGGAGAAGAAAACTAGAAATCTGTCACAAACATCACACCTAACAGTTTGGGCAAGAACCACTCCTGGTCTAGTCTAGAGTAAAACAAGAAGGCCTGCAACAACCTTATTGCTCCAAGGAAGGGGTAGGCCTGGCCAATGTGGTAAAATTGTTCAAAATAAGAGTTATAGTTTTTGGGCTGGGCACGGTGGCTCACACCTACAATCCGAGCACTTTGGGAGGCCAAAACGGGTGGATCACTTGAGGTCAGGAGTTCAAGACCAGTCTGGTCAACATGGTGAAACCCCATCTCTACTAAAATACAAAAATTAGCCAGGCATGGTGGTGCGTGCCTGTAATCCCAGCTACTGGGGAGGCTAAGGCAGGAGAATCACTTGAACATGGGAGGTAGAGGCTACAGTGAGATCGTGCCACTGCACTCCAGCCTGGGTGACAGTGCGAGACTCCACCTCAAAAAAAAAAAAAAAAAAAAAAAATAATATATATATATATATATATATATGGTTTTCAGAAATAAAGAGATAAAAATTCTTCTTGCTGAAGAATTTTTTTTTTTTTTTGAGATGGTGTCTCTCTCTGTCACCCCGGCTGGAGTGCAGTGGTGCGTTTTCGCCTCACTGCAACCTCCTCCTCTCGGGTTCAAGCGATTCTCCAACCTCAGTGTCCCCAATAGCTGGGATTACAGGCACACGCCATCACACCCAGCTAACTTTTGTATTTTTAGTAGAGATGGGGTTCCGCCATGTTGGCCAGGCTGGTCTCGAACTCCTGACCTCAAGTGATCTGCCCACCTTGGCCTCCCAAAGTGCTGGGATTATAGGTGTGAGCCACCACGCCCAGCCTTGCTGAAGTAATTTGAAAACCTGAAGAAAATTAACTGGAAAATGATGAAAACCAATGTGAATATTTAATATGTTGATGAGACATGCAATAAAATAAAAATCAATCATCTTTTATACCAACAATATTCATCATACGACAAAAACTGTTTTTAAAAATACCTAGATACAAATAAGGAACTGGCAAGACCGAGATGAGAAAAAATATAAAGTTTTACAGAAGGATCTAAAGAAGGACCTCAAATTACCCACATGGACCCATACACATGAGGCAATGTCAATTCAAATCCCATCTTTTTTTTTCTCCTAAGACAGGGTCTCACTCTGTTGCCCAGGCTGGAGTGCAATGGTGCAATCTCTGCTCATTGCAGCCTCAACCTCCCAGGCTCAAGCAGTCCTCTCACCTCAGCCTACTGAGTAGCTGGGACTACAGGCGTGAACCACCATGCCTGGCTAATTTTTAATTTTTATTTTGTAGAGCTACGGTCTCACTACTTTGCCCAGGCTGGTCTCAAACTCCTGGGCTCAAGTGATCCTCCTACCTCAGCCTCCCAAAGTGCTGGAATGACAAGCATGAGCCACTGTGCCTAGCCCAAAATCCCATATTTTTTATCCCTCTTGGTTTTGACATTTAGAAGAATAAAAGAACAGGCTTTGGGGCAGCATAAGGAGACTGGCCTTGCCCTGGCCTGTTCCTAATGTTCCAGGTTAGTTCAGCTGGCCTGGGTGCCAGCAACCTCAAATTGATCGCACTCCTTACTTCTTCAACACCATGACCTGAATGCCTGAAAAATGGTATTTTACTTATTTTTACTTTACTGTTTTACTTATTTTTACTTTACTATTTACTTATTGCTAAGCTTCTTTTATCATTTTCCAGATAAAAAGCATCACCTGTGTTAAAATGCTAGGCTCGGCTGAGGTGGGCAGATCACAAGGTCAAGAGTTCAAGACCAGCCCGGTGAGCAAGGTGAAACCCTGCTTCTACTAAAATTACAAAAATTAGCCAGGTGTGGTGGCATGTGCCTGTAATCCCAGATACTTGGGAGGCTGAGGCAGGAGAATTGCTTGAACCTGGGAGGCAGAAGTTTCAGTGAGCTGAGATCACGCCATTGCACTCCAGCCTGGGCAACACAGCAGACTCCGTCTCAAAAAAAAAAGAAAGAAAGAAAAAGCTAGGCTCCCCACTGCTAATCCAAGGCCAGGGAGCCTGCTGAATCCCAGGGCTGCAGACAGCAAGCTTTTTTTTTTTTTTTTTTTTTTGAGATGGAGTCTCGCTCTGTTGCCCAGGCTGGAGTGCAGTGGCGTGATCTCAGCTCACTGCAACCTCTGCCTTCCAGGGTCAAGCAATTCTCCTGCCTCAGCCTCTCGAGTACCTGGGATTACAGGCGCCCACCACCATGCCCAGCTCATTTGTATTATTAGTAGAGATGGGGTTGCACCATGTTGGCCAGGCTGGTCTTGAACTCCTAACCTCAGGTGATCCGCCTGCCTCAGCCTCCCAAAATGCTGGGATTACAGGCGTGAGCCACACCGCCCAGCCTAACAGCAAGCTAAACATTGAGAACCAGGGAAATGCCCTGTGGACAGGTGGGGTCCAACCTGCTTCTCTATGCAGTGACAACACCTGGTGTTATTTTTGAATGCAGGGCTGCCATCAGCAGCAGTGAGCCATCACCTCTGCTGGCCACATTGTGTTTTTTCTCCTAGAACTGTGGACAACGGAAGGCTGAGCCCCATCCATTGAGTTCCTGGGGCCCCACTGGAGGGGCTGCTGTGGCCAGGGTGCACGGTGAGGAGGCGAGCAGGGTGGGTGGGGGCGAGTTCCCGGCCTTAGTGTACAGCTTGGGTGTGGGAGGGCTGTGGGGGCGGGGGGACAACCAGCCTTGGCAACAAGGAGGCAAATGGGAGTGGGGGGCCTTGGCTTTGCCTCTCAGCATCTCTGCATCACAATCCCCACGAGCAGAGGGCAAACAGCACTGCTGGGAGCCCAGGAGCTCCTGCACTCCCAGGAGACCCCAGGAACATAGTAAGAAAAACAGCCGCTCTGAGAACCAGCGTTTTCTCCTTTTTGACTCCTCCTTCTTCTATCTTTTATTTCCTTTTTTTAATTAATAAGCTTTTCCTTGTAAAGCAATTTTAGGCTTACGGAGTCTCGCTCTTCCCCTCCGACTGGAGTGCAGTGGCGCAATCTCAGCTCATTGCAGCCTCTACCTTCCAGGTTCAAGTGATTGTCCTGCCTCAGCCTCCTGAGTAGCTGGGATTACAGGCACCAGCCACCACGCCTGGCTAATTTTTTTTTTTTTTTTTATACGGAGTTTCGTTCTTGTTGCCCAGGCTACAGTGCAATGGCATGATCTCAGCTTACTGCAACCTCTGCCTCCCGGGTTCAAGTGATTCTCCTGCCTCAGCCTCCTGAGTAGCTGGGATTACAGGCATGTGCTGCCACACTTGGCTAATTTTGTATATTTAATAGAGATGGGGTTTCTCCATGTTGGTCAGGCTGGTCTTGAACTCCTGACCTCAGGTGATCTGCCCACTTCGTCCTCCCAAAGTGCTGGGATTACAGGCGCGAGCCACCCTCCCCGGCTAATTTTTGTATTTTCAGTAGAGACAGGGTCTCACCATATCGGCCAGGCTGGTCTCAAATTCCTGACCTCAAGTGATCTGCCCGCCTCGACCTCCCAAAGTGCTGGGCTTACAGACATGAGCCACCGCGTCTGGCCAGGTTTACAGAAAAATTGATGGGAAAGTACAGAGACTTCCCATACACCCCATGCCTGCCCCCACCCAGACTCTGTCACTATCACCGTCCCCTGCCACAGTGGTCCATTGATTATAATCAGTAAACCTACACGGACATGTCGCCATCACCCAATGTCCATAGTGTATACTCTGGCTCATTCTTTTTTTTTTTTTTTTTTTTTTTTTTTGCTTTTTGCTCTAACTCAGGAGCAAGAAGAGTTAAGTTTTTTGTTTTATTTTGTTTTTCTTAGAGATGGGGTCTTGCTCTGTCACCCAGGCTGGAGTGCCGTGGTGTGATCATGGCTCACTGCAGCTTTGACCTCCTGGGCTCAAGCGATCCTGCTGCCTTGGCCTCCCAAGTAGCTGGGACTACTGGCACACACCCCATACCAGGCTAATTTTTAAAAAATTTTAGAGATGGGTTCTCACTATGTTGCCCAAGCTGGTCTCAAACTCCTGGGCTCAAGCGATCCATCACCTCAGGCTCCCAAAGTGTTGGGATTAAAGGTGTGAGTCACTGTGCCCAGCCATGGGCTCACTCTTGGAGTTGTACGTTCTGTGGGTCTGGACAAATGTATAATGATAATGACATGGACCCACCACTGTAGTACCCTACAGAGTCATGTTACTGCCCTAGGAATTGTCTGTGTTCCACCGATTCACCCCTCCTCCCCAACCCTTGGCCCCCACTGACCCTTTCTTTCACTGTCTTCCTGTCTCCATACTTTTGCCTTTTCCAGAATGTTAGTCAGAATCACACAGTGTAGCGTCCCCAGAGTGGCTGCTGCTGCCTTTTTTTTTTTTTTTTTTTTTTTTTTTTGCTTTTTCCCACATGTTCCAACAGAGTACCTTCTTTCATTCCTCCCTCCTTTTGAGCAAACTTACTTGTAACCTCATCATCATTTCCAGGTCACAAATGAAGACACCAAGGCGCAGAGAGGTGACTCAGCCTGCCCTCAGTCACCTATCTGGTAAGTGGCAGGGCCGGGGTACAAGCTCAGGGCCCCAGTTATCATCCACTGGGCCCCTGCATTCGTGTGATCATTGCTACCACCCAGGAACAAATGGCCCTTCCAGTCCATTCTCAGAGGCCAGGCCAGTGGGCCACCCAAAGGCTGAGGAAAGAGGAAGAGGGGATCCCTGACCCCGTTCCTGGGGACTTGCTCACCTGTCCCAGGCTGCTGGATGGGGGGCACGGCAGGCAGCAGGTTCAGGCCCTCTCTTCACAGCTCCTGGAGGTGATCCCCGACTCCATGAGGAAGCAAGAGGTGCGGACGGGCAGGGAGGCCGGCCAGGGCCACGGTACGGGCTCCCCAGCCGAGCAGGTGAAAGCCCTCATGGATCTGCTGGCTGGGAAGGGCAGTCAAGGCTCCCAGGCCCCGCAGGCCCTGGATAGGACACCGGATGCCCCGCTGGGGCCCTGCAGCAATGGTAGGACCGGCTTGGGAGGCAGACGCGGGGTGGGGAACACCTGGGCTGATTGTGCCCACTCTTCCCTTACCAGACCTCCCCACTGGCCTCTGTCCCGCAGACTCAAGGATACAGAGGCACCGCAAGGCCCTGCTGAGCAAGGTGGGAGGTGGCCCGGAGCTGGGCGGACCCTGGCACAGGCTGGCCTCCCTCCTGCTGGTGGAGGGCCTGACGGACCTGCAGCTGAGGGAACACGACTTCACACAGGTGGAGGCCACCCGCGGGGGCGGGCACCCCGCCAGGACCGTCGCCCTGGACCGGCTCTTCCTGCCTCTCTCCCGGGTGTCTGTCCCACCCCGGGTCTCCATCACTATCGGGGTGGCCGGCATGGGCAAGACCACCCTGGTGAGGCACTTCGTCCGCCTCTGGGCCCATGGGCAGGTCGGCAAGGACTTCTCGCTGGTGCTGCCTCTGACCTTCCGGGATCTCAACACCCACGAGAAGCTGTGTGCCGACCGACTCATCTGCTCGGTCTTCCCGCACGTCGGGGAGCCCAGCCTGGCGGTGGCAGTCCCAGCCAGGGCCCTCCTGATCCTGGACGGCTTGGATGAGTGCAGGACGCCTCTGGACTTCTCCAACACCGTGGCCTGCACGGACCCAAAGAAGGAGATCCCGGTGGACCACCTGATCACCAACATCATCCGTGGCAACCTCTTTCCGGAAGTTTCCATCTGGATCACCTCCCGTCCCAGTGCATCTGGCCAGATCCCAGGGGGCCTGGTGGACCGGATGACGGAGATCCGGGGCTTTAACGAGGAGGAGATCAAGGTGTGTTTGGAGCAGATGTTCCCCGAGGACCAGGCCCTTCTGGGCTGGATGCTGAGCCAAGTGCAGGCTGACAGGGCCCTGTACCTGATGTGCACCGTCCCAGCCTTCTGCAGGCTCACGGGGATGGCGCTAGGCCACCTGTGGCGCAGCAGGACGGGGCCCCAGGATGCAGAGCTGTGGCCCCCGAGGACCCTGTGCGAGCTCTACTCATGGTACTTTAGGATGGCCCTCAGCGGGGAGGGGCAGGAGAAGGGCAAGGCAAGCCCTCGCATCGAGCAGGTGGCCCATGGTGGCCGCAAGATGGTGGGGACATTGGGCCGTCTGGCCTTCCATGGGCTGCTCAAGAAGAAATACGTGTTTTACGAGCAAGACATGAAGGCGTTTGGTGTAGACCTCGCTCTGCTGCAGGGCGCCCCGTGCAGCTGCTTCCTGCAGAGAGAGGAGACGTTGGCATCGTCAGTGGCCTACTGCTTCACCCACCTGTCCCTGCAGGAGTTTGTGGCAGCCGCGTATTACTATGGCGCATCCAGGAGGGCCATCTTCGACCTCTTCACTGAGAGCGGCGTATCCTGGCCCAGGCTGGGCTTCCTCACGCATTTCAGGAGCGCAGCCCAGCGGGCCATGCAGGCAGAGGACGGGAGGCTGGACGTGTTCCTGCGCTTCCTCTCCGGCCTCTTGTCTCCGAGGGTCAATGCCCTCCTGGCCGGCTCCCTGCTGGCCCAAGGCGAGCACCAGGCCTACCGGACCCAGGTGGCTGAGCTCCTGCAGGGCTGCCTGCGCCCCGATGCCGCAGTCTGTGCACGGGCCATCAACGTGTTGCACTGCCTGCATGAGCTGCAGCACACCGAGCTGGCCCGCAGCGTGGAGGAGGCCATGGAGAGCGGGGCCCTGGCCAGGCTGACTGGTCCCGCGCACCGCGCTGCCCTGGCCTACCTCCTGCAGGTGTCCGACGCCTGTGCCCAGGAGGCCAACCTGTCCCTGAGCCTCAGCCAGGGCGTCCTTCAGAGCCTGCTGCCCCAGCTGCTCTACTGCCGGAAGCTCAGGTGGATACCAGGGCAGGGGGCAGGGGCTGGGGAAGGGGCAGAGGAGAGAGCAGAAGCCGTCCCCTCCCCACCACCAAGCTTCTCTGTCAGTCTCCTAGGGCTGCCGTAACAGAGGACCATGAACTTGGTGGCTTAAAACAACTAAAGTGTGTTTTCTCGCAGTTCTGGAGGCCAGAAGTCTCAAATCAAGGTGCCAGGAGGGCCATGCGCTCTCTGAAACATATAGGAGAGGTTCTTTCCTTCCTCTCTAGCTTCCAGTGTTTGATGGGAACCCTTGGCTTAAGGCTGCGTTACTTCAGTCTCTCCCGTCGCCTGGTCATCTTCTCCCTGTGTCTGTCTCCACATGGTGCTGTCCTCTCTTTTTTTTTGAGATGGAGTCTTGCTCTGTCGCCCAGGCTGGAATACAGTGGCGCGATCTCAGCTCACTGCAAACGCTGCCTCCTGGGTTCAAGCGATTCTCCTGCCTCAGCCTCCCTAGTAGCTGGGATTACAGGTGCCCGCCATCATGCCTGGCTAATTTTTGTGTTTTTAGTAGAGACGGGGTTTCACCATGTTGGCCAGGCTGCTCTCAAACTCCTGACCTCAGGTGACCCGCCCACCCCAGCCTCCCAAATTGCTGGGATTACAGGCCTGAGCCACTGCACCTGGCCAGTGCTTTCTTGTCTTAAAAAGACACTGTCACACTGGATTACAGGCTCACCCCACTTCAGCATGGCCCCACCTTAACAAAGTACATCCACAGTGACCCCATTTCTCAATAAAGCCACATACTTGGGGCACAGGGGGTTAGGACTTCATATCTTTTGTGGGGACACAATTCAATTCATAACCCCCTCAGAACCATCCAGTCTGATAGAAGCTGCACACCCGCTGAATGCTTTCAGCCTGTCCCCTGCCCGCCACTCTGGACCTTAGTGAGTAGGGAGGAAAGGACACAGGCTGAGGGTCATCCAGGTGTCCCGCAGAGGCAGGCGGTATGTGGGGTGGTGAGGACGACAGCCCGTGGAAGATGCCGTTCTGCACAGGAACCGCAGGTCTCGTGGGCACCCAGCCTCCTGTTCACTCTCACGGGAAAGGTCTGAGCACTGGGGCTGAGCGCAGATCTCAGAGCTGCGGTGATAGCGCTGCATGGGATGGAGAGAGGCAGAGGCCCCGGGCCAGGGCCCCCACCCTGCCCGTGGGCGGGTGGGACACTCACTGTCACTGCTCCCCTTGGCCAGGCTGGACACCAACCAGTTCCAGGACCCCGTGATGGAGCTGCTGGGCAGCGTGCTGAGTGGGAAGGACTGTCGCATTCAGAAGATCAGGTAACACAGACCCAGGGGACCTCCAGGGTGCCTATGGTCTTGTGGGGTATGGAACCCTCTTCCCATCATCCTCTGCTCAGCTGGCCAGCGGCGCTGCCACGGAGAAGTGTCTTTGGAGCATGTGGCTCCAGATGCAGCCTGCTTGTTTCTGCCCAATTCCAGAAAGTGCTAGAGGCTCAGGTGCCTCATCAGTAGGAAGAGGGAGGTGACCTGGCGGGACTAGACACCGCTGTGCACAGGCAGGTGTTTCCACAGCACTACGTGTGCTGACATAATGCCAGGCACAATGTTCTCTAAGCACCTCTCCAAGTTTGCTGTCCAACAGCATTCTAGGCACAGGATTATAATTATCCCCCCCAGACAGTCTTGCTTTGTCACCCCAGCTGGAGTGTAGTGGCATGATCTCGGCTCATTGTAATCTCTGCCTCCCAGGCTCAAGCAGTTCTCTAACCCCAGCCTCCTGAGTAGCTGGGATTAGAGGGGCCCACCACACCTGGCTAATTTTTGTATTTTTAGTAGAGACAGGGTTTCACCATGTTAACCAGGCTGGCCTCGAACTCCTGACCTTGTGATCCGCCAGCCTTGGCCTCCCAAAGTGCTGGGATTACTGGCGTGAGCTACTGCACCCAGCCAATTGCATTTTTAATTAAAATTTTAAATTTCAAATTTAATTTAATTAAAATTTAATTTCAAATTTAATTTTAAATCAATTTAAACAATTTTTAATTAAAATTGCATCTTGTGGCCGGGTGTGGTGGCTCACCCCTGTAATCCCAGCACTTTGGGAGGCCGAAGCAGGTGGATCACGAGGTCAGGAAATCGAGACCATCCTGACTAACACGGTGAAACCCTGTCTCTACTAAAAATACAAAAAATTAGCCGGGCGTGGTGGTGGGCGCCTGTAGTCCCAGCTACTCAGGAGGCTGAGGCAGGAGAATGGCGTGAACCCAGGAGGCAGAGGTTGCAGTGAGCCGAGATCGCACCACTGCACTCCAGCGCCACTGCACTCCAGTCTGGGTGACAGAGTGAGACTCCGTCTCAAAAAAGAACAAAACAAACAAAAAAACCTTCATCTTGTAATTAGACAAAAGTTCACATGGTGAATGTGTGCTTATGAAACGTCTCCTGGAATAACATTCCTGGATCTGAGAAACTACACACACTCGGGGTTTGTGGTTGAATCGATGTGACTGATCCTCTGAGGGTGGCTGTTGCAGACCTAGGGAGGTGAGTTTGGAGAAGAGAACCCAAGGGCTAATTTTGTTTTTTTTTTTGTTTTGAGACGGAGTCTCCCTGTGTTGGGCAGGCTGGAGTGCAGTGGCACGATCTTGGCTCACTGCAGACTCCGCCTCCCGGGTTCAAGCAATTCTCCTGCCTCAGCCTCCTGAGTAGCTGGGACTACAGGCGCATGCCACCACACCCAGCTAATTTTTGTATTTTTAGTCGATACAGGGTTTCACTATATTACTTTATTGGCCAGGCTGGTCTCAAACTCCTGACCTCAGGTGATCCATCCGCCTCAGCCTCCCAAAGTGCTGGGATTACAGGTGTGAGCCACTGTGGCCAGGGGTAATTCTTCATTCTCATACAAGCCTCTGGGTTCTGAAGTAATCTTTATCTGAGTTAATGGCAATTTACACTAATTCAGTAACAAAAATAAGGCACTGGGGAGTATGTTTAGAGGTGTAGGCTCTGTGTGAGTTTGAAGAAGTCATTTCTGTGCCTTAAGAGGGTAAAAATGGGCTTAAAAGGATATCTAGGCCAGGGGCGGTGGCTCATGCCTTTAATCCCAGCACTTTGGGAGACTGAGGCCCGTGAATCACTTGAGGTCAGGAGTTCGAGACCAGCCTGGTCAAACTGGCAAAACCCTGTCTCTACTAAAAAATACAAAAATTAGCCAGTCGTGGTGGTGGTGGGTGTGTGTAATCCCTGCTACTCAGGAGGCTGAAGCAGGAGAACTGCTTGAGTCTGGGAGGCAGAAGTTGCAGTGAGCCAAGATTGCGCCACTGCACTCCAGCCGAGGTGACAGAGCAAGACCCCGTCTCAAAAAAAAAAAAAGAAAAAAAAAAAGAAAAGTAAAAGAATGACAATTCTCATTATTAATATTTTTTCCTCTGTGAGCGCCTCCTGCATTTTTAGCACATGACAAAATAGCCAACTTTTAGTTTTGCTTAAAGCAGACTAGGTAGTGCTCAGAAATTATTCGGGGGCCAGGCACAGTGGCTCCTTCCTATAATCCTAGCAATCTGGAAGGTGGGGAGATTCTTTAAGGCCAGGAGTTCAAGACCAACCTGGCAAACATATGGCAAGATGCCATCTTTACTAAAAATAAAAATAAAAGTAAATTATTCTGAATGAAGCCAAAAATCTCTTCTCTGGCCACATGCTCTTCTTTACCTCTCTCTGTAGTTGATCCTCAGTGCCACATCCCTATTTCACCTAGAAGTTAAATACAACTTATAAAATGCCATAAAAGTCCCAGAGGGATGGAAGCACTCTAGAATTTGAGAACATTTATACAGAGGTGGCCTGGACGAATGCTGTGAATTGAAGTTCTCTGAAAAGGAATTTAGAGAAAAGAGACTTTATTCCAGTGAACAGTTTGCTTCAATATAGCTTGAAAAGTACCAGGCTGGGCACGGTGGCTCATGCCTGTAATTCCAGCACTTTGGGAGGCCAAGGCAGGAGGATCGTTTGAGCCCAGGAGTTTGAGACCAGCCTCGGCAACAAAGTAAAACCCTGTCTCTGCAAAAAATTAAAAAACTAGCCAGGTGTGGTGGCGTGCACCTCTGGTCCCAGTTACTTGGGAGGCTGAAGTGGGAGGATTCTTGAGCTCGAGAGTTCGAGTTACAGTGAGCCATGATCATGCCACTGCACTCCAGCCTGGGTGACAGAATGAGATCCTGTCTGAAAAAAGAAAAAGAAGAGCACCAGCCTGGGGATTCTAATTGAACTACTATATCCCATGGGGCTGAATGCCTACAAACGGCAAAGAGCCTGGACAGCTACTATTTCTGCAGCTGGATACATGAAGTAACATTGAGTTGATCCACCACCATATTCCCAGAACCATGCTTTTGAGGCAAATCAAGATGTGTGTGTGTGTGTGTGTGTGTGTGGTTTTTTTTTAATTTTAAAGTTAATTTTAAATAACTCTACCATTTGCCATTTTGCACTAGAAAAGAGGCTAGGATCAGTAGTGTGCCTAAATTTGTTTGTACCAGTTCACGAAAGCTGATTGTTAAATTTTCAGGAATTTTGCAAGGTGGAGGTGCTTGAACTTGGTGTTGCTGGGAGTATTTATACCATGGAAAGTGGCAGATACTACAAATCAGTTTGCTAGCATTTGTTTTTTGTTTTGTTGTTGTTTTGAGACATGGTCTCACTCTGTCGCTCAGGCTGGAGCGCAGTGATGTCATCATGGCTCATTGCAGCCTCAACCTTCTAGGCTAAATCCTCCCTCCTCAGCCTCCCAAGTAGCTTGGACTACAGGTGCGCCACCTGACTAATTTTTATGTTTTTCGTGGAGACAAGATCTCCCTATGTTTCCCAGGCTAGTCTCAAACGCCTGGTTTCAAGTGATGCTCCCGCCTTGGCCTCCCAAAGTGCTGGGATTGTATAGGCATGAGCCACCACGCACAGCCCAGTTTTTGAAATTTTGTTTTTCCTGGGAGCCAGTTTACCAGTACACCACTGGCTGCCATCTGCATGTTAGGCTTCCGAGATTTCCATTTTCTTTGCTGTGCTGTTTGTGTAGAAGCTGTTGTGCTGGATTCTGGTTAAACTTTTTCCTGAGACCCTTTGCCATGATGAGGGTCTGTCCTCCCACTCTGGCCCTACGCTGCCCAGGCTCAGGGGCTCTGCTGTGCCTGGCATTCTGCTCCAGGGGTCACCTCATCTCCACCTATGTCCAGACCCTGATGATGTGGGGGAGCCTAGAGGATTAATCACGGGCACAGCGTTGAGGAAGAGGCCATGAGATGTGCATGCCTAAAATAACCACTCCTCTCCCTTTCCTTGGGCAGCTTGGCGGAGAACCAGATCAGTAACAAAGGGGCCAAAGCTCTGGCCAGATCCCTCTTGGTCAACAGAAGTCTGACCTCTCTGGAGTAAGTAAGGACAACCAAGGCCGAACTTTTGCCATTGGAACCAGAAGAGTTGTGAGGCATCTTGTGAAGTCCCCTCCCTCCTAGGAAATGACTTGGGTCTTACCTGTCTGTTCTTCCCTGATTCCCATGATTCAGCCCCTGGGTAGCATCTGGACATAATATCCATACTTCATTTGGAGCAGGTTCTAAGACTCCTGTGGGAATAAGACACAGGGAGGCCACACCTTAGCGCACATGCCTTCCTGGTGGGGCAGAAGGACAGCCGGGCTGAACCATGGCTCCTCAGTTGCCGGGCTACAGCCAGGGACACACCAGATGTTTGCCCTGCATCTGGGGCCATCATTCTCATCTCCACATTTGGCCCAAGCCCACTAGTCCATCAGGTGCTGCTTTCTTTCCCCCAACACCTGAGACAGTCGTGGGGAAACTCCTTCCTTGTTTATATAAGGATCTCTGCCCTGGTTCCACCAAACATGAGATCCTAAGCCCTTACACATTCCCTTAGAGGATCACGAATTTCAAGGTCAATGCAGTTTCTGTTTCCCCTTCCCTCTCTGGGAGACAGATGAAGGAGGTGTCTCTTTCTCTCTTCCTTCAGCCTCCGCGGTAACTCCATTGGACCACAAGGGGCCAAGGCGCTGGCAGACGCTTTGAAGATCAACCGCACCCTGACCTCCCTGAGGTGTGTGTCACCTGCTCCCTGTGTTGTGACCCCAAGAGAGGGCCCAGAAAACCCTCTCCTCAGGCACCACCTATGAGAATGGGAGGTGATTCACAATGGCAGGCATGGGGCCGGGCACAGTGGCTCACATCTGTAATCCCAACCCTTTGGGAGGCTGAGACAGGTGGATCGCTTGAGGTCAGGAGCTCGAGAGCAGCCTGGCCAACATGGCGAAATGGCATCTCTACTAAAAAACAAAAATTAGCTGGCGTGGTGGCAGGTGCCTGTAATCCCAGCAACTCGGGAGGCTAAGGTAGGAGAATCGCTTGAGTCTGGGAAGCAGAGGTTGCAGTAAGTTGAGATCGCGCCACTACACTCCAGCCTGGGTGACAGAGTGAAACTCTCTCAACAAGCAAGCAAACAAAGATGGCAGGCATGGGATACTGGCTCCCATCCCATTGGGTACTGGGGATCTTATGCCCTACGCAAGTTTCCAGGGTCCAGCTCTTCCCTAGACTTGAGCCTGTGTGTGTGGCCTGAGCAGGGGACAGAGTTGTGATGTGGTTTGTTACGTCTCTTTTTTTTTTTTTTTTTTTTTTTTTTTTTTTTTTTTGAGACGGATTCTTTCTTTGTCACCCAGGCTGGAGATCTTGTCTCACTGCAACCTCTGCCTCCTGGGTTTAAGCGATTCTCCTGCCTCAGCCTTCCAAGTAGCTGGGATTACAGGCTCCTGCCACCACGCCTGGCTAATTTTTTTGTATTTTTAGTAGAGACGAGCTTTCACCATTTTGACCAGGCTGGTCTCGAGCTCCTGCACTCAAGCCATCTGCCTGCCTTGGCCTCCCAAAGTGCTGGGATTACAAGTGTGAGTCACCGAGCCCAGCCAGTTATGTCTCTTTTAAAAGCCTGTGGTTATATCTATACTTAGCTGAGTGGGTACCACTTTTCTGTTCTGTTTTCATTTATTTATTTATTTATTTATTTATTTATTTATTTATTTATTTATTTTTATTAGGGTGAAATTCATGTACCATAAAATTGACTGTTTTAGGCGGGTCCCAGAGGCTGATGCCTGTAATCCCAGCACTTTGGGAGGCCAAGGCAGGTGGATCACTTGAGGTCGGGAGTTCGAGACCAGCCTGGCCAACATGGTAAAACCTCATATCTACTAAAAAAAAAAAAGAAAAGAAAAGTACAAAAAGTTAGCCAGGCATGGTGACAGGTGCCTGTGGTCCTAGCTACTCAGGAGGCTGAGGTTGAGTTGAGCCCGGGAGGCGGAGGTTGCAGTGAGCCAAGATCGCGCCACTGCACTCCAGCCTGGGCGACAGAGCGAGACTCTGTCTAAAAAAAACCCTGACTGTTTTAAAGTGTACAGTTCAGTGGCATTGAGCAAATTCACAATGTTGTGCCACCATCACATCTGTCCAGTTCCAGAATATTTTCATCACCCCTGAAGGAGACCTCATACCCATAAACAGTCACTTCCCATTCTCCCCTTTCCCCAGCCCCTCACAATCACCAATCTGCTTCCCATCTCTAAGGATTTACCTATTCTGGACATTTCATGTAAATAGATTTATATAGGCTCGCCTTTGGTGTGCGGCTTTCCTCATTGAGCATGATGTTTTTAAGCTTCATCCGTGTGGTACCATGTGTCAATGCTTCCTTCCATTTTATTTTAACTTTTTTTTTTTTTTTTTTTGAGACGGAGTCTGACTCTGTCACCCAGACTGGAGTGCAGTGGCGTGATCTTAGCTCACTGCAACCTCTGCCTTCCAGGTTCAAGCACTTCTCCTGTCTCAGCCTCCCGAGTAGCTGGGATTACAGGCATGTGCCACCACACCCAGCTAATTTTTGTATTTTTAGTAGAGATGGGGTTTCACCATGTTGGCCAGGCTGGTCTCAAATTGCTGACCTCAAGTGATCCACCCACCTCGGCCTCCCAAAGTGCTGGGATTACAGGTGTGAGCCACTGTACCCAGCCTCTTCCCTCTGTTTTAAGGCTGAATCATATTCCACGGGATGGACAGACCATGATATGTTGATCCATTCACCTAATGACAGCCATTTGGGTTGTTTCCACCTTTTGGTTATATGAATATCGTTGCTGTGAACATTGGTGAATACGACTTCCAGTGCCTGTTTTCAATTCTTTTGAGGATATACCTAGGAATGGAATTGCTGGGTCACATGGTCAACCCATGTTTAACCTTTTAAGGACCTGCCAGACCATATTCCACAGACAGCGGACCATTTTGCATTCCCACCAGCAGCGTGAGGGTTGCAGTTTCTCTGTATTCTCACCAACACTTGGATCCTGTGTCTTTCAGCTGTAATGAGGGCAATTGATGACTTTGTTGTGGTTATTCAGAGAGCAGAAGCACCTTGTTCCCAGCCAGCAGGCAAATGCTTAGCAACTCAAAGAAAAACCTAAGCCCCAGGCAGTGGTGCAAAGGGTCCACTGCTCTCCCTGCATGGTGGGCGGTGAGGGCACGTAGTGGTCAGAACCCCTTGCTCCACAGAGGTGCCCCCACTGCAGAGAGAGTTCAGACCCCTGGGTTCCAGCTTCTGCTCCATCAGTGATGAGCCTCTTCTTGTCTCTGCAGCCTCCAGGGCAACACCGTTAGGGATGATGGTGCCAGGTCCATGGCTGAGGCCTTGGCCTCCAACCGGACCCTCTCCATGCTGCAGTGAGTGAACACATCTCCTCTCTCCCCCTTCTCTCCCTTCTCCCTCCTCCTCCAAGGGCCTCTCTGCCTATTACCTGCTAGGAAGAATGGATGGGGCTAGGACCTGAGGCCTTCTGACCCATCTGGATGGCCCCTGATGCCCATTACTTTTCGAGAGAGCAGCTGTTGGGGAAATAATTAAAAATAAAACCTCCTGGCTGGGCGCAGGGACTCATGCCTGTAATCCCAGCACTTTGGGAGGCCAAGGCAGGCGGATCACTTGAAGTCAGGAGTTTGAGACCAGCCGGGCCAAAATAGTAAAACACCGTCTCTACTAAAAAAAAAAAAAAAAAATTAACCAGGCATGGTGGTGCAAGCCTGTAGTCCCAGCTACTTGGGAGGCTAAGTTGAGAGAATCGCTTGAACCTGGGAGGCGGAGGGTGCAGTGAGCTGAGATCGTGCCATTGCACTCCAGCCTGGGCGACAGCGAGACTCTGTCAAAAAAAAATAAAATTAAAATATAAAATAAAATTAAAATATAAAATAAAATAATAAAATATAAAATAAAATACCTTCTACCAACCCACAGATGTAGGAAAGAATACAACAATTATTGGATAAACATTAAACTGACTGCACGGTGCATCGGGGCAACCCACCAATGAGACTGTAAAGACAGAAAGCTCACTTTTCTAGAGCCAAGCAGACAGGACCCTCGTCCTCAGGCAAGAGGGCCAGGCAGCACCATTTGCCGTTTATCCTAAATACAGCAGATAATTGGAGTGGCCATTTGTGGTCCCTAATTGCTTTTATCCAAAGGAAAAGTAAAGCTTTTATCTCTATGACACGCAGGTACTTTAGAGCTTCAAGCCAGATACCTAGCCTAATTCCCGAAGGCAGGGAAGGAGGGACTCTTTGTTCCTTAATGTTTACATTTCAAAGAGATGGCTCCAAACCCTTATGAAAGACATTCCCAGGCTGTGAAAGTGGCCAGAGGCTGATTTTGCTTTTAAAAAGATTTACATACATCTTAAAGGGACAGAGGCAGCATTTGCAACCTCAAGTTTTCTCAGGAAGTGCTCTGAGAAAATGAGGGTGGTAAGGAGTCTCTTTCCTTTTTGGAACCAGGGAAAATTACATTTTTTAGGATTTGTATTTAGCCTCACACAGGAGACGTCCTGCCTGCCTGTCCTTGTAGGATGAGGACAGGGTTTCTCCCGTGCTGTCTCCCTCCACCAGATTTAGGACAAGAGGAAGCAGCTTTTTCAGAAGAGGAACCTAAGCCAGGGTCTTCCTAGGGAGGTTTCTTTTTTCTTTTTTATTTGAGACGGAGTCTCGCTCTATTGCCCGCCTGGAGTGCAGTGGCGTAATCTCGGCTCACTGCAACCTCCGCCTCCCTGGTTCAAGTGATTCTTCTGCCTCAGCCTCCCAAGTTGCTGGGATTACAGGTGTATGCCACCACGCCCCGCTAATTTTTTTATTTTTAGTAGAGACGGAGTTTCACCATGTTGGCCAGGATAGTCTCGATCTGTTAACATCGTGATCCGCCCACCTTGGCCTCCCAAGGTGCTGGGATCACAGGCATGAGCCACCGTACCTGGCCCCTAGGGAGGTTTCTTAGGGTTGGAGGCAGCCTGCTGGTCTAGATGGGAGGCAGACTGCAGGTAAGGCACCAGAGAGACTTGTCCATGGAGGTCCCCATTCGGGAGGTTGCTGGGCATTATCAGCACCTACTGATCTCTGCTTTCTAGCTCCTTGCAAGGGAGGCTCAGCTGCCCTGACCCCTTACTATCCCTCATCATAATGTTGGTCCATTATCACTTAGGCAACAATCCAAAGACCCATCTGGAGAACGCCCTCCCCACCTGCTCCAATAAATGTAGAGGGCACACTAGTTGTCCCTGACCTTGAACCTGAACCGTCCTTGGCCTGGGAATGGCTGTGACCAGCCTTTCTAAAGGACCCCTCTCTTTTCTCCCACAGCCTGCAGAAGAACAGCATCGGGCCCATGGGAGCCCAGCGGATGGCAGATGCCTTGAAGCAGAACAGGAGTCTGAAAGAGCTCATGTGAGACATATGAAAGGCCCACACTAGTATCCTCAGTGCCCAGCACAATGCCCAACCCAGCACAAATATTTGTGAGCCTGAGGATGGATGGATGGATTGATGGATAGGTGAATGGATGGATGGGTGGGTGGATGGATGGATGGGTGACTAGGTGGATGGGTGGCTAGGTAAATGGATGGATGGATGGATGGATGGATGGATGGATGGATGGATGAATGAAGGGATACACTGATGAGTGGACGGATGGATGGATGAGTGGACTGATGGATGAATGAGTGGATAGATGGATGGATGGTTAAATGAGTATATGGGTGGGTGGATGGATGGTTGGGTGGGTAGTGGTGGATGGGTAGGCAGGTGGATGGATGGATGGATGGATGGGTGAATGAATGGATAAATGAATGAGTGGATGGATGGATGGATGGATGGGTGAGAGGACTGGTGAATGGATGGATGGATGGATGGTTGAATGAACGAGTAGATGAATGACTGAGTGGATGAATGAGTGAATGGAAGGATGGATGGATAGATGGACGGTTGAATGGATGGATGGATGGTTGAATGAATGGATGGATGGATGGATGGATGGATGGGTGGATGAGTGGATGAATGGATGCATTGATGGGTGGATTGGTGGATGGGTGGATGGATGGATGGATGGTTGAATAAATGAGTGGATGAATGGGTGAGTGGGTAGATGGAGGGATGGATGGATGGGTGGGTATGTGGATGAATGAATGAATGAGTAGAGTAGATAAATGGATGGTTGAATGGGTGAATAGATGGGTGGATGGGTGGGTAGAGAGGGATGGGTGGATAGGTGGATGGGTACGTGAATGGATGGATGGTTGAATGGATGAGTGGATGGATAAATGGATGAGTGGATGGATGGATGGATGGGTGAGTGGATAGATGGATGGTAGAATGAATGAGTGAATGAATGAGTGAGTGGGTGGGTGGGTGGATGGATGGATGAATGGATAGATGAATGGATGGGTGGGTAGATGAGTGGATGGAGGCATGGCTGAATGAATTAGTGGAGAATAGGTGAGTGGATGGATGGATGGACAAATGGATGGATGGGTGGATGAGTGGATGGACAGACGAAATGATAGCTAAGTGGACTGATGGGTAGGTGGATGGATGAGTGGATGGATGAATGGGTAAGTGGGTAGGTGAGTAGGTGGATGGATGGACGAATGGATGGATTTATGAATGAGTGGGTGGGTAAGTAGATAAATCAATAAGTGAGTGGATGGATAGATGGATGGAAGTGTGAGTGCTGGTTAGCTGACTTTGGACTCCAAAAGCACTAACCGAGGAGAATGGAGACTCAGATTCCCAGGACTGGGTGAACCCCAACCTTCTCGGGCTCACATTTACTGTCTTCCCAGCTGGCAGAAGAAAACATTTCCTGACCATCTTCACAAAAACCCCCCAAAATACTTATCACTGAAGGGTTGACCCTTCTTGCCAGGGAGTCAAGAGGGACTTTGCTATCCTGATTTCTTACAGACAACAGGTGGTCACTTGCAGAGACTACAGCCAACAGGCCTCAGGCAGAACAAACTGTGCACTGGCCACCCTTGAGACAACAGAGCCAGCCCTCCCAGGAGGGCTTCCCTGACTCTGATCCCTCTGCCCAGCCCTGCCTGGCAGCTCCCAGAGGCTGGCTCATCCATATCCCTTCTCTTGCAGGTTCTCCAGTAATAGTATTGGTGATGGAGGTGCCAAGGCCCTGGCTGAGGCCCTGAAGGTGAACCAGGGCCTGGAGAGCCTGGAGTGAGTCCACCTGCCAGGGTGACGATTCCCCCTGGGTTCTCTTTCCAGTAGATAGTGGGCCGGCAGTCCTGAAAAATGGCTGTCCCCCAGGGCCATTTCCCTGCCAACACTAACCCTGGGCACACACTGTCCTCAGTAGCCCCTGCCCCACCAGCTCCATTTCCCTAGACAGTGGGGGCTGGGGTAGGGTCTGGAGTGTTTGGAATGATGAGCTCCAAGTGTCCTTGAGAAGCCAGCATGGGTGGCTGGAGAGGGAGTCAGCTGCAGCAGCTTTGGTAGGGGAAAGGAGAGCTCAGCGCTACACCCACACTTGGGGAGCCTGCTGCGCCACTCCCTCTGGGGGCTGCAGACCCAACACACCCTGCTCTGAGGCTGTCTGGGGCCACCCACATCAAGGCAGGGTCTACATTTGGGGGTTTGTTGTGCTGAACCCACCTGCCCTGACCTGGCAGAGGCTAGAAGGTGGGGGGCTGGGAGAGGAAAGAGAGATGAGAAGAGAAGCAGTGTGGCCACCACTGTCCCTGGAGCCCCCAACTCCCTGTTGAGCCCAGTGCCTGCTGTCCCAGACTGGGACAGGGCAGCTCCCTCTGGGTCCTGGGACAGCCACACCCAGGGCGCCTCCTCTTTCCGCAGCCTGCAGAGCAATTCCATCAGTGACGCAGGAGTGGCAGCACTGATGGGGGCCCTCTGCACCAACCAGACCCTCCTCAGCCTCAGGTAAGTCCTGGCCACCCTCTCCAAACAGGGCGTTTCTTTGACGAGGCACCTGTCTGCAGGGACTTGGCACTGGGAAGCCTGTCTCAGGGAAATCTATGGCTGGGGAAGCCTTCCTGGCAGCCTGGCCCTTTTCCTGCTCTCTTGGGGTGCAGGGGATAGCTGCTGCCCGCAGTGGCCCATTCTGCCGCTCCCTTCCCAGATGCACGCTGAGCCACCTGTCCCCTCGCACCTCTGGGGCCCTGTCATCCTGTCCTCTCCCTGTACTGCGGATGGTCCTAAAGTGGGGGCACCTGGCTGGCCCAGCACTGGCTCACTAGCACTGGCTCCTTCACACCTCAGCCCAGACTATGCAGAACTCTAGGTCCCCCGCCTGCAGTTTCTTGGGCTTCAAGAAGCCTAAACACCTGGGCTTGGCTTTGCCAGACACCTCATCTGCCCGGTCAGAAGCTCAGGTCTTTCCTTTTTTTTCAGCCTTCGAGAAAACTCCATCAGTCCCGAGGGAGCCCAGGCCATCGCTCATGCCCTCTGCGCCAACAGCACCCTGAAGAACCTGGAGTACGTGGTGGGGGCCTGTGACTCCACAGGCTGTTCATGCCATGACCACACCCACACCGAGCCTGGGCTGACGGGCACCCTCGCCACGTCACAGGGTTGGAGAAGGAGCTGGCTGGGGAGGGTGCAGCCAGGAGACCTGACATCGGGTGGCAAGTCCCCCACTCTCATAGTGTAAACTGCACGAGGGTGAGGCTAGTGTGACGCCGTCTGCTTCACCTGGTGGGGATGGATGAGGATGTTACCATGCCATTGGGCAACGTATCCCCAGGAAGCACCCCCTCGTGCTGGCTGGGTGATCTGGTATCAAGCCCTGGAATCCCTGGTGACCAAGGACCGGAGGCTTCACAGCCGGCCCCCGGCTCACTTGCTCCTGTTCCCTTCCTCCTAGCCTGACAGCCAACCTCCTCCACGACCAGGGTGCCCGGGCCATCGCAGTGGCAGTGAGAGAAAACCGCACCCTCACCTCCCTTCAGTGAGTCTGCAGCTCTCCACCCTGCTCTGTTCCCCTTCTGCAGAGCTGCCGGGCTCCACCCAAACCAACGATGCACAGGCCACACCTGGTTTGGGGACACCCCCTGCAAAGGTCTCAGGGGCTGCCCGGGCTAGCCTGCTGCCAGCAGACTGTGCCCCATCCTGTGCTCTCCTGACCCACAGACAGACATGTGTTAAGAGGTGGTCACAGCTGGGCCTCCAGGCAGAGGCCATTTGGAGGTGTCTTTTCTGGCTTATTCCCCGGCCCTCTGGCCACGGCTAACCAGGGAGTACATGTGACCCTCTGAGAACTAAGTCTGGGCAGGGGTTGCAGGAATTCTCCTGCCACATCCTGCAGGGATTCCACCTCCTGCCATCAGAGCCTCCTTGGCTCTGCCCCAGGGCCACATAGTCACATAGTCACATAGTCACATGTGTCTGTGTCTGCCCAGCCTGCAGTGGAACTTCATCCAGGCCGGCGCTGCCCAGGCCCTGGGACAAGCACTACAGCTCAACAGGAGCCTCACCAGCTTAGAGTAAGTTGGCCTGCCCAGGGGCTGCAGGGCGGGGGCTGTTGAGGACAGGGGAATCTGAAAACCTGGTACCCATCAGGCAGAGGCTCAATCCAGTGACCCCTGGCACTCCTCTTCCCTAAGGCCAGCTGGCATGTTTCAGTCCTTGTCTGCCTTTTAAATATATTGGCCGGGTGCGTTGGCTCACGCCTGTAATCCCAGCACTTTGGGAGGCTGAGGCATGTGGATCATCTGAGGTGTCAGGAGTTCAAGATGAGCCTGGCCAACATGGCGAAATCCCATCTCTACTATAAATACAAAAATTAGCCGGGCATGGTGGCACATGCCTGTAATCCCAGCTACTCGGGAGGCTGAGGCAGGAGAATCGCTTAAACTCAGGAGGCACAGGTTGCAGTGAGCAGAGATCGCGTCACTGCACTCCAGCCTGGGCGACAGAGTGAGACCCTGTTAAAAAATATATATATATACACACATATATATACATACACACACACACATATACACACACATATATACACATATACATATATACACATACATATATGTACATACACATATATACATAGATATATGACAGCTTGATTGAGATATAATCTTCACGCCAGAAGATCCACCCACTTAGTATACAATTCACTGGTTTCTAGTGTATTCGGTGATGCAATCATCACAATCAATTTTACAACATTTCCATCACCCCGTTAGCACTCACTACCCATTCTCCCTTTCCCCCAACCCTGGCAACCACTAATCTACCATCTCCATGATCTTCCTACCCTGGACACCGCATATAAATGGAATTGTGCGATACGTGGCCAAAAATAGAATCATACGACACGTGGCCTTTTGTGGCTGGTGTCTTTCATTTGGTGTCAGATTTTCAAGGTTCATCCACATTGTAGCCTGTCTCAATACTTAGTTCCTTTGTAAGGCTGAATGATATCCATTGTATGGGTACACAGGTTTCATTTCTCCATTCATCAGCTGACGGACGTTGGGTTGTTCCTACTTGGCTGTTAGGAACGGTGCTGCTGTGGACCTTTGTGCACCAGTTTCTGTGTGGACGTGAGCTTTCCTTCTCCTGGCTGGATATACCTGGGAGTGGAGTCGCTGGGGCGTGAGGGAACTCTAGGTTTAACCCTTGGAGCCTCATCGGCCTTTCTCCCTGACCATTTCTTCTCCTTCAGCTTCCAGGATGTCCCCTCTGTCTGGGCCTCGTCCTCTTTTCTTCTGTTTGGCTCTTCTGCGCAGGGCTCCTCAGGGATCGTCCTATGTCATCTTCGCTTGCCTGGCGTCTCTTTTCCTGGAGCTCTTTTCCTTTCCCTGGGCTCCAGTGATCTTCAAAGTCCCAACGACTCCCACGTCCGTGTCCCAGCCCTCTCTCCTCAACCCTAGACCTGCGCGTCCACACCCCCTCTGTACCTCCCTTCGGGATCTTGCTCGGGTGCAGGGTCCCTGCATTCTCTCTCCTGAAAACCTGCTTCTTGGCTCCCCATCTTGTGAATGGAACCAACTGTGCAAGCTAGAAACAAGACCTTCACTCTCACCTCCCACTTCCTTTTCTATAACTTTTATTTTATTTTTGAGATGGAGTCTCGCTCTGTTGCCCAGGCTGGAGTGCAGAGGCGTGATCTCGGCTCACTGCAACCTCTGCCTCCCAGGTCCAAGCGATTCTCCTGCCTTAGCCTCCCGAGTAGCTGGGATTACAGGTGCCCAACACCACGCCCAGCTTTTTTTTTTTTTTTTAATAGAGACGGGGTTTCACTATGTTGGTCAGGCTGGTCTCGAACTCCTGACCTTTAAGTGATCCTTCCACCTTGGCCTCCCAAAGTGCTGGGATTACAGGTGCAAACCACCACATCCAGCATATAACTTATTTTTTAAAGTAATATTTACAATTTTTTTTAAAGAGATGGGGCCTCACCATGTTGCCCAGGCTAGTCTTGAACTCCTGGGCTCAAGCGATCCTCCCACCTTGGCCTCCCAAAGTCCTAGGATTACAGGTGTGAGGCACTGTGCCTACCCACCTCCTGCTTCCTATTCATTGTCAAGTCCTGTTGGGTCGGTCCCCTCTGTGTCCCTGCCATCCACTCGATTCCCTCTGCGTCCACTGCCCCTGCCCAGGCCATCGGCACCACTCACCTCCATCCCTGTGGTAGCCTCCACCTCAGTCCATCCTCTCACACTGCTGGCCAGAGACCTTTCCAGAGCAGCTCTGTCCCATCTTGGGTGCCATCCTTGAATGGTTGCCCAGGGCCTGCAGAGTAAAGTACACACAGCCCCTCAGGGTGGCTTCTGGGACCCCTAAAATCTGCTTCCTTTGTCCCTCCCTGGACTCATTTCTCACTTCCCCAGGAATTCAATTCGTTTGGGTTCCTTAGCTGAGCCAGGCACACTCCCCACTTTGGGTTCGGGTTTTGACCTATTTCTTCTGGGAGCCTTCTGTTGACACCCTGGGGTGGGAGATGCTGCTTGCTTTTCCCTGCAGCCTGCACTTGGCCTGTTGTACCTGCTCATTTAATCATGTCTTCCCACCTGAGCTTCGAGAGGGGGACTCAGGCCTGCTGCCTTATACAACACCTAGCACATGAGACACACTCAAATGTTGTCTTTCTTATTTTTTTTTTCATTTTAATTTTTTGAGACGGAGTCTAACTCTGTCGCCCAGGCTGGAGTGCAGTGGCGGGATCTCGGCTTACTGCAACCTCCACCTCCTGGGTTCAAGTGATTCTCCTGCATCAGCCTCCCCAGTAGCTGGGACTACAGGTGCCCTCCACCACTCCCAGCTAATTTAGTAGAGACAGAGAACCCTGTCTCTACTAAAAATACACCCACCCAGCCTAATTTTCGTATTTTTAGTGGAGACGGGGTTTCACCATGTTGGCCAGGCTGGTCTCGAACTCCTGACCTCAAGTGATCCACCCACCTCAGCCTCCCAAAGTGCTGGGATTAAAGGTGTGAGCCACTGCGCCCGGCCACACTCAAATGTCTGTTAAAATAATGAATGCAAACAGCTCTTGGCCTTGAACATACCAGTGTGCGCTTGAGCTAAACTCAGTCACTCACTGCACCAGGGCCTGCTAGTTCCCTCCAACTTAGAAGGGGAAAAAATGACACAAAGCCCTAATTAGCAAGAATGGCCAAGGAGGTTGGGCGTGGTGGCTCCTGCCTGTAATGCCAGCAATTTGGGATGCCAAGGTGGGAGGACTGCTTGAGCCCAGGAGTTCAGGACCAGCCTGAGCAACATAGTGAGACCCCATCTCTATAAAAGAATAAAAACATTAGCCGGGCATGGGGGCATGTGCCTGTAGTCCCCGTCTCTAGTTAAGTACTTTAGTCTCCTCGGGAGGCTGAGGTGGGAGGATCGCTTGAGCCTGGGAGGTTGAGGCTGCAGTGAGCCGTGATCTCACCACTGCATTCCAGCCTGGGTGGCAGAGTGAGACCCTGTCTCAAGAGAAAACAAGACAAACAAGAATGGCTCAGGGATTGAGGGCTTTAAGTTCATTTTCTGGTTGGCTGTGAAAAGCATCCCCTTTTGGGTCCCAAGCCCCTGCTGACAGTCACTCTATATGTCCCATTTCCTGCTTGCCTCTGGCGGTTCAGACTCATGCAGGCCCCAGACGCCTCTGTGTGCTTAGTATGAGGCGGCGGGCTGCAGGGCCTGTGGAGGAAGGGCAGTTATCCCCAGGAAACCCTGGGAGTGTCTATGGTGTGTGTAGTCGGTTAAACCTGGCAGGTCCAAGTGCGGCAGGGCCTTGCTAGAATGCTCCCTGTGCCCCGTGCACCCAAAGGGGTCATACTCTGTGTCTAGTTTACAGGAGAACGCCATCGGGGATGACGGAGCGTGTGCGGTGGCCCGTGCACTGAAGGTCAACACAGCCCTCACTGCTCTCTAGTAAGTCCTAGATGTGCGCAGCAGTCAGGAAACCGGTCCCTTCGCCATCCTTTCACGTTAGAGGTCTTTTTTTTTTTTTTTTTCCTCGAGACAAGAGTCTTGCTCTGCCACCCAGGCTGGAGTGCAGTGACATAATCTCAGCTAACTGTAACCTCCACCTCCTGGGTTCAAGTGATTCTCAAGCCTCAGCCTCCCATACAGTAGTTGGGATAACAGGCGTGCACCACCACACCCAGCCTAATTTTTGTATTTTTAGTAGAGACGGGGTTTCACCATATTGGCCAGGCTGGTCTCAAACTCCTGACTTCAGGTGATCTGCCCACCTCAGCCTCCCAAAGTGCTGGGATTACAGGTGTGAGCCACCACACCTGGCCTGGACGTTATTTTTGTTTACAAGTCAAGGAAGGTGTGTTTGATTTTCCTAATATAGGAAATATGATATTAGCAGTTGGGGGCTCAAACACCTAGAGAGTAGTAATGAGGAGGTACAGGGAGCATTCTCCCCGAGCCCTTCCAGGGACAGCCTCTATTTCTCATCTCCTTAGCATCCAGATCTCTGTCTTAGGCAACAGACAGTGTAGGTAGGAGATGGAGTGCCTAGACACAGCGCTGGCCAACCATTCTCAGTGCTGTTTCTCCACTTTCCATCCTGAGTCAAGGGGTGGTGAAAGGGAACGGAGTATGCGGAGGGAGGTGGGCCCAGCCGGCTCACACTGACGGCACCCTCTCCGCCCCAGTCTCCAGGTGGCCTCAATTGGTGCTTCAGGCGCCCAGGTGCTAGGGGAAGCCTTGGCTGTGAACAGAACCTTGGAGATTCTCGAGTAAGTATTCCAGTCTCCATCTATGGTCTTTAGCCCAAAGAAATCAATGAATTCTCAATGAATAGATATGGGGACAAAGTTTACAGACAACTCACAAATCATCCTGGTGATCTTCATTTCAGTGCAAGTATACCAGTTTCCCAGCCCCACTTCATGCCTTTCCCTGGGAGTCGCTATCATTTGCCCTCCTCTCCGGGTTGGCCTTGCCAGGCTGAACACGTCTAGAGGCCTGGTTTATGGGTCCCAGGGGGGCTGATCTTGTTCTCTGGGCAGATCCAAAGTCCTGGGGTGAGGTTACAGCTCTGAGGCTCAGGCATGTCCTCAGAATTCCTGCCCTTGCTGGGAGCACTGGGGACCTGCCCAGATGGAGGGCTGCCTCTCCTGTCTCAGCCCCGCTTTTCTGTTTGAAATGGAAGAGGAGGAAGGCTCCAACAACCCTCCTGGCTAGGCCAGCCATGCCCCTGTGTGCCCTGCTTCCCAGAGCCAGCTCTGCCCTGTTGCCCTGGAGTGAGGAAGGCACAGCCCTGGCCTCCTGTGACTGCTGAAGTCCTTGTTTCCTCTACCAAGCAGCCCCAAGCCCACCCGCAGAGGGGTCAGTATCACCTCTCAGCCTGTACCCATGCCTTAGGCTTCCTGTCTTTCCCAACAGCTTAAGAGGAAATGCCATTGGGGTGGCTGGAGCCAAAGCCCTGGCAAATGCTCTGAAGGTAAACTCAAGTCTCCGGAGACTCAAGTAAGTGGCTGGAGGGACCTACCTGCATCCTGGAGCAGCAGAGTTCTCTGCTGGGTCCTCCCTGATGGAATAAAATGCTCCTGATTTCTTCTGTAGCTATTTCCTTCTGAATATAAACAATCAGACTTATTATAGTCCACATTCCACTGCAGCTGGGTTTGTTGAGTGTGCTTAGCTTCAGTCAGAAGTCACTCACATCTTGCATTTATGGCCTTACATCCTCCAGCGCACTTGCGTGGGACAATCTGGCCACTCGTAGACACCTGTCTCCAGGGTCAACTCCCACCTGGAGTTGCCATGGCACCTGTGGACACATCTGCCTGGGTTACTGCCCCCAGACAATGCACTGTTGCTTCCCCGGGTGTTTTCCTTCTGCCCTGATGGCTCACCGTGTGTCTCCATCTCTTTTCCACTTAGTCTTCAAGAGAATTCTCTGGGGATGGACGGGGCGATATGCATTGCCACAGCACTGTCTGGAAACCACAGGCTCCAGCATATCAAGTGAGTGCACCTGCCCTTCCTGCTCACCCTTAGAACTGCTTCCAGGTGGCGCACTGCCTTTTGCCCAGTTCTGAGAGCCAGCTGACCCCCAGACGCTTCAGCAGGCCTATAGGGAAACCTGGTCTAAGGGGAGGTACCCTGAGCCTTGTCCATGTAGCGAGGGGATCCTAGAAGCACAAAGGCTTTGCATGGGGTCCTGCATTTTCTATTGTATGGCCTGCTCTACTAAAGAGAACCTGCAGGCTTTGAGCCCTGCCTTAACCCTACTCTTCTAGTCTCCAGGGAAACCACATTGGGGACTCCGGGGCCAGGATGATCTCAGAGGCCATCAAGACAAATGCTCCCACGTGCACTGTTGAAATGTGATCCTGGTGGACGGATCAGGAGAATGGGCAGATGCTCAGCTGGAAGCTTTTGAACAGAAAGGCCGACTTCTGGGGGGCCTGTCTGGGAGCTGGGAACGCTGCTTGCTCAGCACGAGAGCCGGGCTCTGCAGGGAGGAAGGAGAGGTGCTGCCGGAGGAGGTCGTGAGCTCCTCTTCTGCTGCAGGAGTGGTCCAGGCAGGGGGTGACGGGTACTCTGTTATGGCACAGAGAAGGGAGGGGCCACCCCCAAGGGACTAGGGGCCAAAGGCCTGAAAGCTGAGCAGTACAGGAGGCTGGTTCCAGCTTTACACCCTGAGGACTTCATGTGTCCCCAACCTTTAAAAATGTTTATTACTGCCCCTTTCCACTCACCTGGTTAAAAATCATCCCATGCTCTGAGATGAGCTGCCACCTCAAGCCCGTGAGGAGCATCCGTTTGGTAGGGGTAACAGAGGGGACCCTTCTTTATCTTCTCAAGAAGAAGATTTCAGGGTATCATCCTTACAGACATGAAAAAGCTATGGGAAAATTGTGAAGATAAATGAAAGTTTTAATTCTAGGATTCTGGAAACAGAGACAGTAAGAGTTCTCCAAGGATTTTGCCTTTTTTGTTTGTTTTTGAGATGGAGTCTCGCTCTTGTCGCCCAGGCTGGAGTGCAGTGGCACGATCTCAGCTCCCTGCAACCTCCGCCTCCCGGGTTCATGTGATTCTCCTGCCTCAGCCTCCCCAGTAGCTGGGAATACAGGCACCCGCCACCATGCCCGGCTAATTTTTGTAGTTTTAGTAGAGACGGGGTTTCATCATGTTGGCCAGGCTGGTCTCGAACTCCTGACCTCAGGTGATCCATCAGCCTGGGCCTCCCAAAGTACTGGGATTACAGGCATGAGCCACCACACCTGGCCCCATTTTTTATTTATTACAAAATCAAAGACATGGGTGATGCCTGGCACATGTTGTCTGGAGTCTGGCACACTGGTTATCAATAGCACATTCAGTGTATTCAGTGATGTCATTCTTTATTTATTTTTGAGACAGAATCTGTCACCCAGGCTGGAGTGCAGTGGCATGATCTCAGCTCACTGTAGGCTCTACCTCATGGGTTCCAGTGATTCTCCTGCCTCGGCCTCCCAAGTAGTTGGGTCTACAGGCACGCACCACCACACCCAGCTAATTTTTGTATTTTTAGTAGAGATGGGGTTTCACCATGTTGATCAGGCTGGTCTTTAACTCCTGACCTCAAGTGATCCACCCACCTCAGCCTCCCAAAGTGCTGGGATTACAGGTGTGAGCCACTGCACCTGGCAGTGATGTCATTCCTTACTAGGCTTCCAAAGCCACTGCTGTGGCCACAGCTTCCATGGAGACAGGCAAGCTGAGCCTCTATGTGGCACCAATTCCTGCAGCTGTTTGTGTTGGAGGGAAAAAAATCCAAATGGACATCAACAGCTTTCATCAACTAAATAACCACAGAAAATATTTATGAAGACTATAAAGCAATGATTACTTTTGAATTGGAAAGGAATCACTATTATTTGAAATGTTTCTTCAAAAGTGAGCATCCGGACAGGAACCATCATGGATGCTGAGGCCATGGATGAAGGCCTACTCGGGAAGATGATATCCTTGCAGTCTCAAAACGGCACCCCACAAAGGTGATATCCTAATTTACAAAGGGAAAAAGGTACCTTAATCTGAAATCTGGCAAATGCAGCCTCAACAGAAGTGACAGAATTGAACATCGCCAATAATGGGACACACAGACATCACATGCCCCCAGTCTGATGCACCACGGAGTCGTCTCTGATGTATTCTTGTCAAAAAATGTTTGCCTGATTCTAATCATGAAAGAACAATTAGAAAAAATCCAAATTGACAGATATTCTGCAGAATAAATGGCCTGACCTCATCAAAAACATCAATGTCATGAAAAACACAAAACATTGCAGATAGCGTGAAATTAAAGATTACAGAGATATAATTTAATGCAAGATCTCTGACTGGATCCTAGACTGCAGGAAAAAGTCTGCTATAAAGAACATTTGGATCACTTGTAGTAGCTGGGAAATAAAACAAAACATTATTTGTAAAAGGGGGGAAATCTGAACATGGGTCTTGCAGTATTTATGACAGTTTTTGCGGGGCAGAGATTTCTAGATTGACAGCTGTTTTAGTACTTTCAAGGTGATGCTCTGTCTGCTGGTTTGCATTGTTTCTGTCTGAGTTAAGAGACTGGCAGAACACAGAGTTGCAGTAGCCAAACACTGGAGAAAGCTGGGCCCTACAGAAACCTAACGCTGAAGAAACCTCAGGAGCCAAACTGGTGGAGAAAACAAAGAGTCCTCCCTCTCTCCCTTTTCAAATAATGATCATACATCTTCAAGCTGTCTGAAATGGTTAAGGAGTTCAGTCTGTCGTCAGGCACACACCAGAGCCAGCTAGCCCACACAGACCCCATCAGAGCAAAACAGACAAGAGAATTTAATTCATATCCACATAGAAAGGACTTCTAGGTAGGAGGTAGACCCTTTAGCTCCCTTCCAATTAAAGGAGTCCCCAATTCTGGCACCTGAGAGTCCCCTGGGTCTAACAGCTATGATATTTATGTAGTGTGTTGCTTACCTAAATGAATACAATTTCCTTCCAGACACGTGACACTGATATTAAAGTGCTAATGAGAGGGATCTATTTCTTCTTGTACGCTAAAAGAGAAACAGCAGTTCAGATTTCCCATCAGAAGTCCGAGGACTTTGTTCTTGATAACTACTACCAATAAAAATTGAGTATTTGAAAAATTCCTTTGTATTTTCCATCCATACACATTTTTTTTTAAAGCATTTTAGGAAGTCCTCTAATTATATAGTAAAAATTGTCAGCAATGGCCTGCTAGTTTTCTATTTGACCTAATCACAACCATCCTCGTTAGGTCCTGAGGTCTGCTCTGCTGCTTGGCCAAAACCAAATGGTGCCAGGTCACAAAGCACTTGCACATGTGAATCCTGCATCCATTCTACAATGGGTCACTATTGACTGAAATACTTTAATAAAAATGATAGAGCACATAAAGCTTGCTGTTGACAGAAACTTCCGTGCTCAAGCAAGGCAGTGCTATACATGGTGAGACCTTGCACAAAGTCAGTTAACTAACAGATGATCTAGAAGCAGGTGACACAATGAAATACCCTTTGGAGCTGTTGCCTATGTCTGTGGATAGGCTCTTTGTAGCTAGGTTAGGCTTCTGTGTTAAAGTGTGTTAGAAGAAAGCATCACATAAGGAAAATAGAACTCTATTCGTATGTTTTTTCAAAACAGAAGTCAAGTCACATTCAGGCAAACCAAATCTGTAACATTCAAGAAGATGCAGTGACTCTTCCGCATCTTAGAGCCACGGTGTCTGAGGTGGCTGGCATGGCTCCAACACGCTGGCTTCCCTGTCAGTGGATCATTTACAATATGGTGCATTTCAAATTACTGGTGAATTCACTGAATACTGGCTGTTTTTTTTTTTTTAGGGGTAATCTTATACATAAAATTTAGGAAAAGAAAGAGAAAAAAGCAAAAATGACAGAAATAACTCAAAAGTTCCTAAAATTTATGTGTATCTTTTCGTACCTGTGAACTCCTGAATAAGTATTTATATCTGACAGGTACAAATACAATAATTATATTTTTAAGTAAAACCTATTTAATAATATGAAGTATGGTGTTAAATACATGTATTAAAAGATAAGTAACTTCAGAAGTCTTCTGACTTTTTAATTGTAAAATAAGTGAAAACTGTTTTGTGCTTTTTTATTTACTGTATGCTTTTTTTTTTTTTTTTTTTTTTGAGATGGAGTCTCACTCTGCTGCCCAGGCTGGAGTGCAGTGGCGCCATCTCGGCTCACTGCAACCTCCGCCTCCTAGGTTCAAGCGATTCTCCTGCCTCAGCCTCCCCAGTAGCTGGGGTTACAGGCATGCGCTACCACGCCCGGCTAATTTTTGTATTT
This sequence comes from Homo sapiens, assembly GCF_000001405.40. Taxonomy (NCBI): domain Eukaryota; kingdom Metazoa; phylum Chordata; class Mammalia; order Primates; family Hominidae; genus Homo; species Homo sapiens. The sequence goes on along the minus strand of NC_000016.10, from coordinate 3,537,838 downwards.
TTAGTAGAGGTGGGGTTTCGCCATGTTGGCCAGGCTGGTCTCAAACCCCTGACCTCAGGTGATCTACCCACCTCAGCCTCTCAAAGTGCTAGGATTACAGGCATGAGCCACCACGCCTGACCTACTGTACGCTTTTTACAAGCAGCGTGCTTTTCTTTTTCTTTTTTTTAAAGACAGGGTCTCACTCTGTCACCCAGGCTGGAGTGCAGTGGCATGATCACGGCTCATTGCAGCCTCAACTTCCTGGTCTCAAGTGATTCTCCTGCCTCAGCCTCCTGAATAGCTGAGACCACAGGCATGCCCCTCCACACCTGGCTAATTTTTTAATTTTTTGTAGAGATGGAGTCTCACTTAGTTGTCCAGGCTAGTCTAAAACTCCTGGGCTCAAGTGATCCTCCCACCTTGGCCTCCTGAGTAGCTGGACCCAAGGGCGCTTGCCACCACTCCCAGCTAAGTACTTTTCATATTAAAAAAAAAGAAGAAGAAAAAAGAAAAAAACCAACTCCACTTCTAATTTCACAACAGAAAAATTCTTCTAGTGCTATTACTCTACTTAATTCAATCCTGTGTTGTTGTTTTTTTAAATCAGAAACATGAATCTGTACCAACACTTTTTCTTAATTGGCTCCTTCCCCTACAGAAACACTTAGGTAGCGAGCTGCAGGAAACCTGCCTTTGTCCCTGTGTTGTGCACTATGTCTTGCCACACTTTAGACAAAACAAAGCTCCTTTAGAGAAACCCTGGCTGGAGGGAAGAAAAGTGTCCCGGCTGTCATTGCCATGGGAGTCTGGAGTTTCTGAGAGGGCAGCCCAGGTCACCAGAGTTTCCAGATTTAGTACCAACCGTGGAAACATGAAGGTGGCTGTAATCCAAGGTGAACTGGACTGCCAGAGGAATGTCAGCTTCGGACAGAAAATGGAGGATTCCTCATCTGGAGCCTGTCTCTATTGCCTGATTTTCAAAGAAACCAAGTTTTCATTTAACTTTAGCTAACCTTCTTTCAGAAAAGTTTAGTTATTAAAATACATTTAATGCTTGGTATTGTGAACATGCAGACGAAAGAAAATAAGATTACAAAATGAAATAAGAGCTAGAATTAAAAGCCGATGTATAGGAAATGTTCTCAACTGTGCAAGTGATTAACAGCCAGATGTTCCCCTACGATTCCAAACATGAGTCCCCAGTGCCAAGTTCCAGCCCCAACTCTGCTGGAGTCTCAGAGAAAATGTATAGTAACAAAAGCAGCCAAGACTTGTGTGGCGTCAGCTCTTATTTCTTCTTGAGTTTTTGTCCCGTGGATGTGAATCACTAAGAACACATGCATTCCTCAAGTTTTAGAAGATAAATAAGGTGGAAAAAAATAAATCTTAGGGATTTGCTTCAATTCTTATTTAAGCTTCATGGAATGCAAACATAGGAGGCTAAAGCAGAAATAAGTATTGCTTCAGTGATCATGAGTCCAGCCAGCTTAGTAAACAAAACAGGGGTTACCTTCCTAACCTTCTAAGTTCCCATTTACCTACAAGTCTGAGGGTTTTAATCTGCCAGGGTCCCTTGGCAAAAGGGTCAGAAGTCATTGTCACTCTCATCCAGGGGTTCAGATTTCCGGACCCTTCGATTGGGCTTGGTTGGTGAGAGAGAAATGCTCTCGTCTTCCAAATCGTCATCCTCGTCATCATCATCTTCCATGTCAATTTCACTCTCCTCCGAGTCCTCCTATAGGAAAAAAATGGCAGATGCAACGGGGGATCCTGCCTCATTCCTGACATCTTGTCCTAAGACTCTCTGCCTCCCTTTCTATAGCAGCATCCCTGTGTGAAGGAAGAGGCTGGCAGAGTGGCAAGCAGGCTGTGGGAGGGCATACAGATGGGACTGAGGCTATGTACTGCCAGCTGGAATTTATCATCCAACCAGAATCCTCCAAACTGCAGGTGCATCTGGGTGTGGTGCTGCAGGGGCTGGCTTTCCCGCAGCGTCTAAGAAGCACTCTGCATCTGCGCTGAGGGCCACTGGACCTAGAGACTCCCCCTACAGATGGCAAGAAGGACAGGGGCTTGGAGAGAGGGAAGGGAGGCCTGTTTTGGCTTTTTGTAGATTGTGGATGGAAAGCAACATAGACATTGGTATAAGGAGCAAAGTGAATCCCAGCTACTCCGGAGACTGAGGCAGAAGAATCGCTTGAACCTGGGAGGCAGAGGTGCAGTGAGCCGAGATTGCACCACTGCACTCCAAAGCAAGACTCCATCTCAAAAAAAAAAGAAAAAAAAGAAAAAAAGGGAGCAAAGTGAAAGACACACCCTCTCTCTCCTCATCGGATCCAGGGCTCCAGGGTGACCAACTCAGCCCAGCTTTAAAACGGCAGTTCCTGCGTCCCATGTAAACCAGGATGGCTGGTCGTTCTATCTAGATCATTCCTGTCGGTGCACACTCATGCTGTAATTTCCTTCTTGAAAAAAAACCCCAAAGGTAATCCCACCTTCCTCTCCAGCTGCTCTGCCCTGTCTCTCTCCCCTCACACAAAGCTCCTGAGCGAGTCGTTGAACTCACTGTCCACACCTGTGCCCCTCACGACTGCTTCAGTTCCCCCGGGCTCTCACCTACTGACCCCAGCACTGCTCCTGTCAAGAAGGAAACATTCAACGGACTGGGATCGATTCTCAGGCCTCATCCTGCTTGAGCTGTGGAATCACCCCTTCATCCTTAAAACCCATCTTCTCCATCCCCCAGGGCCCCTTCTCTAGTCCAGGTCCCCCTTCCTCACTGCTGACGCCCCTCAGCCTCCTCTGCCTGCCCCTTCCTCCCGGACCTCTGCAGGGCAGATGCAGCTCAGGACCTTGGGTCGCCTCTCTTCTCATTCTACTTGCTCTCCCTAGGCAGTCACATCTATCCTTGTGGCTTAGATACCAACCAAATAAGGGTGGCTCCCAAAATTCAATCTCTAGCCCAGACGTGGCCCTTGAACTCCAGACTTAAATTCCACCTGGCTACTCAACCCTAGCATGTGGCTGTCACATTCAGAATGTCCAAAATCAAACTTTCGATCTGCCTTCCAAGCCCCTTTGTCAAGTCGGCCCCATCTCAGAAAATGAAACTCTGCTTTCTGCTGATTAGACCAAGCCCAGGCACCCTCATTTTTCTCTTTCTCTAACAGCCTATGTCCAATCAATTCACAAAACCTGATGGTTCTTAGAGAGACCCAGGACCTGACCATTTCTCAACACCTCTGCTGCCACACCTTCGGCCAAGCACCGTCACCTCTGACCTCCACGGGTGCAGGCGCCTCCTAACTGGCTTCTCTCAAACAGGGATCATCAGCTCTTGACCCTTCTGGGCTCATGATTCTTCAGGGCCTTCCCCTCACACTCAGAGAAAACAGAGTCTTCATCTCACCCTGCAAAGCTCTGCATGGCCCCTGCTGCCTCTCGCACTCACCCACAATCACACCAGCTGCCTCTGCTCCTCGATGCGAGGAGTGCATTCCACATGCCCAGGTGCCGCCAACCCATGCGCTCGCTCCCTCCACTCAGGCCCTGCTCAAACACCACCACGTCAGGGGCCTTCACTGACCTCGCAGAAGACGCCACCCCCTCCTTGTTCCCTGTCACTCCCTGTCCCCTGAAGCTGTTATTCCTCCTGTTAACACCATGAGCCCTGATCCGACAATCCATCATTATTGCTGGGGTGTGAGCCATGAAGCAGGGGCTTGCCTCTGCCCCTGCTGCGTTCCCCATAATCCACGACAGCACTGGCATGTGGCAGGCACTCAACAGACACGTGTTGGATGCCTGAACACGTAAAGCATGGAACCCTGTGCCTGGAGGGCGGCATGGACACAGCCTCCTTGAAATAAACAAGTGACCACCAGGCATAAAGCTCAGCTGCGACTAATGCATTCGCTCTGAGGAGAGAGAAGGCAAACCCTGGAGAAGAGGCAGGCGGTGCTGCCTCAGCATTGCCAGCACCCACGCCACACTCCCTCTGCTTCTGTCTTGGGTGGGCAAGACGGAGAGACGCTGTATACCATCCACACCCGAGCTTGTTAGGAAAATTATTTTCCAGTTGCTCTCTCTGCTTCTCTACAGACTGTGCCCTGTAAATTCAGGGCACATGGAGGCAGCCTGGGGTCAGTCTCTGTTGAGTCGCCCTTTGCTGTGTGGGCCGAGCAGCACTGCCAGGGACGCAACAAAGAACGTAGGCTTGAGCAATGGGCGGCAGAGCCCTGATGACTGGACCTCACTGAGGACCCCTAGAATCCCCTTTTGCTTAAGTGCTCCAGGGAGTTATCCACTCAGTAAAGCTCAAGGCAGCTTATGTCTCAGCCTCATGCCTGGCACCTCGAGGGCCTGGTCTGGGGACAGTGCTGCTTCACCATTCCGTCCCCAGCACAGAACAGGGAGGGGGGTTGGTCCTGAGCCCGGCCCTCGGCGTCCTCCTTCATTTCTAGGTGGCGGCCCAGGGCCTGAGGATGGCCCGGCCTGAGCTTTCCCCGCCTCCAGGCTCCGTGCCTGCGCCTCCACTTTAGCACAGGGGCCTTCAGTGATCCCGCTGTCACCACAGGATCTCTTTTGAGTGGCCTTTTTGCCCAGGAGAGAGGAAGCATCACTCCTAGGGAGAGGCCCCTGGCTGGCCCCGGGAGGGCTGACAGACACCCACAAACACATGAGGCAGAACAGAAAACCAACCTGCTTCTTGGAGCTGGAAGTCTTGCATTTACCTAAGAGAGCTGGTGCTGCTTCCATCTTTGGAAAGCGAGAATGGAAAGAACAGTGAGAAGGCAAAAAAAGCAGAGCAAGCACATTCACTTGAAAAGAGATGAGCCATCCACGAGCAACGAAGAGTCCAGAGCCTCATGAGGCCAAACCCTGCCACGCATCGAGGCACGGCCGGGCTGACCATAGACGGCTCCCTGGCTGCTGACAGCAACTCAGCCACTCCCATCTATGGGGACAGCCAAACCCAGAGTGCACAGAACCACTGAGGGGAGCGGGGGACTTACATTGTCATCGGAGTCTCCACCTTGCATCGTGCCCACAATGCGTTTGCCAGGTCTTCCTGAGAACAACAAAAGCATGAAGAAGTCATAAAAATCTTGGAAAATAAAGCAGGAAATAGCATTCAAGATTTGTTTTCTGGCCAGGCATGTTGGCTTTTGCGTATAATCCCAGGAATTTGGGAGGCTGAGACAGGAGGCCAGGAGTTTGAGGCCAGCCTGGGCAACATAATGAAACCTCATTTCTACAGAAATTTTTTTAAACATTAGCCAGGTATGGTGGTTCACACCTGTAGTCTCAGCTACTCGGGAGGCTGAGGCAGGAGACTCGCTTGAAACCAGGAAGCAGAGGTTGCAGTGAGCTGAGATCGTGCCACTGCACTCTAGCGTGAACGACAGAATGAGATTCTGTCTCCAAAAAAAAAAAAAAAAAAAAAAAAAAAAGCAACTGTGCTCCAAACATTAACAGGTGGTAGATAAGAAATGTTTTTAAAGGCAAATATAGGAGAATTTTATAGTATTAAAATAAAAATTTATGGAACCTTTGACCTAAGAATTTGACTTTTAATGATGCAACCTAAAGATATGCAGACATGCAGAAAGATGTATATACAAGGAAAAGAGGGGAAATATCAATGCGAGAACGCCCAGTAAATCATGGGTACAGTCCTGCTAGGAATATGACATAGCCATTAAAAAGTAGGGGGCAGGCCAGGAGTGGTGGCTCAGGCCTGTAATCCCAGCACTTTGGGAGGCCGAGGCGGGTGGATCACCTGAGGTTGGGAGTTCGAGACCAGCCTGGCCAACATGGTGAAACCCCGTCTCTACTAAAAATACAAAAATTAGCTGGGTGTGGTGGCACGGGCCTGTAACCCCAGCTACTTGGGATTGCAGGAGAATTGCTCCCTCCGGGAAGCAGAGGTTGCAGTGAGCCAAGATCATGCCATTGCACTCCAACCTGGGGACCAAGAGCGAGACTTTGTCTCAAAAAGAAAAAAAAAAAAAATTAGGGGGCAGATCTATTGCTGACAGAGGAAGAGTTCCAATTGTACTTAATTTTTAAAAACAAAAGCAAGTTGCAGAACCATACATACCGTCTGGTTGCACTCAGGTTAAATTTTTTTCAGGTGATCTTTGTATGTGTATGTGTGTGCGTATGTATATGTACAGAAAGGTAATCTGTAAAGACACACCCACCCTGGCCACTAGCCATGAGCCCTCCCAGGTGGGAGTGGGACATGAGGAAGACCCCAGGAGAGAATTCACATTTGCTCTACAAATTTTGTTGCCTGAGTCTTTTTTTGTTTTAACTCTTTTTTTTTTTTTGAGACGGAGTCTCACTCTGTCGCCCAGGCTGGAGTGCAGTGGCGTGATCTCGGCTCACTGCAAGCTCCGCCTCCTGGGTTCACACCATTCTCCTGTCTCAGCCTCCCGAGTAGCTGGGACTATGGGCGCCCGCCATTGCGCCCAACTAATTTTTTTTTTATTTTTAGTAGAGACGGGGTTTCACCGTGTTAGCCAGGATGGTCTCGATCTCTTGACCTCGTGATCCACCCGCCTTGGCCTCCCAAAGTGCTGGGATTACAGGCGTGAGCCACCGCGCCTGGCTTAACTTAGTTTTAAGAGCCCCTCTATGTTGCCCGGGCCGGAATGCAGTGGATATTCACGGACACAATCATCACATACTACAGCTCCGAGCTCCTAGGCTCAAATGATCCTTCTGCCTCAGCCTCCTGAGTAGCTGGGAATAAGGTGTGCACCACTGCGCTGAGCTTTGTTGCTTGAATCTTTTGTGATGAGTAAAGGAATTAGAAGAACTTTTTTTAAGGCAGAGATGCTCATTTAAGTCCCTTTCTGCATTAATTCTCAGGCTATTAAGTATATCACTGCACTGAGAGTGGCAGAGGCAATGTGTTCTTGTGGCTGTGAGAAATACCAAGCCATAAATATGAACCATCCAGTCTTGGGATCACAGACAAGGAGCAAACATGACCACTGAGCAGTTCAAGAGCCATAAACAACAGGACAGGATAAACCTGAGCAAGAGCTGCTTCTAGGGGCCATTCGCAGCACGCTTGTGGGCCTCAATACTAAGCAGCCTGCCCCAGTCCTGGCCAGGTGTTCTGTGAAACAGGGCGCAGGGAGGAAGTCCAGCGAAAGACGCCGGGGTACCTTGCATGAGCATCTCCATGGCTGTCTGTGGCTTGGGCAGCCGCCTTTCTTCCAACTCACTGTCGGATTCATCGTCCTCCTGGATGTCTATGTCCGAGTCATCGTTACCTAGCAGGAACACAAGCAGGCAAAACAAAGGAGTGGCTTCATGATCACAACGAAACAGCTCTGCCCAGTAAGGTCTGTGTGCAAAAGTCATTTGTTCATTTCTTATTCTATCCAGGAAATTAAGACATTAAATCCTTATCCCATGCAATGCAAATCAAATTATATAATCAATTTTAAAATAAAATTAATACATGTACCTCAGGCTCAATAAGATTTCTTCTTACAACTCAAACCAATACAGACCTGAGAAGTGAGCAGGTAAACTAAAGTCAATTGCTATTATATGATTTCAATGTGTCTCCGAAAAGCCTGTGTTGGAAACTTAAATCCCAATGCAACAGTGTTGGGAGGTGGGGCATACTGGGAGGTGTTTAGGTCATGAGGGCTCCGCCTTGAAGAATGGATTAATGCTGGTTATAAAAGGGCTTGAGGCTGTGAGTTTGATCTCTTGCTCTCTCTCGCCCTCTCTTTGCCCTTCTGCCATGGGATGGTGCGGCAAGATGCAGCTCCTTGATCTTGGGCTTGCTCCTAGAACTGTGGCTCATTAAATTTCAGACAAGTAAGTTTCTGATTATAATGATAATAATATAACCTAATACTAATATATTATATATGTTATATAATTGTCATATATTATTATATATAATAATATATAACTATATAACATATATAATTATAAATATAAATTTATAAATTATAAATTATATTATAAAATATATATTATATAATATATTATATAATATATTATATTATAATATATATATAATAATATAATATATATTATATAATATATAATAATATAATATATATTATATAATATATAATATATAATAATATATATAATATATAATATTATATAATATATAATATATAATATATAATAATATATAATATATAATAATATATAATATATAATAATATATAATATATAATAATATATAATATATAATATTATATAATATATAATATATAATAATATATAATATTATATAATATATAATATATAATAATATATAATATATAATAATATATAACATATAATAATATATAATTATATAATATATATAATATAATATAATTATATAATATATAATATAATATATATTATATATAATAATATATAATATAATATATATTATATATAATAATATATATGACATATATATATAAACTACACACACACACACACACATACAAAACTGGCCCTCTGTATCCATGGATTTCACATCCATGGGTTCAGCCAACCATGGATCTGAATTATTTGGAAAAAAAATCTACAAAGTTCAAAAAAGATCTACAAAGTTCCAAAAAGCAAAACTTGAATTTGCCACATACCAAGTACTATGTTGAATCCATGTGAATGAAGTGATGTATAGGCATTATGTTAGGTATTTTATGTAATCTAGAGATGACTTAAAGTATATGGGAGGATGTGCATAGGTTACATGAAAAGGACTTGAACATCTGTGGATTTTGGTATCCACAGGTGGGTTCTGGCACCAGTTCTTCGCAGATATTGAGGGATGACTGCATGTATCCATATATACAATGCTGTATATATTTTATGTAAAATATATAATTACCCAGTCTCAGGTATTCTGTTACAGCAGCACAAAACAGACTAAGACATTAATGCATGCTGACACTGAAACCACTGAGCTGACAGTGACAATTAAAATTAATGGCTGACAACATGCGAGTATAACTCAATGGGGAAATAATAGTCTTTTCCACAAATGATAATAGGACAACCGAATAGCCACATGCAAAAGAATGAAGTTGGACCCCCTGTCTCACACCATATACAAAAATTAACTCAAAGTGGATCAGAGACCTAAATGTAAGAGCTAAAACTATAGAACTCCTAGAAGAAAACACAAAGGTAAATCTTGGTGAATAAAGCAAGATCAGAATGGCAGGTCTTAGCATCCTGGCCCGGGGACAGCATGGGATGCAAGCAACAAACCAGGGCTCCTAGCTGAGCTGGGCCTCTCGCAAGGGACAAACCCCATGCAGGCTGATCACTGAGGGCTGCTTCACATGCTCCTGGCTGACATGGAACTAAAAAGGGGAGGGCTGCTTTGGCTAGACAGGCCCTTCAAATTTCCTAACCTTGTTCCTGGAGGATTTCCCAGCAGTCCCTATCCTTCCTCCAAAGTTTCCTGAGATTCAGACGAGAGAGTCACAGAACAGGTGCAAAATGAGAGAGATACAAGGGAAATGGCAAAGAAAGAGAAAGAGAGAGAGAGAGAGTGTGTGTGGGAGCATGTGTGTGGGCCTGATGCCTCAAGTATGCTGCCCTCAACATGAGAGTGAATAGAATATTTCACCCTGAAGAAAAGAAAGGGCAACCAGCAAGAGGAGGAGGAACTCCGTGCAACAAGGCCATCAATTCAGCAGGAAGATCCTGGGCTGCTACCGGTCCCTGACAGTGACTTGACACTGAAGTTCAGGGATGTAGGGTACAGCCCCACAGGGTCGGTGGGTTTTCTCCCCATGTGCAGAGATGAGAGACTGTAGAAATAAAGACACAAGACAAAGAGATAAAAGAAAAGACAGCCGGGCTTGGGGGACCACTACCACGAAGACGTGGAGACTGATAGTGGCCCTGAATGCCAGGCTGTGCTGATATTTATTGGATACAAGACAAAGGGGCAGGGTAAGGAGAGTGAGCCATCTTCAGTGATAGGTAAGGTCACATGGGTCACGTATCCACTGGACAGGGGGCCCTTCCCTGCCTGGCAGCTGAGGCAGAGAGACAGAGAGGAGAGAGAGACAGCTTACGCCATTATTTCTGCTTATCAGAGACTTTTAGTACTTCCACTAATTTGCTACTACTATCTAAAAGGCAGAGCCAGGTGTACAGGACAGAACATGAAGGCAGACTAGGAGCATGACCACTGAAGCACAGTATCACCGGGAGATGGTTAGGCCTCCGGATAACTGCGGGCGGGCCTGACTGATGTCAGGCCCTCCACAAGAGGTGGAGGAGTAAAGTCTTCTCTAAACTCCCCCGGGGAAAGGGAGACTCCCTTTCCTGGTCTGCTAAGTAGCAGGTGTTTTTCCTTGACACTGACGCTACCACTAGACCACGGTCCACTTGGCAACGGGCGGCTTCCCAGACGCTGGTGTTCCCACTAGACCAAGGAGCCCTCTGGTGGCCCTGTCTGGGCATAACAGAAGGTTTGCACTCTTGTCTTCTGGTCACTTCTCACCATGTCCCCTCAGCTCCTATATCTGTATGGCCTGTTTTTTCCTAGGTTATGATTGTAGAGCGAGGATTATTATGATATTGGAATAAAGAGTAATTGCTATAAACTAATGATTAATGATATTCATATATAATCATATCTATGATCTATATCTAGTATAACTATTCTTATTTTATATATTTTATTATACTGGAACAGCTCGTGCTCTCGGTCTCTTGCCTCGGCACCTGGGCGGCTTGCCGCCCACACAAGGATAAGGGAAGCTGCCTGGTCACAGAGAGCTCCTTCCCGGAATCTAGGCTTTGCATGGACGTAACCCTGTGTCTCTCCAGCTGAGTGTCTTGCTGAGCCATTCTGGATTATGGGGGGCATCTCAGCAGCATGGGGACCATCACAAAGCGAGCGGCCCCTCTCCCTGCACTGCATCCCAGTGCTTGCTTTCCATCATTCAGCCTGAAAATACAGAACCCTACACACATCTAGGGCCATGTTTTCTTATAGTTACGCATCATATATAATTCAAACTATCATTTAAACAGGGGAAAACACTATCTTAACTGGCACAAGAACGAAATGTGTTTTAAATGCTATATTTAAACCAGACTCTTGAGTGAATACAATGGTACCCAATATAGAAGTTGTGAGAAAACCGCCTTTTGAAAATATTTTTGTACCTATAGTCAACAATAATTTATTATACTTTTCAAAATTGAAGATGTAAAGTGAAGTGTTCTTACTACAGTAAAAAAAAAACTGCTGAAAAAAAGAAGAAAATACATATTAAAAAATATATATATATCTCTCTATATATATTTCAAGGCTGAAAATACTAGTCCAGAGTAAACTGCTCGTCTACGAAGCCCAGCCTTACTTCCACTCTTGAGCAGGCGCTTCTCTTCCTCCTTGAGCTTGTTCTGTATCAGGCAGAGAGTGTTTTTAGCTTCCTGTGGAAGAGGAAATACAGACTCAGGAGAGATGGCCCTTTTCTGGACTGTTCTATTCTTCTTCACCACTGTGTAAGGACTGCTAAGTTTGTGCTACAGAACAAAAAAAGAGCTAAACTCAAGGAAGGGGAAGAGAATTAACACTGCCTGAGCAACTCCAGGGTCCTGAAACTTACTGCCCTTTCTCTCTGCGGTTGCCTCGTGGCCTGGTGGACAGGGGCGCCCAGAGTGAAGCAGCTGCCCCACCCCATGCTTCTCCGATTGCATTTCCCTGCCTCTGAGGAGAACTAAATGCCCATCACGCATGCCTGTATGACCTGGGGACACAGAACAGACACATCTAATTTTAGGGCAGAGACAGGCCTCCTGCTTTCAAAGGAAGAAAGTATAGATTTTATCATTTATCTTTCCTGCCCTGCCTTCAGATTCCAGCTCAAAAGATGCTAAATGGTGGGACAGGTAAGGATGGGAACAGGGGTGGGGACAGGAGGAAATATCTCAGATCATAAAATGTGGCCTTGATTATTATCAAGAAAGAGAATGGGGGCTGGGCGTGGTGGCTCACACCTGTAACCCCCACGCTTTGGGAGGCCAAGGCAGGAGGATCACTTGAGCCCAGGAGTTTGAGACCAGCCTGGGCAACATAGGGAAACCTCATCTCTACAACAAATTTAAAAAATTTAGCCAGGTATGGTGGCAAGTGCCTATAGTCCCAGCTACTCAAGAAGCTGAGGTGGGAGGATCGCTTGAGCCCAAGAGGTCTGAAGCTACAGTGAGTTATAATCACACCCTGCCCTCCAGACAGAGTGGCAGGCAACAGAGTGAGACCCCGTTGAGAAAGAGAAAGAGACAAAGAGAGAGAGTGGGGGGGAGGGACAGACAGAGGGAGGAAGTTGGCTTTATATATTGTTGTTCTAAACATTAAAAATAAAGCACTGTGTTTCCGGCATGGGGTATTTCGAGGGAACAGGTATTCTAACGACAGAGAGCGAGAGTGAGTAAGAGAAAAAGAGATGTACTTGTTGAAGGAAGGGTAGGGTAGAGGGGCTCCCTGGGAAGTTTCCTGGGCCACCTACCTGCCACTCTGAGGCATACTGTTTGGTTTGTTCTCTGAACCCAGAGGTGGCCCCAGATAATACAAAAAAATGGCCAACGTTTCTTTTCACTGCCCTTGACTGTTCTTTCCCAGGTACCCAATGTTTAAAATGTTCTAAACTCCAAGCTCTTTCTAGTGCCCTCGAAATGTGCCTGTCCCGTACCATTTCTCCATGGCCTGCCTCTGCCACAGAGTAATGCTAGCAATGAATTCCTCGTCAAGATGACATGTGTCCACACGGATGCGTTAGGTACTCCCAGTTAGCCCTCCTGGACAACAAAATAGCTCTGCCAAACTCAAATGCTCAGTATTGTAAGAAGCCTAGCATAACCTTAATACCAAAAGCTGTCAAGGGCATGAGAAAGGGAGACTGCAGACCAATTTCATCATGAAAATGGAGTCTAAATGACCATTCTCAGGTTAAGGATAGGGCAATTCAAAAACTGATCACAACTTGGTTCAATTTCCTTTGCTCTAAATTCCACATTTATCAACTCATGCTCGGGTCTAAAACACTCTTTTCCTAAATGGCCTTACCCACAGGGATGAGAGGAACCTGTAAGATGGTTGGTCAGGCTCAAGGCCACACATTTATTTCCCACAATCAATAAATAAACTGCCATTCCTCTTTACAAAACAATCTCCAATGAGCTATTCTGGTGATTCAATTAACCAGGACTTGAAAATCTCTTTCTTTTTTTTTTTTTTTTTTTTTTTTTGAGATGGTGTCTTGCTCTGTCGCCCAGGCTAGAGTGCAGTGGCGCAATCTCGGCTCACTGCAACCTCTGCCTCCTGGGTTCAAGCAATTCTCCTGCCTTAGCCTCCCAAGTAGCTGGGATTACAGGTGCCCGCCACCATACCAGATAAATTTTGTATTTTTAGTAGACGGGGTTTCACCATGTTGGACAAGCTGATTTCAAACTCCTGACCTCGTGGTCCACCAGCTGTGGCCTCCCAAAGTGCTGGGATTACAGGCGTGAGCCACCGCGCCCGGCCCTTTTTTTTTTTCTTTTTGAGACAGGGTCTTGCTCTGTCAACCGAGCTGGAGTGCAGTGGCATGATCATGGCTCACTCCAACTTCAAACTCCCAGGCTCAAGCAATCCTTCCATCTCAGCCTCCCAAGTAGCTGAGACAACAGGTGTGTAACACCATGTCCAGCTAATTTATTTTTACTTCTTTGTAGAGACAGGGTCTCATTATGCTGCCCAAACTGGTCTCAGACTCCTGGGCTCCAGTGATCCTCCTGCCTAAGCCTCCCAAAGTGCTGGGATTACAAGTATAAGCCATCGCACCTTGCCTTGAAAATCTTTATGTGAACTGACTAAGCAAGCTTTATTTTCTTATTTTTGGAGATGGGATCTTGCTCTGTTGTCCAGGCTGGAGTACAGTGGCACGATCTTGGCTCACTGCAACCTCTTCCTCCCATGTTCAAACGATTCTCCTGTCTCAGCCTGCCGAGTAGCTGGGACTACAGGTGTGTACGACCACACCCGGCTAATTTTTTGTATTTTTATGAGAGGAGGGGTTTCACCATGTTGGCCAGGCTGGTCTCAAACTCCTGACCTCAAGTGATCCGCTCGTCTTGGCCTCCCAAAGCCAAGCAAGCTTTTAAATCTGCACTCGAGACCAGCTACATAATTTTTGGGATCAGTGGAAAATAAAATGCACTTAAAAATTATTATGAATTTCAAGACAGTGACAACAGGGCCTGAAAGCAAGCACAGGCCCCATGTCGGCACAGGGTCTTACGCAGCCACACAGGCCTCATGTCGGCCCTGTCTGTTCTCTTAACTGACCAAACCTGATGAAATATGACATCAAAGATTTGACAACCCTGGAGTCCAGTGTACACTGCCAGCAAAACAAACACATTACATGAGCAATCCTCAGACTGACCAGGGAGAAAAAACATGTACTGATATTTTTTTCACAATGATATTAACAAAATGACCTGTCACCCAGTACAAAATAACACACCAGAAGGAATGGCTGAACAGAGGACAGGCTCAGCTCACCTCAAACCTTTCTTGCTCCATCCTATGATGGTCTTCAAGCTGTTGTTCCAGATAAGTCAGATTTTGAAATTTCTCCAGATAAGTGTCATACTGCTTTTGTAATTCTTCCTCAGTCTTCTCATACTCATCCATAAAACATGGCCTAAAAGAAGCAAATGAAATAAAAAGGAAAGGTGAATTATATGCAGTAGTTTGAAATGGGTATTCACAGTTTCAGATTCCATGGTGGCTTTCTCTGGAAACCCTTAATTAGAGAAGGTCCTTCATTCTTGTAATGCTTAAAAATATTTTCCCTTTTCTGCTTTCTCCCCCCAAAATGAACATACTTCTTTTTCATCATAAATAAGATGTGCTCTTTGTAAAAACTTGAAATAATCCTGAAAGTATGAAGAATGACGTAAAAATTACTGATAATCCCATCACCAGGTATAAGCGCTTGATAGTTGACATACATCCTTCCAGACTTTTCTATGCATAAATATAGATAGGAATGCATTTAAAAAAAAAATTAAATATACCAAGAAATTTTATAATCTTTATTTCATTTCAATATACCGTAATCTCAATAGAGTTAAAAATGATCAGGCTGGGTGCATCGGCTCACACCTGTAACCCTAGCACTTTGGGAGGCTGAAGTAGGAGGAGGATTGAGCCCTGGAGTTCAAGGCTGCAGTGAGTGAGGATCCTCTGACCTTGCCGTGGCACTCCAGCCCTCCAGCCTGGGTGACACATTGAGACCCCATCTCTAAAGGCAAAAAAATCACATACCAGACACATCTCTCCAAATCAATAAATATATATATTATTATCTTATTTGGGTATAATGTTCTACTGTTGGCCGGGTGCGGTGGCGCACGCCTGTAATCCCAGCACTTTGGGAGACTGAGGCGGGTGGATCAACTGAGGTCAGGAGTTTCAGACCAGCCTGGCCAACATGGTGAAACCTCGTCTCTACTAAAAATACAAACATTAGCCAGGCGTGGTGGCACATGCCTGTAATCCCAGCTACTCGGGTGGCTGAGGCAGGAGAACTGCTTGAACCTGGGAGGTGGAGGTTGCAGTGAGCCGAGATTGCGCCACTGCACTCCAGCCTAGGCAACACAGAGAGACTCCATCTCAAAAGAAATAATAATAATAATAATAATGTTCTACTGTCAGGATATTATAAATTTAAAGCAATCCTCTAAAAAGGGGACCACAGGTTGTTACGAATTAAGGCTGGTGGTTTTTTTTTGTTTGTTGAGACAGGGTCTCACTTTGTCACCCAGGCTACAGTGCAGTGGTGTGATCATGGCTTACTGCAGCATCGAACGCCTGGGCTCAGGTGATCCTCCTGTCTCAGGCCCCCAAGTAGCTGGGACTACAGACATGTGCCACTATGCCCAGCTATTTTTTATATTTTTTTTTTGTAGAGATGGGGTTTCGCCATATTGCCCAGGCTGGTCTTGAACCCCTGAGTTCAAGCGATCTGCCCGCCTTGGCCTCTCAAAGTGCTGGGATTATAGACGTGAATCACTGTGCCCAGTCTAAAGAGGTTTTTAAACGATAAAAAATTTTTTAAAAAGGCCAGGCGTGATGATGACTCATGCCTGTAATCCCAGCACTTTGGGAGGCCAAGGCAGGTGGATCACAAGGTCAGGAGTTCAAGACCAGCCTGGCCAACATGGTGAAACTCCGTCTCTACTAAAAATACAAAAATTAGCTGGGCGTGGTGGCGGCCGCCTGTAATCCCAGCTACTTGAGAGGCTGAGGCAGGAGAATCGCTTGAATCCGGGAGGCAGAGTTTGCAGTGAGCCGGGATCGCGCCATTGCACTCCAGCCTCGGCAACAAGAGCGAAACTCCAACTCAAAAAAAAAAAACAAAAACAAAAAAAACCATAAAAATCTATACTGGTTTGCTGAACTTTTTCTTTTTTCTTATTATTGACCTTAAAGGGAAAATTCTACTCTTTTAAAAATATAAGCAGATAAACTCAGAAATAATTATAATCTTTTGAACTAGAGCAAAACAAAGAGACTTTTCTGTTAAAATGATTTGGAGCTTAACAAAAATGAATTGATGCTTTAAAAGTGGAATGTGTCAAGGAGATCAATCTATATGGCGGCAATGACTTCTGTTTTTTTTTTTTTCCCTCTCTGAGGCTCCAGAGGTAAAGAGCCAGTTTCAGGAGGGGAAGGGCCTTGGCCTTGCGCTGGGCAGGGAGGAGCCAGGGCGCTCCCTGTGGTTGCTGTCGCTGCCTCCAGGTGCTGCCTCCCCACAGACCTCGGGACAGTGGGCAGGGTGTAGCCAGCCACCAACATCCAAAAAGGCAAAACATCCGAGCAGAGTAGGCAGCTGGGAAGAGGAGGGAGCCAAGAAGAAAGAAAAATAAAGGGTGAATGAAAAGGGAGAAAGAGCAGAAGCATGGGGGAGGGAAAGAGGCACAGAACGAGGAAGAGAAGAGAGAGAGAGCCGGCACCACTATTCTCCATCGGTATTCCTGGGAAATATATTTCCAATGAGGTAACGTAGGAAGAAAGATGAATTACTGACTGGTGAGGAATGATCAAGGTTTAAATAAAGTCTAAAATCTATGCCAACAAACAGGCAGGAGTATGTTTCTGTTTCTACCTAATTTATGGCAAGATCTTAGGAGACCACGTCTGGATTTCCCCGTCTGGATTCACTTACTCTGCCTTGAGTTCCAAGAAGCTATAAAAGCTTAAAGGGCAGTTCAAGCTTTAAGCAGTTTTCCAGACATACCGCAAGCAGTAAAGAGAATGAGTTTAGCCATCTGCTTGTTATGACAGGCAACACATGTACATTTGAGGTGAAGATACCCTTATGTAAGGCTTTTTTTCATTGCTTGAGAAGAGTTAAGATCACATTCTATTCTCTTAAGTCTTTGTTCTAACTTTTTTTTTCTTTTAGAGTCAGGGCCTTGTTCTGTTACTCGGCCTTGTTCTGTGGCTCAGGCTGGAGTGCAGTGATGCAACCATAGCTCACTGCAGCCTCAACCTCCTGGGCTCAAGCAATCCTCCCGCCTCAGCCTCCCAAGTAGCTGGGACTACAGGTGTGTATCACCATACTGAGGTAATTTTTAAAAATTTTTAGAGATGGGGTTTCATTATGCTGCCCAGGCTGGTCTCAAACTCCTGGGCTCAAGAGAACCCCCCGCCCCAGCTTCATGAGTAGCTGAGATTTCAGACATGAGCCACCACGCCCAGTTTGTTTGAACTTTCCAGGACATCTTTCTACTCATTCTCCAAGTGTTCATATCTACCTGACACTCTGCAGAGTCTCTAGTCGCTTCCGATTTCTTTCCAGTTCTAATTTTCTCTTTTCGATTTTGGCTTCTAAATTAGCTTCATCAGAGGCCACATTATTGAGCAGGTCTTTAGTCTTCTGAACCTGTGTCTATATTTAATGGGAAATAATGAGACAAGGTGGCAATAAAAACAGCCATCCTAATTCTTAGAAGAATTTTGCAACTCTTCAGGCATAGCAACATTATGCTCAACAAACACAAAAGCAAACAAATAGACACTTCCCCAAGCAATGACTCACTTAACCCACTAGTTCCAGGGAGAATGTCACACAGGTCCAGAAAAAGGTATCTCTTTTTTTTTCCCCATGAAAAGCAGGCATTTCTACCCAGGGAAAGAAGTGAAGATGCAAAGAAGAGTGTCCTGGTCAAGGTGGAGAGGCCTGCAGTCTTTTCTCTGGCTCACTCGGTTAGAACAAGGTGCACATCACTCTGGACGGTCAGTCTGCCTTTTTATCATTCGGGCCATGCCCCTAGTTACAAACACCCGACTTACAGAATACCCACACACACCAAGTACTGCTCTACTAGGAGGGGAGAGAAAGAAACAGCTGGTCCCAGCCCTAACCCACTGCCTGCTGGGATTGAGAGAAGGTCCTCTTCCCTCTCCCTGGCAACAGAAGCTTGACTACAGACTAAAAACGAGGAGAAACCACTCTGAAGACAGTACGAAAGCAGTTCCCACAGTGGCAATGGCCACACTGGTGTGCACCAGCTCTGGAAGGGGTCCAGGGCAACAGTTGGACAGAGGCCCTTGGGCAACAGAGGCTGAGTAAAGAAGGGAAGGGGGACACGGGCCCACTGACGGTGACACAAGTCTCCCTATCCTAAGAGAAGGTTCATTTGAAGCAGGTAGAGTCACTGGTAGTGCGCCGTCTTCACATGCGTCTTGTCCGGTGGCTGGCTGGATCACATGCCTGGGGTTCAGGCTCCAATCTCTTTATGAGGAATCTGGACTGCCACCCAGCTGAGCGTGGAACTGCCCCCCAGGGTTCTGGCTTTCCAGCCCTGCATTAAGTTCCTGGTGGCCAAGGTGGGGCTTCCCCTCCAGCTCTTTGCCTATGTGTAGCATCCCACGAAGGGGTTACTCTGTTTTCCTGCAAGTCTCTGAAAAGCTATGGGCTCCACAGAGAAATGGCCTACGAAGCCCAGACACTCTCCACAACTCTCAGGCATGGTGTGTTTTGGAACCAGCCACTGTTACTGACAATGCGTTTATGGTCTAATTTTTTTGGTCTAAGTACACTAGCCACTTCTAAGATACTTTCATGAAAATAATCAGACCCTTATCATCGATTTGCTGCAAGTGCCTTAGAGCCCCCAGGAGAAATGCGAGTTCACCCTCACAGGAAGAAAGGTGGGTCTCCTTTCTAAACAACTTCAGTTAATGGCAACTGTTTCCTCGAACCAAAGTCAGATTAAAACCTAGTAAATTTATCCCACCTTAAACATATCTGTTCCTCAAACAAGAAAGATCCACAATGCAAAACAGCTGTGTAAACACAAGCAATTTTCCCTGGTTTCTGAAATAAATGGCCTGTACTCCCCAAACCCTTTTAAGTACCCATGTTGTTTTGGTTGTTTTTAGAATGATCAAACATCACAGATATTTTCTAACAATGAAAGGAGTCTTAAGAGATGTCTACCAAGAAATGAACCCTGTCCTCTCTTGGGTGTTCTACTTTTAACATATTAGTGCTAAGGGCACATTCATGCCGTGTTCACCTGATTCAGTTAGAACACTGGCAAGGATAAGAGGTATAATAATTTTTTTTTAATTTTTAAATTTAGAAACAATCAAAAATTTACGGAAAACCTGTTGTACAACACAAAGCGTTTTTCCCAACCTAGGTGACAGTAAGTTGCTGACCAGACGTTCCAATACCCTGAATACTTTAGCGTGTATTTCCTACAAATAAGGACTTTCTCCTACATCCCCACAATACAATCATCAAAACAGGAAGCCAGCACTAACACACTACCACCGTCTAACTCCAGCCCCACTCCACTGTCCCCACTTGTCCCAGTGAAGTCCCCAACAGCAGATAGGAGCTGCCTATGTGTCCAGTTATCACATCTCCACAGCCTCCCTCAGTCTGAAATGCCCCCTCAGCTTTCCTTGACTTTCAGAACCTTTTCACTCTGGGAGCATACAGGCTGGTTAATCTGTAGAATGCCCCTCAATCCGGCTTTGTCTCATTAGAGTCAGATATGCATCGTTGGCAGGAATACTCAGAAGTGACTGCATCCTACCAGGCGTGCATGATTTTGATTTGTTCTGTAACGATGATGTTCACTTTGATCTCTTGATTAAGGGGGTGACTGGCAGGCTTCTCCCTGAGAAGTGACTCTTTTCCCCTCTGTAATTAATAAGTACTCTGCGGGCCAGGCACAATGCCTCATGCCTGTAATCCCAGCACTTTGAGAGGTCAAGGCGGGCGGATCACCTGAAGTCAGGAGTTTGAGACAAGCCTGGCCAAACATGGCAAAACTCCATCTCTACTAAAAAAAAAAACAAAAATTAGCTGGGCGTGGTGGCGCATGCCTGTACTTCCAGCTATTTGGGAGGTTGAGGCACGAGAATTGCTCGAACCCAGGAGGCAGAGATTGCAGTGAGCTGAGATGGCGCTACTGCACTTCAGCCTGGGTGACATAGCAAGACTTCGTCTAAAAAAATAAACAAATAAATAAATAAAATAAAACAAAAATACAATAATTAGCTGGGTGTAGTGGTGTGCGCCAGTAATCCCAGCTACTCAGGAGAATCACTTGAACCTGGGAGGCAGAGGTTGCAATGAGCCGAGGTTGTGCCACTGTACTCCAGCCTGGGCAACAGAGCAAGACTCCGTCTCAAAAAAAAAAAAAAGAAAAAAAAAGTACTTTGTGGAAAGTTACTTCGAATCTGTGTGAATGACCTGCTCCTCCTCAGCCTCCAATATTCATTTATTTTTTTATGCCAGTGAAAACTCATGGTTTCCTATTTCATTCTATTATACCATAAAATTAATTATTCTAACTTATTTATTTTGATGCTTAAGTTGTCCTTACTTTGGCCAGGAGAAGCCCACTTAAGTTGGCTTCTGCATGCTTCCAATAGTTCCCTTTCCTCCTTTGAACTCTTCCTTACTTTCTCGTACTTCTCCTGCCCAACTCTGGAATTAGCCATTTTCCCCTAAGAGTCCTGGTTCCTTTTAGTGGAGAATGGCATTAAGCCAGGTGCTACGTGTGCTCAGAGCTAAGAAATGTATGAGTGTGGGTGTCTCTACGTGTATGTATATAAATAAAACATTTATATACATATATACGTAATTCCTTAAATGTGCATACATGTATATCAAAATTTATTCCTATACCTATCTATATATTGAAAACTATGCGTTTAACCAACACCTCCAATTTCAAGTTCACCCTAATTTTCTCTCTTTCCATTTTTGTGACATTTTTGTGACTTTTTTCTCCAACAGTGAGGAACGTGGCTCCATTATCCTTGCCATATTTTTACTTATCTGACCCATCTGCCTATCTGTCACCAATCTCCCACCAGGGCTGTGGTGCCCTTCTCCCGCTGTGAGGCTCTGACTCCCTAGGCTGGGCTGCCCAGCAGGTATTACTGTTTAATGACAAAAGAATTACATATTTTTAAAAACCTATGATTTTTAGAATTTTGTACAACTCATAGCAAATTCTTGTTTTATGCCTACTCTGAATGTACACAGGGGCCCTCATCCGTGTCTACTGAGTAAAATAAATCACCAGTGATGACTGATTATCAATTGTGCATCAGAGACGAGGCTTGATATGCCCTGTCGTGATTCATGTTTATAAGGACCCCACACAGTTGGGAATGCAGTTCTTGCCATTTTACAGATGAGGAAAATGAGGCACAGAGAGGGTAAGTAACTTGCCTAATATCACACAGTGGAATTCAAACCCAAGCAATCTGAGTCTAGAGTCACCCTCATGATCTGCCTTCCAACTGACTGCTTTAGATGAGAGGATAACTGATGTGAGCGAGCAGTAAACAATAGTGATCCTTCTACTTATTACAGTGCTGTCTGGAATTTAGAAAACCCTGAAATCATTTAAATACTAAGCAGTGAGGAATTGGTTAAACAAAATAAAATAGAGCATTATTTATTAAAATTATTGAATAACTGATAATTATCAAATTACTGAAACTGATCAATTTTTAATAACATGAGAAGCTGTTTTTATTTATAACGAGGGGAAAAAAATGATAGTAAGTGACCTAGGTAAGCTCGAATGTCCTCTTGAGTTTTTCATTTCCCCACTAACACATCCCTTGTTACTAAGCCTAGCTTGTTCTGTCTTGTATGGGCAAGAAATCAGTATTTTTGAATCCCAGGCATAAAAAACATTATATAAAAGCAAAGTCATCTTACCAAAATCTCTTTTATTGCAATTCTCATCACTTTTTCAGTCTCGTTTATTTCCAGAGGTCTGGCAATGGCTTCTGTTCTCATTTCCTAGGAAACAGTAAAATCATTTACGTATATTTTCAGAAAAGGAGTTCTCAAAACCAGTATTCCTAGATCTAGATGTGCCTTATAGACTGATTCTCCGAAGTTTATTGCCATGTGGATCTCTGATGCAAAAACACTGCCACCATCACCTCCTATAATGTCTTCCATTATCTGAGTGCCTACCCAGCTCTCTCCAGAGCTCAAGGTCCTCCTTTTCAGCCAGAGGCCTAGGTGACCCCAACTCTATGAGCAAAACTGAACTTAGCATCCATTATCTTTTCTCCCAAATTTGCTGCTGCTTCTTTTTTTTTTTTTTAAATAGAGATAGGGTCTCACTATGTTGCTCAAACTCCTAGGCTCAAGTGATCCACGTTCCTTGGTCTCCCACAGTGCTAGGATCACAGGCATGAGTCACTATGCCCAGCCCCAATTTGCTTCTTTACCTGCATTCTGTCCAGGTGACTCCCAAACTAAGCATCTTTCTTAGCATGAAGTCCCTCTCAGTTGCCTATCACTAACAAACGCAACCGATAAGAACAGTGACCATGGCCCTGCCCCTAGCATGAACCATTAACCTATCAAGGGAGACATCTGTGACTATCATATCAGTGCTGAAAACTTCTGAGACATGGGATTGTAATGTGGATATAGTTATGAGGTTTACTATAGACAATGTTTGTGTGACCCCAAAATTCCTATGTTGAAACTCGAAACCACAATGTGATGATGTTAGGAGGTGATTAGCTCCTAAGAGAAACCCTGGGGAGATCCCTCACCCCTGCTGCCATGTGAGGACTCAGCAACAAGGCACCATCTGTGGGGAACAAGCCCTCGCCAGACACTGAAGCTGCTAGTGCTTTCATCTAGAACTTCCCAATCTCCAGAACTGTGAGAAACAAATCTGTTATTTATAAGTCACTCAGCTTATTGTGTTTTGGGACGGCAGCCTGAACAAAGTAAGACAAGGTTCCTGAAGCACTGTGTCAAAACTCGTCTTGTGCTTCCTTTCATCCACGGTGCACCTGGTGGGAATGGCTGAGGGCAGGGTGAGGACTTAGTCAAGGAGGCAGAGCTCAGTGCCTTGCCTGTGGCTGAGGCTGCACCTCAGTAAATGTTTACTGAATGAAAGAAAAACAAACACTGGATAGGCGCTCTTCCTCGGATCATGACTACACACAGAATTTGACAAGTACTACATTCAGGGTCTCATGGTTTCCTTGGGAACAGTTTCAGCCACTGGTTACTTCATCATTCTTTACAGGATGGTGTTGAAAGAGACCCCGTGGGATGGAAATGAAGTCTCACAATGATGCCACAGCTCTAGTGGCAATCAGCAAGTGGCCAGCTCCTGTCTCTGAGTCTCTTAGGGACATGTACAGACATATGTACACCACTGCACTACAAACAGAACAGGGGAAAGCCTGGAGGTACCTTACTCATCATCTGAATTAGCTAGCAGATGTCAGTGGCAGTTTCATTCTGCCAACCACACTTCATCAGGTGGCAACTGCCGGGTCAATATATGATGAGCAGACATAGCAATCTAGCACCTAAGTCCCTCTTCCCCAGACTTCCACTTCCAGTTTGCTCCCAGGGTATGCCAGAACACAGGCAAGGCAGTGAGAGAGAGAAGCCATGGCTGGCACTCTTGCTAGGAAGTGAATGAAAGAAATTCATTTAGTTTTAAAGCATTAGATTGAGCACATATGCTTCAAATGCCATAAATCTTTACAGGTAAGGATTAAACACTACTCCACTCTAGGCCAGACGCAGTGGCTCATGCCTGTAATCCCAGCACTTTGGGAGGCCGAGGAAGGCGAATCACTTGAGATCAGGAGTTTGAGACCAACCTGGCCAACATGATGAAACCCCATCTCTACTAAAAATACAAAAATTAGCCGGGTGTGGTGACACATATCTGTAATTGCAGCTACTCAGGAGGCTGAGGAAGGAGAATCACCTGAACCTGGGAGGCGGAGGTTTTAGTGAGCCGAGATTGAGCCACCGCACTCCAGCCTGGGCAACAGAGTGAGACTGTCTCAAAAAAAATAACAAAATTAAAAAAATAAAAAATAAACACCACTCCAGTCTTAAACAGCTACTTAAATGTAGGTGATGGCACATACTTCTTGGCTGGCATTGGCTGGAATAAGGATTGCAAATCAAATCAGTCTCCACTGCAACATCAACTTCAGCTGACTGGAAGTGATGCCAAGATTGCTGGTCCCAAACTGCTGTTAGAATCACCCGGGAGAATCTGAAAACTCCCAATGCCCAGGTCACATTCCATAACAAGGACCCCAGAGTGAAAGCCAGGCTTCAGAAGTCTTTAGAGGTCCCCAGGTGTTTGCACTGGGCAGCAAGGTCGGGGAACTGCAAGCTCAGAAGATCATTTTTGAGAAAATGCTGAAGCAGAGTACACCAGAAAAAAACATCATGATCAATAAAGTCTGCCAGTGGGCACAACAAGGACAGCTCAGTCACATGCCATGGAGCTGCCACTCCTAAACAAGAAGTTAAAGGTAGACCAGTGCCGGGCGCGGTGGCTCACACCGGTAATCCCAGCACTTTGGGAGGCCAAGGCAGGCAGATCACGAGGTCAGGAGATTGAGACCATCCTGGCTAACACGGTGAAACCCTGTCTCTACTAAAAATACAAAAAATTAGCCGGGTGTGGTGGCAGGCACCTGTAGTCCCAGCTACTTGGGAGGCTGAGGCAGGAGAATGGCGTGAACCTGGGAGGCGGAGCTTGCAGTGAGACGAGATTGCGCCACTGCACTCCAGCCTGGGCAACACAGCGAGACTCCGTCTCAAAAATAAATAAATAAAAATAAATAAATAAATAAATAAAGCTAGACCAGTGCCCACCAGAAGCAGGAAGGACAGCTAATATCCTCTATCACCTTTCCACACATTAGCTCATTCAACCAGGTGTATTTCATTAAATCAGAACTGAAAAGGGAGAAACAGAATTGAAAAAGAAAACCTTGAAGAGAAAATCTGCATGGTTAAGGAAGTACTGGAATGCTTACCCTCAACTCTACTTCCATGCCGAGCAAGTCATACAGAGATGCTCCTTTGGAGGTGATTTCAGACGCAAGCTGCCTGGCTGCCTTCAAATCTGCAATCTGGAAGGAAAATAACAAAAACAGAAACCTCAGCAACAGATGTTTTTTAATAGAGACAGGGTCTTGGCTATGTTACCCAGGCTGCTCTCTAACTCCTGGCCTCAAGTGACCCTCCGACCTCAGCCTCCCAAAGTGTTGGGATTATAGGCAGAACCACCATGTTCAGCCAGCCACAGATTTTTTTTTTTTTTTTTTTGAGACGGAGTTTCGTTCTTGTTGCCTAGGCTGGAGTGTGATAGCGCGATCTCGGCTCACCGCAATCTCCACCTCCCAGGTTCAAGTAATTTTCCTGCCTCAGCCTCCCAAGTGGCTGGGATTACAGGCATGTGCCACCACGCCCGGCTAATTTTGTATTTTTAGTAGAGACAGGATTTCTACATGTTGGTCAGGCTGCTCTTGAATTCCTGACCTCAGGTGATCCACCCACCTCGGCCTCCCAAAGTGCTGGGATCACAGGCGTGAGCCACCGTGCCCGGCCAGCCACAGATTTTTAACATGCATTCAACCACTAGCCTGTTCATGTCAGCTCCTACCTTTGGTTGGGACACGTGACCACAAACATGTGCTTCCCCAGTTACATGCTCACAGGCTGCGGGACACACGCTCAGGAAATGATCATCTAAGTACTAAAGAGACCAATTCCAGGACGCCTGGGTCTCTCCAAAAAACCTAATGTCACCTCAAACTGAAGCCACAACCAGGAGGGCATAGCTGGGAGAAAGCTGACGTGCTTCCTACTTGGACTTTGTCACAGTAGGGTGCCTGACGGCAGCAGAGCGGCCACACAAAGGGACAGCCTGAGGGACACACATCCTCTTGCAGCAGCCTGACGTCCTGTGTTTCGTCCTCCCCTGCCCTCCTTCTCTGCCTCAGACTTTCCTCCACAGGCTTGGAGAGGCGCAAATCGGGTGGCACCCACTAAGGACTTACAATGGTTCTGGGCTCCACAGATGGGCAGCTGTTGCCAGGAAGGTGATGACAACCACAATGAGGATTTAGCACTGAGCCCTGTGCACAGGCTTCTTTCTTAGGATGTGTGTGTCACCCCTTCTTCCTAGAATATGCTAACTCTTCTAAGGAGCCCAAACATAAACGTCTCCCTGCTCTGCTCACTCTCCCTCTCTCCTGGACAACCAATCCTCACCTTCTGGCTCTCATTTTCAACCCACTAGCAACAACTCTCCCTCTTCATTTGCAGCTGATGGCTTTGATAGCTTGCTTCCCTCTTCCTTAGTCCTCCAGGATCCAGCCTGCTCTGGCTCTAGCTGCTTTTCTTCCCTTCCGAGCAGCACATCCCCAAACTTCTTTGCAGGAGTCTGTCACCTTCTCTGCTTCTCAAAAGTGGAGCGAGTCAGAGTTTCATTCCTGGACCCCCCGTCTTTTCTGCTGGCTCTGCTCCTACCCTCAAGGCTTTAATACCATCTGTGTGCTGATTGCTCCCCAGCTCCCAGCTCCAGCCTGGGCTTTCCCTGGGCTCTAGTTTCACATACCAGCTACCTGTGCACCATCTCCACCTGGACAGCCAATCGGCGTGGCAAATGGAGCATGTGCAGAACCTTCTCTGCTTCAGTACATGGCAACTTCATCCTTCCAGGGGCTCACACAAAAAACTTCAGAGCAGTGATGTCTAATATAGTAACCAATAGCCACATGTGGCCATTTTCACTTAAATTACTTAAGAATTAAAGAAAATGCAGAACTCAACTCAGTTCCTCAGTTGTGCTTGCCACATGTGGCCAGTGGTTCCCGTAGAGTACAGCACAGAGGCGGAACACACCCATGAGCTCTGCAAGCTCTGCCGCACGGCTGCCCCAAGACCCGGCCTGTAGCACCTGACTTACTCTCAACCCATGCCTCATCCCGTGAGATCTACCATCAAAATATGCCCCAATCTCTAGACACTTCTCTTGCTGACGAGTGTCGCTCCTGGTTAAAAACCCACATGTGAGGACAGGCGCGGTGGCTCACGCCTATAATCCCAGCACTACGGGAGGCCGAGGCAGGCAGATCACCTGAGGTCAGGAGTTTGAGACTAGCTGGCCAACATGGTGAAACCCCATCTCTGCTAAAAAAAAAAAAAAAAATACAAAGCCGGGTGCGGTGGCTCACGCCTGTAATCCTAGCACTTTGGGAGGCTGAGGCGGGCAGATCACCTGAGGTCAGGAGTTCGAGACTAGCCTGACCAACATGGAGAAACCCTGACTCTACTACAAGTAAAAAATTAGCTGGGTGTGGTGGCGCATGCCTGTAATCTCAGCTACTCAGGAGGCTGAGGCAGAAGAATCACTTGAACCTGGGAGGCAGAGGTTGCAGTGAGCTGAGATTGTGCCATTGCACTCCAGCCTGGGCAACAAGAGTGAAACTCCATCTCAAAAAAAAAAAAAAAAAATTAGCTGGGCATGGTGGTGTGTACCTGTAATCCCAGCTACTTAGGAGGCTGAGGCAGAAGAATCTCTTGAACCTGGGAGGCAGAGGCGCAGCGAGCCAAGATCGTGCCATTGCACTCCAGCCTGGGCCACAGACTGAAACTCCGTCTCAAAACAAAACAAAAACAAAACAAAAAAGCTGTGTGTGGCTTTTCAAGCCCAACTATAGACCATGACAAGGCCTCACCTAGCAGGCCTCACAGGGGAAGCTTTCTTCCCTGCAGCAGACTTGGAGCTCAGCCAGTGCACTGTGGTTTCACGTACCCTGCGTGGCCACACTCTTAGGTGCACTCCCAGCCCCGGGGCCTTCATTCCTAGGTCTCCTGCTCTGAGGCCTTGGGCCTCAGAGTAACGGCTTAACCTTTATTTCTGGCTTGCTGCTGTGGTCGCTCCCTGACACCTGACGGCACCTGTCCCACCAGCACTCTGCTCAAAGCCACGGTCACCCCTCACTCTCCAAACAGGCTCGCTGCTTCCAGCCCTGCCGCCTGCTTCGGTCTGATGGCGGCTCAGCAGCCAGAGCAACCCTTTGGACGGGAAATAAGCACAGAAGGTTCCGCTTGGATCCCAACGATTCCCACCTTAGAGGCAAAGACAAAGGCTTTCCAGGGGCTTCCCAGGCGCCAGAGGGTCTGTCAATCCCAACCCTCATCACACGGCCTCCTTGCTTTTCCTCAAACACACAAAACACATTTTTTTTCTTCCCCCCAGACAAGGTCTCGTTCTGTTGCCTAGGCGGGAGCGCAGTGCCATGAACATGGCTTGACTGCCTGGGCTCAAGAGATCTTCCCACCTCAGCCTCCTGGGCAGCTGGGACCACAGGTGTGTACCACCACGCCTAGCTAATTTTTTTCTTTTTTTTGGTAAAAATGGCGTCTCACTATGTTGCCCAGGTTGGTCTGGAACTCTTGGCATCAAAGGATCCTCCCACCTCGGCCTCCCAAAGTGTTTGGCTTACAGGAGTGAGTCACTGCACCCAGCCCAAAACAAATTATCATCCTGAGACACCCTGACGCCACCCGCCACCCGCACAACTCACTCTTTCCCTCCCTTGGATCTCTGCTGGAAACACCATCCAATCCATGAGGCCTTCCTGATCACCCGATTTAAGATCACTCTGGGCAGCATCCATCCCCATCCCAGCTTATTATTCTCCACAGCCTGCACTGCATCTGGCCTTCCACACCTCTTATTGTTCACAGTCTGACTCCCCTAACTGAAGAGAATAAACACACGATTTTTGTCCTTTTTGTTCACAACTGTATCCTCAGCGCTTGAATGCTACCTGACAAATACTAAGCTTTTAATAAATAGTTGAATTAGTGGATTGTGACTTTGACTTTATCCAAATGCTGATGAGCACAAAACTGACAAACTGCCCTCAGCTGAGGAGGAAGAAAAGCAGCGGAGCTGTAGCAGACTCCTTCCACTTCAGAGCTCAAGAAATCAACGCTCCATCGCCCACTACAAGGCTTTTGTTGTCCTTACCTTTGAGCCAAGATCAAACTTGAACTTGTTGACATCTTCCTCTACTATTTCAGAGCCCTCCATCCCCTTGGTCTTCATAGCATTATAAAGGACAGATGTGATCTTCAGCAGCTCTTTTACCGCATACCCATCTGCTTGATAAAGCTTCTTAGTGTTGAGTTTTATATGTGCCTTGGTGGCCTATTTTTAGACCAAAAAAAAAAAAAGTTGAAGGCCCTTTCCATGTAATGTCTAAACTAAATCCCATGTAGGTGAGTTGAAAATGCCTCTGCTGACAACTGGGATATAACCTAATAAAAGCAAAGCATTCAAGTGACTCAAACATTGTGAGTGGTTGTATAAACTGGGACAATCTTGATGGAGAGCAATTTGGTAAAAGACATCAAAATTACAAATGCACATATCTTTTGACCCAGCAATCCCAAATCTAAGAACTTATTCTAGGGACACACTCAAACACAAACAAAATGAGATGTACAGGTTATTTGTTACAGCACTGTTCCAAAGAGCAAAGCTTCAGACAACCTAAAAGCCTACCTATATAAATTACATAAATTATGGCAAATCCATGCAAGCAATACCACTCAGGCGTAAACAGAATGAGGAAATTCTATATGTATTTGGAAAGTTCTCTAAAATATACCATTAAGTAAAGCAAGATGCTAAACATCTTGTAGTGTACAGTAAGTACATCAAGTAGAATACAGTACCATTTGTGTAAAACAAAGGAAAAATATATATTTTTATTTGCACACACACACACACACACACACACACACACACACACAAACTCTGGAAGAGATTTAAAATAGTGGTTATTTGGAATGGAACTTGGCCCAGGGCAGATAGGGTAAAAAGTCATTTTACTCCATTTTGTTTCATAATGTTTTTAATTTTTTTTTTTTTTTTGAGATAGGGTCTCACTCTGTCACCTGGGCTGGAGTGCAATGACATGATCCCGGCTCACTGCAGCCTCAACCTCCCGGGCTCAAGCAATCCTCCCACCTCAGCCTCCCAAGCACCTGAGACTACAGGCACGTGTCACCAGGCCCATCTAATTTTTTTTAAATTTATTTTTTGTAGAGACAGGATCTCACTACATCACCCAGGCTGTTCTCAAACTCCTGGACTCAAGCTATCCTCCCACCTTGGCCTGCCAAAGTGCTAGGATTACAGGCATGAACAACCACGCCCAGCCTACTTTCAATTTGTGAGCCATGAAATATGTTATCTATTCAAAAATAAATAAATAAAATTCTTTTTTTTTTTTTTTAAGACAGAGTCTTGCTCTGTTGCCCAGGCTGGAGTGCAGTGGCGTGATCTCGGCTCACTGCAAGCTCTGCCTCCCAGGTTCACACCATTCTCCTGCCTCAGCCTCCCGAGTAGCTGGGACTACAGGTGCCCGCCACCACATCCAACTAATTTTTTGTATTTTTACTGGAGACGGGGTTTCACCCTGCTAGCCAGGATAGTCTCAATCTCCTGACCTCGTGATCCGCCCACCTCGGCCTTCCAAAGTGCTGGGATTACAGGCGTGAGCCACCACACCTGGCATAAACAAAATTCTTAACAAATAATGAATTAAAAGACAAACAAAAAGAACTTCGCTGGTGAAATGGTGCCACAGAAACCCAGCAATGGAATGGTTTTAGAAAGCAAACTCAGGCCAGGCGCGTGGTGGCTCACATCTGTAATTCCAGCACTTTGGGAGGCCAAGGAGGGTGGATTACTTGAGGTCGGGAGTTTGAGACCAGCCTAGCCAACATGGTGAAACCCAGTCTCTACTAAAAATGCAAAAATTAGCCAGGTGTGGTGGCGTGTGCCTCTAATCCTAGCTACTCGGGAGGCTGAGACAGGAGAACCCCCGAGGAGACGGAGGTTGCAGTGAGCCAAGATTGTGCCACTGCACTCCGGCCTGGGCGAGAGAATGAGACTCCATCTCAAAAAAAAAGAAAGAAAAACTCAATTACACAGTTTGAAAGTCGCCCTAACAAGGAGTCATCCTTTCTAGTTTATTTAATTTTACAACTCCACAAAATAAGTGTCCACTAACCATGAACTGGGCAATTGCCTTAATGAAGAAAACTCGGTCCTGTTCAGTATCCACGTCAGGCGGGATGTCAGTCTGGGGCTCATATCTATCAAGAGAGGTAAGAGGAGAGAGCACGGGTTAACCAAGGAGAAAGTCTACTAAAGAGAATGTGGGCAACTGAGAGGACAGCGGGTCTGGAACACAACGCTCTCCAAGTCCCCAAGTGGGAGAGTGAGATCAAGGCAAACTTCAAAAGCAAAACCAAATACCAAGGGAGCAAATCCCCACCTAAGAAAAACAGATTTCAAAAACTAAATGTGGATCTCAGCTTATAAAATTAAATCTCTCTCAGATCTCACCATGTCATGAAGCTAATCAGAACTGCTACCCTGGCTGACAGCCCTTGACTCAGAGATCAGTGCTAGGGCCGATTAGTCAGCTCTAAGCAGCAGCAGAGTTGGTGAAGTTATTTTCTTCAAGGTATTGAAACCAGGGGTCAGCAGACTGCAGCCTCCGACCTGTACAGCCTGCAAGCTAAGAACTGTTTTTACATTTTAACAAAAAGAAGAGACGCAATAGAGATCTTATGAATTTTATATTTAGCAAAAGGTAAAATATTATCTGGTCCTTAACAGAAAAAGCTGCCAACCCTGAATCATATAACATATTCAATTTTTTCACAGAAAAAGAAATCTCCATTATTTCTAATCCAGTGTACTGATCAGAATGTGCAAAAAGGCCCCTGTCACTCTGCCATGAGGGGCTGAAGAGCAGCCTGGCCCAGCATCCTACTGAGGAATAGTCGTCTCCTTTCACGACTTCCTGGTATATTTCCCACTCCCACAGCATTCTTTAAACTCCACTGATTTTTTTTTTTTTTTTTTTTTTTTGAGACGGAGTCTCGCTCTTTCACCCAGGCTGAACTGCAGTGGCGCTATCTCGGCTCACTGCACACTTCGGCTCACTGCATGCTCCGCCTCCCGGGTTCACTCCATTCTCCTGCCTCAGCCTCCTGAGTAGCTGGGACCACAGGCGCCCGCCACCACGCCTGGCTAATTTTTTGTGTTTTTAATAGAGATGGGGTTTCACCGTGTTAGCCAGGATGGTCTTGATCTCCTGACCTCGTGATCCACCCGCCTCGGCCTCCCAAAGTGCTGGGATTACAGGCGTGAGCCACTGCGCCCGGCCTGATTTTGTTTTTTGAGACACAGTCTCAATCTGCCCGGGCTGGTGTGCAATAGCATGATCAGTGGCACTGCAGCCTCAAACTCCTGGGATCAAGTGATCCTCCTGCCTCAGCCTCCTGAGTCGCTGGAACTATGAGTGTGTACCACCCAGGCTCAGCTAATTGTTCTTTTGTGTATGGAGACAGGGTCTTGCTATGTTGATGAGGCTAGTCTTGAATGACTGAGATTATGAAGTGCTGGGATGAGAGCAGTGAGCCACTGTGCCCAGCCACAACTCCTTTGTAACAGAATACAGCTGGGTCTGTCAAATTCCAAAAACTTTCCCTTTTGCAGCATCACAGCTGTGTCCTGTTTTCTAGATGACTAATAAATAAAACCCAGTATTCACTCTTAGATGTCAATAAAGTGCCGTTCGAACCTTTTCACAAGCCAGAGAAGCACTTCAGATACAAGTCCAAAATTGGGTGTACGGAAATTTTCCATAGAAATATGTCGAGGGTATCCCAGGGCTCTCATCATCTCTGTGAAATCTGTCCAAGGAAAAATACAATTCATTCAGTTCCCCATCACACAGCAACTACTTATTAACTTAGATATTGTCTTTACTTTTCCTTCTTATTTCCAACCTATTGACAGCTTTAGGGACTATTTGTCAACTTTCTACAAGGGAAAGCAAAAAGGAGATAAAATTTAAAATACCAAAAATGCTACCTAAAAAGCATATATTTAAGTTCAATGGGAGAAGTAGATGGCTATACATGAAAATGGAATTGAGGGATTAGCTGTGAATTTCATTTCTCTCTTTAGTATCTCATTTCTTTTTACTGCTAAAAGGAAGAAACACCCGTCCTTATAAAATGTCATGAAGAAAAAGTATTTTTAAATGTCAACAGTGGTTTGACTCAAATTCAGCTGATTAAAAAGTGTTTTAAAATGTTAACAGTGGTTATTTCTGAGGGGAATCCGTAGGATGACATTCATGTTTCTGAGTTGTCTTTTTTTTTAATTTTAGTGACCACATAGGACCCAAATAACACAAGTTTTAAAGATCAGTCGCCTTGTATTTAGAGAAATCTTAAATAGAGTGGTTGAACTATACAACCATATTTAGATTTACTATAAAACAGATTAAGAAACAGTAATACTAATACTTGTTGATCCATAGGTTGGGGTCACCTCAGGAAAAGCCTTAGTGCTTTCAAGAGAGCAGGACTTGGAAATGAACACCACAAACATTTGTTGAGTTCCCATATGTACCAAGATCTACATTCAGTGTGCTTCCTGGTTATTTAAGGTCTGTCTGCACTCTTCTTGAAGATCCATGTTCAAAATGGTCCATCAATGTTCACAAATAACCTACCTAGGTACTGCAAGTCAGGTCAGACTTCGCAAGACAATGAAACAGAAAGTGTGAGCACAGGAAACAGCAAAGTCACAAAGGGACTCTGTAACTGTTTTCTGGGAAATGTGAATACAGAGATTAAAAAAAAAATTAACTGGGTGTGGTGGTGCATGCCTGTGGTCTCAGCTATTCAGCAGGCTGAGGTGGGACGATCACCTGGGCCCAGGAGGTTGCAGTAAGCTCAGATCATGTGACTGCACTCCAGCCTGGGTGACAGAGTGAGACCCTGTCTCAAAAACAAAAACAAAAAAGGCCAGGCGCGGGTGGTTCACGCCTGTAATCTCAGCACTTTGGGAGCCGAGGAGGGTAGATCACCTGAGGTCAGGAGTTCAAGACCAGCCTGACCAAAATGGTGAAACCCCACCTCTACTAAAAATACAAAAGTTGCCGGGCACAGTGGCTCACGCCTGTAATCCCAGCACTCTGGGAGGCCGAGGCGAGTGGATCACAAGGTCAGGAGATTGAGACCATCCTGGCTAACACGGTGAAACCCCGTCTCTACTAAAAATACAAAAAAATTAGCCAGGTGTGGTGGCGGGCACCTGTAGTCCCAGCTACTAGGAGGCTGAGGCAGGAGAATGGCGTGAACCCAGGAGGCGGAGCTTGCAGTGAGCCGAGATCGCGTCACTGCACTCCAGCCTGGGTGACAGAGCGAGACTCCATCTCAAAAAAAGAAAAGAATAAAATAAAAATAAAAATACAAAAGTTAGGTGAGTGTGGTGGCGGGCGCCTATAATTCCAGTTACTGGGGAGGCTGGGGCAGGAGAATTGCTGGGAGGCAGAGGTTGCAGTGAGCTAAGATCACACCACTGCACTCCAGCCTGGGAGACAGAGCAAGACTGTCTCAAAAAAAGAACAGAAAAGAAAGCAGCAGCCTTTCCTTCACACAGTAAGGCACTGCCTAAATACTCCTGACCACTAGGTACTAGTCAAGTTCTGTTAATGCTGCGGTGTTATTGTCAAAATAGACACTAATTTGAGTAAGATCCTTACCATACACTGCACAACTGCAGAGCATTAATTTAAGATCAAAATATTCCGAAATCTCCGTGTGTGCGCTCCCCAACAAAACCCCATTCTACGTCCCCCGGCAGGGTGCTGGCCTCTCTAAAAACTATGTGGGAGGAGACAGTCATCCTGCATGATGTGTGGCCACCAAAAACCTTCAAACCCCAGAGGGCAGGATTCACACTCTGGTGCTCAGTGGCTGCATGGATAAAAGGTAATGCGTCTTCCTAGATATTTTTACATTGTAGAAAAGAGCAATTCATAACCAAAAGGAGTAATCTCTAATGCTAAAATTTCAGGCACCAACAATTGGACGAGAAAACTGGCTTTAAGAGACCCCTCGGATCACACCAAATTGGCAATCATCATCTACCTTTCCTTTTTTTTTTTTTTTTTTAAAGACAGTCTCACTCTGTCGGCCAGGGTGGAGCGCAGTGGTGCCATCTTGGCTCACTGCAACCTCTGCCTCCCGGAATCAAGCAATTCTCCTGCCTCAGCTTCCCAAGTACCTGGGACTACAGACGCGCGCCACCATGCCCGGCTAATTTTTTGAATTTTTAGCAGCGGCAGGGTTTCGCCATGTTAGCTAGGCTAGTCTAGAACTCCTGAAATTAAGTGATCCGCCTGCCTCGGTCTTCCAAAGGGCTGGGATTACAGGCGTGACCCACTGCGCCCAGCCGTAACCAACACTCTTAGCCTCGTTCTTCCACTTCCCCACCCTCTTAGCAAAGGAATTCGAGCTCCCTTCTCCTTACCAGCCCTGCAGAAAGGATGCAGATGGAGTTCAGGATGTCTGGAGTTCAGGCAACCTGAATTCAAGCCCCAGTGCCACCTCCTACCGCCTGTATCACCTGCCCAAGTTACCTGACCTCTCTGTGCCCGTTTCCTCACTACCAAATACAGGGGGCACAGAGTTGTTCAGATGATTAAAATGAAATGCGCATAACACAGAGCGGGCCCTGGCAGATCGTTAAAACTCAAAAAATGTTAGCCGCAATGATTATCACCCAGCCTCCTCTCCTCGGTTTCGTTGCTGGTTGTTTTTTTTTTGGTTTGTTTTTTGTTTTTTGAGATGTTGTTTCGCTCTTGTTGCCTAGGCTGGAGTGCAATGGCCCGATCTCGGCTCACCGCAACCTCCAAAGCGATTCTCCTGCTTCAGACTCCCGAGTAGCTGGGATTACAGGCGCCCGCCACCACCCCCGGCTAATTTTGTAATTTTAGTAGAGACGGGGTTTCTCCATGTTGGTCAGGCTGGTCTCGAACTCCCGACCTCAGGTGATTCGCCCGCCTCGGCCTCCCAAAGTGTTGGGCTTACGGGCGTGAGCCACCGCGCCCGGCCTGCTGTTCGGTTTTCTAAGCGCTAAGCTAACCCAACTCAAAAAATAGTCTCTAAACTCTCCATGCATTTTCCAATACGGTAGCGAAGAGCGGCATGCAGCTACACAAACAGAAATAAATTACACTTAAAAATTCAGTTATTCATCTGCACTAGCCACATTTCAAGCGTTCTGAGCCACACGCGGCCAGTGGCAGATAGAGAACTTTCCATCCTCGCTAGAAATGGCCGAAGAAGGGCCTGGGACGCTCGGCCGGGTTGCAGCCGCGGGTCAGGCGGTCCCTGAGGCGCAGAGGCCCGAAAGGAGCCTCCGGCAGCGCAAGCCTCAGGGATCGCCTACACAGGGGACCCGGCGGGCGGGAGCCCTGAATCTCTGGAAGACCCGCAGGTCACAGGGGCGCGGGGCTGCCTTACTGCGGAGGTCGCGGAAAGACATAACGCTCAGGTCCCCAGGAGCCCAGGGTCGCAACTGCTCGCCCCTCAGCGATCACAGGCCCAGCGCTCGACGATCTCTATGGCAACCAATGGACCCTTGGACGGCGCACGGTCAGGGACAAACAAAAAGCGAAGCGAAGACGCGGCGGCACGTGCATACGCACGGGGAGAGCGGGCCGGCAGAGAGCGCTCCTGAGACGCCGAGGGCAGAGGGCGTGGCGATACCGGCGTCTATGAGGGCTGCAAGCTTCCCAGCTTCTGGGCGTCTGTTTACACGCTTTGCGGACGTTTCGCGCTGGGTGACAGGTTCTGAGTACCTACTACGTGCTTGATATTGCGCTAGGCGCTTTCCATATTGCTTATTTCCCCCTCATTTCTATAAAGAATGCACGATGCTTGGCTGGGCGCGGGGGCTCACGCCTACAATCCCAGCACTTTGGGATGCCGAGGCGGGCGGATCACTTGAGGTCAGGAGTTCGAGACCAGCCTGGCCAACATGGCGAAACCCCGTCTCTACCAAAAAATACAAAAATTTGCCAAGCGTGGTGGCGCACACCTGTAATCCCAGCTACTCGGGAGGCTGAGGCAGAAGAATTACTTGAACCCGGCAGGCAGAGGTTGCAGTGAGCCGAGATCGCGCCACTGCCCTTCGGCCTGGCGACAGAGCGAGACTCTGTCTCAAAAAAAAAAAAAAAAAAAAAATGCACTATACTCAGGAAGCCCGCCTTCCCCCGTCCGAGGCACAGCGCGCTCCTCGTCGGAATCTGGTTGCCGAGCGGAGGACGGGATCACTGTGGGCGCCCAGAGGCAGGCCAGGCCTCGGTCTCGCGCACGCGCAGACGGCTCGGGCTGCACAACAGGCCGGAAAGGGGCCCTGAGCCGCTCGCGCCGCGCGGGTCCCGGCAGCCCTAGCCTCTGCATGGGGGCGCGAGGAGACGGCAGGAAGGGGCGGCCTCCACGTGTGAAATGGGGAGATGCCCCGCCAGGCGTGGCACAGCAGCCGGGTTTTGTAAGGTAGCTTGAGCAGGAACAAGGAAACAGCGTAGTGCACAAAGCGATTGGTTGGCATCAGGTTATTTCAGATGCATTTCTTTGGGTTAAAGCAGAGGGGGCTTCCTTATGCCAGCCTAGGTGGACAGGGCCCCTTTTGTTGGTTGCAGTGAATCTTCTGTGTTTTGGCAGACTGGCCTGTCTCTAAGTTCGCATTGATTACGTGGCACCTTGCACTAGCGATTCCATTCTGGTTTGGTCTGGTCCGTTGGTACCTTGTGCAGGAGCTCGCTCCAAAACAATGGCCTCCCATAAATGTTGCTTCACGTGTTATTAAGAAAAACAAAAGATAAGCCACAGTCTAGAAGAAAATATGCACAAAACACATATCTGATAAAGAGACGTGTATCCAGAATGTATCAAGAACTCTCAACACTCAATAATGAGAAACAGTCTAATTAGAGAATGGAGAAAACATTTTAAAAGCTACTTCACAAAAGAAGATATATGGATGGCTAATATGCAAATGAAGAGATGATCAAGGCTATTATTAGAGAAGTGCATATTAAAACCACAATGAGATATCACTATGAAGTTATTAAACTGGCTAAAATATCAGGTAACACGTTAAAAACCTAAAAATTAAATCTAGATAAAATGGCTAAAACAACAAAAAACTCTTGACAATGCCAAGGGCTTGAAAGGATGTTGATCAACTTGAACTTTTTTTTTTGAGATGGACTCTTGCTCTTGTTGCCCAGGCTGGAGTGCAGTGGCACAATCTCGGCTCACTGAAACCTCCGCCTCCAGGGTTCAAGCGATTTTCCTGCCTCAGCCTCCGGAGGAGCTGGGATTACAGACGCGCGCCACCGCGCCCAGCTAATTTTTGTATTTTGGGTAGAGACGGAGTTTCGCCATGTTGGCGTGAGTCACCGCACGCGGCCTGCATTTCCCTGATGATTAAAGATGTTGAACATCTTTTTACGTGTTTGATGACCATTTGTATATTTCCATTGGAAAAATGTCTATTCATTTTCTTTGCCCATTTCAAAATTGGGTTGAACATCCTTTTGTTTTTGAATTGTAAGTGTTCTTTATATATTCTGCCTATGAGACCCTTATCAGATATATGATTTGCCAATATTTTCTTCCATTTCATAGGTTGTCTTTTCACTTTTTTTTGTTGTTGTTGTTTGTTTGTTTGTTTGTTTGTTTTTTGAGATGGAGTCTCGCTCTGTTACCCAGTCTGGAGTGCCAGTGGTGCGATCTCGGCTCACTGCAAGCTCTGCCTCCTGGGTTTACGCCATTCTCCTGCCTCGGCCTCCCAAGTAGCTGGGACTACAGGCGCCCACCACCACACCCGGCTAATTTTTTTGTATTTTTAGTAGAGACGGGCTTTCACCGTGTTTGCCAGGATGGTCTGGATCTCCCGACCTCATGATCCGCCCGCCTATGTTGGCCAGGCTGGTCACAAACTCTTGACCTCAGGTGATCTGACCACCTGAGTGTCCCAAAGTGCTGGGATTACAGGTGTGAGCCACCATGCCCAGCCGTGTTTCTGATTTCTGAAGATTTGCTTTTCCAAGATTGTTGTGGTTATTTGGGCTCCCTTGTAATTTCACATGAATTTTAGGATTAGCTTTTCCATTTCTGCTTGTGATGCTTAATTTTGTGTGTCAACTTGACTGGGATGCCTGATAGCTGGTAAAACATTATTTTTCAGTGTGCTTGTGTAAGCGTTTCCAGAAGAGATTAGCATTTGAATTGCTAGACTGAGTAAAAAAAAAGAAGATTGCCCTCACCAGTGTGGTGGGCATCATCCAATCTGCTGGGTGCCCAATTATGACAAAAATGCAGAGGAGGGGTGAATTCACACTCTCTTCATGGGCTGGGACATCCTTCTTCCCGTGCCCTTGGACATTGGAGCTCCTGGTTCTTGGACTTCTGGACACCAGGACTTACACCAGCCCTCACCCCCACCCCTACCCAGATTCTCATGCTTTTGAACCCAGACTTAATTACAGCACCAGTTTTCCTGGTTCTCCAGCTTGCAGGCAGCATATTGTGCGACTTCTCAGCCCGGATAATCACATAAGCCAATATCCCTAATAAATCTTCTCTTGGCTGGGCACGGCGGCTCACACCTATCACCCCAGCACTTTGGGAGGTGGAGGCAGGAGGATCACTTGAGCCCAGGAGTTCAAGACTAGCTCTGGGCAACATGGTGAGATCTCCATCAGCAAAAATTTAAAAAATTAAAAATTAAAAAATGAAAATAAATTAAAAAATTAGCCAGGCCTGGTGGTGCACACCTGTAGTCCCAGCTACTTGGGAGGCTAAGGTGGGAGGATTGCCTGAGCCTGGTAAGTTGAGGTTGCAGTGAGCCGTGATCATGTCACTGTACTTCAGCCTGGGCAATGGAGCAAGGCCCTATCTCAGAAAAAATTATATAAGGAGATTTATTTATCCTCTAATAAATATTTTCTCTGTAAATATCTATATACATTCTGCTGACTATATTTCTCTGGAGAAGCCTAATACACTACATGAAGGCCATTTTGATTTTGATAAGAATTGTACTGAGCACTTTGGGGAGTGTTGCTATCTTAACAATATTAAGTCTTCAGTCCATGAACATGTGATGCTTTCCAATTTATTTAAGTCTTTAGATTCTCTCAGCAATGTTTTATAGTATTCAGAGTTGTCTTATACCTCCTTGGTTAAATGTATTCCTATTTTATTCTTTTTATTCTTTGCTAGTATCTAGAAATACAATTAATTTTTGTGTGGTGATTTTATGACTTGAGATTTTTCTGAACTTCATTAGCTCTGAAAAAGCTCTACTAGGTTCAGGATTTTTTTTTTTCAAGTATGAATTATTTAATATTTCCTACATACAAGATCAGGTTGCTGGGCGCGGTGGGTCATGCCTGTAATCCCAGCACTTTGGGAGGCCGAGGTGGGCGGATCACCTGACGTCAGGAGTTTGAGACCAGCCTGGCCAACATGGCGAAAGCCTGTCTCTACTAAAAATACAAAGATCCGTTGGGCGTGGTGGTGGGTGCCTGTAATCCCACCTGCTGGGGAGGCCGAGGCAGGAGAAGCTCTTGAACTCGGGAGGCGGAGGTTGCAGTGAACCGAGATCGCGCCACTGCACTCCAGCCTGGGCGCCAAAGTGAGACTCCATCTTAAAAAAAAAAAAAAAGAAAAGAAAAAAAGAAAAATCAGGTCGTCTGTGACAAGAGAAAATTGAATGTTTTAACTTTTTGTTTTTTTGTCAGCATCCAAAATCTTTTTAATAAGAGGGTTCGTTTTTGTAGCCTCGGCTGGCCCGTAGGCCTCTGGCGCGCTCGAACTTCTGGTCCCTGGAGCGGAAATAGCGTTTGGTGTGGCTGTGTGGGGTTCCCAGGGCCTTGCCGAAATGCCGGTACACCTGTCGGCCCTTGCGAAGACCGGAGAGTAGGACGGGGCCGCCGTCCTTGAGGGAGTCCAGGGCCAGCTGATCGAAAGTCAGGATCTTGGCCCCCACCCTGAGGATGCCGCTGTGGGCCGGCTGGTCACGGGCAGCGCACACACCTTAAGTTTGGGCACCTCCTGAACCCTCGCGTCATCCGTTAAGCGTCCCCACAACCACGGCCGTTTTGTTTTCCCAGCCAGGAAGCTTCATCTTCCGGATCATCCGGGAAACGGACAGAGGTGGCCGGTTGGTGCGACTCATAAACAACCTCTTCAGCACAACCTGGTTGAATGTGGAGTTAGTTCGTCTGGACGGTAACCTGTACAGCTTGACCAACAAACAGCCTCAGTTAGATATCCTGGCTCTTGGGCTCTTTGCGCCGAACCTTTAGGTCCTTCTTGTGGCGGACGTCAGCTCCCATGATGGCGCTTCCTGCTTGGCCAGGTCCGGAAAGATGAATGTTTAACTTTTTTTTTTTTTTGAGACGGAGTCTCGCTCTGCAGCCCAGGCTGGAGTGCAGTGGCGCGATCTGGGCTCACTGCAAGCTTCGCCTCCCGGGTTCACGCCATTCTCCTGCCTCAGCCTCCTGAGTAACTGGGACTACAGGCTCCCGCCACGACGCCCGGCTAATTTTTTTGTATTTTTAGTAGAGACGGGGTTTCACCGTGTTAGCCAGGATGGTCTCGATCTCCTGACCTCATGATCCGCCCACCCCGGCCTCCCACAGACCTCAACTGATCAGCCTGCCTCGGCCTCCCACAGTGCTGGGATTACAGGCATGAGCCACCGCCCCCAGCCCCTTTTCAGCATTTTCAAAGTACCGACCTAGGTCTTCCTAGGTCTGTACTCCTGAACCCTCATTTCCCACCCCAGATGAGGAAGCTGGCCCCAAGAGATCACCTGAGAGAAGGACTCTCCAGTTTGCCAGAGCTGTCTGTTTTATGTGGCCTGACCCCAGCCAGAGGGACCAGGGACTTCCCCCAGGGTTCTGGCCCCTTCCCATGCCTTTCTTTCACCCTGCCCTTGCCTTGGGCACTGTCCTCTCCCAAACTAGGGGTCCAGGAAGGCTGGGAGTCTTCCCCGTGATGTCATAAGAACCAGTTGCCAGGGGAGACCTGCCAATGTACCCCCTAGGCAGGGGAGAGCAGGGCCCTGCTGCACCCAAGTCCTGGTTGCTCCTCCCCACCACACTGGCCCTCCATGGAAGCCTTGGTCTGTGCATTTTCTGAGCTGCACATAAGAGAAGGTGCCGGGCTGTGGGGAGGAGTGGCAGGAAGAGAGATAGGCTTCTGTCCCCACCTGGGCCCAAAGCCGAGGGGTGGCCTCAGGGACATGTATGCTTGGGAGAGGGGAATGGCCACTGGGCCAGGCCATGAGCCCCTGGGCTGGCCACTTTCTCTCAAACCCACTGTGCAATTTCTCTGTGGGGACCAGAATACTCTTCCTAGGGTAGCGGGCAGAACAGGGTAGTAGAAAGGACTTGAGGTCCTGAAAGCACTCTTAGTACCAAGGCCCGAGGCTTCCCAGGCCTCCCTGTTGGTTGGGAGTGGGAAGAGGAGTCGTGTCTTGGGCATGGGCAGGGGAGGCAGTGGACTGAGACTATTTGACACACAGGTAAACTGAGGCCAGGTTGGCTGGGGGTGTAGCCCATCATGTGAGCTGGTCTCAGAGGTATGTGACTGCACCCTCCCCTCATGGCTGCTGTGGGGGGCTGGCCACCACCCTCCCGCTGTCTCCTCTGCAGATGCAGTGAGCCAGGCCCAAGGACGCCCCGGCCACCCTGACGCACCCCCCAACATCTACGAGGGGGGCCTGGGGTCCCCGCAGCCGCAGTGCCCCAGTGCCCAGGGAAGCAAGCCCAAGAACTTCCGGCTGCGCCACCTCCGGGGCCTGGGCCTCTACCTGGAGAGCCACCCGCCACCCACTGGCCAGTGTGAGAGCCACTGGCTGGGCCGGCTTATGGCTGGGGGCTGCCTGCCACAGCCTGAGGGCACAGCCTGGGCCCTGGACCTGCCACAGGGGACTCTGGGCCCACGTAACAGCCTCTGTTCAGCCCTTCTGGAAGCCCGATTGCCCAGGGACAGCCTGGGAAGCAGTGGTGAGCTCTGTCAAGGCAGGACTGGGCACGGGGGAAGACCCTAGGGGATGGTTGGGCTGGGGCCTCAGGCGGGCCCTTCTCCACTCCCAAGCCTCCACAGTGGCACCATGCCCCAGAAGGCCAAGATCTTGATGAATCTGTCCCCATCTCTGCATCACGCACAGCTAAGCGGGGTCTGGAGAATCCACCAGGGACAAAGCGGTGCGAGAAAAAGGGAGGATCTGGGAGGGAGGGCTGGGTGACTGCCCCAGCTCCACACTCGGTGAGGGGCCTTGGAATCTGTCTCCCTTGCTGGGCCTCAGTTTTCTCACTTGTAAAATGAGGGTTCAGGTTAGATGAGGGTCCTTCCAGCTTGAACCATTCTGTTCCCTCAACCTCCTCCCTCCCCTGGGGATTCTGTTAAGGAGGAAGCATTGCCCTCCTCCC
The DNA here is from genome assembly GCF_000001405.40 of Homo sapiens. NCBI lineage: Eukaryota > Metazoa > Chordata > Mammalia > Primates > Hominidae > Homo > Homo sapiens. The sequence goes on along the minus strand of NC_000016.10, from coordinate 3,494,097 downwards.
TTCTGTTTTCAAGAATATCGGATTCTGGAAACCCCAGGGTGGGCTGCCAGCCTCCCCCCCAGCCTCCCCTTGGGTCCCTCAAGTGACTCCTTTCTCTCCTCTTTCCTCAGCTTCCAGTTCCAGCATGGACCCAGACAAGGGTGCCCTCCCCCAGCCTAGTCCTTCTAGGCTCAGGCCCAAGAGGTCCTGGGGGACCTGGGAAGAGGCCATGTGTCCCTTGTGCAAGAGAACCCGCTCTGGGGCCCTGGAGAGGCCATAGGGATCCCGAGTGCCAGGACTGGGTACAGGAGGGGCAGGATGGCCGAGGAGGCAGCCTGAGCAGGAGGGGCTCGGCCCCCGGCAGTGGCCCTGCCACATGGGGTGGCCCAGGCAGCGGCCCAGCGCCCAGGCCTGGGCCTCGGGAGAATGTGATGGGGAGAGGGAGGAGGAGGAGGTTCCGAGGGAGGGGCAGAAGCAATAGAAGCATGGCCGTGCCCTTGCAGCCTGCTTAGACTCCAGTCAGCCACTTGTACCTGGGAGGCCGGGCTGAGTGCAGAATCAGGCCCCCCCGCCACCGCCTCCCTGAGAGGCCGGGGAGCCCACAGCTCTGATCTCAATAAAAGCCAAGGCCTGCACGTTCTTGTCCATCTGCCTGTCTGTCATCAGGCCAGTTTGGTGAGAAAAACAGTCCTGTGTCTCTCCAGGGATGGGTCTGCCGCGCCCCCACTCTTAGTTGCCAGGGCATGAGAGGCGTGAGCTAGGGCAAGGGCCTGTGGGAACACCATACTTGTCTGTGAGAGCTTCCTGGATGAGACACTGCTGAGCTTGGCTCCATAGGGTGGGTAGGGGCTCAACAGCCCACCTTTTCAGCCACCATGCCTGGCTAATTTTCTTTTCTTTTTTTTTTTGAGATGCAGTCTAGAACTGTCTAGAGGCCAATTTAGAGCCAGTTTTCTTTGGGGCCAGCATGTGGCTGCAGCAGATGTCCTTCTCAGGGGTGAGATCCTGGCTACGGCTGTCTGTGGCTGAGTTACAGACTGTCTTTTTTTTTTTTTTTTTTTTGAGACGGAGTCTTGCTCTGTGGCCCAGGCTGGAGTGCAGTGGTGCAATCTCGGCTCACTTCAAGCTCCAACTCCCAGGTTCACGCCATTCTCCTGCCTCAGCCTCCCGAGTAGCTGGGACTATAGGCGCCCGCCACCGCGCCCGGCTAATTTATTTGTATTTTTTTAGTAGAGACGGGGTTTCACCGTGTTAGCCAAGATGATCTCCATCTCCTGACCTCAGCCTCCCAAAGTGCTGGGATTACAGGCGTGAGCCGCCGTGCCCGGCCTAATTTTCTGTTGTTTTAAGAGTTGGGGGGAGGGGGTCCTGCTGTTGCCCAGGCTGGTCTCAAACTCCTGAGCTCAAGTGATCCTCCTGCCTCAGGAGGATCCTAAATGCAGGCCATGGCATTGTGGGTGGAGGGCGCAGCGGATGAAGGAAGGCAGGGCGGGGTCAGGGAGGGCACCAGGGAGGACAGCAGCAGAGGCAGGGATGTGGACCTCGGCCCCACCTGCCCCCTACCAGGTGAGGTCACTGCTCCGCGGGACCCCAGCTCCCAGGTCCCTCTGGGCAGGATGAGCACAGCCCTTCTCCTCCCAGCCGGACCAGACTCTGCGCACCCAGGTGTGGGCTTCCTCTGTGCCGGGGTGTCTCCACTCGACTCTGTTGATGTTTGGGATGGGATCTTTCTTTGGGATGGAGGCTGTCCTGTGCATGTAGGATGTTAAGCAGCATCTCTGGCCACCACCCACTTGGTATCTGTAGCACCCTCCTCTAAGCTGTGACAGCAAGTGTCTCCAGACATTGTCCGGTGTCCCTCGGGAGCACTGTTACTGTGGATGAGAAGCCTGCTGATACAGTTAGGCTGTGTCCCCACCCAAATTTCATCTCCAATTGTAATCCCCATGTGTTGAGGGAGGGTTCTCATGGGAGGTGATTGGATCATGGGGTGGGGGGTGGGGGGTTCCGCCATGCTGCTCTCATGATAGTGAGTTATCACAAGATCTGATGGTTTAAAAGTGTTTGGCGGTGGGCCAGGTGCAGTGGCTCACGCCTGTAATGCCAACACTTTGGGAGGCTGAGGCGGGCGGATCACAAGGTCAGGAGATCAAGACCATCCTGGCTAACACGGTGAAACACTGTCTGTACTAAAAATACAAAAATTAGCCGGGCATGGTGGCAGCTGCCTGTAGTCCCAGCTACTCAGGAGGCTGAGGCAGGAGAATGGCATGAACCCGGGAGGCAGAGCTTGCAGTGAGCCGAGATTGTGCCACTGCACTCCAGCCTGGGTGATAGAGTGAGACTCTTGTCTCAAAAAAAGAAAAAAATAATAAAATGTGTTTGGCAGTTCCACCCTTCCTCCCCACCACCGCCTCTCTCTCTCTCTGTCCTGCCGCCTTGCCAAGAAGGTGCCTGCTTCCCCTTTGCCTTCCATGGTGATTGTAAGTTTCCTGAGGCCTCCCAGACACCTGGAACGCTGAATCAATTAAACCTCTTTTGTTTATAAATAACCCAGTCTCAGGAAGCAGTGTCAAGACGGACTAACACACTTGTTCTATTCCACCAGGTCTCCATCCTATGGGAAGAAGACGGGAGCACCTGGGTTTGCCTCAGTGACCTTCCCGTCTGGTCACTCCAGCCGGTGCAGCCCGGGTCAGGCTAGGGCTCAGCGCCACCCCTGCTTTGGGCTCCTGCCAGGTCGCATGTGACGTGCCCAGGACAGCCAGGCTCCTTCCCTTCTCCTGTACCCACCCTGGACAGTTCTTGTGTCCCTGGGACAGCAGATCCTGGAGACTTCAGTCCTTGGGTGGTTTTATGGGTTGTTCTAAGTATGCAGGCATGGCCCGGGGTGGGGGACACCCAAGGCTGTAGCGGTCCCCAGGAGGGGGAGCTCTGAGAGAGCAGGTGTTTACATGCTGCACCCAAGAGCAGCTGTGATGGGGCAGGTGTGGGTGGGATGCAGCGGGCCTGAGGTCCACTGATGAGTCACATGGGGTGGCGGAGGGGCAGCTGCCTTCTCTCTCTCCCACAACACTCATTCCCCAGAGACGCAGAGGCCAGGTGGATCCAAGAGACCACTTAAAGACTGACATTAGGGAGGCTGCTGAGTAAACATGGAAGGACGCCTGCACCAGCCACCAGCTGCGGACGCTGGGCATAACTGAGGCCGCACAGAGGCCAGCAATACAAAGTCCTTGGAGCTTGGAGACCGTTAGGGGCCTAATCCACTTTTTTTCCCCTTTTCTTTTTTTTGAGACAGTGTCTCACTGTCTCCCAGCCTGGAGTGCAGTAGCATGATCTTAACTCACTGCAGCCTTGAACTCCTGGCCTCAAGTGATCTTCCTGCCTCAGCCTCCTGAGTAGCTGGAACCAAAGGCAGTTGCCACCATGTCCAGCTAATTACAAACTTTTTTTTGGTAGAGAAAGGGTCTTGCTATGTTGCCCCTGGTCTCCAACTCCCAGCCTCAAGCAATGCTCCCGCCTCCACCTCCTAAAGTGCTGGGATTATAGGTGAGGCTCCACGCTGGGCCCTATGTTTAACAATCATAGCTCACTGCAGCCTTGAGCTCCTGAGCCAAGTGACCCTACCATCTCAGCCTCCTGAGTAGCAGAGACTACAGGCGTGGGCCACCACCATGCCCAGCTTTTTTTTTTTTTTTTTTTTTTTTTTTTTTTTTTTGAGACGGAGTCTTGCTCTGTCGCCCAGGCAGGAGTGCAGTGGCATGATCTCGGCTCACTGCAACCTCCGCCTCCTGGGTTCACCATTGTCCTGCCTCAGCCTCCTGAGTAGCTGGGACTACAGGCGCCCGCCACCACGCCCGGCTAATTTTTTGTATTTTTAATAGAGATGGGGTTTCACCGTGTTAGGCAGAATGGTCTCGATCTCCTGACCTCGTGATCTGCCCTCCTCGGCCTCCCAAAGTGTTGGGATTACCAGTGTGAGCCACCGCGCCTGGCCGATTTTCTATTTTTTTAAGAGATGAGGGTCTCACTATGTTTCCCAGGCTGGTCTTGAACCCCTGAGCTTAAGAGATCCTCCCACCTTGGCCTCCTGAAGTACTGGGATTACAGGCATCAGCCACCGCACCTGGACTCCACTCACTTCTGAACAAAGAGTGGAGGCTCAGAGAGGAGCACAGGTTGCCCCAGGCTCCAGATTTTGGGTGGGTGGGGGGGGGGGTCCCAGGCTATGGTCAGTGGCCCTTCTGCTACCCCGGATGAGCCACGTGTCTTCGTGTTCTGGCCCCTGTGTAGCCCCCTCCCCTTGAATTGGGACAGGCTCCAGATCCTGCTTTACCAGTAGAATGTGGCAGAAGTGGCGGGGTGTCACTTCTGGGCAGTAAGGAAGCCTGGCAGCTTCCCAGGAGGTCAGTGGCCCCGTAAGGAGTCTACCCTGGGACTGTGGTATGGTGCAAAACCAGCCTAGCCTGAGGAAGCCATGGAAGGAAGGAGCCAAGCCCATGGCCACTGCTGAGCTCACTGTGGGCAGCCCTGTGGGTAGGGCCATCTTTCACACAGGTCCTCCAGCCCCGCCAGCCTGCCTGGCTAATACCACATGGAGTCCCTGCTGACTCCTGTCCCAGCTGGAATTGGAAGCAAACAGAATGGCCCCTGCTTAGGCTGTGAAGCTTTAAGACAGTCTGTTACTCCGGCAGGCACGGTGGCTCATGCCTGTAATCCCAGCACTTTGGGAGGCCGAGGTGGGCAGATCACGAGGTCAGGAGATCGAGACCATCCTGGCTAACACGGTGAAACCCCATCTCTACTAAAAATACAAAAAAAATTAGCCAGGCATGGTGGCGGGCCCCTGTAGTCCCAGCTACTCCAGAGGCTGAGGCGGGAGAATGGTGTGAACCCGGGAGGCGGAGCTTGCAGTGAGCCGAGATCACGCCACTGGACGCCAGTTTGGGGGAGAGAGCAGGTTCCGTTTCAAAAAAAAAAAAAAAAAAAAAAAAAAAAAAAAAGACAGTCTGTAACTCAGCCACAGACAGCTGTAGCCAGGATCTTACCCGAGAGGACATCTGCTGCAGCCACATGCTGGCCCCAAAGAAAACTGGCCCTAAATTGGCCTCTAGACAGTCCCTCCCGCAAAACCTCCCAAAGCCTTTTTGAGAAGCACTCCAACAGACTGAGAGGCAAAAAAGCCACAATCATGGCACGCTGGGGTGGGAGTCGATGTGGAGAAAGCAGCACTTGGCCTGAGCAAGCGGACGCTCATGAAAATACACATTGACCTCAGCCGGACGCGGTGGCTCATGCCTGTAATCCCAGCACTTTGGGAGGCCGAGGCGGGCGGATCACGCGGTCAGGAGATCGAGACCATCCTGGCTAACATGGTGAAACCCCGTCTCTACTAAAAATACAAAAAAATAGCCGGGCATGGTGGCAGGCGCCTGTTGTACCAGCTACTCGGGAGGCTGAGACAGGAGAATGGCGTGAACCCGGGAGGCCAAGCTGGCAGTGAGCCAAGATCTCACTCTGTTACCCAGGCTGGAGTGCAAACAGAATGAGATTCCATCTCAAAAAAAAAAAAAAAAAAGAAAATACACTGACCATCCCTGGGCACGCCCCTTACCCCGTGAGTCCCTGAACGCCGGTGGGCTAGGAATGGAAGACCAGGAGTCTGTCTCCGTCCTGAAAGTATGAAGGACCCCTACCCTATAGGAGATCCTTGGGTGGTGTGTGCAGGGAGCGGGGAGACCCAAGGCTGCCTCGGGCTCCACCCCTGAGCAGGCCTGGGGCAGAGCCAGCTCCGTTCAGGGCTGGCCTCCGTGCTATGTCCAGGTGCATCCTGTGTGTGTCCTACCTCTCCCTGGGTCCCACACTCCCTTTCTGCCCCCCAGTGGAGCACGAGCGTTTGTGTCCCAGCTCTGCGGTCCGGTGGGGCTATGGTGAGAGGCCTGGAGCAGTGGCAGTCCTGCCTGGCCTCACTGAAGCAGGGCCTGAGGAGCCGCAGCCCCACCTGGGCAAGTTACTAACTGGTCACACGATTGACCAAGGGCCCCAAAGAGTTACCCTCTTAACCGCAAGCTGACTCATCAGCAAAGGTGCAACTGTCCTTGCTGGAGTAACCAAGACTGTGTCTCCCCAGCAGACGCTCCCGTGGGCAAGCTCAGCGGGTTAATCTGGTTTCACTCACCCCATGGCTTTGGACATGGGTCCAGCGCGCCCAGCTGCCTGGCCTCCCAGGGCACCAGCGTCCACCCCTACTCCATCTTGCAGATGCTTCAGACCCTCTCCTGGGAGGACCCTCGGCAAGTTGCATGTCTCCCGGCCACTGGATGAGGTCAAAGGCACAGGAATGGTGTAACAGAGCAGCCACGCAGGCTTCAGAGTGGCCCAGGCCTGGGCCCAACACTCACAAACTGTGGCTCCTTGGTAACTCCCAGCCCCCGAGCCAGTTCTCCTCATCTCTAAGAGGAACAATATCATCCCTTGAGGGTGACCAGAAGTTTCCATGAGAGGCTGACGGAAGCACCAGGTCTGTGCTGGGTGGGCACGCACCTCAGGCTCCACAGCAGGGTGCACCAAATCACCCTTGGAGCCGCCTGCCTGGACTGGGCCCCAGCTCAAGGCCTACAGCCAGGGAGATGCCCAGACAGGGCAGCTGCTGGGGACCTTCCAGTGAAAAAAGGACCTAATGTGCTTCTCAACTCTAGAACCTCTTCCCCAGTTTCACATTCTTTTTCTGGAGTCTCGCTCTGTCACCAGGCTGGAGTGCAATGGCGCCATCTCAGCTCACTGTAACCTCCGCCTCCTGGGTTCAAGCTCTCCTGCCTCAGGCTCCCGAGTAGCTGGGGCTACACGTGCACACCACCACGCCCGGCTAATTTTTGTATTTTAGTAGAGATGAGGTTTCACCATGTTGGCCAGGCTGGTCTCGATCTGACCTCGTGATCCGCCCACTTCGGCCTCCCAAAGTGCTAGAATTACAGGCGTGAGCCACCGTGCCTGGCCAAAGGTCCTCATTCTCTGACAGGGTTAATCACACAAAACCACTGTCCCCTTTATCTGGAAGCCATCCTTGGGCCTTGCCAGTGACAAGTAGCTCGAGGCCAACTTCAGCTACAGGGTGAGGCCCGAGGTGCAGCCAGGCGGGTGCGGGAAACAGGATGTGACGAACTCCAATGAAAGTCTATTTATTTGCTCGTAATGAGACAGAACGCTACAATCTGTTCAACACTGGGCTGGACACTGCAGTGATCAGGGGCAGGTGTGGGGCAGGGTGGGGCCTCTGAGCCCGAGGACAAATGTCCATGGCAGAGCCTTCCAGAAGACTCGTCCCTTACCCTGTGGGGCAGAAATAGAAATCACATGATCGCCACTGATTCGCAGTGGAGAGGGCGCTGAGCTGGGCCCGGCAGGCAGGCAGCCTCAGCAGAGATTCAGGCAGTCAGCATGGTGCGGCCCTCCCGCCAGCACTGTCAGGTCAGCAGAGGTTCAAGCAGTCAGCATGGCGCGGCCCTCCTGCCAGCACCGTCAAGGAGGGGGATGCTGCTCCTGCCTGGTGCCTGCCTTCATTCTGAGGGCCCCTGGCCCCAGCTGAGTTCAAGAGGGGACCTGGGGCTGCCCCAGCACCCTGAGAGCCCGTGGCTGGGCAGCTCTGGAGGCGGAAGGACACAGGTCCCTGAGGCCCCGTCTGCCCAGGGTTGTTCCTCCCTCTCCCTCCTCCTCAGGCTGGGGCAGGGTGGCGCCGCTAGGACCCTCTGCCATGGCTTTGTGACACTGCAGCTATGCTGGGCGGGACTCCGCCCCCCACCCCACCCCTGCATCGGAGGGCAGGGCAGGCAGCAAGCAGCATTTGGAATGCAGGGTGGAGAGGATGCTAGAAGTATGTGATGCACCTGCGGCACTGACAGCATCTCTGCCCTCAGAGGCTGAGGGCCCACAAGGCACAGGACTGCCCCCTGCCCACAAGGCCAGGCCCTACAAGACAGATGGCAGCCTTGAGGCCTAATGTCGAGCTCAGCTTCCTCCTGTCTGCATGTGGCCAGGCCTTGGAGCAGCAGCTTGTGGCAGCATGAGGGAGGGCGGGGAGGACCCAAGGAGTCTCGGCGATGCCTGTCCTCAGCAGGTCAGCTGAATGGAGCATGCCAAGGTCCGACGGGCAGTGTGACCTCCCAGGGCACTGGTAACTGCACGGAAGGTGCTGAGGAGTAGGAACCGTCCTGATGCGTGACCGCCTGTGCCAGGGGGCTGAGCCTCAGAGCTCTGTGCTTGCGAGGAAAGCCTCCCCCAGGCTGCCCACCCCTCATCAGCCCCTCATGGAGGAGTGGGGGCCACTCCTCACCCCCCAGGCTTCTTTGGGCTGGTTCTGGAAGGGGACGGGCCATTCCCTTTATTGCGCCCCCTTGTTCCGAGGCTCCTGTGCCTTTACGGTCAAGTGTGTCCATAATACTTGCGTTCCTCCCTTGCAGGAGAAAGTCCCCTCCAGCTTTCCAGGAAGGAGCTGCAAGAACAGGCAGCGGAGTGGGAGAGGCCCAGTGAGGGCAGGCCCCTCCCAGTGAATGCAGCCACACTGGGTCAGCCCTGGGGACGGTGCATGCGCAGGGGGGCAGGGCCAGGGCAGCAGGCAGAGGTTTCCAGAAGCAGGGAGGGGAGCTGAAGAGCCTGTGGGAAAGAGAAGAGCAGGGCAGGGTGAAGGCCCGGCGGAGACACTCTGCCCACCCCACACCCTGCCTATGGGCCACACAGCTGGGCCTGGGTGCTCCAGGAGCATGAGCCCTTCTCCAGGCCATGGTGTCTGCCTGCAGCCACTAGGCGCCTCTCGGTCCCCACACAAATAAAGGCACTGATGGATCCAAAGTCGGGTGCACAGCCCAGTTGCCATGGAGCCTGCTGTGTTAGCTTGGCACAAGTCACCAAACCTCTGGGCTGTGCTGGTGCATAAGGTGGTGGACTCTGCAGTCCCCACGGCCCCTTCCGGCTCTGCCGTTCTCTGTGCCCATCCAGGGCCTTCCACTTTTGTGGCTGGAGGCACCAAGCTCCCATACCTTTGTGTCTGCTGTGGCGTACCTGCCACGGATGGGCATGCTCTGCGCATGCCCACGATGTTCTGTTCCCGAGCCCGTGTAGCACCGGGCCTGCAGCTGGGGCAGGCCGACGAGCCCAGTTAGATGGCTGGCAGCTCCTTGCAGAAAACAGAAGGGGTCAGATGGACAGGAAGGCGGGCTCTGCGGGCGGCCGAAGGGTGGGGCCTGGTGGCGGCTGCCCAGCCGACATCACATGGTCCGGCTGTACTCGATGCCACTCTTGGAAGAGATGCCCGACCATGGCAGGAAGCTGCAGAGCAGGCTGTGGGCCTGGCGGTAGACTCTGTGCGGAATGGAGCAGGGGCTCAGGCTGGCTAGTGCAGAGCCCAGGTGCTGGATGTAGTCCGTGGGGCTCTGTTAAGGAAGATTCCGACTTGCCCTGACCACGCTCGCCAGGGCACAGTCATCAGGGGCCCGCGCAGTGGCCTGTGGGACTGTGTGCAGATGGCAAGCCAGGCTTCGGAGGCTGAGAGCCCGCTAAGCCTCTGCAGAGCTGGAAAGGCTCATGAGACGAAGTGGCCTCTGCTGTGCAAAACAACAGAGGGTGGGGTCTGGGGACAGAAGGGCCTTCTGAGTGAGGCAGCAGGCATGTGGACACCACACCCAGGGATGCACGGGGGGTGGGGAAGGGGCCTGGCAGAAGGGCAGGTGCTTCTGGTTCTCCCTAGATTCTCAACCTTTGTGGCAGCAAGAGGGACAGAGCCCTGTCCATATGACAAGGAGGGGGTCAACAGTGCTGACCCCCTGGATGCCTGTCTTCACATAAGCTAGACGGCCTGTGGAGTGTGGGGTCACCCCTCTCTTTCCTGCTTATTATTCTATGTAATGAATAAATCCTAGACTCATGAATTTGAAAACACACACACACACGCACAGCATTTTTTTGGGCCACATTCTGACTATTATAAAGTTTCCTGGCTTCCCTCTGACCTGTCAGGGGCCAGTGAAAGTTAAGGAGGAAGAAGCAGGGAAGGGCATACCTTTGGGTCATGCATCCTATAAGGAAGGTTTGAACCCAAGTATTCAAAAAAAGTAAAAATCTCTTCTCTCCGCACTTGTTTCCCCTCTGCTAGCACAGGCTCTGGGAGGACAGGGGATCCTGTCCGTTTTGTGCACTGCTGATCCCCAGTGCAAGTGGAGCAGGAGGCTCTCCAGCTGGGTGCAGGGCTCATGCCTATAATCCCAGTAATTTGGGAGGCTGCGGCAGGCGGATCATTTGAGCTTAGGAGTTCGAGACCAGCCTGGGCAACATGGTAATATGTGCAACTCGATTTACCCAAATGTGTGTCAGGTTTACCCACAACACGATCAGGTAAGGGAGAGAAGCATCCATAAGCTTGGCCACCTGAACATCATCTGAGGGGGACCACAGCTCCAACTTGCTCACTGGCTCTGCCACCTTATGGACAGGAAGCCACAGTCCCTCTCCCCCAGAAGTTAAGGATATAAAATCGTCCAGGGAGGGTGGCCGCCGTTGATGTAGAGGACATAGGTGAAGCCATCTTTGAGGACCCCTCGAATGGAGTAGTAATAGGGGAGATAGTGGTGCTGCTTGAAGTCTCTGTTTTCATAGAAGTTTATTGCTGTGTTGTTGGTGGTGAGGACATGCAGGTAAATGGCTTTGCAGTGGTCCTGGGCGGTGGTTGATATGTGATCCTTTAAACTTTCAAGTAAGAGGGAACCTTGGGGAGAAGAGGTAAAGGTAATGCAGGCAGAGCAGTTAGGAAGGAAGGATGACTGGGCTAGGATGGGGGCTTTGCATGAGTCTCTCGGAGATGTCTCGGCCCACCGTATCAGAGACCAGCCTTTCTTCACCACCACTGTCAAAGTCCCTAAAATCTCATGGCCAGATGGAGCCTGGTAGCTACAGACTGCTGGGAGGGACTGCAGAGGTGGCCTGGTAGCGCCCTCCCATGGGCTGGGCCCGCATGGAGACTCCCTTTCAGACAACAAACAGGGTAAATGTGAGCCCAGGAAAACATGGACTAGATGGGCCTGGGTTTAAAATTAATTAAGACTCTGCCGCTCACTGGCCGTGTGGCCGAGTGGGGTGGGACATCGGAGAAACGGTGAGTGTTGCTTCCTCGTGCGTGTTCACGCTTTCTACTCTGAATCGTGAGCAGTGAATACACGAGTTGTGCGTGTGGCGGCAGCAGAAGTGAGAGGTGCCAGTTTCCTCAGCTCCATCCTGGGGGCTGAGCGAGGCTGCAGCAGAAAGGCCTGGGGGCATGTGGAAAGAGGATGGCTGAAGGTGGTGGGTGTGCTGGCAGGGGAGGGATGATGAAGGTCTGGCCCAAGACGGGAACGAGGATGGAAGATGAGACTGAGGGATGTTCACGAGCCAGAGTTGTTGGGGCCAGGGAAGAGACTGGGTGCAGATGGGATGGGGGTGGGGTAGGGCAAGGGGGTGGGGTGGGCGCCAAGCCGCGGGCCCGGCTGCCCTTACCTATGCCGTGCTTCCTGAACTCTTTCACGACGCCCAGACTTAGGATGTACGCGACTTGTGTGTCAACAGAGAAGTTGGATGCTAGAATATCTCCATCCTAGAGGAAGAGTCAGAGAGAAAGTCAGGCTCACACGTCTGGTGCACGGCTCACTGCACAGCCCGGCCCAGGCGGGCTCCGCACCGACTTCCCACGACAGCCAGAGGGACACCGACTGGGAGGGGCAGAATCAAGAGGTACTGGAGAGGGGCCCCCACTCCCCAAGGAAATGAGAGCGTTTATGCCCTTCTGGTGAAAAACAGCTGAAAAGAAGAACACACACAAAAGGAGCTTCTCCTAGGGGTGTGTGGGAGGCCTAGCCAAGGACGGGAATGAGGCTCTGATGCCAGCACAAGGTAAAGTTATGGCATGAAGGCAGCAACTACACAGCACCACGCGGGCCTCATGGGAATGCACGCATGTCACCTGGTAGGCCTGGATGCAGGACAGTGGACAAATGCAAAGTTTTAGAGGTTCAGTTAAAGAATCGCACGCTGCCCCAGGTGATCTTGGAGGAGTGAGACTTGGGCGGCCGTCCAACCCCTTCTGCTGCCCCCACAGGCAGAGGACACCGCCACACCTGCGTAAAGCCACCCACCATCTCTTGGTTCTAGAGATGGAATTCCGGGTGGGAGTCATGAATCTGATCAGCATGAGGCTCTTATCATCTTCCAACTCGTAAAGAACAAGAAGGCCTTTCTGCTCCCACGTGCTGGGCTGGGGTCAGCCTGTCCAGGCTCCCTGCTCTCCCAGCCCTCTTCAAGCCACAGTTCACCCAGATATGTCAGTCCAGGGAGGAAGGCGTCCTTATCACTCTTGTTACTCCAGGCCTGCAGGAAGGGTGTCTGTTCCCCAGCTGACATCTCTTAACAGGGTCTACTTTGCCCTGACCTTGAACTCACTAAGCCTGAGAGGAAGGGGCCAGATGAATGAGTGCCAGCGTGCAGGCCAGAGGGCCCTCTACTGAGAGCCGGGAACATGAGCCAAAGGGTCCCCATGTCGGCCTCGAGGGAACACAAACACATTCCAGAGGAGGAAGAGACCCAGCCGCCACCTGGGGGCAGGCACACAGTCACCAGGGGGCACTCAGGAAAGCCACCCGGAGGGGGATGGGGTTCAGGGGAATGAGTCATTGGGGGAAGGGGGGGACCACGTGTCCCATTAACAAGAGAGATCAGGCTGGGCACGGTGGCTCACACCTGTAATCCTAGCACTCCCGCGAGGCAGGCGGATCACTTGAGGCCAGGGATTCCAGATCAGCATGGCCAACATGGTGAAACCCCATCTCCACTAAAAATACAAAAATTAGCTTGGTGTGGTGGCGCACGTCTAAAATCCTACTTGAGAGGCGGAGGTTGCAGTGAGCCGGGATCAGGATCGCATCACTGCACTCCACCCTGGGTGATAGTGAGACTCCGTTTCAATAAAAAAAAAAGAGGAGAGAAAAGAATGTTGACACTTGCTTTCTGCTACATCTTAGCTCTTAAAAATCAAAGAAAAAAGCTCAGGAGGAAGCTAGGGCAGAAAAAGTGACTCAGGAGAAAAAAGCTGTGCCAGACAGAGTATGACCACAGGCAAAACAGGGTAGATGCCAGTGGATTCGGGTCCTTAAAGGGAGAGACAGGCCTTCTTGCACTTTTATTTACTTATTTATAGACAGAGTCTCACTCTGTCACCCAGGCTGGAGTGCAAAAGTGCAATCTCCGCTCACTGCAACCTCCACTGCCTCCTGGGTTCAAGTGATTCTTGTGCCTCAGCCTCCTGAGTAGCTGGGATTAAAGGCAAGCGCCATCATGCCTGGCTAATTTATTTTTTACTTTTAGTAGAGACAAGGTTTCACGATGTTGGCCAGGCTGGTCTCGAACTCCTGACCTCGTGATCTGCCCAAAATGCCGGGGTTATAGGTGTGAGCCACTGTGCCCAGGCCTTCTCTAACTTTTCTTCTTCTTCTTTTTTTTTTTTTTTAGACGAAGTCTTGCTTTTGTCCCTCGGGCTGGAGTGCAATGGCACGATCTCGGCTCACTGCAACCTCTGCCTCGTGGGTTCAAGCGATTCTCCTGCCTCAGCCTCCCAAATAGCTGGGATTATAGGCGCCTGCCACCACGCCCGGCTAATTTTTGTATTTTTAGTAGAGATGGGGTTTCACCATGTTGGCCAGGCTGGTCTTGAACTCCTGACCTCAGATGATCTGCCCGCCTCGGCCTCCCAAAGTGCTGAGATTACAGGCATGAGCCACTGCGCCCGGCCCCTTCTCTAACTTTTAAAGAAATAACCTCAAGCCAAACAAATTGAACCATCTGCCAGTTGTTGGTGGGTTTTTCCCTCCTTGGCTAAATCCTCGGGTGGTAAACATTACCTCAGATGCTGGGATGACCAACATCATCACACAGAATCTTGACTAAACTCAACCATTTGGAACAATATGGCCATGGTCTTACTGTTTACATTCAGACTGGGGTTTGCTAGCCTGAAGTGAGACTGAGGTGGGTCCACGGATGCCCAAAGGGTTCTTAGATCTTAAAGGGCTCTGTGAAGTTAGAGGAAAAAAAATTATCTCTGTACTTTCCCTGACCTCTAACTGTAACTAGCATTTCCTTCAACAAGCTGAAGCAGTCTTAGCGGTTTCTATGACACTGCCGCCAACACAAATCAGGGGTATTTTCATAGCACGTTGTAACTGCAGATTCTCAATGCATCATCTGCGCTCATGCCTGCTTCAGAACGACAGTGGTTATGAAGCCTGCTGCTGGGCACGACTGGAGGCCCACGCACCATGAAATCACACACACACACACACAGAAAAGCACCAGCCAGGGACAAGTGTCGTTGGCCACTTGGATTCCTTGGGTCACAGGCTCCTTGGACGACGGCTGTGGAGCAGGCAGCATGATTCCATCGCAAGCCCCCTTGGCCCGTCCAATGACAGTGACTGCCAAGTCCTCACTGCACACACGTACGTACCTCTTTATGTATTTTGGTCCTGTTCTTAATTTCAGCTACTATCATTCCCACAATGGCACCTCTGTAGGTTGCAGCAAGGGAAAAGAACTTCTTGTTGGATGTGATATCACGATACCATGAGTCTGGGTACCTGAGAAACAGAACATACTCAGGTGAACCTGCCACAGGTCAAGTCCAACTATGGTCGTGCTCTAGACATCAGAACCACAGGGAGCTCTGGGCCACTTCTGCCTGCTGCTCTAAGGCTGCCGAGGAGTGTGCCCATCACTTAAGTCTCTACCTAACTGTCACAGCCACCTTCTTAAAGCAGTGATCTGTCTAGACAGGACTGGGGATCTCTGATGGGAATTTTTTTCTTTTGAGACGGAGTTTTGCTCTTGTTGCCCAGGCTGGAGTGCAATGGCGTGATCTCGGCTCACTGCAACCGTTGCCTCCTGGGTTCAATCGATTCTCCTGCTTCGGTCTCCCGAGTAGCTGGGATTACAGGTATGTGCCACCACGCCCGGCTAATTTTGTATTTTTTTTTAAGTAGAGATGGGGTTTCTCCATGTTGGTCAGGCTGGTCTCAAACTCCTGACCTCATGTGATCTGCCCGTCTTGGCCTCCCAAAGTACTGGGATTACAGGTGTGAGCCACCGCGCCTGGCCCGGGAAAAATAATTTTATCCGACATGAAACTGTCTCCATGGAAGCAACTCATGGAGAGTCAGCAGCAGGGCCCTGTTCCTCCACCAGGTGAGTGAAGATTTTAGGGCCCTTCTCACCCTTGGACACTGGAGGAGTGCCTACGAGAATCTGTGAGACTTCTGGACACTGAAGACTAGGGGAGTGGAGTGATTCCAGGAAGAGCCAGGTTCACAGCTGACAGGCGTTTGAGTTTACAATGCCTTCCCTGACAGGGAGGAACCCGCCCTTAAGGGGAATGTGAGGCTGAGGCTGCTAACGGCTGCTCATCAACAATGAGGCCAAGACCCCTCTGAGCGGAGCAGGCAAAAAAAACAGTGGGCATAAAGGCCCAGGACATGGTCATTAACAGGCGAATCCAGCCCCAGCCCCAGAGAGACAAGGTCAGGAGGACAGAGGCACATGGAGTTTCTAGGGTGTGTAGGGTTAGTTTTGCTGCCTCACAGCCCGGTTCATGTCACAGTCTTGGGAACCTGAGACCTTAGGCCCACGAGAACTGCAGGAGAGACAGGCAGGCTGGGTGGCTCACATGGCCAAGGCCCACGGTCCAGCGTGGCTCCACTGGCTCTCAGGCAACCCTGGGCAGAGTCTGATCTATGCACTCACTGCAGCTTTTATTTCTCTAGATTAGTTTCCAGCAGTTAAATTGCTGGGCTGAAGAACACGTTTTTATTTTTATTTTGAGATGGAGTCTCACTCTGTCACCCAGACTGGAGTTCAGTGTTGTGATCTCAGCTCACTGCAACCTCTGACTCGCGGGTTCAAGTGATTCTCCTGCCTCAGCCTCCCGAGTAGCTGGGGTTACAGGTGCGTGCCACCAGGCCTATTTATTATTATTATTATTATTATTATTTTGAGACAGAGTCTCACTGTCGCTCAGGTTGGGGTGCAGTGCCACAATCTTGGCTCACTGCAACTTCTGCCACCTGGGTTCAAGCGATTCTCCTGCCTCAGCCTCCCGAGTAGCTGGGATTACAGGTGCCTGCACCATGCCCAGATAATTTTTTTGTATTTTTAGTAGAGACGGGGTTTCACCACCTTGGACAGGCTGGTCTTGAACTCCTGACTTCGTGATCCACCCGCCTCGGCCTCCCAAAGTGCTGGGATTACAGGCGTGAGCCACTGCGCCCGGCCCAATTTTTGTATTTTTAATAGAGATGAGGTTTCACCATGTTGGCCAGGCTGGTCTCGAACTCCTGACCTCAGGCCTGCCTTGGCCTCCCAAAGTGCTGGGATTACAGGCGTGAGCCACTGCGCCCGGCCCAATTTTTGTATTTTTAATAGAGATGAGGTTTCACCATGTTGGCCAGGCTGGTCTCGAACTCCTGACCTCAGGTGATCCACCCACCTTGGCCTCCCAAAGTGCTGGGATTACAGGCGTGAGCCACTGCGCCCAGCCAAGAACAGTTTTTTAACTCATGTTGCCACCGCCAGCCCACATCACCTGGACTGTGACAGTTCCCGCTTCCACAAAGACGCACAGGGGTCCCTGCCACCGCCCTGCCAAGAGCATGAGGTTCAGTCAGTCTGAGGTGAACACTCAAGGAAATGCTGGTGGCTGGCAAGATCTTGTTTATTTTCCATTTTCAAAGTTTGTGTCAACTTTTTTCATCAAAAAAGCTGTATGTGCATATATTGTAGGCAAGACAGACAAGAAGAAACAATCATAGGGCCTAATATTAATCTACCCACCTCAAATACTGAAACACTGTTAAATGGTACATACCCCCTTGTAAAATTTTTTTCACCCCCGCTCAGTTCATACCTATCATTATAAAATTTTATCTTGTACATGTTTTCAAATAAAAATAGGATCGTGGTACATACTATTTTCTAGACTGACTTTTTTCCTTTAATATCTTTCTTTCTTTTTTTTGAAACGGAATATCGCTCTTGTTGCCCAGGCTGGAGTGCAATGGCGCAATCTCGGCTCACCGCAACCTCCACCGCCTGGGTTCAAGTGATTCTCCTGCCTCAGTCTCCCAAGTAGCTAGGATTACAGGCACGCACCACCACACCTGGCTAATTTTGTATTTTTAGTAGAGACGGGGTTTCTCCATGTTGGTCAGGCTGGTCTTGAACTCCTGACCTCAGGTGATCTGCCCTCCTTGGCCTCCCAAACTGCTGGGATTACAGGCTCCTTTAATATCTTGTAAAAAAGATTTCTCTATCAAAAAATATAACTCTTTGACAGGTTTTTTTTTCCCGGCTGAATAATATTGCACTTTTATATGCACATACTCTAATTACTCTAATGCATGTAACCAACTCCTTGCTGTGAAGATACTTGAGTGGCTTCTAAATTTTCTGAATTATAAATAGCACCACACCCGATAGCTCTGTAACTGAAATTTCTCACAGAGCCCTTCTGGGGAACTCTGCACACCCTGAGAGGTGGAAAGAGCCCAGCAGCAGGGGTCCCTAGATGAGGTGGGTAACCTGGGACCCCTGTGGCCCCTCCAGGCCATTCCCATCTTTGCAGCACGGTCCTAAGGGCCCAAGAGGCCCCCACCCCCGCCGCCCAGCTTCTGCACCTGAGGCTCACGGGCTCTCCCCAACCCTGCAATCCGCTCCACTTACTCGATGGGGAACCAGTCGCCACACAGGTGCTTCACAGTGTCTATGTCATCGTGGCAGAGGAGGCGCAGGCTGACCTCGCTGAGCGCGCTGGATGGCACCACCTCTGTCATTCACACCTGTGGGGAAGGGTGGGGGGGACGCGTCACCTCACAGCCTGGTCTTCCTCATGCTCAGCTTGTGAGGCAGGCGAGACAGAAGAGCACGGAGCATGTCCCACGGGTGGACACCCCTCAGCCAGCACTCAGAGGCCTCTGCCTCTCACGATCGCCCTCCCAAGAGGCGCTGCAGTCGCCCCCATCGCTGGGAAGACCCAGGCCCAGGAGGGCAGGCAGGATGGGGAACCAGG
The DNA here is from genome assembly GCF_000001405.40 of Homo sapiens. NCBI lineage: Eukaryota > Metazoa > Chordata > Mammalia > Primates > Hominidae > Homo > Homo sapiens. The sequence continues at coordinate 3,475,991 of NC_000016.10, read as the reverse complement.
CCCTCCACTGCTCAGCCCCAGCTGAAGGAAGCCCTGGCCAGCCTCTCTCCCCATCTGAGCTGCCCCTGACTGGTCTCACATCTTATGACAGTGGTCCTTCCGAGGGTCAACGGCCCCAGCCAGCCTGACTTCTCTCAACTCCAGCCAGTGGCTGCCAGTGACAGTTGTGGGTTCAGCAGCCCCCATGCCTCATCCCCCTTCAAAGCAGCCCGGTGGCCGGGGCAGTGAACGGCTGGATTTGCAGGGGAAATGGTGCGGCTTTATGACCAGGGCGTGGGTTTGTGCTGAGTGGGTCACACCCCAATTTCTCCTCCCCGCCCAGCAAGTGAACACTCCTGGGCGGAAAGAAAGAGACTTTGGGGGACACCACAGTTCAAGTCGGGGTCACGAGTGGCCAAGGACTCCTTTAAATCAGGAAAGTGCATCCAATCCAGGGGCGGGAGGAGCAGCCCCCCTGTTTTATTTAACAAGGAAGTTTGTATAGAAAGGAAGAGAGGAATGGAGGGAGGAAGGCTGGCCGGCCAAGTGCTGGGCACCGAGAAGGGGAAAACAGAAGCCTTGGTTCTTTAAGTTGGAAATTAGTCGTTAAAAGGAAAGGATGGGGCCTGGTGTGATGGCTCACGCCTGTAATCCCAGCACTTTGCGAGGCCAAGGTGGGTGGACTGCCTGAGGTCAGGAGTTCAGGACCAGCCTGGCCAACATGGCAAAACCCTGTCTCTACAAAAAATACAAAAATTAACCAGGCTTGGTGGCGGGCAACTGTAATCCCAGTTACTGTGGAGGCTGAGGCAGGAGAATCGCTTGAACCCGGGAGGTGGAGGCTGCAGTGAGCCAAGACTGCGCCACTGCACTCCAGCCTGGGCAACAGAGTGAGACTCCATCTCAAAAAAAAAAAAAAGGAAAGGATGGAAGGCTGGGTGTGGTGGCTCATGCCTGTAATCCCAGCACTTTGGAAGGCTGAGGTGGGAGGATCGCCTGAACCCAGGAGTTTGAGATCAGCCTGGGCAACATAGCAAGACCCTGTCTCTAAAAATAAATAAATAAACAAACCCATAAATAAATGGGAAAAGATGCTGCATTCATCCTCCTTTTTTAGGAGGAACTGCGTAGTTCATCTCAGCGTTGAGGAAAGTTCTTTACAGAAGAATGCCAGCTAATAAAAGTAGAAATAATGACTGAATTAGAAAGTCACCATTTTGGAATCACCAACAGAAATGACGGAGTCAAACAACAATCAGGAAAGGCCGTGAAATCCGCAGCTGAAAGCTGCTGGGGGCAGGTGCAAGGTGTGGAGGCAAGCCCCTGGGCCCCCAGGACTCACTCACTGCCCAGGAAAGACCTCGTCTTTTATCTGGCAGTCCCCACTCCACTGGCAGGGCGAGCCCAGCCTCTCTGAGCTCCCGCCCTCCTGCTGCCATGGGTGGGAAGTGCCCGCGGCGTCCACTGTCCAGGTTTCTGCACAACCTTCCCTTTCCTGACAAGGGGAGGAATTTAGACGCTGAATCTGGTCTCTCTGCTGGCTCAGCCTTAGTTAATCAGATTCCTGGAGCCTTCTCTGCGGAGTGGAGATAGCTAGGCCCCTCCCCAGGGTGGTTCTCTGCTGGAACGAGCTGATGGGGTCCAAGTGTCAGGACAGTGCTGGCAGGGAGGCGGTGCCCCTCTACACCAGCCTTGAGCACCCACTACTAGCTGATACTTGGCTCAGTCCAGCCACTTCCCGGGGTATCCCCTTGACCTGGGACAGGGCCAGCACTGACGTCCTGAGCAGCTCTGCTCTGACTCCTAACTTGTGTGGTTCTCAGCTCCTGGTTCAACGTCAGGTGTGCCAAGTAGTTCATGCTCAGCTTTATAGGGAGAAGCCTCTCTAAACTCACACCCCCCACCCCGCCCTTGTGCCCACCCCTTTGTTCCCACGGTTCTGGATCCATGCACTGTTGACTCCAGACCCTTTAAAAATAGGCCGGGAATGGTGGCTCATGCCTGTAATATGAGCACTTTGGAAGGCCAAGGCTGGTGGATCACCTGAGGTCAGTAGTTCAAGACCAGCCTGGCCAACATGATAAAACCCTGTCTCTACAAAAATATAAAAATTAGCCAGGCATGATGGCAGGTGCCTATAATCCCGGCTACTCAGGAGGCTGAGGTGGAAGAATCACTTGAACCCAAGAAGCAGAGGTTGCAGTGAGCCAAGATCGCACCACTGCACTCCAGGCTGGGCAACAGTGCAAGACTCCATCTCAAAAAACAACAACAACAACAACAACAACAACAACAACAACAACAAAAAGCTGGGGCCAAGCATGGTGGCTCGCACCTGTAATCCTAGCACTTTGGGAGGTCCAGGCAGGTGGACTGCTTGAGGTCAGGAGTTTGAGACCAGCCTGACCAACATGGTGAAACACTATGATATGGTTTGGCTCTGTCCCTCCCCAAATCTCATCTTGAATTGTAGCTCCCAAAATTCCCACATGTTCTGGGAGGGACCTGGTGGGAGATAACTGAGTCATGGGAGCAGTTTCGCCCATACTGTTCTTGTGGTAGTGAATAAGTCCCACGAGACCTGATGGTTTTATAAGGGGTTTCCCTTTTTGCTTGGCTCTCATTCTCTCTTGCCTGCCACCATGTAAGACGTGACTTTTGCCTTCTGCCATGATTGTGAGGCCTCCCCAGCCATGTACAACCGTGAGTCCATTAAACCTGGTTCCTTTATAAATTACCCAGTCTCTGGTGTGTCTTTATCAGCAGCATGAAAATGGACTAACACACCCCATCTCTACTAAAAATACAAACATTAGCCAGGCGTGGTGGTGTGCCTGTCATCCCAGCCACTCAGGAGGCTGAGGTTCAAGAATCGCTTGAACCCGGGTGGCAGAGGTTGCAGTGAGCTGAGATGGTGTCATTGCATTCCAGCCTGGGTGACGTGGTGAGATTCTGACTCAAAAACGAAATGAAACGAAACAAAACAAAACAAAACAAAACAGATGACAAAGAACACACAAAGGAACAAAACCTCTAAAAGAACAGATGAAGGTGTTAATCTTGTCAGGTGTGAGAAGAGTCTTGTGGTTATGTACAAAAAGTCCATATTTTATATTAACAGATGCACAGTGGAATATGCAGGGGCAAAATGACAGAATGTTCCAGAATTTAGTTTAATTTAGTTGGAGCAAAAAAGTGGCAAAATATTAATGGGCGTTAGATCTGGATAACGGGTATGCCACGTGGATGTTTGAAAATGTTCTTAATTAAAACCAACCAGGGCCAGGAGCGGTGGCTCATGCCTGTAATCCCAGCACTTTGGGAGGCCAAGGCAGGCCGATCATGAGGTCAGGAGTTCAAGACCAGCCTGGCCAAGATGGTGAAACCCTGTCTCTACTAAAAATACAAAAAAATTAGCTGGGCGCAGTGGCAGGCACCTGTAATCCCAGTTACTTAGGAGGCTGAGGCAACAGAATTGCTTGAACTTGGGCGGCAGAGGTTGCAGTGAGCCAAGGTTGCAGTGAGCCAAGATTGTGCCACTGCACTCCAGCGTGGGCGATAGAGTGAGATTCTGTCTCAAAAAATAAACAAAACAAACAAAAAAACAAAAAGCTAAAGAAAACCAACCAAATTTCTCATTCCGGAGAGACTGGGTTTCCAATGTGGATGGTGGGTTTTCCAGGTGACTGAATGCAAGGCCTCTGTTGTCCGCACTGAGAGCTCTGGAAAGCAGCGCTGTGTGCCGCAGCTGCCACCATGGGCCACGGGATCTTGTATCCCTGGGAACGGTGGGTCCTGGGCACGTGGCTGGCACTGACATACACTGGAACCGCAGGGGGGCAGCATCTGGTTCACTGTCAGTGGGTGCATACTACTCAGGGCCCGCACACTCCACTGAGGTCTCAAAACGCAAAAGGACGCCGGGCGTGTAACTCAAGCACAGATACTGTGTTTTTACGAAGCCAGCTGAGGGCAGGCTCCCACCCCCTTTCCCCTAAGGGCTAAGAAAACTGGCAAACCCAGAAACCACTTACCCACACTTTGAAACTCTGGGACAAAGCCACTAACCCCACAACATCGACGGACAAGGCAGAGGCTGGTTCCTCGATTCAGCCTTTCCAGAGACAGCTCCTGACACAAGGGCCCCAGCACACGGCCTCCTCCTTGCTACAGGAACCAGCACGGGGGAAAGGCTGCCCACCTGGCCACCCTGGGCAGAACTCCAGAGCCCATAGGCCCAGCCGCCCAGGTTTCTGAGCTCCTGCAGGGCCAGCTGGCTCTGAAAAAAACACCACCGGCTCAGCTCTCACCGGAGAGGGCAGGATGAGCACAGGCAACCTGCGAAACCAGCCGGTACAGCCCGGGTCTGGAGGCCACAGGGAGAACCACCTGAGAGCTGGACCCAGGAAGTGGGGTTGGCAAGGCCTTGACCTCCGTGGATGCCTGGGGCAGGGATGACTTCCTGAGGGGACGAAAACGTTCCAGATCTTTTTATTATTATTATTTTTTGAGATGGAGTCTTGCTCTGCCCCCCAAGGCTGGAGTGCACTGGCGCGATCTCGGTTCACTGCAAGCTCCGCCTCCCGGGTTCACGCCATTCTCCTGCCTCAGCCTCCCGAGTAGCTGAGACCACAGGGGCCTGCTACCACACCTGGCTAATTTTTTTGGTATTTTTAGTAGAGATGGGGTTTCACCTTGTTAGCCAGGATGGTCTCGATCTCCTGACCTCATGATCCGCCTGCCTTGCCCTCCCAAAGCGCTGGGATTACAGGTGTGAGCACCGCGCCCGGCCCAGTCAAGTTGATTTTTAAAGATTTTCACAAATCTCTATATTGTGGCTTGGTACCAAAGACAGATTCGTAATAAGCTCGCATCTCTCATGTCCTGGGACTGCACATTTCCCCCAGTATCCTCATTTGTTTCCAGTGTGAATTTCAAGAAAAACACTGGGCTCTGAGATACACAACGATCTGCGGATTTTCAAATCCCTACTAAAAGTGCTTCCGTGTTTCTGGAGGCCAGTTCTTTACACTCGATTTAAAAATGGAAACGCGTCACACCTAAGTCAGGGCCAAATGCAGCATGCATCACAGCACCTCATGTGTCTCAGCCCAACTGAGGGGCAGAGAAGAGGCAGGAAGGTGCACGAAACAGAGACTCGGGTCACCTGTGTGCCCATGAAAGGAAGAGATGGGGTCAAAGAGCATGGCTGTAGGTCCACTGCTGCGGAGGCAGTGAGGGGGACCCACATGTGCCCTGGCCCATCAGCCTCCCTCTAGAGTCAGGGGTTCATGCTGATCAAGTCGGAGATGATCCAAAGGCAGGGCCAGCGGCCCCCCCCAACCCCACTGGCCCCTGCCCTGCCGTTGCTCCCTCTTCCCACAGCTTTCTACATCCCGTCTCCCCAGTGTATCCGTGCCTGCAGTCACAGCAGGCCCAAGGAGAGAGAGACGGAGCTGGCTATGAGGGCCACGCTGGGCCCAGCTTTGGGAAGGACGTGGAGCTGGTTGGAGGGAGAGGTCCTGAAAAAGTGGGGCCTCCTTTCCTGCTGACGCCCTGGGTCATTTCACTTCTGGGGTCCCAGGGCCTGAACATCTGCGAGAATTACTGCTGTCACCCAGCCGCTGTGACGGGAGCTCTGTGCCTCTGGGAATAGCGAGTTCCATTCCAGGCACCTTCACCTACAGGCTGGGAGGTGTACCTGGGCTTCCCTGGAGAAGCCCCAAGCCAGGCCTGGTGGGAAGCTGCTCCCCCAGCATTGTCTGCTGGGGGCAGTGCAGGCACTGTGGGGCAGGGTCACCCATTTCCCAGCCCCTCAGAGGTGGCAATGGCCAATTCTGATGCAAAACCAACTGTGTCAGTCACCCCTGGAGTATGTGTGGGCTCAAGGCATGGCAGGGGCAAAGCCCTCCAGCAGATGGCAAAGTTAGTTCCAACCACTAACTTTGGAGCCCATCCCCTGACACGAGACAAAGGACCTGCTTAAAGCACTTTCCAGGCCCCAGGGCAGCCCCAGCAGGCCCGGCGCACAGAGGAGCATCTGGTGGCGACCTTCCTTGAGCACAGTGATGGTGAGACAGACACGCGGCAGGTATGGAGCTGAGGCCCAGCATGATGCAGTGCCTGAGGGCTCAGAGGCATGGAGCCCTGGCTCTTGGCTGGATGGCTTCATGCAACACCTGTGTGAACAAAGCCCTGGTGCTGGCAAGGAACCCTCATGTGCCCACCTAGAACCTTCTACTAAGTACTCATCTTCCATTGCCCTGCAGGCCACCCGGAGGACACAGGGACAAGAGTGCTGATAACAGGGAGCAGCAAGGCAAAGTCAGAGACAGGCCCCGCCAGGCAGGTGCTCTCTGCTCTGAGCCCTCCAAACAGGACGGGTACCAGGGCAGTGCAGTGCGGAGCAGCAAGGCAAAGTCAGAGACAGGCCCCACCAGGCAGGTGCTCTCTGCTCTGAGCCCTCCAAACAGGATGGGTACCAGGGCAGTGCTGTGCGGAGCAGCAAGGCAAAGTCAGAGACAGGCCCCGCCAGGCAGGTGCTCTCTGCTCTGAGCCCTCCAAACAGGATGGGTACCAGGGCAGTGCTGGGGGGAGCAGCAAGGCAAAGTCAGAGACAGGCCCTGCCAGGCAGGTGCTCTCTGCTCTGAGCCCTCTAAACAGGACGGGTACCAGGGCAGTGCTGGGAGGAGCAGCAAGGCAAAGTCAGAGACGGGCCCTGCCAGGCAGGTGCTCTCTGCTCTGAGCCCTCTAAACAGGATGGGTACCAGGGCAGTGCTGGGGGGATAGAGCACTAAAGTCACAGTTGCCCAAGCCATCTTTCAGAACATGTTCCTAAAAAGGCACAGGACGCATCTCTACTACAACAAGCAGGGAAGTATTGCACGGGAGAATGCGAAACTCTCTTGAATTTTTTTTTTTTTTTTTGAGATGTTGTCTGGCTCTGTTGCCCAGGCTGGAGTGCAGTGGCAAGATCTTGGCTCACTGCAACTTCTGCCTCCCGAGTTCAAGCGATTCTCACGCCGCAGCCTCCTAAGTAGCTGGGATTACAGGCATGTGCCACCACAACCAGGTAATTTTTGTATTTGTAGTAGAGACAAGGTTGTTGGCCTTGTCAGGCCAATGTTGGCCAGGATGGTCTCGATCCCTAACCTCGTGATCCACCTGCCTTGGCCTCCCAAAGTGCTGGGATTACAGGCATGAGCTACCGAGCCCGGCCACTCCCTTGAATTTTTAAGTTAGAACCTGGAGCTTCAAAGGCTCGAGCCTGGGGTGAGAAATCTCTCCTGGCTGGCCTCCTGGGTCTGCATCGCAGTTCTCCGCCTTCCGGAGGTGGAGCGATGCAAGGAGGGAGGCACTGATCCTGCTTGACCCAAACAAAAGCCGTGCTTGCGCCTCGGCACTCACACCTTCTCTGCTTCCCCCAACTCCGTGCTCCTGAGCTGCCTGTAGACCTCATATTTCTTTTACATGGAAATGACCTCTCCGGACACGGTACCAAGACTGCTTTCCTCCAAGGACTGGCAGTAGCTGGAAGGGGCTGGTGTCTGAACTGGCAGAGCCAAGCTGAGCCCCCTGATCAACATCACTGTGAGGCAGGAGAATAGGGTCTGGAGGCAGGGAACCTAAGGCCAATTCATGCTGACTTCTTAGAACTAAATCCAAAGGAAAACCCCAACTTTCCATCCCCAAGTAACAAAAGAACCAGAGGCTACTCCCTTCACACCGACCTGCTTTTCTACCAAGCAGATCAAGAACTGAAAGTACCTCTGATTGGTCCCCTCCTGCAACCAATCAAGCTGGTCTCCGGCCAAGTCTTCATTTATATAGGAGTGCAACTTTGTAATTTCACTTCAGCCTCTGATTGGTTGCTTTCCACAATGAATCAGATATTTGCATAGGATGTAACTTTGTAACTTCACTTCAGCCTCTGGTTGGCTGCTTTCCTCAACCAATCAGACTGATCGCAGGTCACTTTCATTTACATAGGGCATGCACCAAATAACCAATGGGAAACCTCTAGAGGGTATTTAAACCCCAGAAAATTCTGTAACCAGGGCCTGCTCCCACCCTATGGAGTGTACTTTCGTTTTCAATAAATCTGCTTTTGTTGCTTCATCTTTTTCTTGCTTTGTTTGTGCCGTTTTGTCCAATTCTTTGTTCAAGATGTCAAGAACCTGGATACCCTCCATCGGTAACAACTGTCCAGGAGCCCCATGTGCTCAGCCCACAGGGGACTATGATGCCAAACTGGAGGAAGGGCCGCCAAGATGTCTCCAGCACCCACAGGTGTGTCTGCCATCCCCCGCCACTGTCAGGTGCTGAAAACTCAGAATCTGGGGGACACAGAATGGACTGCGTTTCAGTTACCAGAAGGGTTTCCTGACACCCTCATGATGCCCACAGGGTGCTCCACTTGCACCCCAGGTAAAAAAGCCAAAAACAACCCTGTTTCCTAGTGCCCTCTCTCCTTGGCAGTCCCTGTCCTAATGCCCCAAGTCCACGGGGGACTCCTCCTCCTTCGAAGGCACTGCTTCAAGACCAACAAGTCATGCTGCGCTTGGAAAGGCCACCCTCTTAATGGCTTGAGAGGTGTCCTGGCCTCCATCCATGACCTCAGGAGCAGACTCCCAGTGTTCAGCTGGCCATGGCCACACTGCCCTGCCCTCCCTTCTCTCTCTTCCCGCCCACAGCTCCTCCCTGCCAGTCCCTACCTGCACTCTGAGCCCCTAACATGCTCCCAGACCCTGCAGGGATCTCAGGTGTTCTGAGACGGATCTCCCGCCACACGCTTCAGCTTCTCAGCCGTGGCCTGAAGATTCTCCCACCTACCTCAGGATCGCTGGGAAGGCTGCATGAGACGCTGCTTCTAAAGGCCGCCCCCCAACCCCTGGTCCAGCTCCTCAGGCTCTTTCTCTCTGGCCCAAGCACCCACTGTCTGACATTTTCAATGTCAGGCTTTCCGCACCTCTGACAGGCTGTCCGCACCCTGCAGGCACCCATCTTGGGCAGGCCTCCCTGCCACCTCCTTTCCAGGCAATGGAACCACTTGCAGCTCAACACCTGCTGCCACCTTTCTGCTTTACTCCTGCCCTTCAAACACTTATTCCTCACTCACCCACTCACCCCACTTTCTGTCCCAGCACACTGGTGAAGGTGCACCAACAGCTGTCCCTCTGCAAAATCCAGAGCCCCTCCAGGAATCCCCACCCCAAACTCCAGGCAGCTCACATCTCAGTAGATCTCCCTCTCGGGCCACCTTCCCCCTCTTCCTCTCAAAGCACCACCCCAGTCCTGCCCGTTAGCACACCAGGCTTCTGCTCAAGAGAAGCTCAAGGGAGATTAGCATGTGCTCATCCATACCACAAGAATTAAACACCACTTGCAGCTGCAAGGTTTACTAGCTTGAAAAATCCAACACTCATGAACTCCACACTCCTGTCTTTGGGGAACAGGGGAGAAAAAGAAAAGCACGTTAGTGACAGATACAGGCCACTGTCTTGCTCATCAGTGAAATGGGCTCAAGGGCTAAAAGTGGAGGATGTCAGCAGCTAACACTGCGCATGGCTTGTTTCTCAAAGGAGCAGCTGCCCACGTGAGAGCAAGCCATCTCCTCAGCATCCCTGGCTTCTTCCAAAGTGTCAGAGCAGCAGAAAAATGAATCATTTGCCGGGTGACAAGAAGCAAACACCCACCACTCTATTTCCAAACAGCCTCTCTCTGAAGACCATCATGTGCCGAGGGGAGCCCGCAGAGTGGCCGCATACAACTCGATGCATATCTCTTCAAGGACAGAGGAGTGACAATGGAGGATTCTGTTTTTATGACACTCTGGAACTGGCCAAACAAATTGCCGGTGCTGGCACCCAGAGTGGTGAAGGCGGAGCTGAGAAGCGCGATGGCGATGTGCTACGTCTTGTTTCACAGTTGTCAAAACGTACGGATCTGCTGGGTGAAGCTGTGCACTTGGCTGCATGTTAATTACACCTCAGTTAACAGCAGCAACGGCCACAGGTGTTCCGGCAAGGTCCCGGGTCCTGACTCAATCTTCCCTGGGTTGAACGTTCTGTCACGCCTTACATTTCAAACTGAGAATCCATTTAGTCATTAATTTATCGCAATTGCATTGAAAATTCAGGCCCTACCCTGGGTATCGGGGTCTCAGCAGTGAGCAGAGTCAGATTCTCTGATTATATGGGGCGGACATACCAGGGTGTCATGGTGCTTTCTGGCACCATTACCTAAGTACTCACAAAACCCACTGCTTTTGCTAGAGGAATCTCACGGCAAACATGAAAAGTGCCATCCCCTGGGCTGAGCAGGGATGCTCCCCCACCGCAGGGGTCACACAGAAGAAGGCAGGGATCCATCCCTCTGCATCCTCCTCGAAACTGCACCCAAGACACGCAGGGTCCCCCCAGAGAGGAAGCTGTCTGAGGTTGCTGTACTAACCCCCGTCTGCAGCCTGGGGGACAGCACCTTCCCTGCTCTTGAGCCAGGGCTGGATTGTGGTGGGGGCAGCCGGAAGGACGACTCACCTTTTGTGGCCCCACTCAGTCAGTGTCAGAAGTGGCGATGACAAGGACGAAGAAGGGATGAGGAAGAACAGAGACAAGAACATGACCCAAGAGAAGGACAGAACGCTAAACCGGGGACCAGAAGATGTGCTGCCAAGATGGGACCCCGTGGCTGCCTCTCTTGCTTCGGATGAGTTTCCTTTTTTCTTTTCTTTTTTTTTTTTTTTTTGAGACAGAGTCTCGCTCTGTCGCCCAGGCTGGAGTGCAGTGGCAAAATTTCGGCTCACTGCAAGCTCCGCCTCCCGGGTTCACGCCATTCTCCTGTCTCAGCCTCCCGAGTAGCTGGGGCTACAGGCGCCCGCCACCACATTCGGCTAACTTTTTGTATTTTTAGTAGAGACGGGGTTTCACCCTGTTAGCCAGGATGGTCTCAATCTCCTGACCTCATGATCCACCCGCCTCAGACTCCCAAAGTACTGAGATTACAGGCTTGAGCCACTGCACCCGGCCCCTTTTTCTGAAATAGAAAATTGGGGTGAAATGAGCCTCTGCTACCAGATCTCACATTCCCACTGAAAGAGCAGCTTGAGACAACTGAGGTGTGGGCTGGACGGAGCCAACAGGGTGGCTGCCAAAGCATCACCTTTGTCCCAGCGATGCTTTCAGCTGGGATCTTGCAGGCAACCGCCTGATAGGTTGTGCCTGGAATATATTTCCTAACTCAGATTGAGTGAATGGGTCAACCTGTTTGGTTTAAAAACAAAACAACAACAAAACTACCTGTAAATAATACCAGGTTTGGGGGCACATGGGAGTCAAATGATAGTAAAACGTATTTACTTGAACAGCATTCTTGACTAACACCCAAGACTGGACCCTGTTTAAGGCTCAACCAAGAATCTGTCTGTTCTCGGAGAGAAAACTTAAGGCTACAGGAAACCCTCTGTACCGCCTAGGAAGCAGCGGGCGAGATGGACACAGCAGCTCCTCAGTTTAAAAGGAGAAAGCCCAGCAAGAGAGGGTCGGGTTTCAGAGCACTTCCTGTCCCCACTTGCCCCTCCCTGGCTTCTTCCCTTTCCCTCACCATCTGCTGGGTTTTGTTGCCTTTTTGCTTTTTACTCTCTGCTTCTCTGGGTTTGCACTTAAGATCCTCTGGAATCAAATAACTATCAAATATAAATCTAGCTGGGCGTGGTGGCTCACACCTGTAATCCCAGCACTTTGGGAGGCCGAGGCAGGCAGATCACTTGAGGTCAGGAGTTCCAACATGGGGAAACCCCATCTCTACTAAAAATGCAAAAATTAGCCAGGCATGGTGGCTGTAATCCCAGCTACTTGGGAGGCTGAGGCAGGAGAATCGTTTGAACCCAGGAGGCGGAGGGTGCAGTGAGCCGAGACTTCATCACTACACTCCAGCCTGGGCAACAGAGTGAGACTCTGTCTCAAAATAAAATAAAATAAAATAAAATAAAAGTAATCCAAATTTCTGCCTGAATCTGCCCCAGCAATTGCAGCAGACGGTTCCATTCTGTATCACTTGTTTCTGTATTACTGGATCTTTTTTTTGCAATAACCTTGGGTTGTTTTCATTGTCAGAAAAAAGTGAAGATGTTGTATGTCAAAATGACGAACACACACATAGATTTCTTTCTCTAAGAGACAGGATCTCACTATGTTGCCCAAGCTGGTCTCGAACTTTAGGGTTCAAGGGATCCCTCAACCTCAGCCTCCCAAATAGCTAGGATTACAGGCACAAGCCACCAAGTCTAGGTTGAATTTTTTTTTTTTTTTTAAGTAGAGACTGGGTCTCCCTATGTTGTCCAGGCTGGTCTCCAACTCCTGGACTCAAAGGATCCTCATACCTCAGCCTCCCAAGTAGCTGGGATTACAGGTCTCAGCCACTGCATCCGCGCCAGCTTGCATTTTTTTTTTTTTTTTTTTTTTAACACAGGGTCTCACTCTGTCACTCAGGCTGGAGTGCAGTGGCACGATCTTGGCTCACTGCAACCTCCACCTCCTGGGCTCAAGTAATCCTCCTGCCTCAGCCTCCGCAAGTAGCTGACAGTACAGACATTAAGTTACTACACTCAGGTAATTTTTGTTTTTTTTTTGTAGAGACGGGGTTTCACCATGTTGGCCAGGCTGGTCTCTAACTCCAGAGCTCAAGTGATCCACCTACCTCGGCCTCCCAAAGTGCTAGGATTATAGGCATGAGCCACCGGGCCCGGCCTCAGCTTGCATTTTTATATTAAAATAACCTCACAGGCTGCTTTTAGTTAGCAACAGCTTGGGTATTTAATAGTGTGTTTTCAAATTATGAGTAGTGTTACCCATTTTGCTCTAAAATAGACTCAGCGCTGACTCTGAAACTCTGTGCCTTGGAGTAGCATGGTGTTTTGTGCACTCATCCCGGAAATAAATGTTCTAAACACAGAGTCAAAGTCGCAAAGAAACAAAGAGGAGGCTGTGGACAAGGGAGGCCAAGCAGCCTGTATTCCTACATAACCATTAAAGAACAATTTGCGTGGCTATATAAAATCTAATTTTAAAAAATATTTAGAAATTTTAAGACAACCATTTCAAAAAAACATTTAAAAAAGGCATTTTCCTTTTCTTGAGTAAGGGGAGTCCTTTCAGGCCTTTGTTTTAAATTTGTCAAAGCAACCCATGTTCATAGTAAAGTAAGAATTCATGTGCAACACAAAGCAAAAATTCCGAATCCTGTATGCGCCCCATCCCTAGTATAATTACTATTAGTGGTTTCTTGTGCTTACAACAAGAAAAACGCTTTTCTTAATAGAAGAGGGCTTGCCTGGTAAGGGGGCCCATGGGTCTTCTGGCGTTGGGGATGTACAGGTTATGTTCATGCCATGTCAACTCATCAAGCAGTGCACTTTTCTGTGTGTATACATCAATGAAAAGGTTAAAAACGGGAGGCCAGAGGAGATGCAAAGTAATCTGAAACTAAGTAGAAAGAGAAGGGCAGCAAGTGACAGACTAGCAAGACATTCTGAATGTAACAGACTCTGGAAAGAATAATCTCTGAACAGTTTACAGCAGGAGTCAGAATGAGCTATCTTCTAGAAAGAAATAAGAATGGAACAGCATTCAATAGAACACCCATGAACACCAAAGGAATGAGGGAAATATTGTTGCATTAACATTTTCCAGAAAAGAGCCCTTTTTGGTACCTAAGGGAGAATTACCCAACTACTATTTTATAAAATGAAATTATTTTCTTCAATAGTTAGTTGTTTTCAAGATGGGCCCCAGTGTCAATACTTTGCTGGCCAAATCGACCCTATTTCAGGAATACAGTAAACAAAAAAAGAGAAATGCCATTTGCTTTTTAATAACAGTAACTATACCACAAAAAATAGCACTGAAAGGTTTTTTTTTTTTTTTTTTTGATATAAGGTCTGGCTCTATCACTCCGGCTGGAATGCAGTGGCACCATCTCAACTTACTGCAACCTCCACCTCCTGGGCTCAAGCCATCCTCCCACCTCAGTTTCCCAAGTAGCTGGGATGACAGATGCGCACCACCATGCCTGGCTAATTTCTGTATTTTTTTAGAGATGGAGTTTTGCTATGTTGCCCAGGCCGCTCTCGAACTTGTGAGCTCAAGCGATCTGCCCACTTGGCCTCCCAAAGTGCTGGGCCCCTGTGCCTGGCCAAGAATATTTTTTTAACATGGTTTGTCAAACACGAGAAAATGCCTTTCTTTTGTTTTTCTGTGGAAGCAAAGGGAACATTTCTCAAACATTTGTTCTGCATGTCTGTCCACAACCACCTCCTCTTCATTGCAACTTTAAATCTTTGTTTAGAATGTTTATTTCTGGCTTCAAAGCACAAAATACATGCTATTCCAAGTGTATGGGGGTTTAAGAGTCCATTTTGGGGCAAAATGGATAATAATTTCACTCCTAACTTGAAGAGACATTGCAACATCTCTAAGCTGTCGCACTCATAGCCAGTTCTCGCGATGGCTTCTCCCTGGCTGAGATAGAGATGGGGAATCCCGTCTGAGCTGCTGACAAGGTGGGACTAGGGAGTGGCCCTTGTTTGCTTCCCTCTATCTGACCATCTCAGCTTAGAGCTGTGGCACCTTGGGGTGACTGGCACCTCTCTGCCCACCTCCGCAGGGGGGCACTCTGGCTCCATTAAGCAGCATTCACTGTTGACAAGGACCCCAAACCACTTCCTGCAGAAAGCCCTGGCTCCCCCGGTTCAGACCCCCTTCCTATCACTCCCACAAGCACTACGCAAATGCCTTAGTGTTCATAGCAGAATGTTAATCCTATTATATGCCCGTTTGGTTTTCAAACACAGGTCTCTCTTTAATCAGCAGTGTAAGATATTTGGGCTTCTGATAAGTCCTGAACTGTCCTGCCAGCCTCCTATCAGAGGTCATGCTAAAAAGAATGATATAGAGCCTGGCAAACTCACTCCTGTAACCCCAACGACTGAGGAGGCTGAGGTTGGAGGATGGCTTGAGGCCAGGAATTTGAGACCAGCCCGGGTGATACAGCAAGACTCCGTCACTAAACATATATACATACATACATATCAAAATAATGATATGTAGGGAAGGAGTCCTGATCCTGGATCATTCTTTGCACTTCAAGGCACTCACAACTATTTGCTGAATCAAATTCGGCATTTGAACTTAGCCAGAAAGAGACAAAGGACTTTCAGCATCTTTTTGCAGATCAGCATTTTACTTGAAAGCACTTCACATGGACATAAGCAGAACCAGCTTCGATGCAGGGTCCACACCCCAGCCTTGCTTTCTGCAAACCAGGAAAAGAGGTGTAAAAGCCATGAGGGCGGGCTGGATGCAATGGCTCACGCCTGTAATCCCAGAACTTTGGGAGGCTGAGGCGGCGGATCACTTGAGGTCAGGAGTTCAAGACCAGCCTGGCCAACATGGCAAAACCCCGTCTCCACCAAAAATACAAAAAAATTAGCTAGGCATGGTGGCACATGACTGTAATCCCAGCTACTCAGGAGGCTGAAGCAGGAGAATCACTTGAGTTTGGGAGGTGGAGGTTGCGGTGAGCCGAGATTACGCCACTGCATTCTAGCCTGGGCGACAGAGTGAGAACCTATCTCCAAAAAACAACAACGACAACAAAAAAACAAAAACAAACAAACAGTCATGAGGGCTTCGTGGATTCCTTCCAAAAAGAGATGGATAGGGGAGATAATGGAGATGACGCAGATGTGGAGGAGCTGCCATTTAAGAAAACAGTGTCTGATAAACAGCCAGCTTTCTATTCAAGTGAGAGATGTCACCAAGCAAATGGGACCTCTGGGCTATTTCAGCAGAGCAAGGCCATGCACTGCCCTAACTCAGAGGGCTGAAGCCTCTTCTCTGCATCTATCTGTTCCCTATGGCTGCAATGTGACCATTCTGGATTCTGTATCCACCTCGTCTAACCACCGCTAACAGGTACACCCCGTCTCCAGTTACGAGCACCCAGTTAGCAAGAACAGGGCACAATCCCTCCTGGTCTCCTTTTAGGTGTAAGTATCTTTTATCATTCAAATCTCCTCACATCCAGGAACTTTCTTCCATTCTAATCTGAAGCATGCTGTTGCTAAGCAACCCAGATAAGTCACATCTAAAGATACTCTCCATACTGTCCCGGCCTGGTCAAAACAAACACGGCAACAAAGTCACTTCAAGTTACAACCAGGAGAGGCTAAAGATAGGACGGACACAGACCTTTTAAAAAGCTGTCTGTGTGTTTTATTCTGGCATGCTGATACCAGACCATGCCTTGACTTTGCTACTTTCAGTGTAAACCATTGTCACAGAAACCCACAGTGTCTGCAACTTCAGTAAGATGAAACTCCAGCAAACCACAGCCCAATCATGCACGCCCCATTCTCCAAGGGCAGATCTGCACATTAATGTAGAAAATCCCACAAGAAGGGAGATGAAGACTAGCCTTCACTGCTGTGATGAACCTGTCTGTTTGGAAAGATAACTGGGACTTATACAGCAGTCTCCCTCGAGTTTCTTCTGGTCTTTAATCTCACCTTCTCTAACTGAACTTAAAGCAGTTCACTGATATGTGTGTATTTATTTGTTTTTGCCCCAGATGCTTTTTAATTCAAAGATGTTGAAGACTCCCCCTCTCCCTGCCTGTGAACACTGACCCATATATCATAGAATTTCTACATCACAGTGCTACATGGACTGCCGCATTTCTAGAGTCGACCTTTGGAGTCACATGACTTTCATGGTTCACTCAGTTAAGCATTAACTAAGGGTTTTATGCCTTCAGTGCCCTGGTAAAAGGCAAACATCTGTACACGGCAATGTTCTCTCCAGTTCTGGCACTCTGATTACCACTCCAGATACCAAAGCGAACTACTCTGTTGGGCTGTTAACCTTTTCTTTCAAGATAAATGAGTGACACAAAAGTGTACGCCTCAAGGACTTGGCAGAGTGAAAACAAACCCACGAAACGGCCAATGTCCACGTTTACTGCAGAGTACCCCTTGCCTGATGTCCAGACCCTGGGTCCTGTCTCCGTTTGGGCACACAGATTTGTGGGTGGTCGTCCAGAGAAGGCCCACCACTTACCCCCAAATTTTCCCAGCAGGACAAACCACAAAAGCTACAGATTCCCTTTACTCCCTGGGAAGTACCCAATCTGGAGAAGAAAGTCGGAGCTGGGGGTGTGGGTTCTGTAGGGCCGGTCTGTAAAGGGCCAGGAACGTAAGGAATTTGTCTTAACAACGAAAGCTGGGAGAATAAGACTAGGAGGAGACCTAGACGGAGCCCCTGGCTTTCAGGAGTTCAGAGGAGGGCAAACAAGTCGCAGATGACTCCAATCGGCGCAACAAGTACCAAAACAGGCCCTGACCAGGCCAGGCGAGAGCGGGGCGAAGGCGGAAATCGCTGACCCGACGGAAATGGCCTGGCCCTTCACCTCGCGCGACACCCCACAGGGTACCCATGAGGACCACCCTCTAGTTGCAAATTGTCCCGACCACTCATCGCGGGGTCGGACACTGACGCAACCCCCAGGCAGAAGGCCCGACTCCCACCCAGCATGAGAGCCGCGACCTCCTCAACCCTCGTCCCTGGCCAGCGCCCACTCCCCGCCGCCGTCCCCGAAACCGGCTCCCGGGAGGACCGTGCGCCGGGGGCGCGGGCGCGGCCGGGCCTGCCTCACCAGCGCGCTCGTACCCGGTGGGCGCTGGCCCCCCTGACCCCGGCGCGGCCTCCCCGCCTACCCCGCCCCCTCGGCGCCCCGCCGCAGGTCCGAGCCCCGGCGGCCGCCCCCCGCCACCTCACCTCGTGGGGGAGCCGGCGGCCGCTGGGGGTGTTGTAGGGCTCAGCGCATCCTGGAGGCGAAGGGAGCCGGGAAGTGGGACCGCGCGGAGCCCGCAACGAGTTATGTAACCGGCAGGGGCCGCAGCCGGGACGGAGGCGGCAGCCCGCGGCACTTCCGCCTCCCGCTCCCTGCCGGCAGCGCAGCCCGGAAGCCCATTGGCCGCCGCCCCCACGTGGCCCCGCCCCCTGAGGCCGGCGCTGCCGCCATGTTGGGAGCGGGCAGGTTGGGAGCGGGCAGGCTCCGTGCGAAGCCAGGCCCAGGATCCCGTATGCGGGGCACTGGTGAGGGCCGGCTCCTTCCCTGTCCCTCGCTCCGGGAGGTCGCCGAGACATGGCCGGCCAGACCTCTGGGCTCCCCGGCCTAGCGTGTGCGGACGCCGGTGGCGCGGTTTCCGGGCCGAGGTCCCGCGGCTCTACCGAGTGGCCCCCCCGCACAGGCCCTGGCAGGCGCATCCTAAGCTCGCGAGGGCCTGCAGCGCCGGGGCTGGCCAACAACTGAAAGCAGGTGCACAAGGCTGGCTCCTGGCCGACCACCCGGAGCCAGCTGGCAGCACCACCCCGCGACGACACTGGATTCTCAGCCGTCCGATTCTGGCGAAAGGCAGTTTAGGGCTGTCCCTGAGTAAAACAGGCAACTTAAGCTGCCCTCCGGTTGTAGGGGTTCTATAATGCAAGATCTAACGCGAAGTTTTTGTTGTTGAGACAGGGTCTCTGTCTCCCAGCCTGGGGCGCAATCTCGGCTCACTGCAGCCTCCAACTCCTGGCCTCCGCCTCAGTCTCCCAAGTAGCCGAGACTACAGGTGTGAACCACCATGCCTGGCTAATTAAAAAACAGGTTTTTTGGGTTTTTTGTTTTTTTGTAGGGATGGGAATGTCATTATGTTGCCCAGGCTGGTCTTGAACCCCTGGCCTCAAGTGATCTGCCCGCCTGGGCCTCTTAAAATACTGGGATTACTGACGTGAGCCACCACGACCAACCTGGGCTGTATATTTCAACTCCGAGCTTTCCAGAATCCAATTTGAAGAGAACTGGTTATAAGATTCGAGTCTTGGCTGGGTGTGGTGGCTCACGCCTATAATTCTAGCACTTCCGGAGGCCGAGGTGGGTGGATCACCTGAGGTCAGGAGTTCCAGACCAGCCTGGCCAACATGATGAAACCCTGTCTCTACTAAAAATACAAAAAAATTAGCCAGGCGTGGTGGCATGTGCCCATAATCCCACCTACCTGGGAGGCTGAGGCAGGAGAATCGTTTGAACCCTGGAGGTGGAGGCTGCAGTGAGCCGAGATTGCGCCACTGCACTCCAGCCTGCGCGACAAAAGCAAAACTCCATCTAAAAAAAAAAAGATTTGAGTCTGCGTGTCAAACTGTCCCCTAGTATCCATTGTCCTACTCTGCCATCTTCTCCTTTTAAAAAATAACTGCTTTATCATCATCTAGTAGTAACAGAATCCCACCCCCTTCAGCAGGCAGATCACTGTCAAGCTAGGCTTTTATTTCTCAGCCTCTCCTGCAGCAGGATCAGGCTATGTGCCAAAAGTTTCACCAGTGAACAAGAGAGAGCACAATGTTGGCAACTTCTGTGTCATGTGCTTAAAAGAATATTGCTAAATTGTTAACAACTGGTGAAGCGCATTATTCTTTCAAAAATTGAGGAGGTTTGAAATTTTCAAAATAAAAGATGGGGTTAAAAAAAAAAAGGAAATTGCTCGCTCTGTACTTCCTCTCCCCTTTCCCACTGGCTAGAAGATGGATGCCGTGGGGAGCCCAATCAATCATAAAAACAGGCAAAACTCAGGTGCCTGCTACTCAGTGCAGTCTGCGGTCCAGGAGCAGCGGCATCACCTGGGAGCTTGCTAAAAATGCAGAACCTCAGGACTCAGTTGGACTGAGTCAGAATGGGCACTTAATTCAGAATCTGCATTCAACAAGACCCCCATGTGAGTAACAAGCACAGTACAGTTTGAAAAAACACTCCCTAAGTAACAACAGAGTAACAACATTCTATTGTTTCCACGGGGTGTGTGTTTGTTTTGAGACCGTGCCCGGCTGTTTCCAGGGTTCTAAATACAGCACCGTTAAGATGAACTGGCAAACAGAACAGCATGTACATCCCTTCAAACTTTACTCTTTTTTTGGGCAGGGCGCGGTGGCTCATGCCTGTAATCCCAGCACTTTGGGAGGTCAAGTCGGGTGAACCATGAGGTCAAGATATCGAGACCATCCTGGCCAACATGGTGAAACCCCGTCGCTACTAAAAATACAAAAATTAGCTGGGCATAGTGGTGCGTGCCTGTAATCCCAGCTACTAAAAGGCTGAGGTGGGAGAATCGCTTGAACTCAGGACGTGGAGGTTGCAGTGAGCCGAGATCGCGCCACTGTACTCCAGTCTGGGACAGAGCAAGACTCCTTCTCAAAACAAAACAAAACAAAAAAACCCAAAACTTGGGCCGGGTGCAGTGGCTCACGCCTGTAATCCCAGCACTTTGGGAGGCCAAGGCAGGCGGATCACGAGGTCAGGAGATCAAGAGCATCCTGGCTAACACGGTGAAACCCCGTCTCTACTAAAAATACAGAAAAATTAGCCGGGCGTGGTGGCAGGTGCCTGTAGTCCCAGCTACTTGGGAGGCTGAGGCAGGAGAATGGCGTGAACCCAGGAGGTGGAGCTTGCAGTGAGCTGAGATCGCGCCACTGCACTCCAGCCTGGGTGACAGACAGAGCGAGACTCCGTCTCAAAAAAAAAAAAAAAAAAAAAACTAAAAACTCTTTTTTGGCTATGCCCGGTGGCTCATGCCTGTAATCCCAGCACTTTGGGAGGCTGACGCGGGTGGATCACTTGAGGTCAAGAGGTTCGAGACCAGCAGACCAGCCTGGCCAACATGGTGAAACCCCATCTCTACTAAAAATACAACAACAAAAAAAAATTTGCTGAGCATGGTGGTACATGCCTGTAATCCCAGCTATTCGGGAGTCTGAGACATGAGAATGGCTTGAACCCGGGAGGCCGAGGTTGCAGCGAGCCGAGATCGCACCATTGCACTCCAGCCTGGGCAACAAAGTGACAGTCTCAAAAAAGAAAAAAATACTCCTTTAAAACACAAATGAGAAAATAACTATTTCTCCACGGCTTATGTGTGAGGCATTGTGTTAAACATGTTATGCAAGATCTCATTTATCTTCACAACGGTTCATTCGGTTAGGCACCATGTGTCACTACAGGAGATATTCAAGGTTATTTGTACACTAAAAAAACTTCCACCCTTTCTCTTTGTGTTTGTGGCACAGACTCTACCCCTTGTTCCAGTGTGTTCCCTAACTGGTTTAACCCATTAAGGTCATCCCATTCTCCCTTGGCTCTGTGATGAGTTCAGAGGACCCCTGCCTAAGCAAGTCAAGCAGAGGGACATCTGCCGGTCACAGGGATGGTTCAGGAATGGGTTGATCACCATCGACTTCAGGGCTGATTGGTCCTCCACCTCTTTGCTTTCATGGTTCCTTTCTCTCTCTCTTTTTTTGCTGTGTTTGAGTGTTTCTTCCACTTGATCTAACAGGCTACTCAGTTTGTGCTGACCATTCTCTCCTTCAGTTTATCTATTAAACTTCTGATTTTTTTTTAAGCTTTTTGGTTCCATAAAGTTTTGCTATAATTGAATCTCTCGCAGAAATTCTGTTTCACCAGAACTCCTTATTTATGAGAGTCTGTCTGCTCCTTCTCCCTCTGGCTCTAAGGCCTCTTCCAGCATATTATCGCTTTTCTCTTGCCTATTTACTCATGCCTCCTTTCACCCTCTGGCCATGGGTCTAGCACAGACACCTAACGGCACTCCCAGTGGTGGGAAGCCAGCAGGCTCCTGCAGTGTAGCGACATACCAAGCTGCCAGGTCATGGCACTTGCCTGTATCCTAAATTCCTGTATCTTCAGCTGCACAACCCTCTTTCAGCCTTGGAGATAGGGAGGCAAGCAGGCTTCTCTGGCCCAGGTAGAGCAACAAGCTACCATCTACACGGTCAGCCTCTGCCCTTCCTCTCTTAAGTCCCATGAATCTCCAAGGCCAAGACTGCTCCTGAAATTAAGTCATTTTAATTTTCACCCTAGGCCTCTTTCCGACAATCCCCAGGCTCTCATTTACCCATAGAGGAACTAAGTCCAGTATCCAACCCCAGGTGATTCCAACCACCACCTCCCACAAACCCATGCCCTGCTCTGGATCCTGGACACCAATGGCCCTACGCAAGCTCTATTTGGGAAAGGTAGTAGATGGATGGGGTTGGGGTGGGAGGAGAGCAGGGACTGGGGATCAGGTTTCCCCACTGAAACCTACACATTCAGGTCAAAAACAATATTGCAACTTACAATCTTGTACACAAATCTGCATACGTTCTGATTATTTCCTTAGGGAAAATGCCTAGAATGTTGGTTCAAATTATTATTATTAGCTGGGTGCAGTGGCTCACACCTGTAATCCCAGCACTTTCGGAGGCTGAGGCAGGCAGATCACCTGAGGTTGGGAGTTCGAGACCAGCCTGACCAACATGGAGAAACCCCATCTCTACTAAAAATACAAAATTAGCCAGGCGTGGTGGTGCGTGCCTGTAATCCCAGCTACTTGAGAGGCTAAGGCAGAAGAATCGCTTGAACCTGGAAGGCAGAGGTTGTGGTGAGCTGAGATCATGCCATTGCACTCCAGCCTGGACGAGAGCGAAACTCTGTCTCAAAAAAAAAAATTTTTTTTCATGATTTCATTATTGGAGACAGAGTCTCACTCTGTTGCCCAGGCTGGAGTGCAGTGGATCTTGGCTCAATGCAGCCTACACCTCCCAGGTTCAAGCGATTCTCTTGCCCCAGCCTCCTGAGTAGATGGGACTACAGGTGCATGCCACCATGCCCAGCTAATTTTTTGTATTTTTAGTAGAGACAGGGTTTCACCATGTTGCCCAGGCTGGTCCTGAACTCCTGAGCTCAGGCAATCTGCCTGCCTCAGCCTCCCAAAGTGCTAGGATTACAGGCGTGAGTAAAATTATTTTTAATTAACCACATTTAACTTTGGAAACAAACCCTAGATTGCCTGCCAGAAAGTTTTACCAATTTATTCTCATACCAAGAGTGTGAAGACTCTACACCCACTATAGCAGGGCAAACGGCCCGCAGCCTCACCAACATAGGGGATTAGTCTTTTTTAATTTTTTTGAGACAAGGTCTCACTCTGTCACCCAAGTTGGAGTGCAGTGGCATGATCACGGCTTACTGCAGTGTCGACCTCCTGGTCTCAAGTGATCCTCCCACCTCAGCCTCCCCAGTAGCTGGGACTACAGGCACGTACCACCACACCCGGCTAATTTTTCATTTTTTTGTAGAGACAGAGTCTCACTATGTTGCCCAGGCTGGTCTCGAACTCCTGGTGCAAGTGAGCTGACCACCTTACCTCCCAAAGTGCTGGGATTACTGGTGTGAGCCACCATGCTCAACCAAGCATTCTTTTTTTTTTTTTGAGACGGGGTCTTGCTCTGCCCCTCCGGCTGGAGTGTGACACAATCTTTGGCTCACTGCAACTTCTGCCTCCTGGGCTCAAGTGATTCTCGTGCCTCAGCTTCCTGAGTAGCTGGGACTACAGGCACCTGCCACCATGCCCGGTTAATTTTTTGTATTTTTAGTAGAGATAGAGTTTCGCCATGTTGCCCAGGCTGGTCTTGAATGCCTGAGCTCAGGCAATCTGCCCACCTCAGCCTCCCAAAGTGCTAGGATTACAGGCATAAGTAAAATTAGTTTTAATTAACCACATTTAACTTTGGAAACAAACCCTAGATTGCCTGCCAGAAAGTTTTACCAATTTATTCTCATACCAAGAGTGTGAAGACTCTACACCCACTACAGCAGGGCAAATGGCCCGCAGCCTCACCAACATAGGGAATTAGTCTTTTTTAATTTTTTTGAGACAAGGTCTCACTCTGTCATCCAAGTTGGAGTAAAGTGGCGTGATCACGGCTTACTGCAGCGTCAACCTCCTGGTCTCAAGTGATCCTCCCACCTCACCCTCCCCAGTAGCTGGGAGTACAGGCATGCGCCACCATACCTGGCTAATTTTTTATTTTTTGTAGAGGCAGAGTCTCACTATATTGCCCAGGCTGGTCTCGAACTCCTGGTGCAAGTGATCTGACCACCTTACCTCCCAAAGTGCTGGGATTCTGGGATTACTGGTGTGAGCCACCATGCTCATTTTTTTTTTTGAGACAGGGTCTTGCTCTGTCCCCCAGGCTGGAATGCAGTCGTGTGGTCTCAGCTCACTGCAATTTCTGCCTCCTGGGCTCAAGTGATTCCGCTGCCTTAGCCTCCCGAGTAGCTGGGAGTACAGGCGCCTACCACCAAGCCTCACTAGTTTTTGCATTTTTTGTAGAGACGAGGTTTTGTCATGTTGCCCAGGCTGGTCTCCAACTCCTGAGCTTAGGTGATCCACCCACCTTGGCCTCCCAAAGTGTTAGGATTACAGGTGTGAGCCACCACACCTGGCCAGGTATTATTCTTTACCTTTCTGCAATCTAACTGAAAAAGGTCTCATTGTTTTAATGCACATTTCTCAGTAAGTTTGATCACCTTTTCTATTTTTGAGGCATTTATATGTCATCTTTTATAATGAGTGTTACAGATGTATCTAACATATTTTGGTTTTGGTTTAACTTGGGGGAGTTTTCTGACAGTAAACATTTTTATTTTTAGAAGTAATGCATGCCTGTGGTAAATTATTTTAAAGCAAAACAAAAGGATACATTGGTGAAAAATAAGTTACCCTCCCTCCAACTCAGTACCCAAGTTCTCCAGCTAACTCATCTTACCATTTTCCTGGTATCCATTCAGAGATATTATTTACATGGACAAGTACTATATTTTCATAAATAAAAGGCGTGCAAGTGAAATGGAGGCTGGGCTTAGATACTGGATTCTTTTCATTTCTTCCTTCCCCATTCTGGGTACAAATGGTGACCAAGGAAATGTGTTATTACACACATCCTGCCTTTGAGGAGTTACGTGATTACAAGACAATCTGATAAGCACTGCAACAGAGGTGTTTGTTGTACAAACAACAATGGAGCTTCTAGAATGGAACAGAGTAAATGCATTATTTACTAAGTGTCTGCTATACGCTAAACACTGAGTTATAATCCCTCCTGCATGTTCTAATTGACTTCTAACTTACAATGCTTGTACTGTACATTCTAATTTACAATGGCCTTGAAAGTTCAGTATTGTTGTCCTCATTTTACAGATGATGAAACACCCACCCAAGGCTTCTATACCATGCAGAATGATGCCTCTCTCCACTGGCTGCCCTGAGCACATGCCATGAAGAATGAAAGCCAGGAGACAAAGGAACAAACTAGTTCATCATTAAAACCTGTATGCTTTCCCTTGGATCACAACTTTCTTTTTTTTTTTTTTTTTTTTTTTTTGAGACGGAGTCTCACTCTGTCGCCCAGGCTGGAGTGCAGTGGCACGATCTCGGCTCACTGCAAACTCCGCCTCCCGGGTTCACACCATTCTCCTGCCTCAGCCTCCCGAGTAGCTGGGACCACAGGTGCCCACCACCACGCTCGGCTAATTTTTTGTATTTTTAGTAGAGATGGGGTTTCACCATGTTAGCCAGGATGGTCTCGATCTCCTGACCTTGTGATCCGCCTGCCTCAGCCTCCCAAAGTGCTGGGATTACAGGCATGAGCCACTGCGCCCAGCAGGAGCACAACTTTCCTGACTCACCCAGAAAGAAATCCACAAGCTTCCAAAACCAGCCTTCCTAGGCAGACCCTGAGAACATTTTTCCCAGGGTCCCAGAAACAAATCATGAACAAACCACTTCATGGCAAGCCCTGTGGCTTGCTGACCAGCCTCTGCTCTGCCTGAGAGGCCTCCAGACCACCCCAGGAGCACTCCCAGAAGAGCAGAAAAGCTCCATGAGACTAGCACAAGGGACAGTGAATTATCCCAACTCATGGTTCTGAAGGGTTTATTAATGTATGCATGGATCAAAACCCTTTCAGTCAGGAGCCAAATATTTTGCTTCCAAATATTTTGCTTCCAAAGAAATTCTTCTTTAGTTCCTTCTTCTTCTTTTCTCTTTTTTTGAGACGATGTATTAGTCTGTTTTCACACTGCTGATAAAGACATACCTGAGACTGCGCAATTTACAAAAAAAAGAGGTTTAATGGACTTACAGTTCCACGTGGCTGGGGAGGCCTCACAATTACGGTGGAAGGTAAAAGGCATGTCTCACATGGTGGCAGACAAAAGAGGGCTTGTGCAGGGAAACTCCCCTTTTTAAAAACCATTAGATCTCGTGAGACTTATTCACTATCATGAGAACAGCATGGGAAAGACCTGCCCCACGATTCAATTACCTCCTACTGGGTCCCTCCCATAATATATGGGAATTGCAGATGAGATTTGGGTGGGGACACAGCCAAACCATATCAGATGGGGTCTCGCTCTGTCACCCAGGCTGGAGTGCAGTGGTGCGATCTCAGCTCACTGCAACCTCCATTTCCTGAGTTCAAGCAATTCTTCTTCCTTAGCCTCCCGAGTAGCTGGGACTACAGTTGGGCGCCACCATGCCTGGCTAAATTTTTCTTTTTTTTTCTGAGACAGAGTCTTGCTCTGTCGCCCAGTCTGGAGTACAGTGGTGTGATCTCGGCTCACTGCAACTGTCACCTCCCAGGTTCACACCATTCTCCTGCCTCAGCCTCCCAAGTAGCTGGGACTACAGGTGCCCACCACCACGCCCAGCTAATTTTTTGTATTTTTAGTAAAGATGGGGTTTCACCGTGTTAGCCAGGATGGTCTCGATCTCCTGACCTCATGATCCACCTGCCTTGGCCTCCCAAAGTGCTGGGATTACAGACGTGAGCCACCACGCCCAGCACACCCGGCTACATTTTTGTATTTTTTAGTAGAGATGGGGTTTCAACATGTTGGGCAGGCTGGTCTCGAACTCCTGACCTCCAGAGATCTACCCGCCTCACCTCCTAAAGTGCTGGGATTACAGGCGTGAGCCACTGCGCCCAGCCCTTTGGCTCCTTCTTTATGAGTAGATAATGAAAAATAAATTTTTAACAAAAGAAATTCTCCTTTGGTATAAAATGATGCAAGTGTGTAAGACGGATCACCACAGATGATACTGCTTCCTTTGATTAGAACCAAACCAGAGGTGGCACAGGATGACCACCACGTGGCTACACAGACCAATCTCAGAGGGTCAGGGCAGCACACTGGGAGAGTCTCGTTCTCCACTAACATTGTCAGTGTGCCCTGAGACTGGGCTTACCCATCAGACTCACAAGAGACTGATGCTTAAACCAAATCTTGTTTACTTCTTTATAGTTTAAAGAGGCTGGCATACTTGTACTGTATCCCTGTGTACCTAACGTAAGAATATACTCATTTACCCTCCTAGCAAAAAAGTGAAAGCATTTGTTTCACTAGGCGCCTTCTATCATTCAGTACTAAAAATTAAGAGAATATTTAATACTTGACAGGTCAAAAATGGATTTCACTTAAGTAGGCTTCCTCTGACTATGAGGGCATCATTAATAGCAGGACACAGAGCGCTTTGACTCACTCTCTGGAGCTCTTCTCCCAACTCAGGCTGGCTCCGCACTTCCTTCCTCCAGGTACAGCCTTTCTGTATGCTGCAGGGGAGAAAGACACAAGGCCATCACTTCACTCCTGGCCATCCCATCTCTACAACTCATAGGCTAATGAGTGTCAGACAAACCCTGGATCTCAGAGTATCAATCTGATGGGCCCTTTTGGGGAAAAATTAACTATCTAAACATGTAGTTCTCTAAACTACAAAGCAACCCATGTTTTTTTTTTTTTTTTTTTTGAGACAAGGTCTTGCTCTGTCATCCAAGCTGGAGTGCAGTGGCACAATGCTAGCTCACTGCAGCCTCGAACTCCTGGACTCAAGTGATTCTCTTGCTTCAGCCTCTAAAGTAGCTGGAATTATAGGTGTGAGTGACCACGCCCAGCCTCCAACCCATCCTTTCTTCTCTGTCCTCACTGTATCTAACCTGCATTCTCTGTACCTCTTACTACCCTCCAGGAGTCTTTGGTTGCAGCTTCTAGTAACGATAATTATTCAGTATGAGTAGGTCAAGAATCTTTCTCTGGAAGCACCTCTGCCTCAGTGACTGAAAAAGAATTCTGTTGGGAGTTAACACAGACCAAGCCAGTTTTTGGTAACAGAATTAACATGTTGAAGGTACGTTTAGAGCCCTGAGCTTTTTTCTAATTAAAAGACTCCTATTAGTTTCAACTCAAGGCTAAATGAAACTAAAAAGACTCCTATCCAGCTAGAAGTTGTGCTAATTTCAAAACTGTGTGAGCCTCTTGTTCTTGCAGGCATGACTTGCAGCCATTGTCCCCTTATAAGACTGGAGACTAGGTAGCAACAGTTTTCTAACTGCTCAATCAAGCATTCTGAACACCAGTAAGAAAACCTCTTGCTGAAGTTGGGAGAAAGATAATCTTGCTTACCTAGGCCCCCTTAGTGTAGGTGAGAAGGCTCTGTGTCAGTTTCCGATCAGTATCAACTTCCCATGAAGGATACGGTAAAGGCGGTAAGAACCAGAGCCATACTTATGTTTAAGTAATAGACCTTAAAAGGCAGTACCATCTGGGAATGGAAAACACACCAAACGTAGTGAGCAATTCATTCTGGAAATCATGTTAAACATCGCCAGGGAAGATACCCCATTTACCTTGAAGTGATTACACATTGCATGCCTGCATCAAAATATTTCATGTACCACATAAATATATACACCTACTATGTACCCATAAAAATTAAAAATATAACTACCACTACCATTTTAACGCATAGTCTTCAAAAGCAACTTTGTTATTGTTTTTGTTTCATAACCAATTTTACTCCCAAAAATGAGTATCTTTCCGTTTCAATATACAGCTGCATCATCATAAAAATCACTAGGGAAAAGATATATACTTAAGAATAGGGGCCGGGGGCAGGGGCTCACGCCTGTAATCCCAGCACTTTGGGAGGCCAAGGCGGGCAGATCACAAGGTCAGGAGTTCGAGACCAGCCTGGCCAATATGGGGAAAACCCGTCCTCTACTAAAAATACAAAAATTCGCCAGGTGTGGTGGTACGCACCTATAGTCCCAGCTACTCGGGAGGCTGAGCCAGAAGAATTGCTTGAACCTGGGAGATGGAGGTTGCAGTGAGCAGGCCAGGTGCGGTGGCTCATACCTGTAATCCCAGCACTTTGGGAGGCTGACATGGGCGGATCACTTGAGGCCAGGAGTTTGAGACCAGCCTGGCCAACATGGCAAAACTGCATCTCTACTAAAAATACAAAAATTAAATGGTTGTGGTGGCATCTGCCCATCATCTCATCTACTCTGGTAGCTGAGGCACAAGAATCACTTGAACCCAGGAGGCGGAAGTTGCAGTGAGCAGAGATCGCACCACTGCTCTCCAGCCTGGGCAACAGTGAGACTGTCTCAAAAAAAAAAAAACAAATAATAAAGAGTAAATAGTGGTGATCTCTGGGTGACAGGAATGTGTTGCCATTTTTTCCCCTGTATTTTCTTTTTTTTTTTTTTTTCAGACAGAGTCTCACTCTGTCACCCAGGCTGGAGTGCAGTGGTGTGATCTCGGCTCACTGCAAGCTCCGCCTCCCAGGTTCACGCCATTCTCCTGCCTCAGCCTCCCGAGTAGCTGGGACTACAGGTGCCCGCTACCACGCCTGGCTAATTTTTTGTATTTTTAGTATAGATGGGGTTTCATCGTGTTAGCCAGGATGGTCTCGATCTCCTGACCTTGTGATCTGCCCACCTCAGCCTCACAAAATGCTGGGATTACAGGCGTGAGCCACCGCACCCAGCCTTTCCTAACTTTCTGAAATGCACATATACTACTTTTGTAATGATGTTAGTTTTACTATTTTTAAAAAGATAATTTTCAGAGAAAGCAGATGCTGGGCTATAGAAATAATTTCAATACAAACAGGTTGTAGTTGTTATTACTGGTACCATGTTAAAGACAGAAATGGAAAAACTTGCAAAAGATTGTCGTGGAAGGATTTTTAAATTTTGATGATTAAAACATGTTACTTGAACATATAGTGGGTATACAGTCAAGCATTTGTGATTTTTTACAAAATTGAGTTAGGGATATAATGTGGTCTAATTTTTCAATCTTGGTCTATCTTGGACTTTGTATGTCATCTCTTTATTTTCAGGAAG
Organism: Homo sapiens; assembly: GCF_000001405.40. NCBI lineage: Eukaryota > Metazoa > Chordata > Mammalia > Primates > Hominidae > Homo > Homo sapiens. Next base: position 3,445,890 of record NC_000016.10, on the reverse strand, counting down.
ATAAAGCTTTCAAGCTTCCTCCTTCTTTGTCCACTTGTTTATAGTTTTGATGGCTCTTAGGAAAGATAGTCTAGGGAAGATTTTTTCCTCTCCCATTTCAGGTATATCCCTCTCTCTCTGGTAATCCACTGAGTTAATACCACATGCTTCATTTCAAAGCATTGGAAACTGTGTTTATTTCTTTGTAATTATGGCAACAGGATTTAAAGAAGAGAGCCACGGGAGTCTCTTGTTCTTGGTGAAAGAGCCACAAATCCAGATAAGGAGAATCTCAGACCACAATGAGACAGTGCTGATGTAAGAATAGCATTAAATAGGCGGGGCGCGGTGGCTCACGCTTGTAATCCCAGCACTTTGGGAAGCCGAGGTGGATCATGAGGTCACGAGATCGAGACCATCCTGGCCAACATGATGAAACCCCATCTCTACTAAAAATACAAAAAAAAAAAATTAGCCGGACGTGGTGGCGGGCACCTGTAGTCCCAGCTACTCAGGAGGCTTAGGCAGGAGAATCATTTGAACCCCGGAGGCAGAGGTTGCAGTGAGTCAGGATTGTGCCACTGCACCCCAGTCTGGCTACAGAGTGAGACTGTCTCAAAAAAAAAAAAAAAAAAGAGATAAGCACAAACCAAGAAGGGAAAGATGACTACGTGAACACCACAGTGACTCAACCATGAACATCTCCTTTACTTACACCTTCATATACAGGCTATTAGCTCTTCTTCAACATATATGCTTTGGACTGGTCTAGCCTGTAGGCAAGTTTGTTCTTACCATTCTTCCACCTGTCCTGGAAGCACCTTTACTGGGACTTCACAGCTACCTCTTTTGTGATCCATCCCCACAAGGTCTAGCTCTTAGTTAGCTGTCAAGAGATATCATTTGTGGCAGATACTGCTAGTTTCTTATCTAACTTATTTTCCACATCTCTTTTTTTCATTTGTAACAAAGCCCTAATTTTGTGCAGGTAGATTATCAAGGGAGGCTAGGTCCTTCCCCTAGTGACAGGGGCTGAAGCATGATGGGCCCCAAACAATTATTTATTCTTGGTAATAACTAGTTTAGGATGGGTACATGACACAATACATGTCTGTATATTTTACCTGGATTCTATTGTCAACGTTACCAACATGCTTAGGGTGGCAGAGAAGCACTGGGACCTTGATGTTGTCACTGGGCCACCGAATTAACCAACCTGTAACTGCTCTTTGAACATCCTTTCGGTGGGTTTTCTGTTACTTGTAGCTGAAACTATCCTATCAGATATTCCACAAAATCACATTACCTAAGTTGTCAAATCTCCTAATATTGTTTTAATAACCATGCAGCCATTCATTAAGCTTTTAGATACAGGAATGTGCCTGGCACTGGAATAAGGAAATATGTTGAGACTTTTCAGGCTTTTCTATCAAGGTACCTATCATTTTCGTCTTTTTTTTTCCCCAAACACCTTTATAAACTGGCAATTTCTTTCACTTACATTATCTTATAATCTTTGAAATTACCCTCTGAGTTAGCCCAGAGAGGCACTCTGAGCTGTTTGCAGCTGAGGAAAGCAAAGTTGTAAACTGGCCAAGATTACCAACCAATCAGTGGCAGAGCTTGGGGAGGAGCTCAATTTTCCAATTCCAAATGCCTACACCAGGGCACTCCCTCCTCCCCCAGCACACAATAGGAAATGACTGGCTCTAGGGTAGGCTGCATGTGAGGTATCCGGGGGCGAACAACGTCCTGCGACGCTAACCTATGGCTCTATTCTCGCGTGGGATCCTGTGACTAGGAAGCTGAAGCAGCTCGCTTAGGCTGCAGCTGCGGGTACAATACGTAATGCCTCTATAACACTTTGAGTCAGAGTCCAGCAACCTGGCCTACACCGATGTGAACGTTGTGAACGTACACAAAGATACTCCTTCATGTTCCACGGCCCCACCATCCGCTCAAGACACAAAGGACAGCTCAAGCCCAGGCTAGGCCCGAACCCCCGCCCTCTCAATCACCTTGCTCTGGCCAGACCGAAATTTCAGGCCTACAGGGCACTGTTGGCCGAACCCACATTTTGTTACCGATTTTCTTTCGAGTTCCGGTGTCTCCCAGTCTTCTTTCTGTCCTTCTTCTCGGAAACATTACGTCCCCCTGGGGTCACCCTAAGACTCTACTTCAGCAGGCAAACAGGCCCGGAGCTCACGGAGGAGACCCCGCCAGCGGAAGCGGAAATGGTTGCTTAGAGAAAAGGAGGAAAACTACCTCTCGCAGCTGCCCAGTGGCTACAGGTCCTCGGTTAAGGTGTTCAATTGGTCAACACAAAAGAAGGACTTCCCCTTCGGGAGAACTTCGACCAATCAAAGGGCAGGATGGCGGAGAGGGCTGAGGGCGGGTCGCTTCCGGCGGCTTTTCCCGCAGCTCCTGCGTAAAGGAGCATGAGAGCGTGGGAGTTTTGCAGTGGCCGTGGCGTTCTTCGTCGCGTCTCGGTCGGGCGTCGCTTTCTGCAGCTCCTGTCAGGGAGCGCGAGGCCTGTTATTAACCGCGGAGCGGTAAGTGGGCCCCTTTCGAGGCCGGGCCAAGAGGAGGAGCAGTCGGCGTAGGTTTTTAAGGGGGGGTTCGGAGGGAATCGAGGGAGGCTAGGGGTAGTGGAGGAACTTGGCAGCGGAATTGGTCCCTTTAAGAACTGTTCTCTCCCCCCGCAGCTTTGTCACGAAGTCCCTGTGGCGTCTTGAAGAAGGCATTCCCCACCCGCCAAATGGCGTCCATGCCCCCGACGCCCGAGGCCCAGGTGAGTCGAGGTACCTTTTTCGTCCAAGTTTATTGCTGCTTTCGGTCTCTGCCTGACCCCCTCCTTTGGAGGAGAGTTGGGCATGCCTGTTGTGGTAGGAGTGCTCCTGAGCCCCAAATAGCCCTTTGACCAAGTGTTCTTCGTTCCAAGACCACACACATAATGGTTTACCAACTTCCTTCTTTCAGAACTACCAACTGGGAGCAGGGACCTGTGGAGGAATCTCTGAGAGAGTTTCTCAATGTCTTATCTGTTTGTTTTGTTTTGTTTGGAGATAGGGTCTGGCCTTGTCGCTGGAGTGTTGCTTGTCTGGCTGGAGTGCAGTGCTGATATCATAGCTCCGTCTGGAACTCAGGGAATCCTTACGCCTCAGCCTCTCGAGTATCTGAGAGGCGCGCATACCACAGTGTCTGGCTACTTTTAAAAGTTCTTTTTTTTTTTTTTTTGATACAGAGTCTCGCTCTGTCGCCCAGGCTGGAGTGCAGTGGCGCGATCTCGGCTCACTGCAAGCTCCGCCTCCCGGGTTCATGCCATTCTCCTGCCTCAGCCTCCCGAGTAGATGGGACTACAGGCGCCTGCCGCCACGCCCTGCTAATTTTTTGTATTTTTAGTAGAGACGGGGTTTCACCGTGTTAGCCAGGATGGTCTCAATCTCCTGACCTTGTGATCCGCCCGCCTCGGTCTCCCAAAGTGCTGGAATTACAGGTGTGAGCCACTGCGCCCGGCCTAAAACTTCTTTATGGAGATGGAGTCTTGCTGCTTTGCCAAGGAACTCCTGGCCTTCAGCTATCCTCCCACCTCGGCTCCCCAAAGTGCTAGGATTAAAAGTGACTTTCTGGAATGGTTCCCAAAATTACAGATTTGGTACTTCTCCAATTTGAATGAATTTTTAAATTAAGCACATTTCTAGACTCCACACTCGTTGAGTAATAATAAATCCCAAGTGATTAATTTATCACACCGTTAGAGAAGGTGGGGTAGGCCTGGATGAAGTGCTGGAGTGAGCTTAGCAATGAGTGTCATGGGGACGAGAGGAAATAGCAAAGGGAAGGATGTTGGGAGAATCCTGTAACCTTTATCTCTTTATGATTCTTCCTGGGCTGCCCAACTTTCTCCTTTTCTTTTCTTTTTTTTTTTTTTTTTGAGACAGTCTCGCTGCGACGCCTAGGCTGGAGTGCAATGGCGCGATCTCGGCTCACTGCAATCTCTGCCTCCTGGATTCAAACGATTCTCCTGGCCCAGCCTCCCAAGTAGCTGGGACTACAGGCGCATGCCACCACATCTGGCTAATTTCATTTTATTTTAATTTATTTTTTGAGACAGAGTTTTTTTTGTTGTTGTTTTGTTTTTGTTTTTGTTTTTGAGATGGAGTGTCGCTCTGTTGCCCAGGCTGGAGTGCAGTGGCACGATCTCAGCTCACTGCAAGCTCTGCTTGAGACGGAGTTTTACTCTTGTTGCCCAGGCTGGAGTGCAATGGTGCAATCTCGGCTTACTGCAACCTCTTTCTCCTAGGTTCAAATGATTCTCCTGCCTCAGCCTCCCAAGTAGCTGGGATTATAGGCATGCGCCACCACACCTGGCTAATTTTTTGTATTTAGTGCAGACAGAATTTCACCATGTTGGTCAGGCTGGTCTTGAACTCCTGACCTCAGGTGATCCACTCGCCTCCACCTTCCAAAGTGCTGGGGTTACAGGCGTGAGCCACTGTGCCCAGCCTTAATTTTTGTAATTTTAGTAGAGACAGGGTTTCACCATATTGGCCAGGCTGGTCTCGAACACCTGACCTCAAGTCATCTGCATCCCCCTCAGACTCCCAAAGTGTTGGGATTACAGGCATGAGCCACCACACCCGGCCCCAAACCTCTCCTTTTCTTAGAGCATCCTCACTTAATGGTTGCCTCCCTAAGAGCCATTCCCTCATCTTTTCTCTTTCAAGATAGACAATAATTCTCACAGTCCACCGTCCTTGTACCACTGCCTAAAAATGTATGTCCATGTTTACTCTCTTCTTCCCAACCCTCACCCCACCCCTTAGAACCCATTTGCCCTACTTCTGCGCTCAAGAACCTTTTACACCGAGCCTTTTATCCCGTGCATCTGATGTTTCTAGCTCTTTTCATCCTTCCTAGGTTAAGTGAGGGGCTGACCCTCCACCCTCTTGTGCTGACACAGGCTCTTGTGTTTCAGGGACCAATACTCTTTGAGGATCTGGCTGTGTATTTTTCTCAAGAGGAGTGCGTGACTCTGCACCCTGCCCAGAGGTCCCTCAGCAAAGATGGTACAAAAGAGTCTTTGGAGGATGCGGCTTTGATGGGTAAGGCAATTGTTTTTCCTGCATCTGGAACTTTTGTCAATTCTAGGAGGAGAACTTCATGCTTTATCCAGATGTTGGTATGGTGGAGTGGGACCTGTCCCTCAGTAATTTATGTGGAGGTGATAATTGTGTGAGAGAAAAAGTTTTAAAATATGAGATGATTTTTTTTTTTTGAGACAGACTCTCGCTCTGTTGCCCAGGCTGGAGTGCAGTGGCACGATCTCTGCTCACTGCAAACCGCGCCTCCCAGGTTCACGCCATTCTCCTGCCTCAGCCTCCCGAGTAGCTGGGACTACAGCCGCCTGCCACCATGCCCAGCTAATTTTTTGTATTTTTAGTAGAGACAGGGTTTCACCGTGTTAGCCAGGATGGTCTCAATCTCCTGACCTTGTGATCACCCGCCTCGGCCTCCCAAAGTGCTGGGATTACAGGCATGAGCCACTGAGCCCGGCCGAGATGATCTCTTAAAGACAAAAATTCAGTCTAGTACAGTGCCTGTGGTTTAGTACAAGAGATGGCAGTATTTGGTAATCTTTCACAAACATTTGTTGCAGTTTACAATTTTACTTGGGAAATCCCATTAGTATCGATCACTATCATTTGCTAAAGACTGGAGATTGATTTACTCTTAAGGGGTGCTATGCCTTACTCACCTAAGGGGAACCATACACAGATGGACTCCTGTGCCTGACTAGATTTTATTTCTGACTAGGATTGAGTATCTAAACTATCTATTCTAAGTAGTTATTCTAAATAGTTTGGAATAGTTGAGATACTCAATCCTAGTCAGAAAAAAATAACTAGAGTAACTAGTTATTCTGAATAACTCATATTTTGTTTCTTCCACTTCTCTCTTCATCATGTTCATGTTGTCTTCTGTCTGCGTAAATGTATGGAGTATATTTATAATGGTTATTTAAACTTTTTTTTCTTGCTAGTTTTAACATTGATGTCATTTCTGGGTCTGTTTCTATTGATTGATTTGTCTTCTAGTTATGGGTTATATTTTCTATATTTTCTTTACTTCCTGGGTAAATTTTGGTCGGATGTTAGATTAAGAATTTTATGTTGTTGGACCCGGGATTTCGTTGTATTTTTAAAAATATTTTGGACTTTGTTGTGGGAGGCAGTTAAGTTACTTGGAGTCAGTTTGACTGTTTCAAGGTGTGCTTTTTTTTTTTGCTTTGTTAGGATAGGTTCAGATCAACCTTTCTGCTAGGACTTATTTGAGTTACTGCTAAGGCAGTTTTTTTCTGTGGACGTTGCTGCTCAATGTCTTATGTCTTTCCACTTTGGCTGGAGGCAACATGAACTGGTTATTGCTCTGTTATTCCTTTTAGGTGGTTCTTTCCACGGCATTGGGTAGTTTCTTCATGCACTTGTAGATTACTACTCAGCCAAAGTTGTGGGGTTATTTTTTTTTTGATACAGTATCTTGATCTGTCACCCAGGCTGGAGTGCAGTGGCACAATCACGGCTCACTGCAGCCCTGACCTCCCAGGCTCAAGCAGTCCTCCCACCTCAGCCTCCCAAGTAGCTGGGACTACAGGCATGCACTACCATGCTTGTCTTTTTTTGTTGTTTTTTTTTTGTAGGGATGGGGCTTTGCCATGTTGCCCAGGCTGGTCTCGAGCTCCGTGGCTCAAGCAATTCTCCCACCTCAGCCTCCCAATGTGCTGGGATTACAGGTTTGAGCCACTGTACCTAGCCTCAGGAAAGTCTTAAGGGGACCCCATGTAGATGACCTGAGCTCTCTTTCTGAACAGCTGCCTCTTTGCTGTTTTGCTTTCAAATTCTAGCTGCCTTGGCATCCCTGATCTCTGAACTCAGTCCCCTCAAATCAGCAAAACCACTTGGTACTGTTTGGATTCCCATGAACTATACTGCAGCCCTTTCTAGTCAGTGAGTTGGGAAAACTGTAGAACTTTGTTTCTCTGGAAAGAAAAGTTCCTTTTGTATTGATATATTTGCTTTATAACTGAAGAATACTTGGAAAATATTACACAGGAATGTTAGTTTTGTCAGCCATTCTTGTAAGTAGATTGGCTGTTATTTTCATGCAGTACACACAGCCTTCTACCTTGATCTTTCCTCAGTGAGGAGTAAAGAGATTTTGGAGAGTTCTCCTGGTGATAATAAAACTATTTCTGATAACCCGTGTGTTTCTTTGTTATGGAAGAAAAATGCTCACTTGATTGCTTTTTTTTCTTTTTTCTTTTTTAATTATTATTATTATTTTTTTTTGAGACAGAGTCTTGCTCTGTCGCCCAGGCTGGAGTGCAGTGGCGCGATCTCGGCTCACTGCAAGCTCCGCCTCCTGGGTTCACGCCATTCTCCTGCCTCAGCCTCCCGAGTAGCTGGGACGACAGGCGCAGGCCACCACGCCCAGCTAATTTTCTGTATTTTTTTTTAGTAGAGATGGGGTTTCACCGTGTTAGCCAGGATGGTCTTGATCTCCTGATCTCGTGATCCACCCGCCTCGGCCTCCCAAAGTGCTGGGATCACAGGTGTGAGCCACCGTGCCCAGCCTCTTTTTAAAAATTATTTTCTTTCCCACTCATTCTTGCTGTCATCTTTTTTTTTTTTTTTTAAGAAACAAGTTCTGGCTCTGTCACCTAGGCTGGAGTGCAATGGCACATCTCAAACTCCTGAGCTCAAGTGATCCTCCTGTCTCAGCCTCCTGAGTATCTAGGACTATAGGCATGTGCCACCATGCCTGGCTAATTTTTAAAAATTATTTTTTGTACAGATGGGGTCTCACTGTGTTGCCCAGACTGGTCTCAAACTCCTAGCCTCAAGTGATGCTCCCACCTCAGCTTCCCAAAGTGCTGAGATTACAGACGTGAGACACTGCCCAACCCCTCTCTTTGTTGATAAATATGAATCCTAATCTTTTTTCCAATTGTTAATTGTTCTGCTGTCACTTGAGATAGCTTCAAAAATGAAAGGCTCTTGAGGCCTAAATAGATTAGATGGAAAAGTTCACCTCTAGATAGCTGCTACTGAGATTGTCCTTAGTACCTATCCCACTGGACTCTGACTTAGTTATAGCTATTCTCTCCTTACCTTTGGATATTCACCCAAAACTGGATCTTCTGGGAGGCCAGGAGAGTCTGCTTGGTCCTGATTTTGTGTGGTTAGTGTCTGGGTTATAGAATAACCCTTCTAAGGTTTCCTGGTCCTGTTTGTAACTACCTTAGCTTACTTTTTCCCCAGTATCCCTTGAAGATATTGTCTATGTTTTGCTTTCTTTTGTTTTTATCAACAGGAGAGGAAGGCAAGCCTGAGATTAATCAGCAGTTAAGCCTAGAGTCTATGGAACTTGACGAGCTTGCCTTAGAAAAGTACCCCATTGCTGCACCCCTTGTCCCTTACCCAGAAAAATCCTCTGAGGATGGAGTTGGAAACCCTGAAGCGAAAATATTAAGTGGAACTCCCACTTACAAGAGAAGGGTCATCAGCCTTTTAGTTACCATTGAAAACCACACCCCATTAGTAGAACTCTCTGAATATTTAGGAACCAACACACTTTCTGAAATTCTTGATTCTCCCTGGGAAGGAGCCAAAAATGTGTACAAATGTCCTGAGTGTGACCAAAACTTCAGCGATCATTCATACCTAGTTTTGCATCAGAAAATTCATTCAGGAGAGAAAAAACATAAATGTGGTGACTGTGGAAAGATCTTCAATCATAGAGCCAACCTGAGGACACACAGGAGAATCCATACTGGTGAGAAACCTTATAAGTGTGCCAAGTGCAGTGCCAGCTTTCGCCAGCACTCTCATCTATCCCGACACATGAATAGCCACGTAAAGGAGAAGCCCTATACATGTAGCATATGTGGTAGAGGTTTTATGTGGCTCCCAGGATTGGCACAGCATCAGAAAAGCCACAGTGCTGAAAACACCTACGAATCTACTAACTGTGATAAACATTTTAATGAGAAACCAAATCTTGCTTTGCCTGAGGAAACATTCGTATCAGGCCCCCAGTACCAGCACACTAAGTGCATGAAGAGCTTCAGGCAGTCCTTATATCCTGCCCTTTCCGAGAAGAGCCACGACGAGGACTCTGAACGCTGCAGCGATGATGGGGACAATTTCTTCTCATTCTCAAAATTCAAGCCCTTACAGTGTCCTGACTGTGACATGACCTTTCCTTGTTTCTCTGAGCTTATTTCCCATCAGAACATTCATACAGAGGAAAGGCCCCATAAGTGCAAAACATGCGAGGAAAGTTTTGCTTTGGACTCAGAACTTGCATGCCACCAGAAGAGCCACATGCTAGCGGAACCTTTTAAATGTACCGTGTGTGGGAAAACTTTCAAGTCGAATTTGCATCTCATTACTCATAAGCGAACTCACATAAAAAACACCACGTAAAGTAAATATAACAAATTGTTATTAGTGATTGGGCTTTTCAGTATCTGTATGGTGGGAAGCAGTTACTGTATATGTCCCAGGCAATGTGCTAAGCACTTTACACACATTCCCATGTAATACTTAATTCTCAGCACAACCGTGATTTAGGCAGTATCATTTCCATTTTATAAGTAGGGATGCAAAATCCGTGTCACTAAACTAGTGAATGAACCCAGGATTTGAACTCAGTTACTGTACAACTGTGAGCCAGAAGAAGATACACAACTTTTGTTTAAATTCAATTTTCATTAAAATGAAGGCTCTTGCTAAAGTTATTTTAATTTTGTTTACGTAGTTTCTGACTTTTAGAAGGAGGAGAATTTATTTATATTTTGCCAGTTCTGCAGACATATCTAGGAAAGTAAATGCTTTTATATGTTTTATACTTTTTTTTGCTATAACTATTTGAATGTAATACTTGTATAAGATTGCTGTTCTACATGTGAATTCCCACAGGCGTTCAGAAGTTTTTTTCTGCCCTGTAAAAGTTCCCAAATGGGTAGACTAGTTTATATTTTGATGGCCATTAGTATCCGGAGTTCTCTGTCATGGTTCTGATGCCAGGGGCACATACTGGCATTTAGGACCCAATTGTTTGCAAGGAGTTTTGGAAGTCTAACTGCAGCCCTTTTCTGGAGGCTGGACTTGACTTGGGGAGGGGGAGAAGTACTTGCTCTTTTCTAAGATTTGCCTCCAAATTGCTACTGAAGCACATTACCTGTCTTACTATGAATAATTGTAATTGTTTCTCAGTGAGCATGCTAGCTACTTTAGATATATTATGTAATTTAATCTTCAGAATCTGTGACAGAGAAAAAAAATCTTTGTTTCATAAACGAGGAAACTGAAGTCCTCAGAGGGTAAAGTCAGTTCTTTGCCCAGCACACAAATCACATTGTGGTGAAACTGACATTAAGCTTGGGTTTCTCTGACTCCAAAGGCCATGCAGTCTGCAAGACTGCGGCATTTGTTGGCATTTGCACCACGTAGTAGCACTGCAGGCAGCCAGGGAAAGGGGAGCTGAGATAGGTGAGGGTGGTCCTCATGGAGGCGATTCTGTGTGCTTGCATCCTGGAACCCCTTCATTCCCTTTGTGCTGTACCCAAAGCCTGACTAACATATACAGTTACAAAGCAGCAGAAGACTCTCCAGGACTTCAGGTTTGAATTCTTGTCCCTCTAATCAGATGAGAGATTTCACACTTGGCAGAGTACAATACTGAAGGTCTTAACTGGGTTTTGGTTTTTTAAAAAACACCCATAACATTTCCTCTCCATCTCCAAAGAAAATGCATATAGAAAATTGTTAGATTTTAACCAAAATACTTGATAATATATAGATCTTTAGATATTGCTATTATAGATAAATACTGGAGCAAAATATTATTAAATGGTATGGTTATTAATGTTAAAGAACCACAGAATGTTGTAAATATAGATTCATATACAATTTCTCATTAAAGTCGATTGTATGCCTATCAGCAAAACAATATTTACATGGGTTTTGATTAGGATGGAAGAATGCTCTCATTCTATTTAAATAGACAGTATAAAAGTACAATATTTGCTAAAATTGAATTGTTGCTGGGAATTTTTGCTGGGAGAAAAGATAAAGGACTCTTGAGGACTAATTATATGGAAGGTAGCAGAAGGTGGTCCTACAGAACAGCAGATTGAGGACTAAATATACAAAAAATGCTGGCTACTCAGCTAAGCTCTTATTACTGAGTAGAGGCAGGAAGATACTGTTCAGGTGAGAGAAAAACTGAAACTAACAAAAACATCCCTAACCCAGAGAGAGTTTCTCTCTCTTTGTCATTCTTGTCTTGTTTCTTGTTTGCAGATCCACAGTTGAGACAATGTGCTGCTCTGTATGTCAAGGTCAGACTTTGGCTGTTTGTTTCTGATGTCTCCACTCTTAGGAGACAGGACACCAGCTTCCAGGTTTCTCTGAGGTGCTTTGAAATGTGTAGAAAGATAGTCTCCAGTTAGATTACTTATTAGGCAACTCTGAGATACCATGACCTTTGTTAAATAACAAGAACACCACCTCCTTGCTCTCCTGCTTCTGCCCTCAGTGGGAGAAACTGGCAGGAGCCTCATCAGCACATATCAGGGGCCCTAAGAGTTCAGTCAAAGATCTAATGAGTCACAGGATGGGGGATGAAATTGGGAAAGGTCTGGATTAGCAGAGTTGCTGCAGAAAGAAGTAGAGGGGAATATCTTAGAAGGCACTTGGACAGAATGGGGGTGATATAAAAGATGTATGCTGTCATTTTTGTTTTGGCTCCTAGAAAATATAGCAGAAAGTGAGAATTTGTGCCATACATCCTGTTCTGCACCTTAATATGGAAGTTTGCCTTTCCACACGAGTCTTCCTTCACAATTAACCTCTAATTTTTTTTTTTGCAGTTTTCTCCAGATTTTGGAAGATTACGACAAACTTCCTAAAAGATTAGAAAAAATAGCCCTTTTCAGAAACATTAACATACGTGTGGGTAGAACTAAAATGGCTTTTTGGTATAATACTGTTAATGATTAGTATGCAGAAAAAAATGAAAACCCCGGAAGTGTCAGTTACTGTGAAAGAGGCATATTTTCAGTTGTGCTTATTGTGCAGTTGTACTTAAATACATTTGCTAGATGTAATTCAAGCTGCTTTACCCCCAGGGAATTGAAGGAAAAGATATATCTGCTGGTGAGCTTCAGGCTTTTTATGATGATGGCATTTCACCCTTCTGTTTACAGTGTCAACTGATGGAGATAAATTCCATAAAATTGTCATTAACTCAGATACTAGCCTTCCATGTTAGGTGCTATTCACAAATACTGGATAAAAGTTAATATGGGAATGAAAAACTAAATGCAAGAGTTTATTGCTATGAATGATTGGTTAACTGCATTTTGCAGCATGGAAATCAACACACTATGAGAGTGAAAACTTTGTGCTGAATAAATTGACTCAGACAAATTTCTCCGTTTTTGTCGTTGATGCAGTGATGAAAATGTATATCCAACAGTTCCTTAACATGATTGCTGGAATAGTTAAACAGTCTTTTAAACAGTCGTCATTGATGAAAACAGCATTTTTCCAATGGAATTCAGATGTCAGCAGTTTACATTTTATAATTTAAGAAATTGTGGAATGTAGTTGTTTTGAATGAGGTCGACTCAGAATAGTTTTATTTAGAGCTTTGTTGCTACAGGTGGTAGTCTATTGACACCTCCTCATTTAACATAGAAAATGACTAACCCAATAATTCAGGGAGTTAAAACTCAAATGACATTTCACAGCAAATGCCATTTTGAGTCTTTGCCTCCTGAGTTTCCATATAATTAAGTGGCAATGTTCTAGTGACTGCAGCATAAGATGTCATACAATCTGAAACTGCAGAGTTTGATCAAAGTAATCTGCAATTTACTGCCTATGTGTACAAAGGGAGACATAGCAGGTTATAGTTTATATGAATAGTCTATTTTGAATGTTCATTAAACTTGTTATCCCTGTGGGATTTTAGTAGGAAAGTGTATTTGCTTTGACCATCTGTTTAACAAAATGATGTTCATTACATTAGAAGTGTATGTATTCATCTGGTTTAGTTTTGTAATTTAGAAGAGCTATTGATCTGATTCAAAGATAACCATTACCCATCTTTCCAAGGCCCATCTAAGTAGTACAGGTGTTTTGTCTTTTAAAATTGACAGTCCTCTTTGCATTAAGTCTGTAGGGGGGGAATACAATATAAATATTCTTCTGTGTAAACGTAAGAATGTGCTGTAATCTCCAGTTCCTTTGGATACCTCAGAATTCTATTTATTGTATACACTTATACTGTTTATTCAATGTTTTGGGTCTTACTCTTTTTGACGTATTCTCATCAGTCTTCACTCTAGTTTGCAAGCTCTGAAGTTATTGATTACGTCTAATGTGCAATTTGGCTTCTATTAAATGCTATTTTATGATGATGGCAATGAAGTGAACTTTTTAAAAAAAATACGTGGTTTTAGGTGGCAATCAGGTTAATTTTGAAGACTGTTAGGATTCTGGTTTAGAGACAGAGAGTGAAGGACTTCGTGCTACTTAATAAGGGAAGTAAAATCGCTTGCTCCCTGGAACTCAGCAGAAAATTCTGGGTCATTCTGGGAAGCTAGCGCTAGACCTCAATTTCCTTTCGTCTTTGCTGTACACAGAAGTACAGGGGCAAGGACCTCTGTCTTCACGGAGCAGCTACTGCCTGGCACGGGTTGCCACTTAAAGCTTGGATTCCGAGTAGCGGATGTGGTGAGTAGGACTCCCAGAAGACCTCGCGCGGCCTCAGGGAGATCCTGGGTCTCCAGCTTGGCCACCAACTGCACGGGTCAGCGGAAGTGTCAACGAGATGACTTGCGCTACAGCGGCACACTGGTGAGGAACCGGAAGCCACGAGCCGAGCCACTTCCGGTGCCCGCTTCCGGTAGCGCCTGCGCATTCCTGGGGCAAGTGGACTGTGGTGAACGGTGGAGATCCAGTGGTGGGGTTTGGCCATGTGCCTGGCCATATCCACTGCATATCGCTAGGTGATCTCCGTGTAAATCTAGCAGTACGGGTAAGAGTGTTTGCGGAGGAACTCCTCAGGTCTCTTCCTCCGCATCAGCAGGAGGGTATCATGGGTGTGACTGTCGGGCACTAACACGAATCTCCATCCCATGATTCTAGGCGTTAGGACTGGAGAAGCAGCTCCGGGCCACCGTCCCAGCTCTAATCTCACTTAGGCAATGCAGAGCTGTGGGCCTGACTACCACGTGTGTCTCTGGCTTGTTGAAATGGGCACTTTGTACATCTCACTTGTGCTGGGTAGAGTGTCTTTTCTTTAGAACCAGTACCAATCTCTTAGGCTTTTGGCATTCTCTGCAGCCAAATTCTAACATGCTTCTACTTAGCTGGAATGTACCCTCGGCTTACCTTTGGTAAATGGTATCTCCCCAGGTGAGCTTAGCCACTTCCATGGCTACAAAGACCTCATTTTAGGTCTAGCTCCAATTTCTTTTCTATGTACTCCAGATTCCTACATTCAGGTGCCTACAGGAGTCGTCTTTTAGATGTCTCTCAGGCATCAAAACACATGCCCTTAACTCATGCTTTTAGCCCCTGATCTGTTTGCCTCCAGTATGTGGGGCCACATCCATACAATTGCTCATGCTATCAACAAACACTCCCTCTTTCCTCTTGCTATGGCTTGAATATTTGTGTACCCTAAAAATTCATGTGTTGGAATTCTAACACTTAAACTGATGTTATTAGGAGGTGGGGACTTTGGCAGACCCCTCATGATTGGGATTAGTGTCCTTATAAAAGAGACTGCAGGCCGGGTGTGGTGGCTTACGTCTGTAATCCCAGTGCTTTGGGAGGCCAAGGTGTGAGAATTGCTTAAAGCCAGGAGTTCAAGACCGGCCTGGGAAACATAGCGACACGCCATCTTTTCAAAAAATTTATTTAGCCCGGTGTGGTGGCTGGTGCTTGTAGTCCTAGCTACTTGGGAGGCTGAGGCAGGAGGATTGCTTGAGCCCAGGAAGTTGAGGTTACAGTGAACTATGATTGGCCCA
Organism: Homo sapiens; assembly: GCF_000001405.40. Taxonomy (NCBI): domain Eukaryota; kingdom Metazoa; phylum Chordata; class Mammalia; order Primates; family Hominidae; genus Homo; species Homo sapiens. Next base: position 3,430,802 of record NC_000016.10, on the reverse strand, counting down.
CTGTACTCGAGCCTGTGAGGACCCAGCAAGAAGGTGCCATTGTGGAAATGGCCCTCACCAGACAATGAATCTGCCAGCACCTTGATCTGGGTTTCCTAGCCTCTAGAACTATGAGAAAAAAATTTCTGTTGTTTATAAACTACCTGGCTTATGGTAACTTTTTATAGAAGCCAGAACAGACTAAGACATCACATCCACTCAATCATCAAGTCTCATGGATTCTACCTCAAAAGTATCACCAAAACCTGAATGTTTCTGTCTCCCCTGTCCCCATCCTATCCAACAGTACTCACCTGGGTTACCTGAAAGAGCCCGCTGATGACTTTCATATCACACTTGTTCTCTGTCAACACAGCTAACACACTGCCATTTAATAAAAGAAGTATTAAAAAATGTTTGCTCCCTGAAACTCAGCAGAAAATTCCAGCATTATTGCGGGAAGACAACACTAGATGTTCATCTTTCCAGTCTTTGCTGCACAGAACTAGAGGGCCAGGTACCAGATGATTATGATGATTTCATCATCCAATTTGACACCTTCCATTGGCTTCCCATTGTCCTTAGGGACATTTAAATTTTCAACATGACCTTCCTAGTCATTACTTCCCTGCCAGTGTCAACTCCAGCTGTTCTTTTTCTCTTACCCCTCTCCAGCTACACTTTCTCTCAATTCATCAAACATACCAAGCTCTTTGAGAATTGTGCACATACTTTTCCTTTTACTTGGAACATCCCTTTCAATTCCTACATTCTTTGTTTTACCCTCCTTATAGCAATATGCTTGTAATTGAATATTAATTATGTAACTAATAAAATTTCATTGTCTCCATGGGAGGAGAGACCAGGAACATGGTAGATGCTTAAAATTATGCACTGATTGAAACTACTACGGCTCTGTCACTTTTATACCATTGGTTTCAGCTTAAAGACTGACAGAGGGCCGGGTGCAGTGGCTCATGCCTGTGATCCCAGCACTTTGGGAGGCCGAGGTGGGCAGATTACGAGGTCAGGAGTTCGAGACCAGCCTGGCCAATATGGTGAAACCCCATCTCTACTAAAAAAAATACAAAAATTAGCCGGGCATGGTGGTGCGCATCTGTAGTCGCAGCTAGTTGGGAGGCTGAGGCAGGAGAATCGCTTGAACCCAGGAGGCGGAAGTTGCAGTGAGCCGAGATTGTGCCACTGCACTCCAGCCTGGGCAACAGAGTGAGACTTTGTCAAAAAAAAAAAAAAAAAGAAAGGAGAATAGATACTGGTGCTGTCACTTACTAGTAGGCAAGAGGTGTAACAGTGTACCCAAAGAAGCTGTAAGGAGTTTAGAAAAAAACTAAGAAAGCTTCCAGGATAAATATATAATGATACCTTATAGGCTTGAAGGTAATAATTTAGCAAAGATGGCCGGTGCAGTGGCTCACACCTGTAATCCCAGCACTTTGGGAGGTCAAGGCAGGAGGATTACTTGAGGCCAGAAGTTCCAGACCAGCCTGGGCAACATAATAAGACCCATCTCTACCAAAAATTTAAAAATTAGGCCGGGCACAGTGGCTCACGCCTGTAATCCCAGCCCTTTGGGAGACCAAGGCAGGCAGATCACGGGGTCAAGAGATTGAGACCATCCTGGCCAACATGGTGAAACCCCATCTCTACTAAAAATACAAAACAAAAATAGCTGGTCATGGTGGCACGCACCTGTAGTCCCAGCTACTTGGGAGGCTGACACAGGAGAATTGCTTGAACCCAGGAGGTGGAGGTTGCAGTGAGCCAAGATCGCGCCACTGCACTCCAGCCTGGGGGACAAAGGGAGACTCTGTCTGAAAAAAAAAAAAAAAAAGCCGGGCGTAGTGGCACATGCCTGTAGTCCCAGCTACTCAGGAGGCTAAGGTGATAGGATCACTTGAGCCTGGGTGGAGGCTGTAGTGAGCTGTGATTGTTCCACCGTACTCACCCTGGGTGACAGAATGAGAACTCCCTCCCTGCCCAAAAAAAAAGTTTCATTTCACTGATTGGGCATCAACAAGATACAGAATGGGAGACTCCTGACTTTCTTTCCTTCCATGGATGCACTGAATAAGTATCTACACATGGATCAGTTCTCTCTGAGAGAAATATAGAAACTAGTTGAGACTCCCACACACTGGCAACTGATAATATATCCACATCAAAATGGATACCAACAAATTGAGACACAATGTAAACCAAAAACCTGGGCACAGTATCTTACAATTGGGAAGGAATCCCGAAATACCAGATTTTTGAAGAATGAAGGGTTGAGGCCAGACATATCGCTCCCAAACTTAAACAGTTTCCACGTGAGAGTTTGGCTCCTAAATCTTCTTATCCCGGGAATGGCAGGGTTTAGTATTTGTGAGTCCCCTGAGAAAAAAGGACATTTTATTTATTTATTTATTTATTTATTTATTTAGAGACAGAGTTTTGCTTTTTTCACCCAGGTTGTAGTGCAATGGCACAATATTGGCTTACTGCAACTTCCGCCTCCTGGGCTCAAGCGATTCTCCTGCCTTAGGCTATAGAGTAGGCGGGATTACAGGCGCACACCACCATGCCCAGCTAATTTTGTGGGGTTTTTTTTTTTTGTTTGTTTGTTTTTTTTGAGACAGAGTCTCTCTCTGTTGCCCAGGTTGGAGTGCAGTGGCGCAATCTCAACTCACTGCAACCTCTGCCTCCTGGGTTCAAGCGATTCTCCTGCCTCAGCCTCTCGAGTAGCTGGGACTACAGGCACTTGCCACCATGCCTGGCTAATTTTTTGTATTTTTAGTAGAGATGGGGTTTCACAGTGTTAGGATGGTCTCGATCTCCTGATCTTGTGATCCACCCGCCTCAGCCTCCCAAAGTGCTGGGATTACAGGTGTGAGCCACCATGCCCAGCCATAAGAGGACATTTTAAACAGGTATGTGAGCACTTTCAGCGGCTGTCCCCCAGGGTCAGTGCAGAGCAAGCAGGCAGAAATGCACCATCTGCTGGGCACCATGGCTCATGCCTGTAATCCCAGTGCTTTGAGATGCTGAGGCAGAGGATCACTTGAGGCCAGGAGTTTGAAAACAGCCTGGGGAACATACAAACACCCTGCCTCTACCAAAACAAAAAAAAATTTTTTTTAATTAGCCAGGTGTGGTGACATATGCCTATAGTCCTAGCTACTCAGGATGCTGAGGCAGGATGATCGCTTGAGCCCAAGATTCAGGGTTGCACTGAGCTATGATGGAGCCACTGCGTTACAGCCTAGGTGGCAGAGTGAGACCCTGTCTCTAAAAAAAAAGAAAAGAAACAAAAGAATTTAAAAAAGCAGTTCCACAGTCTCCCTAAAAGGGATTTATCTACACATTTTTCCCAACTGCTGCCTGAACGCTGGGCTTCTAAGTAGCCTACATCGAGTAGCTGATAGGGCTGGTAAACAATAGACCTCCAGGAGCATGAACAGGCATGTGGGAACTTCACTGTCGTTCTCCCCTCTGCCACTACTCCATTCAGAGATAAAACTAGGGGCCAGGCACGGTGGCTCACCCCTGTAATCCCAGCACTTTGGGTGGCCAAGGCAGGTGGATCAGTGGAGGTCAGGAGTTCAAGACCAGCCTGGTCAACATGGTGAAACCCTCTCTCTGTTAAAAAATACAAAAAGTTACCTGGGCATGGTTGGGGGTTGTCAGGGAGGTGCACCTGTAATCCCAGCTACTCCGGAGGCTGAGGCAGGAGAATGGCTTGAACTCAGGAGGCAGAGGTGGCAGTGAGCTGAGATTGTGCCACTCTACTTCTGCCTGGGTGACAGAGTGAGACTCTGTCTCAAAAATAAAACAACAAAACAAAAAAAAACTAGGCTTCTAGCTTCTTCCTGGACAGTGTACCCCAACTTTTACAGCTTCCACCCAAGGGACCAGCTTCTAAGCTCCTAAATCATCTGTCTCTGGGAATTGATAAGACTGCATTCACAAGTCCCCCTAGACTACAGAGAAGAAAAGTGATTTTAAAAGAGTGTTTGAGCAGTTCTAGCATCCGTTTCCCCTAACTCAGTACAAAGCGAGCAGACAAAAACACCCAGTTCCCAGTTTACCCCCAGGAAGGGGTTTGACTGCACACCTAACGTCCCAACTTTCCCAGCCGCTGTCCATGAGTCAGGCCTCTAGCCTATATCTGGGCACTGACAGGGCAGGCAATAAGTAGTCCTCTGGGAGCCTGAATGGGCATGCAGTTGCTTCCCGCAATTCCTTTTGCAGGCTCACTCTAGAGATGGAGCCAAGCCTCTGAACAATCCATCTGTCCTGGACAGTAGATGGGAGCTGCAATTGACTAGGCCCCTGGGGGTAACAACACATTAGGCAATGGGTTGAAAGAGTATGTGGTCTGAATGAGAATGCAGGCATTTGCTTGGGATTATCTCCCCAGCTTAGTACAGGGCAAGTGGGAGATCAACACCAGTTCCCAGCTTCTCCTTGAGGATAGAAGGAACTGGAACACATATAACACCCCAACTTTTCTAGCTAAATTTCAGTAACTGGCTTCAATATCACCAGTCTTGGGGCACTGATGGCATTTGGTGCACCCCAATCTCTTGGGGCTACTAAGAACAAAGACAGCAGTTTGTACAAGCACAAAAGTTTGAGAGGTGCCTAGAATCTGGTTGGGTTGATTGGTGAGGTTCATCTCCTACGAAAAATCAGATATTAAGACTTGGAAAGAGAGTTGTCTTATCTAATGCATGAAAATCAACACAGTCAACAAAAAAATCAAGAAATAGAAAATACGTTCCAAACAAAAGATGAAGAAATCTCCAGAAACCAATTCCAATGAAATACAGATCAGTGATTTTACCTATTAGAGAATTAAAAATAGGCTGGGTGCAGTGGCTCATGCCTGTAATCCTAGCACTGTGGGAGACCGAGGCGGGTGGATCACCTGAGGTCAGATGTTCGAGACTAGCCTGGCCAACATGGTGAAACCTCATCTCTACTAAAAATACAGAAATCAGCCAGGCGTGGTGGCGGGCACCTGTAATCCCAGCTACTCGGAAGGCTGAGACAGGAGAATCGCTTGAACCTGGGAGGTGGAGGTTGCAGTGAACCAAGATCGTGTCATTGCACTCCAGCCTAGGCAACAGAGCAAAACGTCCTCTCAAAAAAAAAAAAAGAGAATTAAAAATAATCATAAATATGCTCACTGATGTCAGGAGTATAATGTATGAACAAACCGAGACTTTCAACAAAGAGAAAATACAAAAACAAGGGTTGGCATGGTGGCTCACACTGTCATCCCAGCACTTTGGGAGGCCAAGGTGGGAGGATTGCTTGAGGTTAGGAGTTCAAGACCAGCCTGGTTTACATAGTAAGACCCCATGTCTACAAAAAATTAAAAATTAGCCTGGCATGGTGGCATACGCCTGTGGTCCCAGCTCCTCTGGGGGCTGAGGTGGGAGGATCACTTCAGCCTGGGATGCCAAGGCTGCAGTGAGCTGTTATCACACCACTGCACTCCAGCCTGGGTGACTGAGTGAGACCCTGTCTCAGAAAAAGGAGAAAATTTAAAAACATACCAAACAGAAGTTATAGATCTGAAGTACATAATAACTCATCTGAAAAATTCTCTAGAGGGTTTCACTCACAGACTAGGTCAAGCAGAAAAAAGAGTCAGTGAATTTGAAGACCAGCCATTGGAAATTATCCAACCAGAGGGGCAAAAATGAGAAAAAAAGAAAGAGTGAGGATAGATTAAGGTACTTAAGGGACACCATCGAGTAGACTAATGTATGCATTAGTGGATTTTCAGAAGGCAGAGAGAGCAAAACGGACAGAAAGCATATTCAAACAAACAGTGGCTGAAACCCTTCCAAAACTGGGGAATGAAATAGAAATCAAGACCCAAGAAGTCCAAGGGACATGAAATAAGATGAATCCTGCCAGGTGCGGTGGCTCATGCCTGTAATCCCAGCCCTTTGGGAGGCCGAGGCAGGTGGATCACTTGAGGTCAGGAGTTCGAGACCAGCCTGGCCAACATGGTGAAACCCCGTCTCTGCTAAAAATATAAAAATTAGCCGCGCGCGGTGGCATGTGCCTGTAATGCCAGCTACTCAGGAGGCTGAGGCAGGAGAATGGCTTGAACCTGGGAGGTGGAGGTTGCAGTGAGCCTAGATCATGCCATAGCACTCCAGCCTGAGCGACAGAGCGAGACTGTCTCAAAAAAAAAAAAAATAAGATGAATCCAAAGAGATCCACACTGACATACATTACAATCAAATTGTCAAAAGTTAGAGACAGAATTTTGAAAGCAGCCAAGGGAAAAGCAACTTCTGTGTACAAGGGTCCCCTAATAAAACTATTAACAGAGTTTCCAGCATAAACCTTGTGGGCCAGAAAGGAGTGGGACAATAGATACAAAGTGCTGAAAGAAAAAAACTTCCAGTCAAGAATGCTATATCCAACAAACCCATACTTCAAAAATGAGAGGGAAATAAAGACTTTCTCAAACAAAAGCTGAGGGAGATTATCACCACTAGACCTGCCTTATAAGAAATGCTAAAGAGAGTTCTTAAGGTTAAAACAAAAGTATGGAAAACAGTAACAGGAGCACACGAAGTATGAAACTCATTGGCAAAGGTAAATATATAGTCAAAACCAATAGTGTATTACTATAACAGTAGTGGGTAAATCAATTTTAGTTCTCTTATAAAAGTTAAAAGACAAAAGTAGTAAAACAACTATATTATGTTAATTGGTACAATATAAATAGGTGTTAGTGGTGATATCAATAGCATATAAGCCAGGGGAAGAGAGATAAAAGCAAAGTTCTGACATGCAAGGGAAGTTAAGTTGTTATCAGCTTAAAGTAGACTATTATAAGAGATTTTATGTAAACACTTGGTAACTACAAAGAAAATGCCTATAGAATTAAAGAAAAGGAGAAAATAATGAAAACATAGGCCAGGAGTTCGAGACTAGCCTGTCCAACATGGCAAAACCCCATCTCTACTAAAAATAGAAAAATTAGCCAGGTGTGGTGCTGCACACTTGTAATCCCAGCTACTTGGAAGGCTGAGGCAGGAGAATTGCTTGAACCAGAAGGCGAAGGTTGCAGTGAGCCGAGATTGTGCCATTGCCCTCCAGCCTGGGTGACAGAGCAAGACTCCATCTCAAAAAAAAAAAAAAAAAAAAAACAGTGAAATACAAAAGAAAACAGCAAGAGAAAGGGACAGAAGGACTATAAGACTAACAGAAATAAGTAACAAAATATCAATAGTAAATCTTTCCTTATTTTTTATTTTATGTTTTGTTTGTTGTTGTTTTTGTTTTTTGTTTTTGAGACAGAGTCTTGCTCTGTCTCACCCAGCTGGAGTGCAGTGGTGCTATCTTGACTCACTGCAACCTCCACCTCTCGGGCTCAAGCAATTCTCCTGCCTCAGCCTCCCAAGTAGCTGGGATTACAGTGTGTACCACCATACCCAGCTAATTTTTGTACTTTTAGTAGAGACGGGGTTTTGCCATGTTGGCCAGGCTGGTCTCGAACTCCTGACCTCAGGTGATCCGCCTGCCTCAGCCTCCCAAAGTGCTGGGATTGCAAATGTAACCCACTGCACTCAGCCAGCAATGATTTTTTGAATATCACACCAAAAGCTGAGGCAAAAAAAAAAACAAAGCAAGACACAAGAAACAAGTAGGATTACATCAAGCTATAAAACTGCTGCAAAGCAAAGGAGGCAGTCAACAAAATGAAAAGGTAGACTATGGATTAAAAGAAAATACCTGCAAATAATATATCTGATAAAGTCATCAAATATATGAGGAACTCACACAACTCAAAAACAAATTAACCAAATAGCCCAATTAAAAAATGGGCAATGAATTTGAATGGACATTTTTCTAAAGAAAACATAAAATAACCAACACATTGAATGAGGAAAAGCAGGATGGATTCCCTTTGAAAACTGGCACAAGTCAATAATGCCCTCTCTCACCACTTTTATTCAACGTAGTATTGGAAGTCCTGGCCAGAATAATGAGGCAAGAGAAAGAAAGAAAAGGCATCCAAATAGGAAGAAAAGAAGTCAGACTCTCCCTGTTTGCAGATGACATGTTTCTATCTAGGAAACCCCATTGTCTCAGCCCAAAAGTTCCTTCAGCTGATAAACAACTTCAGCAAAGTTTCAGGATACAAAGTCAATGTACAAAAATTACCGGCATTCCTATGCACATACAACAGCCAAGCCGAGAGTCAAATCAGGAAGGCAATCCCATTCACAATTGCCACAAAAAGAATAAAATACCAAGCCGTGCATGGAGGCTCACACCTGTAATCCCAGCAAGATTCCATCTCAAAAAAATAAATAAGTATATAAAATACCTAGGAATACAGCTAACTAGGGAGGTGAAAGATCCCTACAATGAGAATTACAGCACACAGCTGAAATAAATCAGAGATGACACAAATGGAAAAACATCCCATGCTCATGGATTGGAAGAATAAATATCATTAAAATGGACATATTGCCCAAAGCAATTTGTAGATTCAATGCTATTCCTATCAAACTACCAATGACATTCTTCATAGAATTATAAAAAACTATTTTAAAATTCACATGGAACCAGCTGGCTGCGGTGACTCACACCTGTAATCCCAGCACTTTGGGAGGCCGAGATGGGCAGATTACGAGATCAGGAGATTGAGACCATCCTGGCTAACACGGCGAAACCCCATCTTTACTAAAAATACCAAAAAAAAAAAAATTAGCTGGGCATGGTGGCAGGTGCCTGTAGTCCCAGCTACACATGAGGCTGAGGCAGAAGAATGGCATGAACCCGAGAGGCGGAGCTTGCAGTGAGCCAAGATTGCGCCACTGCACTCCAGCCTGGGCAACAGAGCAAGACTCTGTCTCAAAAAAAAAAAAAAAAAATTCACATGGAACCAAAAAGAGCCTGAATAGCCAAGGCAATCCTAAGCAAAAAGAACAAAGTTGGAGGCATCACATTACCTGACTTCAAACTGTCCTACAGGGCTACAGTAACCAAAACAGCATGGTACTGGTACAAAAACAGGCACATAGGCCAATGGAACAGAATAGAGAGACCAGAAATAAGGCCACACTCCTAAGATCATCTGATCTTCAATAAAGCTGACAAAAACAAGCAATGGTGTGTGGGTGGAGGGAATCCCTGTTCAATAAATGGTGCTGGGATAATTGGCTAGCCATATGCAGAAGATTGAAACTGGACCCCTTCTTTACACCATATACAAAAATCAACTCAAGATGGATTAAAGACTTAAATGTAAAATCCAAAGCTATAAAAACCCTAGAAGACAACCGAGGCAATACCGTCTTGGACATAGGATCGAAAATATTTCATGACAAAGACTCCAAAAGCAATTGCAACAAAAGCAAAAATTGAGACATGGGACCTAATTGAACTAAAGAGCTTCCTCTGCACAGCAAAAGAAACTATCAACAGAGTAAACAGACAACCTCCAGAATGGAAGAAAATATTTGCAAATATGCGTCTGACAAAGGTCTAATATCCAGCATCTATAAGGAATGTAAACAAATTTGCAAGAGAAAAACAACCCCATTAAAAAGTAGGCAAAGGACATGAACAGACAATTTTCAAAAGAAGACATACATGCAACCAACAATCATAAGAAAAAAAGCTCAATATCACTAATCATTAAAGAAATGCAAATCAAAACCATAATGAGATACCATCTCACACCAGTGATAATGGCTGTTATTAAAAAGTCAAAAAATATGCTGGCAAGATTGCAGAGAAAAGGGAACACTTATACACTGTTAGTGGGAGTATAAATTTCGCCCAACCATTGTGGAGAGCAGTATGGCGATTCCTCAAAGTGCTAAAAAGAGAACTACAGTTTGACCCCACAATCCCATTACTGGGTATGTACCCAGAGAAATATAAATCATTCTCTTGTAAAGACACATGCACATGAATGTTCACAGCAGCACCATTCACAATAACAAAGACGTGGAATCAAAGGCCCATCAGTGACGACTGGATAAAGAAAACGTACATATACACCATGAAATACCGTGCAGCCATAAAAAAGAATGAGATCATGTCTTTTGCAGGAATATCGATGGAGTTGGAGGCCAGAAACTACTGGCAGGAACAGAAAATACTGCACGGAACTTTCTTTCTTTCTTTCTTTCTTTCTTTCTTTCTTTCTTTCTTTCTTTCTTTCTTTCTTTCTTTCTCTCTCTCTCTCTCTCTCTCTTTCTTTCGTCTCTCTCTCTTTCTGTGTTTCTTTCTTTCTTTTTTTTGATGGAGTCTCACTCTGTCAACCCCTGCTGCAGTGCAGTGGTAGGACCTCAGTTCACTGCAACCTCTGCCTCCCCGGTTCAAGCGATTCTCCTGCCTCAGCCTCCCGAGTAGCTGGGACTACAGGTGCATGCCAGCATGCCCGGCTAATTTTTGTATTTTTAGTAGAGACGGGGTTTTGTCATATTGTCCAGGCTGGTCTCGAACTCCTGACCTCATGATCTGCCCACCTTGGCCTCCCAAAGTGCTGGGATTACAGGCATGAGCCACCGCACCCAGCCTGCATGGAACTTTCAATACTGTTCCACTGACCAGCCATACTCCCATCGCTCTTCCTCTCCTTGGACCTCCCTTTTCCCTGAGACACAAAAATATTGACATTAGACCACTTAATAACTCTACGATGACCTCTAAGTGTTCAAGTGAAAGGAAGAGTCACACATCTCTCACTTTATTTATTTATTTTTGGAGATGGAGTCTCGCTCTGTCGCCCAGGCTGGAGTGCAGTGTCGTGATCTTGGCTCACTACATCCTCTGCCTTCCAGGTTCAAGCGATTCTCCTGCCTCAGCCTCCTGAGTAGCTAGGACTACAGGTGTGCACCACCACTCCTGGCTAATTTTTGTATTATTAGTAGAGATGGGGTTTCACCATGTTGGCCAGGTTGGTCTCCAACTCTTGACCTTGTGATCCACCCACCCCAGCCTCCCAAAGTGCTGAGATTACAGGCATGAACCACCCCTTGGCCCATCTCTCACTTTAAATCAAAAGGTAGAAATGATTAAGCTTAGTGAGAAAGGCATGTCAAAACCTGAGACAGGCCAAAAGCTAGGTTTCTTGTGCCAAATGTTTAACCAAATTGTGAATTCAAAGGAAAAGTTCTTGAAGGAAATTTAAAGTGCTACTCCAGTGAACACATGAATGATAAAAAAGTGAAACAGTCTTTTTGCTGATATGGGGCAAGTTTGAGTGGTGTGGATAGAAGATCAAACCAGCCACAACATTCCCTTAAACTAAAGCCTAATCCAGAGCAAGGCCCAAACTCTCTTCAGTTCTGTGAAGGCTGAGAGAGGTGAAGAAGGTGCAGAAGAAATGTTGGGAAGTAACAAAAGTTGGTTCATGAGGTTTAAGGAGAAAAGCCATCTCCATAATATAAAAGTGCAAGGTGAAGCTTCAAGTGCTGATGGAGAAACTGCAGCATGTTATCCAGAAGATCTAGCTAAGATCATTGATGAAAGTGGCTACAATAAGAACAGATTTTCAATGTAGACAAAACAGCCTGCTATTGGGGAAAGATGCCATCTAAGACTTTTGTAGCTAGAGAGGAGAAGTCAATGCCTGGCTTCAAAGCCTTAAAGGGCAGGCTGACTCTTTTGTTGGGGTGAATGCCGTTGGTGAAGCCAGTTCTCATTTACCATTCTGAAAAATCCTGAAGCCCTTAAGAATTATGTTTATTCTGCCTGTGCTCTATCAGTTGAACAACAAAGACTGGATGACAACCTATGTGTTTACAGCATGGTTTGCTGAATATTTTAAGCCCATTGTTGAGACCTACTGCTCAGAAAAAAAAATATTCCTTTCCAAATATTACAGTTTATTACAATGCACCTGGACAACCAAGAGCTCTGATGGAGATATACAAGGAAGTTAATGTTTTCATGCCTGCTAACACAACATTTATTCTGCAGCCCATGGATCAAAGAGTAATTTCATTCTTCTCTTTATTTCATTTTATTTTTTTGAGATGGGCTCTCACTCCCCCAGACTAGACTGCAGTGGTACAATCATAATTCATTGCAGCCTAGCTCCTGGGCTCAAGTAATCCTCCTGCCTTGGCCTCCCAAGCAGCTGAGACTACAGCATGTGCCACCACACTTGTCCAATTTTTTAAATTTTTCTGTAGGCTGGGTGTGGTGGCTCACGCCTGTAATACCAACACTTTGGGAGGCCAAGGCAGGCAGATCACAAGGTAAGGAGATCAAGACCATCCTGGCTAACACGGTAAAACCCTGTCTTTACTAAAAATACAAAAAATTTGCCGGGCGTGGTGGCATGTGCCTGTAGTCCCAGCTACTCAGGAGGCCGAGGCAGGAGAATTGCTTGAGCCTGGGAGGTGGAGGTTGCCGTGAGCCAAGGTTGCACCACTGAACTCCAGCCTGGTGACACAGCAAGACTCTGTCTCAAAAAAAAATGTTTTTCTCTGTAGCGATGGGGACTTGATATGTTGCCCAGGCTGGTCTTGAACTCCTGGGCTCAAGTGATCCTCCCACCTCAGCCTCCCAAAGTGCTGGGATTACAGGCATGAGACACTGCTCCCAACCATAAGTGTTTGGTTTTGTTTTGTTTTTGCTTTTGTTTTTGTTTTTTTTGAGACAGTCTCACTGTGTTTCCCAGGCTGGAGTGCAGTGGCGTGATCTCAGCTCACTGCAACCTCCAACTCCTGGATTCAAGCGATTCTCCTGCCTCAGCCTCCTGAGTAGCTGGGAGTACAGGAGCACGCCACCACACCCAGCTAATTTTTCTATTTTTGTGGAGATGGGTTTTGCCATGTTGGCCAGGCTTGTCTGGAACTCCTGACCTCAAGTGATCTGGGTGCCTCAGCCTCCCAAATTGCTAGGATTACAGGTATGAGCCATGACACCCAACCATTTTGTTTTTTGAGACAGGGTCTTGCTCTGTCACTCTGGCTGAAGTACAAATGGCACAATCACAACTCACTGCAGCCTCAACCTCCTAGGCTCAAGTGATCCTCCCACCTCAGGCTCCCAAGTAGCTGGGACTACAGGCATGCACCACCATGCCCAGCTAATTTTTTAATTGTTTTGTAGAGTTGGGGTCTTCCCTGTGTTAACTCCTGGGCTCAGAGAGCAGTCCTCCCACCTTGGTCTCCCAGATTGCTGGGATTACAGACATGAGCCACTTGCACAGCCCAAAAGTGTTTTTTTGAGATGGAATCTACTCTTGGTAAAGATGCTGTGAATGTTGTTGAAATGACAATAGGATTTAGAATATTACATAAACTTAGTTAATGAAGGAGCAGCAGGATTTGAGAAGATTTTGAAAGTTCTACTGTGGACAAAATGCTATCACCCTGTATCACATGCTATGGAGAAATCTTTTGTGAAAGGAAGAGTCAACTGATTTGAAAAACTTCATTGTTATTTTAAGAAATTGTCCCTGCCACCCCAACCCTCTGCAGCCACCACACTTATCAGCATTTTGTTTATCTGATGTAATGCTTTTCCACACTTAATAGACTACAGTATAGTGTAAACATAGGTTTTATATTCACCAGGAAATCAAAACATTTGTGTGGCTCATTTTATTGGGACATTCACTTTATTGTAGGGGTCTGGAATCAAAACTGCAATATCTGTGAGGATACTGTATACAACTAAGGTACGTTATTCACAGTAGCCAAGACTTGAAAACAACCTAAGTGTCCACTGGTAGATAAATGGATACACACACACACACACACACACACACACACACAGAGCGGAACATTATTCAGCCTTAAAAAGGAGATCTATCTGCCAGGTGCAGTGGCTTACCCCTGTAATCCCAGCACTTTGGGAGGCCAAGGTGGGTGGACTGCTTGAGCCCAGGAGTTTGAGACCAGCCTGGGTAACATAGTGAGACCCCGTGTCTACAGAAAAAAATGTTTTACAAAATAAGCCACGTGTGATGGCACACGCCTGTAGTCCTAGCTACTTGGGAGGCTGAGGCGGGAGGACGACTTGATTCCGGGAGGTCAAGTGACTGCAGTGAGCTATGATTGCACCACTACACTCCAGCCTGGGTGACAGAGCAAGACTCTGTCTCAAAAAAAAAAAAAAAAAAAAAAGATTCTACCATTTTCAACAACATGAATGAACCTGTTGGACTTTGTGCTAACTGAAGTAAGCTAGACATAGAAAGAAAAAATACTACATGATCCCACTTATATACAAAATCTAAAAAAGTCAAATACATAAAAGCAGAGTAGGGTGGGTGCGGTAGCTCATGCCTGTAACCCCAGCACTTTGGGAGGTCGAAGCAGGCAGATCACCTCAGGTCAGGAGTTCGAGACCAGCCTGGGCAACATGGTGAAACTCCATCTCTACTAAAAATACAAAAATTAGCCGGGCATGGTGGCAGCATGCCTGTAATCCCAGCTACTTGGGAGGCTGAGGCAGGAGATTTGCTTGAACCTGGGAGGTGGAGGTTGCAGTGAACTGAGATCGCACCACTGCACTCCAGCCTGGGCAACAGAGCGAGACTGCATCCTCACCAAAAAAACCAACAAAAAACAGAGTAGAATGGTGGTGGGGGCGGGGGCGGGGGAGGAAATGGGGAAATGTAGGTGAGAGGGTATAAAGTTGCAGTTATATAGGATGACTAAGTCTAGAAAGCTGATGTACAATATGATGATTATACTTAATGATATAGTACTGGAAATTTGATAAGAGTACATTTCAGGTATTCTTACTAGAGGAAAAAAATTTAAGGTAACTGTGTGAGGAGATGGATATGTTAATTTGCTTGACTATATTAATCATTTCACTATGTATATGTATATCAGAATATCATGTTGTACATCTTAAGTGTTGTACACGCTGTGGCCAGGAAGATGGAGTAGACTGTTCAGGTTGGATTCTCATGTGCTGTCCTGGAGTTGGTATCAGTTCTACCAAAATCACAGGGATTAAGTGTGAAGGAAGGATCACTTGAGTCCAGGAGTTCAGGGCTACAGTGAACCATGATTGTACCACTGTACTCCAGCCTGGGCAACAGAGTGAGACCCTACCTCAAAAAAGAGAAGAAGGAGAAGAGAGGATGGGTGCTTGGGTTAAAAATAATAGTTAAATCAGAGTAGAGAATCAGAGAGGTAATTAGAATAGTTATAAAAGTGGCTAACACCATTCAAGTGCGGGTCCTATGCCAGCCCTCCTATGCTAAGCACTTTTCCTGGATTATTTCACCATTATCATCACATTTCACACATCAGAAAATATAGGACCAGGTTGTAGGGTATGTTGGGCAGGCAGTAGGAGACAGGATGGAAGGTGCACTGGAGGTGTGTTGTTACATCTCTCAACTTCCTATGAGCTGTACAAACTCCAGAAACATTATTGAATCTCAGTCTCCTCAAATGCCAGGAAGATAATCATAGGGTCTATCTCGAATATGCTAGTCAAAGCAGATGTGCTGTCAGTTGTATCTCTGTGAGGAATCGCTGTCGTCATCAAGTGATCGCCCTGGCAAGAGAATGTTTGGGGGTGGCATAAAGACCTTCCTACCTTTGGCTGGGCGTAGTGGCTCACGCCTGTAATCCCTGCACCTTGGGAGGCCAAGGCGGGTAGATCACCCATTTGAGACCAGCCTAACCAACATGGAGAAACCCTGTCTCTACTAAAAATACAAAATTGGCCGGTTGTGTGTAATCCCAGCTACTCGGGAGGCTGAGGCAGGAGAATTGCTTGAACCCAGGAGGCGGCAGTTGCGGTGAGCTGAGATCGCGCCATTGCGCTCCAGCCTGGGCAACAATAACGAAACTCCATCTCAAAAACAAAACACAAAACATAACAAAAAAACAAAACGAAACAAAACAAAAACCTTTCTATCTTTATAAATTAGATCCTTCCTCAGTCACTTGTTATTGTGCCATTTCTGTTTTAACATTTCTTTTAGGAGCTGTGTGGTTGCAGTTTTGCCTTTGTGTAATTATTTGATTCAGATGTGTTCCTTGCTGGAGACTAGGCTTTTTTCTTTTTTCTTTTTTTTTTCCCCCGAGATACAGTCTCCCTCTGTCACCCAGGCTGGAGTGCCGTGGTGTGATCTTAGCTCACTGCAACTTCCGCCTCCTGGGTTCAAGCAATTCTCCTGCCTCAGCCTCCCTGAGTAGCTGGGACTATAAGCGCACGCCACCACGCCCAGCTAATTTTTTTTTTTTTTTTTTTTTTTTTTTTTTTATATTTTTGTTAGAGACGAGGTTTCACCATGTAGGCCAGGCTGGTCTCGAACTCTTGACCTCAGGTGATCCGCCCACCTCAGCCTCCCAAAGTACTGGGATTACAGGCGTGAACCACCGCGCCCGGCCTGGAGACTGGGCTTTCTAAGAGACCATGAGCATCGTCCGGGTTCACCATATTGCCTCCAGCCCCTATTGGTGCCTGGCGTGTTGTGGACAGTCAATAAATATTTGTCATTTGCGTGAACAAGCTTAATGAATGAACCCCAGGACACCCTTTGAGGTTCAACAGTCTCAGGCAAGCAACAGCTCAGCAGTACGTGGAGCCCACGAAAACCACAATTCCCAGAGGGCTCCGTGGCTGCCCGGCCTCCTCTTCACCCTGACAGCTGTGCCAGGCAATGGAAGGTGAGAATTCCTCGGGCTGGGCGCCAAGCAGCCCACTCAGAGGGGACTCTTTCAGGTATTTCCTGTCGAGGCCCCGCCCCTCACCCTAGGAGCGTTCTATCCTCCGGTGGCGATTTCCGGAAAAGCCTACCTGGAACATCCGGCCACAGGGCTCGCTCAGCTGCAGGGTCCTTACCTGTCTATTCCTGCCCGTTGTCCCTGGGTGACCCCGGGAATGGGGGCATGTGACTCCCCGGGGGACCGCGTTCCCTCCCTCCCAGCACGTCCCAGGCCCAGAGGAGGAGGCGGCTTCACCCTGGCGGGGGCTTGCCCTCAAACCTATCGGGCACTGACCCTTGGAGGAGGGCTCCCGGGTGCAGTGTTGAGGCGGGAAGGCAGAGATCTGCATTGAGAGGGTTTCGTTGCGATCTGCATTGAGAGGGCAACTGCAGCCAAGTAGAGCCATGTTTTGCTTTGAGAAGGTTTAAGAGGAATTCATCTAGCCAGTGAGGTCAGGGAGTCACTGTCTCACTGCTGTTTTCTTTTTTTTGAGACGGTGTTTCACTCTTGTGACTTCCAGTCTCTGGTTGCAAATATAAGGAGCTTGAAAGTTGTCACTCCATTCTAATGACAAATAAAAAGCTGAACAACCCGAAAAACCCAACAATTCTTCTGTAAGAGAAGTGAGGTCACAGGGCAAACAGCCACCCCAAAATTTGTAGAGACAGACTGGTGGATACGGAGAATCACAATCTATTGGAGCAGCTGAGGTCCTCTGGCAGACCATGCATGGGTACGGGGGCTGAGAGGAAACTTACATCTGAGTACAGGACCTTGGGTTCTTGTAGCCATTGGACCCTTCCTGGTCCTCTTGGCCTGGAGTTGAGCCTTATACCAAAGGAAGGCTATGCTTGGGGATGGTCTGTTGCCCAGGCTGGAGTGCAATGGTGCGATCTCAGCTCACTGCAACCTCTACCTTCCTTCAGCCTCGCCTCCCGGGTTCAAGAGATTCTCATGCCTCAGCCTCGTGAGTAGCTGGGACTACAGGCGCACACCACCACACGCGGCTAATTCTTTTTTTTTTTTTTTTTTTTGGTACAGACAGGATTTCACCATGTTGGCCAGGCTGGTTTTGAACTCCTGGCCTCAAATGATCCGCCTGCCTCGGCCTCCCAAAGTCCTGGGATTGCAGGTGTGAGCCACTGCGCCTGACCCCAACCCTTATAATTAAGTAGAAATCTATGGTCCTTCTCTTTTAGGAGAGATGCTCTTTGACTAACTTGATTCAAGATGGATATGTGCGGTGGGTTGAGTCATGGCACCCCAAATGTGTCCACATCCTAATACTTGGAACCCATTAAGTTTACCTTATATGGCAAAAGGGGCTTTGCAGATGTTATTAAGTTAAGGATCTTGAGATAGGGAGATTATTCTGGATTATGCCGGTGGGCCCAACATCATAACGGTCCTTATACAAGGCAAGCAGGAAGGTCATAGTCAGAGGAGAATGCGGTGGAATGAGATTGGAGTGATGCACTTTGAGGGTGGAGGCCAAAGGATGTGGGTGGCTGTTAGAAGCTGAAAAAGTCAAGGCAAGAGATTCACCCCTCAGAGCCTTCAGAGGAACCAGCCTTGCCGACAGCTTGATTTTGGCTGAGTGAAATCAATTTCAGATTTCTGACCTCTAGAACGATAAGGTTGTGGGTTTTTTTTTTTTTTTTTTTTTTTTTTTTTTGAGACGGAGTCTTGCTCTGTAGCCCAGGCTCTGGAGTGCAGTGGTGCAAACTCGGCTCACTGCAAGCTCCACCTCCTGGGTTCACGCCACTCTCCTGCCTCAGCCTCCTGAGTAGCTGGGACTACAGGTGCCTGCCACCACGCCCAGCTAATTTTTTTTGTATTTTTAGTAGAGACGGGGTTTCACTGTGTTAGCCAGGATGGTCTCGATCTTCTGACCTCGTGATCCACCCACCTCGGCCTCCCAAAGTGCTGGGATTACAGGCGTGAGCCACCGTGCCCGGCGGTTTTTTTGCTTTTTGTGTTTTTTTGTTTGTTTTTGTTTTTTGAGTCCAAGTTTCACTCTTGCTGCCCAGGCTGGAGTGCAGTGGCACAATCTCGGCCCACTGCAGCCTCTGCCTCCCATGTTCAAGTGATTCTTCTGCCTCAGCCTCCCGAGTAGCTGGGATTATAGGCGTGCACCACCACATCCGGTTAATTTTTGTATTTTTAGTAGAGACAGGCTTTCACCATATTGGCCAGGCTGATCTTGAACTTCTGACCTCAGGTGAACTTTTCACAACCTTGGCCTCCCAAAGTGCTGGGATTACAGGTGTGAGCCACCACGCCCGGCCCCAGTTTGTGTTGTTTTAAACCATTAAGCTGGTGGGTCATCTGTTACCACACCACAAAGTACCTAATACAGATGTGACTATGACTTGGAGGTTATTAAGGGACAACAGTGAAATCAGCCTGGTTTCAGTAGGGTGAGGTGGAAACACAATGAGGAAGAAAGAGGCCTTGACCAGGGAGAGGTATCAGGATGGAGCCAGGTATGGGGCAGCTCGGATACAGAAGCTAAATTCTTCATGATCTAACATAACAGATGGGAATGGGATCAGGGCCTAAAGTACCTAAAGGACCACAAAAGCTGTAAGGAAGGCCACTGGGCCTTCAATAAGCCTCTGCCCAAAAGACAGAAGCTCACCTGTGCATTCAACAGATTGTCACCAGGATCTCTGAACTCAGGCAGACATGGGCCCTGTGGGTACAGTGGGGATTCTCAACTGTTCACATACTGAACATCTGTTTCTCTTGGCTGGTTATTGACAAAGTCCAGAAGCTAAAGTTATGGAAAAACAATGTTCTTGTTTTGAAAGAGCTGTTATAGTGCATGGTAGTTTCCCAGCCTTGGTGATACTGATTTTTTGAGCCAGGTCATTGCTGTGGGGGCTGGCTGTCCCGGCACTGCAGGCGGTTCAGTAGAACCCACTAGAGGCCAGCAACAAGCCTCCCTTCCCCAGTCCTAACAACCAAAAGTGTCTTTGGACTTTGTCCGACAACCCCTGGGGGGCTCCCAGTTTGAGCACCCCTGGTGTATGGGGTCTAGCAGAGAGGCTGGACCCCAATTTTCACAGAAGTCTGCCTAGGGCTCCTCAGGGAAGGCTTTGAGAGAAGGAAACTCTTGTGAGAGGGAGGAGGCAGGAGGGAGTGGGGAGCATCAGGAAATAAAGGCAAAGGAAACAATTGTGTGCAAAGGCCCCAAAGAGGACTCATAGGTGTGCATATGTCCCTCGGCAGTTAGAAGGGACAAGAGATTCCTTGGGGGGTACAGAAGAGCTCAGCCCACAGCCCTGAGGTGACTGGTAGTTACTTGATGATACTGATGTTTTGTGAAGAATGCTACCTTGCTGAGCGTACATCTGTAATCCCAGCACTTTGGGAGTCTAAAGTGAGAGGATGGCTTGAGCCCAGGAGTTCGAGGATAGACTGGGCAACACAGTGAGACTCTGTCTCTACAAAAAAATAGAAAAATTAGCCAGGCATGGTGGTGCATTCCTGTAGTCCCAACTGCTCGGGAGGCTGAGGAGGGAGGATTGCTTGAGCCCAGAAGATCGAAGCTATAGTGAGGCATGATCACGCCAGTGCACTCTAGCCTGGGCAACAGAGTGAGACCCTGTCTCAAAAAAAAAAAATGCTACTTGCTTCTTATTTTCTGCATCAGGAATGCACTAATCTGCCAAAAGTTTTCTCTAAACTGAGCAATGAGCTAGGAATTGTATACTGATTTGCATTTTAATTTCCGCTTTGAGAAAACGAGGAGGTGGCATTAGATGATCGCTCAGGCTTATTTCCAGGGCTCATTTTATATAAATATATTTTGTCACTTAAAAATACGCTGTTGAGGTACAATTTACATATCATAAAATTAGCCCATTTCAATTATTTTTAGTAAATTTACTGAGTTGTGCAACCATCACTGTAATCCAGTCTTAGAATATTTTCATTACCCCAATCCTTTTGCTATTTTTTTTTTTTCCTGAGACAGAGTCTCACTCTGTCATCCAGGCTAGAGTGGAGTGGTGCAATCATAGCTCACTGCAGCCTCTAACTCCTGGGCTCAAACAATACTTTTGCCTCAGCCTCCAAGAGTAGCTAGCTGGGATTATAGGCATGCACCATCATGCCTGGCTAATTTTTGTATTTTTTGTAGAGACAGGATTTAGCTACATTGCCCAGGCTGGTCTCAAACTCCTGGGCTCGATCACCCTGCCTCAGCCTCTCAAAGTGCTAGGATTACATGTGTGAGCCACTGTACCCCCATTGCATTTTGTTATTCTTAAAGCTAATGGGCTAAGTGAGAAAGGAGAGTGGGAAGAATTCCCTTTTATATCTCCTTAGTACTCTTTGTCCACTACTTGCTTCTCACTGTAGCTTTTCCTTATGTGTTAGGCTGGGGTTGCAGCAACTGTGTAGATTTTTTTTTTCTCAATCAAAGGTGCTTTGAGAACAGGCACGGTGGTTCACACTTGCAATCCCAGCACTTTGGGATGCCAAGGCAGGAGCATTGCTTGAGCCCAGGAGTTCGAGACCAGCCTGGGCAACATAGCGAGACCCTGTCTCAAAAAATAAAAAGGAAAAAAAAAAGGTGCTTTGATACAAAAAAGATCCCTCAAATGTAATTTTCTTTTCTTTTTGTAAAAGCACCATCTAACTACTTGGAAACTCTTCTCGCACAAACGTGCATATTCTCATTTAATTCATCCTTTGCTATAAACAGCTAGTAATTACAGAAAGAATATGAGGGATCTATTTTCCAATTAACTTTGCCTTGAAATTCTGGTAGATCACTCATCTTTATTAAAGAAGTGTGCTCATGATAAAAAATTGTCTGGTATGACAGCAAATGCATAACTATATATATAGAATTTATCCCTTAACATATTTTAGAGGATAAAGCAACAGAGGGACGATTTAACAGTAAGCGGGCCACCTGCAGGATTGTCCTGATTCTCTCTCAGTAGTTACTCCTTGCTCTCTGCAGAGACTTAAGTTCTCTTTGCCCCAGTGCCCAGACCTGCCTTCTCTTCACCCTGTCATCATGCACGGTTGGGCCCTGGTTGGCCTTTTCTGGGCCTCCTCACAGCAGAATGTGCATCATCATTCCTCAAGGGCCTCGTGCTTTCCTTGTAAGTCACACAGTTTTTGTGATTTACATGCAAGTAAGGGGGAGGAGAAACACAAACACCTTCCGTGTGAATCTAAAGCATGGAGTGCTCCTTTTAGTCCCCATGGTGAAGTCGGTGATGCTGGTGAAGGTTTGAGCTCTGGCGAAAGCTTTTCCCACACTGGCCACACTGGTATGGCTTCTCTCCAGTGTGGATCCTCTGGTGCAGCTTCAGGGTTGACTGCCGCCCAAAGCAGTTTCCACACTCTCCGCACGTGTAGGGTCTCTCTCCTGTGTGGACTCTCTTGTGTCTCTTCAGCTCTGAATTCCACGTGAAGCTTTTCCCACAGTCATCACATTTGTAGGGTTTCTTTGCTGAGCGGGTGGGCTGGTGACCAAGATGTTGCAAACGGTTGCTCAGACTCCGTTTACCTCCTTTGCTTTTCTTTAGCTCTCTCAGTGGGTGGCTTTTTAGGGGGCTGCTGATGTATTCCACCCTGCAATGTCTCTGGTAGTGAGCAAATGGCTTTTGAGCATTTGGGGAGCTGACCTGCCTCCGTGACAACCGAGGTTCACTCATATTTGCCCCTCTTGGTTCAGGATTCTGCAGACCATTCCCTTTGGATCTGCCAGCTGACACTGCACATGGCTTTGCTCCTTTAGCCCCTTCCTGTTGTGGATTTTCCTTGTTGTCACTTCTCATTCTGGGGGCCTCTATAATTAGAAAGAAAATGCTTCATTTTCTGCACTTGGAAGAAATAACTTCAGCAAGAGTTATGAAATACTCTGAGAGGTTTCTCAAAGGGTGGCCCTCCGCTGGCAACTTGCATTAGACTCATCTGGAGCACTTGTTAAACAAGCAGGCTCTTCACCCTTCCCCCAGAGCTGCTGGGTCAGAATCTCGGGGGGTTGGGCCTGATAATCTGCACAGTTAGCAGGCTCCTGGGGTGACTGTGATTTATATTAAATTTAGGAACCAAGTTCTCCATCCTCCTTCTTCCTTTCTCCCTTTAGGGAAAGGTTTAGGAAATGAAGAACAGGGAAAAGCAAACCCATCAGAATTGGGTATCTAATGAAGAAGGAAGAGAGGTGAAATCTCAACATTGCAAATTTTACTGCTGTAGTCCAATGCCTGAGCTATTTCAACAAATACCCCTCACTTAGTAAACACTAATTGACAACCACCTTCTCTTCAAAAGATGGTAAGTTCAGAGACTGTGATGTTTTCTTTCATTACAAATTTGACAGTATATGAGTTCAGAAACTGGAATCAGGGCTTAGCCATGTATCCTAATTACAGAAGGATTGACAGTCTGGATGGAGATGAGCTGGAACGGCCTATGGGAAATCACAGGATCTGGAGAAGGATCCCTTGTGATGTGGAAAATGTGTGTGTGCACACGTGCATGCACAGGCACATGCACGTTGTTCAATATGGCAGCCACTAGCCACATGTGACTATGTGGCTACTGGGTACTTGAAATGTGACTACTGTGACTAAGGAACTTAATTTTAAATTTTTTTTTAATTTTAATTCATTTAAATTCAAATGTAAATAATCAGCCTATACAATCAGGGTCAATTGCTTTTTGACAAGACAATTCAATGGGAAAAGAATAGTCTTTTTCATAAAGGATTCTAGGACTACTGGATTTCCACATACAAGAGAATGAAGTTGGACCCTGCTATGGTCTGAATGTTTATCCCCCCTGTCCCCTGACACACATATATTGACAGTCCCCAGTGCAGTGGTCTTGGGAGGTGGGGCATCTGGGAGGTGATTAGGTTATGAGGGTGGGGTCCTCATAAATGGGATTAGTGTCCTTATAAAAGAAACCCAAGAGACTACCATGTGGGGACTCATAGCAGGCACCATTTATGAGGAATGGGCCCTCGCCAGACACCAAATCTGCTGGCACCTTGATCTTGAACTTCCCAGTATCCAGGAACTATGAGCAACAAATTTCTGTTGTTTATAAATTACCTAGTCTAAGGCAATTTGTTGTAAGAGCCTGATCAGATTAAGACAGACCCCTGATCAGATTGACAGACCCCTACCTCAAAACCTATATAAAAATTGACTTGTTTATGTATGGGGAAAAAATAAACTTAAAATGGACCAAATAGCTGAAAGTAAGAGCTAAATCTATGTCTCCTTGAAGAAACCATAGCTGTACATATTTGTGCCCTTGGATTAGGCAGTGCTATTTTACATATGACACCAAAGCATAAAGAAAGAAAAAAATAGATAAATTAGACTGCAGCAAAATGAAAAACGTGTGCGTCAAAGGACACTGTCAAGAAAGTGAGACAACCCACAAAATGAGAGAAAAGATTTGCAAATTACACATAAGGGTCTAGTATCTAGAATACATAAAGGACTCTTATAAAAAATAAAGACAAATAACCTAATTTAAAAATGACCAAAGGATCTGAACAGATATTTTTCCACACAAGATATGTAACTGGATAATAAGCACATGAAAAGATGTTCAACACCATTAGTCACTAGGGAAATGTAAATCAAAACCTCAAATCAAAATTTCTCACCGAATAGGATGGGTATAAGACAATAACAAGTGCTAGCAAGAATGTGGAGAAATCGGAATCCTCACACAGTATTGGTGGGGATGTAAAATGGTGTAGCTGCTTTGGAAAACAGTCTGGTAGTTCCTCATAAGTTAAACATGGAATTACCACATGACCTAGCATATGGTAATTCCACTCCTAGGTATATACTCAAGAGAAATGAAAACATGTCTACACAAAAACACACATTTATAGCAGCATTCTTCATAATAACCAAAAAGTAGAAACAACCCAAAAATCTATGAACAGATGAACCAACATGAACAGAAAACCAACATGTAATATATCCGTACAATGCCTATTATTCAGCCACAGAAAAGGAATGAAGCACTGATTGATGCTACAGCATGGATAAAACTTGAAAACATGCTCAGTGAAAGAAGCCACACACAAAAGACCACATATTGTGTGATTCAATTTATTTATTTATTTATTTTTGAGACAGGGTCTTACTTTGTCACATAGGCTAGAGTGCAGTGGCACGATCTCAGTTCACTGCAGCCTCGACCTCCCAGGTTGAAGTGATCCTCCTGCCTCAGCTCCCCCAAGCAGCTGGGATTACAGGTGTGCAGCACCATGCCCCGCTAATTTTTGCATTTTTTGTAGAGACAGGATTTCGCCATGTTGCCCAGGCTGGTCTCGAACTCCTGAGCCTAAGTGATCCGCCTGCCTTGGCCTCCCAAAGTGCTGGGATTACAGGCGTGAGCCACTGTGCCCGGCCTGTGTGATTCCATTTGTATAAAATGTTCAGAATAAGCAATTCTAGAGACAAAAAGTAGACTGTGGTTGCCAGGGGCTAAATGTTTATGTTCCTCCAAATTCATATGAAATTCTAACTCCCAAGGTAATAGTGTTAGGACATGGGGCCTTTGGGAGGTGATTAGGTCATGAGGGTGCTGCCCTCACTGGAATGGGATTAGTGCCTTCATGAAAGAGCCCCACGGGAGCCTGTCTTCCCCTTCTGCCACATGAGGACTGAGAAGTAGGCAGTCTGTGACCTGGAAGAGGGGCCTCACTGGAACCCAACCATGCTGGCACCTTGAACTCAGACTTCCTAGCCTCTAGAACTGTGAGAAATAAACTCCTGTTGTTTATAAACTACCTAGTCTCTAGCATTTTATATTAGCAGCCTGAACAGACTAAAACACGAAGTACCTCATTGGATGTAGCAAATATTAAGAAACTGAGGATTTTTGTCGTCTTGTAACCCTCCTCCCTAACGTGCTCACTGTATCTTGTATTCACATCACCAGGCTTGGCCAAAATGTCACTGTCATTCAGGCTTAGAGATCACAGGACTGTGTAGAACAAGGCCAGCAGTTACACAAGTATCACACCAGAGAAAGGGAAATAGATTTGAGGATCTAAAGTACAAGCAACATCACAGAGGAGGACAAAGATATAAGATATAGGGTGGGTTTTTATTTCTACCAGGCCCCTCTAAACAGAGGAGCATTTTAAGCAATGAAACTCAGCCATAGCTTGCATGGAAGTTCATCTGTGGCCATATTTGGATCTGTCTTTTCTATAAGAAGTTCTGAAACGGACAGAAAAGTAGGTACAACCCTGTCATGCACTGGATTCTTAAATTTTCATTAACAGAAAACGATAAAAACATACTTACTTGTAGTATCACCACCATCCTAATTAGTGAAATTTGTTTAGTGAATAATCATCTACTATTATATATAACATTTAAAAAAACACACACATGTGGTCTATGCCTTTGCAGAACCATGAGATACATTGATGGAGATAAAGGGCTGATGAGAGGGAGAGAAAAGGCAGAGTGTTTACCTGTCCCAGCCAATTTGGGGGTTGGTTCTTGGAGGAGTGGGGATTTCTCCCAATGATGGGGGCTCAGCCGGTCATAAGCTCCTGCCTGGGAAGGCTCTGCTGGAGAGCTCTCCCTGAGATCTCTCCTAGGAGTCTGCGGTTGAAAGTCTGGCAGTTCCTGTTCTCCAAGCTGAGATCCAGTTTTCTCCAAGAGCACCTTTTGCCCCTGCATACAAACGGCCACCTAGGAACAAGCCCCATCCATTAATTCCATCCATCAGGACTGAGGGAAGCTTGATCTCTCACTGTTGTATAATGACCCGTTTACCTTGGGAATTGCTGATAACCATCTAGAGGTCAACTTTCATAGAAACCACTGAAACCCTCAAAGGAAGTAAAGGGGAGAACGTGAAGAATGACAGGAATGAGGATGCTACAAATCAGCCGAGTGGCTTCCCCTAAAGCTTGGGCCTTTCTCAAGGGCCAGAGTCAAAGTCATCAGGGTAGTTGCTGGCACAAATATCAGGGTCAGTCACAACACTGGGCCATCAGATGCCTACTCTACACACCACCCCCCACCTACTTCTGCTGGAAATAGGCCCTGTAGGAACAGGAAGCAGTATGGTGAGGGGCTGTTAAAAGTCCTTCTTACCTAATACATTGTTCTGCCAAAGGCTTTCCTGGTAAGGAGATCCCAGTAGTAGTAGGGGTCTAAGAGGACCACCCCACCTTCATTCCCTAACAAGTTCTATTTTCCGAAGTACCTGCCGTTTGCTTCTTGCCTAGGTCCTGACTGGGGTCTGACTTCGGGGCGGGGAGTGGCAAGCAATGGCAACGCTGGCCAGTTGAACTGTAACTTCCTGATCCAAAGACAATAAGCTAGTCAGGCATTGTGTGGCTCACTCCTGTAATCCCAGCACTTTGGGAGGTCAAGACGGGCGGATCGCCTGGGCCCAAGAAGAGTTCAAGACCAGCCTGGGCAATGTGGAGAAACCCTGTCTCTACAAAAGTACAAAAATTAGCCACGCATGGTGGCATGTACCTGCAGTCCCAGCTACTTGAGAGGCTGAGGTGTGAGGAACACTTGAGCTGGACATGGAGGTTGCAGCGAGCTGAGATCGTGCCACTGCCCTCCAGCCTCAGCAACACAGTGAGACCCAGTCTCAAAAAAAAAAAAAAAAATCAAAGACAAAAAGCTAGGCCAGGTGTGGTGGCTCACGCCTGTAATCCCAGCACTTTGAGAGGCCAAGGCGGGAGGATCACTTGAGGTCAGGAGTTCGAGACTAGCCTGGCCAACATAGTGAAACCCCCTCTCTACTAAAAAGTACAAAAATTAGCTGGGCGTGGTGGCAGGCACCTGTAAACCCAGCTACTCAGGAGGCTGAGACCTGAGAATCGCTTGAACCTGGGGTGCAGAGGTTGCAGTGGGCTGAAATGGCACCACTGCACTCCAGCTTGGGAAACACAGCAAGACTCCATCTCAAAAAAAAAAAAAAAAAAAAAAAAAAAAAAAAAAAAAGACTATAAGCTAAACACTGGAAAGACAATAAGCTAGAACTTCCAATGAAATGAAGTTCCCCAAAGTCCAACTGCTACCCAACAGGGTGACCCTATCTGCTAAGAATTCTGCTAGTAGGAAAACTAAGTTGGGTGGGGGAAGAGCTGACAGAAGGGATTTAAGAACCTTACAATTACTTCTGGTGACACAAGGTGCATAAAGGAATGGTAAGAACCTTGGTCCTCTGTTGCCTCACTGGGTATCAGTAGTTGGATTTTCTAAAAACCTGTTAATAACTCAGGATAGGTTCCCAGATAGAGGCTGGAAGCAACTTCTGAAGCCATCCAGTCCACTTCTGAGACTTAAATAGGGAGAGATCCAGATACCAAACATTACCCAGATGAAAAAGAAATCGGCCGGGCACGGTGGCTCACACCTGTAGTCCCAGCACTTTGGGAGGCCGAGGCGGGCGGATCACGAGGTCAGGAGATCGAGACCATCCTGGCTAACACGGTGAAACCCTGTCTCTACTAAAAATACAAAAAATTAGCCGGGCGCGGTGGCGGGCGCCTGTAGTCCCAGCTACTCGGGAGGCTGAGGCAGGAGAATGGCGTGAACCCGGGAGGCGGAGCTTGCAGTGAGCCGAGATAGCGCCACTGCACTCGGGCCTGGGCGAAAGAGCAAGATTCCGTCTCAAAAAAAGAAAAAAAAAAAAAAAGAAAAGAAAAAGAAATCCCCAGGATGATGGGAGAGGACCCTCCTTACCCACTGCTTTGGTTTCTTGGATGCTCTGTGAAAATCTTCCACGAGGGTCACAATCTCCTTGCTGCTCATTGGACATCGATGCCTGACCCGAGCCTGGATCTCCGGGGGCAGGATGGTCAGGAACTGCTCCATCACCAGAAGCTCCAAAATCTGCTCCTTGGTGTGCAGCTCGGGTTGCAACCACTGACGGCAGAGCTGTCGGAGCTGGGAGAGAGCCTCTTGGGGTCCAGACACCTCTTGATAACAAAAGCGTCTGAAGCTCTGGCGGCAGAGCTCAGGATCTGGGCAGTTTTTTTGCAGAGGAGGGCCCCGTTTCTCTTCTAGTTTGGCTATTATGTGTCTCTCTTGCTTGGAGGAAGCTTCAGTGTTGGAGCTTAAAGTTATCTCCATTTTAGCTGCCATTTTGGGCGTCAGGAGACAACTCTCTCCTTGTAAACGGGTTAAGCCTTTGGGATCATGACCCTGGAGAAGTCTCTGAATACTAGAAAGATTCTAGAAACGAAGGTTCTCTGAGGATGTTAGGGGGAACGGGATGCAGAGACAAAGCCTCACTTGCTAGCCTTTACTAGCCAAACTCAAGACAACGCGGTCCCTGGGAGTGGGAAGAGTTTTGTCTTCTTGTCAGTTTTTTGCAGTCTTGCAAAGGAGAAAAGTCATAACGTCCTAAAAGGACTCTGGGGAAAAAATACTTCTTTTATTTCAGTAGCAAGCACACAGGTCTCGGATTTAATGAGCAATACGCTCTAACCGGCGGGTGGAGCGGAATCCCTAGGAAAAGTTCAAGCTGTCGCAGGTAGCTTGCCCCAACTCTCCCGCATCCTGGCGGAAACCGACCGGGTGCATGTCGCCGGGTGCTAAACGGTAGAGCTAAGCGAGGCCACAGCGCCAGCCGGGGGTGTGAGGTAGCGAACAGCCTCCTGCACGCGAGCAAAGCGGCTGCTCGCTGCCGAGGCGCCGCAGGCCCAGTGGCTCCGGCCTCCAGGGCGGCCCCGCGGCCCAGCCAGCCCCAGGCCTGGCGAAGCTGCCGCAACCCGATGCGCAGCTGAACTCCACGCCCGGTGTGAGCTCGGACTGGCGACTGCGACACCGGTACCCCGAACAGCCCGGCGCCCCGCACCCACCTGCAGCCGACTCACCTCTCCGGGAACCCAAGACCGAGGGACTTAGGACCCGACACCGGCGAGCACGGGCTGGGGGCGGGGCCGATGCCACTCGCTGCGGAGACGCCCACTAGCTGCTGAGGACAACTACTGACAGGGCCCGCCTCCTGCCAAGGGCATTCTCTACCGTCTATTGGTTGCTGCGCCTGTCAATACCGTCGCAGTGCATCCCGGGAGCTGCAGTCCGGCAATTCGGCTTGCGGGCCTGCGCAGGGGCGTGCGTAATGGGCGGAGCGAATCGCGCCGCTGACTTCCGGCCCGGAGGCTGAGGGAGTTTGTGGAGTCGCGAGTGCTGGTGTCCGGTGAGTTCTCCGCTTCCTTGCGGCCGGCGGGATTAGCCGCTGGGCCCTGCGACGGCCGAGGAGCCCCTCCCCGCTGGGAGTCTTCTCCGAGGCGTTCGGGTCCGGCCCCGATGGGCGTCTCCTTGGGACAGGCAGCCTCCCTCAGGCCGGGCGTCCCCAGACGCGCCGCGATCACCGTGCCCCGCTCCCACCGTGCGGATCACCCCGAGCCTGAGCGCCGGCGCCCCGGGACCCCCTGGCCTTGACCCTGCTCATCTCGTCCCTGTCTCGCCCACTCCCTACTCATCCACAGTGCCTAGCCCTGGCACCGAGTGCGTTCTGAGTACTCAATAAATAGTTAACTAAGTGAAAAACCTATCAACCTGGCTCCCCATCCTCATGCTACATTTTTTTCCGAGTGTTTGGGCCATCGCTAGAGTGAAGTAAAATTTTCAGAGAACAGCATTTTAAAATTTAACGATGAGTGGGAGGTAAGGGGTCAAAAGGGGTCAAGAAGGGTGCAGGTTCCGCCTTCTGCATGAAGTTAGAAGAGCTTTTATTAAATTCTTCTTCAGCCAGGTAAGGCACAGGATGAACATAATGAAGGCAAGGGGTGCTGGTTCTAGTCCTGGCCTTGCTGCCTAGGAGCTGTGCTGTGTGATGCTTTAGGCAAGATACTTCATCGCTCTCAGTTTCTTTTTGGCTAGAAAGCAGTGCTAACAATAATAATGCCCTTGATTTCTCTATCTCTAGAAGCACTGAAATGTAAAGAGAATTTAAGTGAAGGCAGTTCAAGTTCCTTGAGAAAAGGGAACCCAAATCCATTTTTAAAATATAAAAAAATTTCTTTAATTTTTAAAAAACATTTACCATCATAACCATTTTTAAGTGTACAGCTCAGTAGTCCTGAGTATATTCATCTTGTTGTGCATGCTGGATCCATTTTAATACCACATGGTGAGGGTGTATCAGCCCCTGGAGAAAATGTAAATTACGATCTGCTTTAATCTGTGTTTTAAGTAGATAAAAACCAACACAAACTCATTAAAAAAGACTGCCTTCGCGGGTGCAGTGGCTCACACCTGTAATCCCAGCACTTTGGG
Organism: Homo sapiens; assembly: GCF_000001405.40. Taxonomy (NCBI): domain Eukaryota; kingdom Metazoa; phylum Chordata; class Mammalia; order Primates; family Hominidae; genus Homo; species Homo sapiens. The sequence continues at coordinate 3,399,862 of NC_000016.10, read as the reverse complement.
AGGCCAAGGTGGGAGGATCACTTGAGCACAGGAGTTTGAGACCAGCCTGGGCAACATAGTGAAACTCCACCTCTACAAAAAATACAAAAGTTAGCTTCTATTTAAAATTATTTTTAAGGTCGGGCATGGTGGCTTATACTTGTAATCCTAACACTTTGGGAGGTTGAGGTGGGAGGATTGCTTGAGTTCAGGAGTTTGAGACCAGCCTGGGCAACAGAGTGAGACTCCATCTCTAAAGATAAAAAAACAAATAAAATTATTTTTAAAAGTTATTTATTAATTTTAAATTATATAAAACTATTTTTAAAATTAACTCTTAAAAAAATATTGCCTTACATAAACTGGCCTTGGAGATCCAAACATGTTGTCAAGACTTGAGTATATTGTCCTCTTGTAAACAGGCTCACTCCTGTGATGGAAGAGTGGAGTAGAGAGTGGGACATAGTTGGAGACAACTCTGATCTTACATTTGCCCAATTTACCAATTCCTAGAAAATGAAGAGCTTTCCCTACCTCTCATGTAAAATCTGAGAAAAGAATTTTGATAGGCCTAGCTGTGTGTCATATGCCCACTTCTGGGGAAGTGGGTATTGTAATTAATATCCCCACCAGAACCAATGAGAGGGACTTTTTCTTTTTTTGAGACAGTCTCGCTCTTGTTGCCCAGGCTGGAGTGCAATGGCGTGATCACAGCTCACTGCAACCTCCGCCTCCCGGGTTCAAGCGATTCTCCTGCCTCAGCCTCCCGAGTAGCTGCGACTACAGGTGCGTGCCACCATGCCCAGCTAATTTTTTTGTATTTTTAGTAGAGACGGAGTTTCATCTTGTTAGCCAGGATGGTCTAGATCTCCTGACCACGTGATCCGCCCGCCTTGGCCTCTCAAAGTGCTGGGATTGCAAGCGTGAGCCACCACGCCTGGTCGAGGGGGACTTTTTCACAAAGGAAGAAGATGCTGCTACTAGAAGTGGGAAAGGAATGCTGGAAAATAAAAACATACAGCAAACCCGAACAGTCACTTATCCACGTTGTGTGTGTGTGGAGTAATAGTAATGAAGAAGTTAATCAAGAAGCACACACACACCAGTTCTCCCCCGAGGAGAGGGTAGCAATTGGGAACATGAATTCAGGCTTCTTGAGGATAGGGAAGGACAGGAAAAAGACCTAGGTGTGTGAGGGAAGAAGGGAAGGAACAGGTGAACTATATCGTCAGGAACAGTTTGAGTAATTCGTCAGCAGACACAGAATCTTGGCTGGGAGAAGACTATATTTTTTGGTACTGTAACTGCCCAGTGGGTTCATCTTGCCCACTGCCTAGATAAAGCCAGTTTGTCAAGACAGGGGAACTGCAATAGAGAAAGAGTTTAATACGCACAGAACCGGCTAAATGGGAGACTAAAGTTTTATTACTCAAGTCAGCCTCCCCGGAAATTCAGAGGCTAGGGCTTTGGCACGCAGTTGGGTAGGGAACAGGGAATGCTGACTGGTTGGGGATGCATTCATAGGGCTGTGGAAAACGGTTTTTGTGTGCTGAGTGCGATTTTGGGTGGGAGCCACAGAGGAGTCCCTGGTCTAGGTGGAGCCATCTGGTTGTCAGAAAGCAGAGGCCTGAAAAGGCATCTCAAAAGGCCAATCTTAGGTTCTACAATCGTGATGTTATTTAATTGGGGAAGTTGCAAATCTTGTGACCTCTGGATAATCATTTCATTATGCCTGCATCTTAGCAGAATTCAGGCCCCTCTCATCCTCCTAACCTAGTTGTCTTTAATTAGTTTTACAAAGGCAGTTTAGTTTTGGGAAGGGTTATTATCATTCAAACTATAAACTAAATTTCTCCCAAAGCTAGCTTGGCCCACACCCAGGAATGACCAACGGCAGTTTGGAGGTTAAAAGCAAGATGGAGTTGGTTAGATCCTATCTCTTTTAGTGTCATAATCTTCTCACTGTTAATGGTTTTTGCAAAGGCAGTTAGCCAGGATGGTCTAGATCTATTTCTAGTGTTTTGGATCCTTGGTGTAGATTTGTGGAGGGAGTAAAGGAAAGGGATAGGAAGTAAATCACAAGAACCAGAGTGAAGGAATGTTTGATAGGTTTATATTGTCTTTTTCCATCCTCTTCAGACATCCTTCAAAGTTGAGCCCTTTTTTTCCGCTGTGAGTCTCTACACATGTCTGACACTCTCATGTCCCACGGATTACAGAAAGACATTCCTTGCAGGAGAACATGGCTTCCCAGTGATGTGGGAAAGATGGACTCTGATCTCCAGGGTAGAAGTGGCAACCAGAGTAAGCCAGTTCGTTGAAGCAAATGATGGCTGCAGTGAAGAGTACCGAGGCACACCCATCCTCAAACAAGGATCCCACACAGGGCCAGAAATCAGCCCTCCAGGGTAACAGCCCTGACTCCGAGGCCTCCCGTCAGCGCTTCAGGCAGTTTTGCTACCAGGAGGTAACTGGCCCACATGAAGCTTTTAGCAAACTCTGGGAACTCTGTTGTCAGTGGCTGAGGCCGAAGACCCACTCAAAAGAGGAAATCCTGGAGCTGCTGGTTTTGGAGCAGTTTCTGACTATCTTGCCAGAGGAGATCCAGACCTGGGTGAGGGAGCAGCATCCAGAAAACGGCGAGGAAGCTGTGGCTCTGGTTGAGGATGTACAGAGAGCTCCTGGACAACAGGTGAGAAAAGGAAGTCGGAACTTTGTGGTTTTGGTTATGAAGTTGTCGGGGAATCCAGTTACTGGAGAGGTGCTTGGTTGAGAAACACACAGTAGCCCTCTGCTGCCCACAGAAGGTCTTGGCTGTCTTGGATTGGTCCTATGCCCTTATAATACGGGAAGAATTTCTCATCTGTGGATACAGCTGCTAGACATTCATATATTTAATAATATTTGAAGTCCCTAATTAAGGTGGTAAAAACACTCAGAAAAATTCTCGAAAACAAGGCCAGGGAAAGGACAACTCTCCTTCACTCAGGGGATGGAGGAAAACTAGAGATGCTAGTGAATGAAAATCTAGTTTCATGCTAGGAGCTTCTTTGAGGGCAGAGTGACATGTGTTGTACACTCAACAAAATTATATTAGAGCCAGGCCTTGCTCTAGTTCTTGATGCCGGGATTAAGTGTTCAGTTTGGGACACTGATGGATTCATAAAATATCCTCTTACGGTCAGGACTAGGTCTGAGATCTGATTGGTGTAACCAGCTTATATTTTCTTGGAGCAGGGAGGTGGGAAAGGCACAGGAAGAGGAAAAGTAACATACCAGCTTCGGTTGTGGAAGAGTTGGTAGGAGGAAGGCAACTGAAATTGGGTAAGTCTGGGAGAGGCCTAGAGTAATGGAGGGCACAGGTCAGAGGAACGTTGGTCAGCCTGAGTGGGTCTGTGATCAGAGCAGGAAGCAGCTTGCTGGGTGCCAGAGTCTGCATGGCTGGAATGGGAAGGCCCTAGGCAGCAGATATACTTGTGTTTCCCAGTGAGGAGGTAGGGATGTGCACGGGCTGTGGGAAGAGGAATGGGTGAAGGGGGATATAGATGAAATTTGGTAGGATTGAAGAGTTAGTACTTTTGACTTAATTTAGAGAGGGGAAGAGCAGCTTGATGGTGATGCATCAGGGAAGAAGTTCAGGAAATTAGTCTGAAATCTGTGGGATTGGGACTCTTATTCATAAGTAAGATTGAATGGAGAGGTGCAGTAGCACTTGTATGAAGGTAGAACTTGGAGAACTGAACTATTATAAATAGAGTGGGAATCCCAGTATGCCAAGAGTCATCCTAGCCCAGTTCCCCTTCCATCACTCTGTTTGATGGTCTCTCCTCTTCTTATCCTTAACCATGTCGGAATCACACTTATGTTTATTTTATTTATTTATTTTTTGAAAGGGTCTTGGTCTGTCACTTAGGTTGGAGTGCAGTGGCATGAATGCGGCTCACTGCAGTCTCAGCCTCCTGGGTTCAAGCGATCCTCTTGCCTCAGCCCCCCAAGTAGCTGGGACTACAGGTGCACACCACCATGCCCAACTAATTTTTGTTTTTTATTACAGGTGAGGTTTTGCCATGTTGCTTAGGCTGGTCTTGACCTTCTGAGCTCAGGCAGTCCACCCACCTCAGCCTCCCAAAGTGTTGGGAATACAGGTGTGAACCATTGTGCCCGGCCCACACTCTTAATATAAAAGAAAACAGTGCAGGAGTGTATAGGTTAAACACCTATTTGAAACCTAATTTATTAGTCCGTTCTCACACTGCTATAAGGACATACCCGAGACTGGATAATTTATAAAGAGAAGAGGTTTAATTGACTCACAGTTCTGCATGGCTGTGGAGGCCTCAGGAAACTTACAGTCATGGCGGAAGGGGAAGCAAACATGTCCTCCTTCACATGGCAGCAGGAAAGAGAAGAATGAGAACTGAGTGAAGGGGGAAGCCATGAGAACTTACTATCACTAGAGTAGCATGGAGGAAACTGCCCCCATGATTCAATTACGTCCACCGGGTCCTTCCCATGACACGTGGGGATTATGGGAACTACAACTGAAGATGAGATTTGGGTGGGGACACAGCCAAACCTTATTACCTATCATGAAAGTGAAGGAGAGAGCAAGAAGTGGAGGTGGGTAGTAGTAATAGAGGTTGATATAATTTCTCAGGACCCCACTTGCCTCTCAGTACCTCTCTTCATTCCCTTTAAGGGTGTTTGTTATAAGCATGGGACTTAAAGAATGAAGATGGCTCTGAAAGACAAAAGTTGATTTTCAGTGACCGTTGATATTGAGGATTTTACAGTGAACAGGACAGGCACGGCCCCTGGCCTGCTGGAGCCCGCGGTCCATGGGGGAAACAGACAATCATAAATCAAAAGTAAACCATAAAGATCGTTTCAGATGAGTGCTTGGAAGGAAATGAGCAGAGTGATGTGATAACTGGAGTGTTGGGAGATAGGCTGTGAGGCAGGACTTCTCTGAGGTGACACTGAAGGAGGAGAAGGAACCAGTTGTCCCAAGAGCTGGGAGGAGAGTACTCCAGACAGAGGGCACAGCACATACCAAGAGCCTAAGGTGGGAAAAGACTGGGCGGGTTTGAGAGGAAGAAGGGAGGGCTTGTGGCTGGAGCTCAGAGACTGGGGAAGAGTGCTGTGAGAGAAAGGGAGGAGGCCGGGCAGAATGATGCTGGGCCTTTTAGGCTGCAAAGAGGAGTCTGGATTTTATTCTGTGTGCAGTGGGAAGCCACTGAAGAGTGCTGTTACTACGGAGGGACAGGACTCTAGATTTTAAAAAGATCACACTGGGTTCCATGTAGAGAGAATGGATTGGAGGGTCCAGCAGTAGAGAGGATGCAGACAGCAGATAGTGTCCTGGACCCTGATGGAGCCATGAGGTGAAGAGAGAGGACCAATGCGAGGTCTCTTTTGAAGACAGAACTGATACTGGATTTGGGGGGCAGAGGAAATGGCCTAGTGCTGAAGTCATGGGGGTTTGCTAAAGTGAAAGCTGACATTCTCTCTTCTGACAAATATATTTCAGTTTTTAACAGTTCTGGTGTGTCAGGCTCTATGCTAGGTGCTGTCATATAAATAATCTTAACCACTTCAAAGAGTTTTTTTTTGTTTTTGAGACAGAGTCTTGCTGTGTTGTCCACGCTGGAGTGCAGTGGCGTGATCTTGGATCACTGCAACCTCCGCCTCCTGGGTTCAAGTGATTCTCCTGCCTCAGCCTCCCAAATAGCTGGGGTTACAGATTCACACCACTACACCCAGCTAATGTTTGTATTTTTAGTAGAGACGGGGTTTCTTTCACCTTGTTGCCAGGCTGGCCTTGAACTCCTGACCTCACGTGATCCACCTGCCTCGGCCTCCCAAAGTGCTGGGATTACAGGCGTAAGCTACTGCCCCTCAAATACCTAATTCTATTAATTTTTATTTTATTACAGCAGCAATACAGTGGCTCCTAGATTTTTCTCTTCTGCTTCCTTATGTTACACATTTTTTAATGCCACTCTTAGGAGTTGTAAAGTCCAGCTTAGGCAGGAATTTGTAGTGATAGATAATGGGGTCTGTTCTCAGGTTCTAGATTCTGAGAAGGACTTGAAAGTACTCATGAAGGAGATGGCCCCTTTGGGAGCAACCAGAGAATCACTGAGATCCCAATGGAAACAGGAGGTTCAGCCAGAGGAACCGACTTTTAAGGGATCACAGAGCTCACACCAAAGACCAGGGGAACAGTCAGAAGGTAAGCAGAAGCCTCTGTCCTCACCTGAGGCAGGTGAGGAACAATCATTTACTGGAAACAAAGGTCTGAACTGAGTCCACCCAAGGGTTCCAGACTAAATGCCTTTGAAATACATCCAAAAACCGGCAGGGCGTGTTGGCTCACGCCTGTAATCCCAGCACCTTGGAAGACCAGACAGGCGGATCACCTGAGGTCAGGAGTTCGAGACCAGTCTTGCTAACATCGTGAAACCCCGTTTCTACTAAAAATACAAAAAATTAGCTGGGCATGGTAATCCCAGCTACTCAGGAGGCTGAGTCAGGAGAACTGCTTGAACCCAGGAGGTGAAGGTTGCAGTCAGCCAAGATCGCACCACTGTATTCCAGCCTGGGCTGTCTCAAAGAAAACAAAAAATATATATATATATAAAATATATAAATTTATATATATATATATATATAAATATAAATATATATATAAATATAGAAATATATATATAGAAATATATATATATCTCTCTCCATATCCAAAAGCAAGATTACAAATTTCAGTTGAGGGTAATAGCACTTAAAGTAGGAACAGAGATTCTTTATGTGTTAGCATAATTCTTTTTTATTACAATTCTGTTACTAAAGAATCAGGTGTCATTAAAGGTGAACATGGTTACCTTCACCTTCTGCACAGCAGTTTTTCATATACTTGAAGACATTAAATCCCCTTCCCCATCCAACTTAATCTTTTCCAGAATACATTTTTATTATTTTTGCTTTTCTTCCAGAGCTCTATTTTTTGTTTTTACTTGTCTTAATTTTTTTAGAAAACTTTTTTTGTTTCTTTGTTTTTTGAGACGGAGTCTTGCTCTGTCGCCCAGGCTGGAGTGCAGTAATGCGATCTTGGCTTACTGCAAGCTCTGCCTCCCAGGTTCACGCCATTCTCCTGCCTCAGCCTCCCAAGTAGCTGGGACTAAAGCACCCGCCACCATGCCCGGCTAATTTTTTGAATTTTTAGTAGAGACGGCGTTTCATCGTGTTAGCCAGGATGGTCTCGATCTCCTGACCTCGTGATCCACCTGCCTCGGCCTCCCAAAGTGCTGGGATTACAGGCATGAGCCACCACGCCTGGCCTTAGAAAACTTTTTAAACTAAAAAAATTATCTTGGCTGGGTACAATGGCTTATGCCTGTAACCTCAGCACTTTGGGAGGCTGAAGCGGGAGGATAGCTTGAGCCTAGGAGTCGAGACCAACCTGGGCAACATAACAAGATCCTGTCTCTACCAAAAAAAAAAAAAAAAAATTGTTTTAATTGAGGTGAAGGTCACATAACATAAAATTAACCATTTCAATGAACAATTCAGTTATGCTTAGTACATTCACAGTGTTATGCAGCCATCACCTCTGTCTAGTTTCAAAACATTTTTATCCTCCCGAAAAGGAAACCCTGTACCCATTAAACAGTTGCTCCCCATTCTGTTTCCATGGATTTACCTGTTGTGGACATTTCATATAAGTTGAATCACATGTATTATGTGACGTTTTGTGTCTGCCTTCTTTCACTTTTCATGTTTTGAGCATGTATCAGTACTTTGTTCCTTTTGATGGCTGAATATTCCATTGCATGGATATTCCAAGGGTCTATATTTTTATAAGTCTTTTTCCATAAAGTAATTTGGCTAGATACTTGCTGCCTTTTCTGTTTAATTGGAAGCTGCCATTACAGGTTGCTAGGTAAGTTTTTTTAAGAGACAGGGTCTTGCTCTGTTGCCCAGGCTGGAGTGCAGTGGTGGCATCATAGTTCACTGCTGCCTCAAACTGCTAGGTTCAAGCAGTCCTCCTGCCTCAGCCTCCCAAAGTGCTGGGAATACAGGCATGTGCCACCACATCCAGCCTGAAAAACAGTGTGTCTTGATGATGTTTAAGTTGGCAAACCTGTGTTGATAAACTGGAAAATTGTCTAAGAGATTTTAGTATTTTGTTTTTTTTTTTTTTTTTTGAGATGGAGTTTCACTCTTGTCGCCCAGGCTGGAGTGTAGCGGCATGATGTTGGCTCACTGCAACCTCTGCCTCCTGGGTTCAAGTGATTCTCTTGCCTCAGCGTCCTGAGTAGCTGGGATTACAGGCGCCTGCCACCACGCCCGGCTAATTTTTTGTATTTTTAGTAGAGACAGGGTTTCGCCATGTTGGGCAGGCTGGTCTCGAACTCCTGACCTCAGGTGATCTGCCTGCCTCGGCCTCCCAAAGTGCTGGGATTACAGGCGTGAGCCACCGCGCCCGGCTGATTTTAGTTTTTTTTTAAGCAAAGTTAATACTCTTGTCAACATCTTTATAAACTTTGCCACTTAGCATTTATTTCCTTTTAATCCTTGGGAACACCTGTGTTCTCTGTGTGTGATTTCCAAGGCTTTGGGACAGCAGGGGGCTGTAAGTAAAGAGAAGCAGGACTTGCTGCCTTCCAGGCTAGGCTCCCGCTCTTCCCAGGCCCATGGGCCACTCACAGATCTGGAGTGTTGTCACCTCCCGAAGGGTCACATACCTCTGAGTTGCCACTGAAGTTCCATTAATAAGTCATAGACATGATTCATTTTATTTGTACAATTTTTTTAATTTTCCTGTATTTTTAAGCGATGTCACAGTCATATTTGTACAATTCTTGAAGTTGGAGACTTGAGAAAAAATGTATTATCTTGGTGTGAAAAATATGAAGGGTTTCTGTTACTGTGGTATTTTAAAGAGTACTCTGGTTATCTTTGGGTGGCAGGGCTATGGAGAGATTTTTGTTTGCCCACTACGATTCTCTTTTTTTCCCTGACATGTATATTTTTCTTTAAAATGAAAAAAAAATTAAAGCTCTTATGCCAAGAGGAATCTCATGAAAGGAACTTCTCAACTCACAGAGGCCGTGAGCGCTGGCAGTGGTTCTCAAACTTGAGTTTGCCTCAGACTCATTCGGAGGTGGGAGAGTGATAAAACAGAGTCCTAGGCCCCACCTCCAGAATTTCCGATTCAGAAGATCTGAGGTGGGGCCCCAGAATTTGTATTTCTGATGGGTTGCCAGGGGCTGCTGATGCGGCTGGCCCAGGAGCCCACTTTGAGAGCTTCTGCTCTGTGCTGTTGTGTGGAAGCCGCCCTCTAATAGCGGCTGTTTTTTCCCCCAGCCTGGCTTGCTCCTCAGGCTCCCAGGAACCTGCCTCAAAACACAGGTCTCCACGACCAGGAGACAGGTGCTGTGGTCTGGACAGCTGGGTCCCAGGTGAGCTGTGGTTGATGCCTTCTGTCTCTTGAGTACCCACTCTCACCCCAAAACCCTCCTCCTTTCCAGAGACATGAGAAAGATTCTGTGTGGTCCATGGGGCTTCTCGGGTTATTTTGATTCTGTCCACTCTGACATCATCACATGGCTCAGAACCTGTCCCACTGGGAGCTGACCTCCCCTGCCTTTGCCTTGCCCCTGATCTGACAACTGTGATCCTGTCTCTGCCCCCACCCCAGGCTAGAGTGGTGCTATTTTATCGGTAGCAGCAGCTCCAGTGTTGTTACAGGGACCAGCCATGCGTGACAACAGAGCTGTATCCCTCTGTCAGCAAGAATGGATGTGCCCAGGCCCTGCACAAAGGGCCCTCTACAGGGGTGCCACCCAGAGGAAGGACAGTCACGTCTCGCTGGGTAAGGATCCATCTTCCCTCCAGGTCAAGGTGGATGTGTTCAGTTGTTCAGAGAGGCTGAAAGGACTTGAGAGGGAGGGAGACAGAGGGAGTGGGGAGACTGTTGGGTGGAGGGAAAGGAGGAAGTAAATGGGGAACCAGAGCAGGCCAGAGAGACACAGGCAGAGATCAAAAGAAAGGGGCAGCATGTGTGACCGGCAGTCAAGAACATGGGAGGTGAAGGGTGAGGCGGTGGAGAAGCAAAATGTTAGTGAGACAGAGTCAGAACAAGTAGTCCAGAGCCGGAGCCAGACAGGTGGCCACCAGGAGCACAGATGTGTTCATGCTGAATGTGCGCTCATGCACACAGGTAGCAGTAGTCGCTCCCGAGTTTCCCCAGTGGCAGAGGAGATTAACAAATAAAACCACCCAACCAGGACAGTCTACTATGCCCAGGCCTTCCGGGAGGAACCAGGCCCTTTCCCAGCATCTCAGGACACTTGGGGAAGGTTCTGCCAAGCAGACCGCTCTCTTGCCTTTCTCAAATCAGTTCTGTCCCATCTGGGCCAAATGCCTCCTCCTCAGAGCAGCCTCCCTGACCATGCAGATTCAGAGACAGACACTGCAGCTCACTGGGCCTAGATTTCTCCTCTGCTGCTTCACATGCAGGGTACTCCTGGCTAAGCCCAGGGTGGGAGGGACTACACAAGGCTGTGAACACAGGCCCTGTGACAGTGCCCCGCCTCACTCTACAATGTTGCCCTCCCCAGTGGTGTGTGGTTTTTCCCTGCTCTGCCCCTGCCATCCCTCCCCTCCTTTGCCAGGAACTCCCAGTTTCCTGGCTTCATCATGTGCCATTTCTTGCTGCTGCTTCAGGCTTCTGCACCTCATCTCTGTCCAGTTGCAGGAGAGTATAGTGTCTTTTTGAGCTCTGTATTGAGATTTGTATTACTAAGTATATATGGATAATACAATAAGGTGAGATATAAATATTTTTGTACTTGTGATTTTTAACTTATTAGGTGAAATTCACATGACATAAAATTAACCACTGTAAAGTGAACAATTCTTTGGCCTCTAGCACTTTCAGAGTGTTGTATAATTACCACCACGTCCAGTTCCAGAACCTTTCCATCTCTCCAAAGTAAGGTCCCACAACCATCCAGCAGTTTCTCCCCGTCCTTCCCCTGCAAGCCCTTTGCAGACACCAGTCTTCATTCTGTCTCTGTGGATTGAGCTATTCTGAATATTTCATGTAATGGTACCTGTAATTTTAACTGCTACAACATTAGGCTTATTGAATGAGGGCTTGTATTCCCCACACACTTTTGGTTTCTTGTCAACCATTGAGGATCCTTTAAAATTAGAGGTAAGAGTTGAGACAGAATGTGAGAGGACAAGTCATTCTTTCCACAAATATTAATTTAGTGCCTACAGTATCTCAGACCTAGTTCTAGGTCGTTAGGGATACAACAGTGAACAAACAGATAAAGATTCCTGCCCTGTGGGAAGAGACAGACCATAGCATAATCAGTAAGCGGCAGAAGATGTTAGAGGGCGATAAGCGCAATGGGAGAGAAGCAGCAGCAGAGCAGCGTGATGGGAGTGCTAGGGCAGAGGTTGGTTTGCAGTTTTCAGTTTGGGTCCTCAGGGTCGCCCTCACTGAGAAAATGACATTTGAAAAGACTTGCTGAAGGAGGAGGGATGAGCTATGCAGCCATATCCTACATGGAGGAAGAGTGTAAGACAGACGCAATGACTTGGGCTGGAGCGAGGTGGGCATGCCAGTTCACTGGCACAGAGTACACCCATGAGTAATGAGAAAACGAGCTCAGAAAGCCAGATCAAATGAGTGCTGCTAGCTGAGACTGAGAGGGAGCAATTAGAAACTTTTATAACAATTTGACACTGCTGCACTATTCGGTTGCATTTTTATTGTATTTTACAAAAGAAATAAGCACAAGACTCCTGTCCTTCATAGATAATTTGAGAAGTACTAATATGGGATCATGAGGCCCTACATGAAGGACTTTTTTCTTCTGAGTGAAATGGGGGAGCCTTGTGCGGTTCTGGGCAGAGGAGTAATAGTTTTAAAAGGACCACTTTGAGTATGTCACTTTATTTGGCACTTAACTCTACGTAAACATTTATTTGTGTCTCTTTTTGCTGGAGAGACTTCTATAGGACTGTGACCTCCTTGAAGGCAGGGTTCATGTAATATTTATATTTCTCAGAAACTGGCATTGTAGGCACTCAGTGTTAGTTAAATTGAATAACAAAGGAGGGGACTCCCTCTGGCTGTTGGGTTGAAAGTAGACCGTAGAAGGTCCAGAGTGGAAGCAAGAAGACCAGATAGGCTATGGCAGTGATCCAGGCATGAGGTGATGGTGGCTCAGTGTGGAGAAGAGGGGGTGACAAGAAGAGGCTGGTGCGCTTCAGAGCATCATGACCAGATGTTGGAATGCACTTGCTGGGACAGCTCTAGTCAAATCGGTCCTCATGAACTGGCCCAGATGGGCAGCAGGTGTGTGTGGTGAGGGTTATTTAGTAGCCAGCCATCCTGAACTGCTCTTCTCAGATGTTTACTACTTATTCTTACCTTGGTGTGTTAACTGCTGTCATTTAGTTTCCTGTATCTACAAGGATGACAGGAGATATAAACAGATAGAGATGGGCTGGCTGAGGAGGTATTCCTGTATCAGGGAGGGAACAGGCAGATATATCGTTACAACCAGCTCCTCTGTCCCCTGAATCTTTGCTTTCCTTGAGTATCACCTGTTCACTGTGTCCTCTTATGTGGCCACCCTCAGGAAGTCCCACAACTGTCAAGGCAGGCAAGCCACTACCCTTATTGCCAGCCACCTCTCCAGGAGGAATGAGTAGGATTGAGGATAATTAACGAGAAATTAAATAGGCAGCTTTAGTAAATAACCCTATAAGTCATTATCAGTGGAGGGAATGTCTTTTGTATTATACTAAAAGTTTTCATGTTTTAGACAAAAAGCCACAGTGAGATTTCTTCCTAGAAATAACAATAGCCAGTTGTGGCACGGTTTGAGAAACCAGGATGTAACTTTTTTTTTTTTTTTTTTTATACTTTAAGCTTTAAGGTACATGTGCACAAAGTGCAGGTTAGTTACATATGTATACATGTGCCATGTTGGTGTGCTGCACCCATGAACTCGTCATTTAACATTAGGTATATCTCCAAATGCTATCCCTCCCCTCTCTCCCCACCCCACAACAGGCCTCCGTGTGTGATGTTCCCCTACCTGTGTCCATGTGTTCTCACTGTTCAGTTACAACCTATGAGTGACAACATGTGGTATTTGGTTTTTTGTCCTCGCAATAGTTTGCTGAGAATGATGGTTTCCAGCTTCATCCATGTCCCTACAAAGGACATGAACTCATCATTTTTTATGGTTGCATAGTATTCCATGGTGTATACATGCCACATTTTCTTAATCCAGTCTATCATTGTTGGACATTTGGCTTGGTTCCAAGTCTTTGCTGTTGTGAATAGTGCCGCAATAAACATACGTGTGCATGTGTCTTTATAGCAGCATGATTTATAATCCTTTGGGTATACACCTAGTAATGGGATTGCTGGGTCAAATGGTATTTCTGGTTCTAGATCCCTGAGGAATCGCGACACTGACTTCCACAATGGTTGAACTAGTTTACAGTCCCACCAACAGTGTAAAAGTGTTCCTATTTCTCCACATCCTCTCCAGCACCTGTTGTTTCCTGACTTTTTAATGATTGCCATTCTAACTGGTGTGAGATGGTATCTCATTGTAGTTTTGATTTGCATTTCTCTGATGGCCAGTGATGATGAGCATTTTTTCATGTGTCTTTTGGCTGCATAAATGTCTTCTTTTGAGAAGTGTCTGTTCATATCCTTTGCCCACTTTTTGATGGGGTTGTTTTTTTCTTGTAAATTTGTTAGAGTTCATTGTAGATTCTGGATATTAGCCCTTTGTCAGATGAGTAGATTGCAAAAATTTTCTCCCATTCTGTAGGTTGCCTGTTCACTCTGATGGTAGTTTCTTTTGCTGTGCAGAAGCTCTTTGGTTTAATTAGATCCCATTTGTCAATTTTGGCTTTGGTTGCCATTGCTTTTGGTGTTTTAGACATGAAGTCCTTGCCCATGCCTATGTCCTGAATGGTAATGCCTAGGTTTTCTTCTAGGGTTTTTATGGTTTTAGGTCTAACGTTTAAGTCTTTAATCCTTCTTGAATTAATTTTTGTATAAGGTGTAAGGAAGGGATCCAGTTTCAGCTTTCTACATATGGCTAGCCAGGTTTCCCAGCACCATTTATTAAATAGGGAATCCTTTCCCCATTGCTTGTTTTTGTCAGGTTTGTCAAAGATCAGATGGTTGTAGATATGCGGCATTATTTCTGAGGGCTCTGTGCTGTTCCATTGGTCTATTTCTCTGTTTTTGTACCAGTACCATGCTGTTTTGGTTACTGTAGCCTTGTAGTATAGTTTGAAGTCAGGTAGCGTGATGCCTCCAGCTTTGTTCTTTTGGCTTAGGATTGACTTGGCAATGCGGGCTCTTTTTTGGTTCCATATAAACTTTAAAGTAGTTTTTTCCAATTCTGTGAAGAAAGTCATTGGTAGCTTGATGGGGATGGCATTGAATCTATAAATTACCTTGAGCAGTATGGCCATTTTCACGATATTGATTTTTCCTACCCATGAGCATGGCATTCTCTCTCTGTCATCAGGCTGGAGTGCAGTGGCACAATCTCAGCTCACTGCAACCTCTGCCTCCTGGGTTCAAGTGATTCTTCTTCCTCAGCCTCCTGAGTAGCTGGGACTACAGGCACACGGCACCACACCCAGCTATTTTTTGTTGTATTTTTAGTAGAGACGGGGTTTCACCATGTTGGCCAGGATGGTCTCGATCTCTTGACCTCATGATCTGCCCGCCTTGGCCTCCCAAAGTGCTGGGATTACAGGTGTGAGCCACCGCATCCAGCCTAGGATGTAACTTTTTAAGCTGCCAAAACTGCACACTGCAGTATGTACAGTCCTCCATGATCTAACTGACAGATCTAATTGACCTATTCTTTGTCCCCCAGCAACAGGTGTGCCCTGGGGCTATGAAGAGACCAAGACGCTCCTGGCTATTCTTAGTAGTTCTCAATTTTATGGAAAACTCCAGACCTGTCAGCAGAACAGCCAGATCTACAGGGCCATGGCGGAAGGACTCTGGGAGCAGGGTTTTCTGCGGACCCCAGAACAGTGTCGCACCAAGTTCAAAAGCCTACAGTTGAGTTACCGCAAAGTGAGGAGAGGCCGTGTGCCTGAGCCTTGTATCTTTTATGAGGAAATGAATGCTCTTTCAGGCTCCTGGGCCTCTGCACCTCCTATGGCAAGCGATGCTGTTCCTGGCCAAGAAGGAAGTGATATTGAGGCTGGAGAGCTGAATCACCAGAATGGGGAACCCACGGAGGTAGAAGATGGCACTGTGGATGGTGCAGACAGGGATGAAAAGGACTTCAGGAATCCTGGCCAGGAAGTCAGGAAACTAGACCTGCCAGTGCTGTTCCCAAACAGACTTGGTAAGACTCCCTTGGCTCTGATGGTCAAAGGATGGCAAAGTCCACTTTAGAGGCCATTAGCCTAGCAGTTGAGTAGGAGCTGTCACTGATCCTGGCATCATCATCATCTTGATGTGTGACCCTATCCAAGTTTTGGTTTTCATGGAGTTAAAGGTTATTCCCCTTGCATTTTACAGCCCTGATTTTGCATTTGCCAACCTCTTTCAACTAAGTTCATGTCATCTTTTCCCATGGAGTTTCACTATGCATTGTCAGACTGCTGGTTAGGCCTCCAGACCAGGTCCATCTTCTCCCTTTTTCTCTAGCATGGCCTTGCCTTTCACAGCCTGAGCCTATGCTGGCTGGGTACTTAGCACCTTGCTTTCTTCCTGTTTGAGCTGGCCAAGCCCAGGGTTGCCTTTTGTTATTCTGCTGCTAGAAGTTAGAACATTCAAGAATTGAGGGTACACCTATAAACAGACTGGCAGATGATATAGTGCTTAATGTCTTGCCTCAGTTTGTCATTGTGTCAGAACATCCGAAAAAAGATAGGAGAAAAGTTGGAGTTTAGGGCATAATTTTCCTGTAATAATTTGGAGCTCAAAAATATTACAATGAGAAAATAAAAAGCTATTAATTAGCAGGAGACTTAATCACATGAAGAATTTCAATTAGATATTTCTTCTACGTAGTATAGTTATAACTTTGCATTCCATTGTTTTCCTTCTCTATAGTCCATTGTATTTCTGTGGGGTTTTTTTTTTTCAGGTTTTGAGTTCAAGAACGAGATTAAAAAAGAAAATCTAAAATGGGATGATTCAGAGGAAGTAGAAATAAACAAGGCTTTACAGAGAAAGTCCAGAGGAGTTTATTGGCACTCTGAGCTACAAAAAGGCTTGGAGAGTGAGCCAACATCAAGAAGGCAATGTAGAAATTCTCCAGGGGAGAGTGAGGAGAAAACCCCATCCCAGGAGAAGATGAGTCACCAGAGTTTTTGTGCCAGGGACAAAGCCTGTACACATATCCTCTGTGGGAAAAACTGCTCTCAGAGTGTGCACTCTCCCCACAAGCCAGCGCTCAAACTGGAAAAAGTATCTCAATGTCCTGAATGTGGGAAAACCTTTAGCCGAAGTTCTTATCTTGTTCGGCATCAAAGAATCCACACAGGCGAGAAGCCTCACAAGTGCAGTGAGTGCGGGAAGGGCTTTAGTGAGCGCTCCAACCTCACTGCCCACCTACGAACTCACACAGGGGAGAGGCCCTATCAGTGTGGGCAATGTGGGAAAAGCTTCAACCAGAGTTCCAGCCTCATTGTCCACCAGAGGACCCATACCGGGGAAAAGCCTTACCAGTGCATTGTCTGTGGAAAGAGATTCAACAACAGTTCCCAGTTCAGTGCTCACCGGCGCATCCACACTGGGGAGAGCCCATACAAGTGTGCAGTGTGTGGGAAAATCTTCAACAATAGCTCCCACTTCAGTGCCCACCGAAAAACCCACACTGGTGAAAAGCCTTACAGGTGTTCTCACTGTGAGAGAGGCTTCACTAAGAACTCTGCCCTCACCCGTCATCAGACAGTACACATGAAAGCAGTACTCTCATCACAGGAAGGAAGAGATGCGTTATGAGTGTGTCGGTAAACTGTCAGATTAAGTTCCTCAGGTCAGCATGTATGAGCTTTCTTCTGCTGTGGAGAGATCTAGCCAGTCCCTGACTTTGCAACAGACCTACTGACTACTGGATCTTAAGACCCATGTCTAGGACCAGGAGTCAGCATAAGGACGCTGACCTCTCCTGGCTGTGCCTGTGACTCCAGAGTCCTATCTTACTGTGACTTAAAGTTTGATGGAGAGAAAGCTGTAGGATCCATAAATTCTACCAGGAAACCAGGGTCTTCCTGTTCCTAGCACTGAGAATGGGCACCCAGTGGTCCAAGAACACTTTCTGGGCTAACATAGTCCTCACACAGGGCTGAGAAAGAAAGTGTCTCCTTTCCTGGAAAGCACATGTAAAAGTTAAGGGCCTGAATCTCTTCTAAACCAATAATTGACCTCTAGGCACCCACCGTAATACTGCTACCTTCAGGGCAGAAGACACTGCTCTTTGTAACCCAGCCACCACCAAAAAGCAAACAGAAAGAAGGAAGGATGGTTAAGCCATTGGATAATACTGAATCTGTTTCCCTAAGTGACTTAACCTTAGAGCAAGCACAACATCCAGGTTAATTTTTTGTAAGATTTCTCCTTTTATTATTGCCCTCATCATAGTTCCTGATTGTCTCTTAAAGTAAGTGGTTTATAGACATTACTATTTCTGATAATAATTTACAAACTACTATAAACAAATTTATAAACATTACTAATTTCTGATGAAAATAAAGTTGTTTCTCCCTCCACTTCCTTGGCCTTTGGTTGTAATTTTCTCCATCAGAAACTATACTCGTGCAGAAGCCTGCAGGGTCCTGAAAATGATGTATGTAAGTGTAGAGCCTGCTTCAGGGCAGTAGGACATGCAGAGAAGGAATAGGGGTAGGAAATGGGGAAGAGGGAATTAATTGGATTGGGAAGGGTTTGTGCCATCATGAGAGGGAAGATCACAGAAACAAGGGAAAAACAAGGTTCATCAAGAGATTCTGACTCCTGAAGAGTTTAGTAGATGAGAATGGTAGGTGAAAGGAAGGATGGATATGAGAAACACTAGGAACTAAACTTAAAATTCATCTGTGATGAGTCACAGATAGTTAAACTTTTATGAAATTGCCATGGATAAAAAGTGGTAGAAGATAGGTACATTTGTCTATGGTTGTTGGCTGGTGCACACAAGGTAGTAGGACGTTTTCTAAGGTATGGTGCAAAACAAGCATCATGGTCTCTTGAGCTTTTTGAAAAGTTAAGCATTTGCCCCAAGAATACTTGCCAGCAGCACTGGCAGCTGCAGTGTTTACCCTGAGATAACTTTGCTACAAAATAGCTTGCTTTTATTATTTTTTGAGACAGGGTCTCTCTCTGTCGCCCAGACTGGAGTGCAGTGGTGCGATCTCAGGTCACTGCAACCTCTGCATTCCAGGTTAAAGCAATTCTCGTGCCTCAGCCTCCCAAGTAGCTGTGACTACAGGCCTGCACCACCATGCCCAACTAACAGGGTTTTGCCATGTTGACCAGGCTGGTCTTGAACTGGCCTCAAGTGATCCTCCTGCCTCAGCATCCCAAAGTGTTGGGATTACAGGTGTGAGCCACTGCTCCTGGCCATCTCTCTTTTATTATTTTCGCATTGCTCTAGTATATCAACTTTGGAAACAAAAGACATCATTCTATTTACAGCATTTAGTAGTGGTATTTCCTTTTACAAAATACAGTAATTCTCAATCGCTGAAAATGTCAAATCCTAGAAAACATAGCATTCTTACATATGATAACATCATTCTCTAACAGTTGTAAGCCAAAGATCTATTTGATGAATCTGATTTTTCTGAAAGACAATTCTGATGATTCAGGCAATTCTAATGTTATTTCTGTTTAGAAATAACTCCAAGAACAGTTTTTATATTTTATTTTCACATTGAAAATCAGTCACATTTGCTTCACCCTCAGAGAGCATGTTTATATGAAATTAAATGAGTGCTGGCAGCGAGCTTCACTTTTTTTCTAAGTGAGAAAAGTTAAATATGAGCAAAGGAGAATGTGCTTTCTACCTCAAATCCAGAAGAAAAAGAATTTAAGGGGACGAAGGAGAAGCAAAGGCAGAAGAGGAGAATATACTTTTGTTTCTTTATTGAGCTCTGCCTGGGCCACTGCTTCTCTCTGCATTTGCTGTCCTCGACCATGCCCCTAAGGAGAAGCTCTGCAGGACAGCTCCGAAAGTCACATATTTCACAGCCTCTGCTCAACTCAGAAAAAAACATCTTCAAAGGGCCTCGACAAAGAGGTGGGCTGGAATGTGACCTATTTGGGACACCATGACTTCATTGGTGATTCATGGTGGAGAAGAGGAGACAGGAGTGGACTAGTTACTGATGGGCTTTGGATTATCAGCTCAGAGAAGGTGGCTGGATAAATGAGGAGAGCCAGTGCAAGTCAACGGAAGAGATAAGGAAAGTGAGACACTTCGGGGCCTCACTAGTAGGCTCCTCCCATTCCTGGGCCTACCGTGGCCAGGTAAATGGGGGTACAACTGTTGAACTCCTTGCATGTTTAGGTTGCCTCTGCCCTCCAGGCTGCTTTGTCCTCTAGTCTGCTGGGCAGAAAAATGAAAACAAGTACCGTTAGAGTCTCCAATCCATGCCTGTCAGCCACTCTAGATGACCTGAAGTAGACAGGTAAGGGTTGGGAGAATCCATTCATTTATTCCGGAAACATGTGATTGCCTATAATATATGAGGTACTGGAGCCAAATATAAAGCAGTGAACAGGGCCAGGGGTGGTGGCTCACACCTGTCATCCCAGCACTTTGGGAGGCTGAGGTGGGCCGATCGCTTGAGCTCAGAAGTTTGAGACCAGCCTGGGCAACATGGCAAAGCCCCATCTCTACAAAAAAATATAAAAAATTAGCCTGGAGTGGTGGTACGTGCTTGCAGCTATTCGAAAGGCTGAGGTGGGAGGATGGCTTGAGCCCAGGAGGCAGAGGTTACAGTAAGCCAAGATCACACCACTGCACTCCAGCGTGCAAGATTCCCCATGTTAAGCGGAAAAAAAAAGCAGTGAACAAAGCTTCTTCCAGAAGCAGCCTCATTGGACTCTTCAGAGGTATCAGCACCAGTCAGGCAACACTGCCCAGCTCCCAGCTCCCAACCCCCAGCACCCTCGCCAAATCCAAGTCCCAGCTCTGCGGGGCCTCTCTTCCAAGCTTCCAAGGTCTGGTAAACCCAACCCTTTCTCTATCCAGACCCCATGTGTGGTAGCTGTTTCCTACAGTTACTATCTCTGTCACTGCAGTTTTCCCTTTACACTTTTTTTTTCAATTCTACCACACCCACTTTACAAATTCTTTACATTAAGTCCCCTCTTTGAAACATCAAGAATGGTTTCTGTTTTCCTGACTGGACTTTATTATCACATGTGATGCTAAGAGTTTGGATTTTATGATAAGTATAATGGGAAGCCACTGAATAATTAGGCAGGGAAAGACACAATTCTCTTATTCTGGCTGCTGTGTGGAGAATAGGTCAGAAGAGCTAAAAGTGGTAGCAAGGGGCAGGGCGCGGTGGCTCACGCCTGTAATCCCAGCACTTGGGGAGGCTGAGGCGGGCGGATCATGAGGTCAGGAGATCGATACCACCCTGGCTAACAGGGTGAAACCTGTCTCTACTAAAAATACAAAAAGTTAGCTGGGCATGGTGGTGGGTGCCTGTAGTCCCAGCTACTCGGGAGGCTGAGGCAGGAGAATGGCGTGAACCCGGGAGGCAGAGCTTGCGGTGAGCCGAGATCAGGTCACTATACTCCAGCCTGGGCAAAAGAGTGAGACTCCATCTCAAAAAAAAAAAAAAAAAAAGTGCTAGCAAAGAGACCAGGTAAGACTTTCTTAGCTGTGAGGTCTAGAAACTCAGTTGTCTAGTCTAGTGATGGCAGTGGATACAGAAAAAAGTGGATGGGTTTTGTACATTTTGGGCGCATAGTCAACATAATGTAGCGGTGATAGATTAGTTATGGAGGTGAAGGAGAGAGTTCTCATCTATGTCTATTACTAGGGATTTCCTATTATTATCTGGGTCAATGGGTGAAACTCAAATAAGTGGAGGTCAGAGAGGGAAAAGTAACTCACAGAAAGAAAGGAGAGATACAACCCCACATGGAAAGCAGGCCCTCTAAGTGGTATCTTTGAGAGGGAGAGTAGATTATCATCTCTCTTCTAGAAATGGAAATACTTCTTAGAGGGAGGAAGGATGGGCACACAACAGTCTTTGGCTCAATCCACAGTAAAGACAGAATTATAATCCAGGTTTCCCAGGGTGCAGAGGGCTCTCTTCTTACTAAGTCTTTTATGTAACTCTTCTAGGAGGGAATGTTTACTACCACTTAGCTTTTGGGCTGGGTCTTGGGGGCTAGGAGTCCAGCCAGGTTGGCTCCTCAATGTCCTCTGGTCCATTTCTTCATGGAGGGGACAGGGCTTTGGCACATGGCTGCTGCTCTCCTTGTGACGTTCATCTGGAGACACTTCAACTTGCTGTGACACAGCTCTGGATGTGCAAATAACCCAGCTCCTCAGGCTGCACAGCTATTGTTTTGGGCACCTTGCATTATCAGTACCAGGTTAGGTATTTTCACTAAACTGCTGTTTATCAAGGATGGTGAGGAAGGTCTTTGTTTCTTCAGCACCCTAGTGCATACCTTCCACCAGGAGGGTACACTCAGAATGACAGTTCAGGGCTGTTTCTCTCAGTCAATTGACCACAGGCCCTCACTATTTGACTTTCCATTGCTTAACAAGCCCAATACAACACTAACCACTTGAGAATGTATTGGAAGTATGTTGTACAAAAGGCAAGACCCCAAGTCTACAGATTTCCTCTTATGTCTAATACTACCCTCCAGGATTGGTGCAGCCCTTCAGAGGCCCATTAAAAAACCAGGTCATTCCCTGGTAAGTTACACAGTGGGCTCTCTACACTGTTTCCATACCTCCTTCCCTCACTGAAACATTTTAACTAGTTGATATAATTTTTTTTCAATTGACACTATTCCTTTTTTCCAAAGATTCCTAACCAGTCCCTGTAGACTGGATCAATCGTCTCGCTACAACCCAGAGAAGTTGGGCAGAGCCTACTGGCCGTCACTGGTCCATAGTTCTACCATGGCTCCTCTCAGCTGACAGTGGCTGTCAGACGGTCAGAGCCAAACAAGAGCTGGGCGCCTCATTCACCTTTCCTCTGGCTACCTCTCTGCTGCTTCTCTTGTGAGTTCAGTCTGGAAACAGCCCAGAACTTCTGGGATCCTGGCACAAAAACGCACCCATTTCATAGCTGACTTCATCACAGGCAGAATCCTTGGCTCCTCACAGTCCTGGAAATAGACTCAACCGTAACTTGGTTTCTGGGTAGAGACCAAGAGAAGGACTGAGTGTTCTTCACTTACAGAGAATATGGGACTCTAGCAAGCGGCCCCACCATTCCCCATCGTAGTCAGCCTGAAAGCTGTGAACTTGGTGTTGACCTGTGTGGCATCTGGAGGAAGCTGTACTCCTGCAGCAGCTCAGCCACTACCCTTACAGTTGGCCATTCCAGGAGCAAGTCTGGAGTTTTTCATAGATTTAAGATTTATGGAGATTTGTAAGTAAAGTCTTGGTTTCCTGGTAGCCCCAATTCATACCTGCCCTCCTAGGTTAGGTGACTTGCACAGTGACTAAATGAAAGAGCTGGACATTTTCCCCTCATCTGTAATTTCTCTTAAATGAGGATTCCTAGATGCCACCACCAGAGATTCTGATTTGTCAGTCTGGGGCAGTTTTCCAAGTGCTTTTGTGTGCTTATGCCTGTTTGAGAGACATGAACCCCTTTCTTAGAGAGAGAGGACACTGGGGCCTAAGGTCAGTATCAGACAACGAATGAACCTCCAGCTCTGCAGATTCCAACAAAAAGTGTTAGTATGGTGCTGTAGTGAGGGCTTTGGAGTGAGACAAACCGGGTTTAACTTCTAATTTTGTTATAACCTATTGCTGTGTGTCTTTGGACACTTACGTAAGTAGGTAAGTAAGTACACAAGTACTTAACCTTTCTGAGCCCAGCCTCTTCATCTTACAGTCAGTGATGACAATGTCTACCTCTCAGAGGGGTTTAAAGGGTTAAGTGCTTTCATGTGTGGAAGCCATTTACATGTAACCAACCACACTGTAAAAGCTTCACATATGCCAGCTATTACTGGATATGTCTTGAGTTTTACCAGGCAGGATAAACAAGCGCCAAACAACCTCCAACAGGCATTACTGATGGCTACATCTACAACTCTCCCAACACCATATTCTTCAGTCGGTCAGTGAGTTCATTTGTTCATTAAATACAGTATGATAAAACTGATATTTATTTTGCCCAGGTATGTTTATAATGTGCCAGGCAAAGAGAGATATGGAAGACCTGGTCACTGCCCCAAGGGAGAGGAGCTAGATTTTGAACATAGGTCAAATCAATTCCAAAACCTTTCATTACTTCCATTTCACTTTCACTCAGTTTTTACAGTCTAAAGGTAGAAAAGGCAAAAAGAGACCCATTTAAAAAGAAAGAAAGAGCTAGGCGTGATGGCTCAAGCCTGTAATCCCACCACTTTGGGAGGCCAAGGCAGGCAGATCACCTGGGGTCAGGAGTTTGAGACCAGCCTGGTCAACATGGTGAAAACCCATCTCTACTAAAAATACAAAAATTAGCTGGGCCTGTTGGCGTGCGCCTGTAATTCCAGCTACTCAGGAGGCTGAGGCCGGAGAATCGCTTGAATCTGGGAGGCGGAGGTTGCAGTGAGCTGAGATCACGCCACTGCACTCCAGCCTGGGGACAGAGTAAGAGTCTGTCAGAAAGAAAGGAAAGAAAGGAAAGGAAGGGAGGAAGGAAGGGAGGGAGAAAGGAAGGGAGGAAGGGAGGAAGGAAAGGAGGGAGGGGAAGGAAGGAAAGAAAGAAGGAAGGAAGGAGGAAAGGGAAGGAGGGAGGGGGAGGAAGGAAGGAAAGGAAAGGGAGAGAGGGAAGGAAGGAAAAAAGAAAAGAAAAGAAAAGGGGAGAGAGAAGGAAGGAAGGAAGGAATCAGAGATCTCACTTGTTACCCAGCCCCGCTTACCTACCATCAAGGTAGTGTCTGTTGGAATCCCCAGTTGGTTTTTTTTTCTTTTACAAGTCAAGACTTTAGACCCAGGCACAGGAGATGGTGACATAAATTGACATGTCAGAAGTAGAATTCATACCCCCAAGCACCAGCAGAGAGCTCTGTGGGGCTGGCCAAGCACACAGTGGGGCTTCACCCGTTCGTTCACACCTTCCCTTTACCCTCTCACCTTGGCTCTTAGCCTTTGTTGAATATCTGGGCTCTGGACCATTTCAGATCTACTGTCATTCTTTCTCAATGGCTAAGCCACCTGACATCTCCACATGGGATCTTCTAGTCCTCTGGTATTAACAGTATCTTTTGATTCCGGCTCACTCTGTCCAGACTAAACTAATCCCTATAAACCTGTTCAGAAAACTTGCTTATCAGTCCAAATTAAAATCAGGTTCTCTTCCTTGGGTGCCAATAGGTCACCATGAATGTCCCAAGTGTCTGAGGAGTAATGAAGAAACCACAGTTGATTGTTGCCTGGCAAGGGCTGACCAAGATAGACAAGAAGTTGCTCTGCAGAGCCCTGTTTTAACTCCAGCCTCATGCCAAACTGCTCAACTACCTTTGGTGCTAGAAGTGGTTGAAGGACTCAGTGGAAAGTAATTCCATGAAATTAGGACATCCTACCCCCAAATAAGCCTTTAACAGAAGTCCTCTCCCACAAGTGTGCAGCTGCTGTCACTACATAAGACCTGGAACTGAGGACTGCTGTCTGCCTCTCTCTGGTCACCCTGCCTATCTTGAGGATCTGTAAGTAGTGAAAACTCTGAAACTTTCACAGTGTGGCTGTGGTGGTCTCACCCACCCCTGATGGTGAGACCACCCCCGAGGAACCCAGGCAGCCAGATCCCCTGCTGGTTTCTTCTTCTGGGGCCTCTGGTGGCTGCTGGGCACAGTAGCTAAGTTAATGGAGAAACCCAAAGAGTTCTGTGTAAAACACCAAGACATGACCCTTCTAGGGGCTATCATGGAATATGGGCCTTTCTGAAGGGAGGACTGGAGGACATGACAAAGCTTAGATAAGGAACTGAGCTGTCTCAGTCTGGCAGCTGCACCACCATTTCACCTGCTTCTTTCCCCCAATTCTGGTCATGACAGAACTGTACGGTCATGTCTATGATGTCACAGGCACTGATGAGCTCTCATCCCTGGATTCTTCCCCTTCCAGCCTGAGACTCTTTTGTGTCTCACCATTTCTTGGAGTCACTGGGTTCCTCTATAAGGCCTTATGGTCTGAATGGTCCTGAGTATGAGCTCTGGCTCTTCTCTTGGGAAAGTCCCTGAGGAAGGGGGCTTCATTGGCTCTAATAGGAGCTTGGCAACTCCCCCCATAATCCCAGAGAAAAAAAAACCCTATCACTGACACCCTACCTCATCCCTTCAGAAATCCCTGTATGGGCTCAGAGAGCAGAGGTATGGTAACAGAGATTCCTGAAAGCCAGAGCTAAACACTTGAACGTGGAGCGGGGCAAGTGCAGCTGAGCAGAACAGAATTAGAAGAGCAGTCAGATATTCATGTGGCCAAGAAGCACGTGAAAAAATACTCATCACTAATCATAAGAGAAATGCAAATCAAAATCCCCATGAGATACCATCTCAAAGCAGTCAGAATGGCTATTACTAAAATGTCAAAAAATGACAGATGCTGGTGAGGATGCAGAGAAAAGGGAATGCTTATACACTGCTGGTGGGAATGTACATTAGTTCAGCCACTGTGGAAATCAGTTTGGAGATTTCTCAAAGAACTTAGAGCTACCATTCAACCCAGCAATCCCATTACTGGGCATACAGCCAAAGGAATAATCGTTCTACCAAAAAGACACACGCACACATATGTTCATTGTAGCGCTATTCACAATAGCAAAGACATGGAATCAATCTAGATGCCCATCAATGGTGAAGTAGATAAACAAAATGTCATACATATACACCATGGGATACTACACCACCATAAAAAAGAATTAAATCATGTCCTTTGCACCAACATGGATGGAGCTGGAGGCCATTATTTTAAGCGAATTAACAATGGAAGAGAAACCCAAATAACACGTGTTCTCACTTGTAACCGGGAGCTTAGAAGTACACATGGATACAAAGAGGGGAACAGCAGACACTGGGGCCTACTAGAGGGTAGAGAGTGGGAGGAGGGTGAGGACTGGAAAACTACCTATTGGATACTATGCTCATTACCTCGGTGACAAAATAATCTGTAAACCAAACCCCCTCGACAGTCAAGGTCTCAGCACCACAGCTGCCAGGGACACAGAGCACATCAGGGTCCTGTTGGCTTAGGGCAGTGCAGGAAGGTCTGTGGCTGCTCCCACCCCAGATCCACAGCTGTCACACCGTGCAGCACAGTACCCAGCCCCAAGCTGGTCCCACTTTGGCCCCCTCCCTCTCTCTCTTTTTTTTTTTTTTTTTTTTGAGATGGAGTCTCACTCTGTCACCCAGGCTGGAGTATAGCGGTGCGATCTCGGCTCACTGCAACCTCCGCCTCCCGGATTCAAGCGATTCTCCTGCCTCAGTCTCCTGAGTAGCTAGGATTACAGGCACGCGCCACCCACACCCGGCTAATTTTTGTATTTTCAGTAGAGACGGGGTTTCACCATGTTGGTCAGGCTGGTCTCAAACTCCTGACCTCGTGATCCACCTGCCTGGGCCTCCCAAAGTGCTGGGATTACAGGCGTGAGCCACTGCGCCTGGCCTCTGGCCGTCTCTCGAGCAGAAAGCCAGCTGTATTGATCTGTCTGGGGGAGAGGTGTGACTCAGACACTGAGGACTTAACTAAAGTGCCCACACCTTGCTGGGCATTGCAATCCCTCCATCACAGAGCAGGCCTTTCAAAAACCAGCAGATTCTCATTCAGAGTAGGACCAGGTGAACATAACCTGCAGAGGAGAAAGGATGCATTTTACAGGAGACAAATCTCCCATCCTTAATATTGTCCCTCTTTGGGACAGCTGTTTAGACCCTAGGAAATAACCTTCCTCCAGAGAGTAAAAAATATTACCACCGTAGTTGGCCCAAAAGCAGCTACCGATTAAGAAAGCATTCAAGGCCAGGTGCGGTGGCTCACACCTGTAATCCCAGCACTTTGGGAGACCGAGGTGGGCAGATCATCTGAGGTCAGCAGATTGAGACCAGCCTGACCAACATGGAGAAACTCCATCTCTACTAAAAATACAAAATTAGCCAGGCATGGTGGTGCATGCCTGTGATCCCAGCTACTCGGGAGACTGAGGCAGGAGAATCGCTTGAACCCGGGACTCGGAGGTTGCAGTGAGCCAAGATTGCGTCACTGCACTCCAGCCTGGACAACAAAAGCGAAACTCCGTCTCAAAAAAAAAAGAAAAAAGAAAAAAAGAAAGCTTTCAAGCTCAACATCCAATTATTTTAAATCCTAATCACTCTATTGAACTCCTAACATTACATTAGACTAATCTATTACTTAATAGAAGCAATAATGTTAATATTAGTAACACGAAGACATTCTCCATTGCATAAGCTTATATCAAACCAGAATCCACTGATAGTTAACAGCCTAATATTAATAAAGAATAAATACCCTATTATTTATACCATTAATCCAACACAGGTATGCTCTAAGGAAAGATTACAAAAAGTATAAGGAACTCGGGAAATCTTACCCCACCTGTTTACCAAAAACATCACCTCTGGCTTCACCAGTATTAGAGGCACCGCCTGCCCAGTGACATATGTTCAACAGCTGCGGTATCCTGACATTGTAAAGGTAGCATAATCACTTGTTCCCTAAATAGGGACTTGTATGAATGGCCACACAAGGGTTCAGCTGTCTCTTACTTTCAGTCAGTGAAATTGACCTATCCATGAAGAGGCAGTATAAACAAATAAGATGAGAAGACTCTATAGAGCTTTAATTCATTAATGCAAATAGAAACTCAAAAAAAGCCTACAGGCCCTAGCCTACTATCTTTGCATTAAAAATTTTGGTTGGGGTGCCCGGCGTGGTGGCTCACGCCTATAATCCCAGCACTTTGGGAGGCTGAGACAGGCAGATCACGAGGTCAGGAGATCGAGACCATCCCGGCCAATATGGTGAAATCCCGTCTCTACTAAAAATACAAAAATTAGCTGGGTGTGGTGGTATGTGCCTGTAATCCCAGCTACTCAGGAGACTGAGGCAGGAGAATGGCTTTAACCCGGGAGGTGGAGATAGCAGTGAGCCAAGATCGTGCCACTGCACTCCAGCCTGGCAACAGAGCCAGACTCTGTCTTAAAAAATAAATAAATAAAAAACAAAAAAAATAAAAATTTTCTTTTATTTCAGAGCATAATTCAACCTCCAAACTACCTAAACTAAGACCGCACTAGTCTAAGCAAGTTAACACACACTGACCCAATAATTTGATCAACGGAATAAGTTATCCTAGGGATAACGGCACAATCCTATTCTAGGGTCCATATCAACAACAGGGTTTACAGCTTCAATGCTGGATCAGGACATCCTAATAGTGTAGCCGCTATTAAGGGTTCGTTTTTTCAACTATTAAAGTCCCATGTGATCTCAGTTCAGATCGGAGTAATCCAGGTCGGTTTCTAACTATTTAACATTTCTCCTAGTACAAAAGGACAAGAGAAGCAGGGCCCATTTCACAAAGCACCCTTGCCACCATAAATGATGCTGTCTCAATCTAACAAATCATCACACACTCTACCATCTTAAACAGTGTTTAAGATGGCAGACCCCGGCAATTACCTAAGACTTAAAACTTTAAAATCAGAGGTTCAACTCCTCTTCTTAACAATATGCCTATAATCAATCTTCTCCTACTTATTATTACCACTTTAATCGCTATAGTATTCCTTACACTCATTGAATGAAAACTCTTAGGCTACATACAATTACGCAAAGGACCTAACATTGTAGGTCCCCATGGACTGCTTCAACCATTCGCTGATGCAATAAAACTTTTCGTCAAAGAACCCTTACGTCCCTCAGCGTCTACTATTACCTTTTATACTACTGCTCCAACCCTAGCTGTTTTGATCGCTCTCCTCTTGTGAACTCCCCTCCGCATACCAGATGCTCTAATTAATTTTAATATAGGCCTCCTATTTATACTAGCCACATCAAGCCTAGCCATCTACTCTATCCTATGATCAGGATGAGCATCTAATTCAAATTACACACTAATCGGCACATTACAAGCTGTAGCCCAGACAATTTCATATCAAGTCACTCTAGCCATTATCCTTTTATCAGTTCTACTAATAAGTGGCTCATTTAACTTACATGCATTTATCACAACGCAAGAATTCCTCTGACTGCTTCTACCATCATAACCCCTAGCCATAATATGATTTATCTCCACACTAGCAGAAACAAACCGAGCCCCTTTTGAACTAACAGAAGGAGAATCAGAGTCAGTCTCAGGCTTTAACATCGAATATGCCACAGGTTCATTTGCCCTCTTCTTTATAGCAGAATATATGAATATTATCGTAATAAATGACTTAACTATTACCATTTTTCTAGGAGCACTACACACTATATATTCACCAGAACTCTATACCACAAATTTCATTACCAAGACCTTTCTTTAACCACCCTGTTTTTATGAATTCAAACAGCATATCTCCAATTCCGCTATGACCAACTTATATATCTTCTATGAAAAAATTTCCTACCGCTTACACTAGCACTCTGCATATGATGTATCTCAATGCCTATTCTAATTTCCAGCATCCCACCCCAAATATAGGAAATATGTCCGACACAAGAATTACTTTGATAGAGTAAACAATAAAGGTTTAAATCCTCTCATTTCTAGGACGAAAGGAATTGAACCCACCCCTGAGAATCCAAAATTCTCTGTGCTACCCATTACACCAAGTCCTAAAGTAAGGTTGGCTAACTAAGCTATCGGGCTCATACTCCAAAAATGTTAGTTATACCCTTACTGTACTAATAAACCCATTAGCTCAACTTATTATTTCCCTTACTGTTTTCACAGGAACTCTTACCACAATGCTAGGCTCACATAGATTTCTCATCTGAACAGGCCTAGAAATGAACATACTAGCTCTTATCCCAATCTTAATTAAAAAGATAAATTCAGCCAGGCGCAGTGGCTCACGCCTGTAATCCCAGCACTTTGGGAGGCCAAGGCGCGTGGATCACAAGGTCAAGAGATTGAGACCATCCTGGCCAACGTGGTGAAAGCCCGTCTCTACCAAAAATAAAAAAATTAGCTGGACGTGGTGGCGAATGCCTATAGTCCCAGCTACTCAGGAGGGTGAGACAGGAGAATCGCTTGAACCCAGGAGGCGGAGGTTGCAGTGAGCTGAAATCGAGCCACTGCACTCCAGCCTGAGGACAGAGCAAGACTCCGTCTCAAATAAACAAACAAAAAAAGATTTACAGTCTAATGCTTACTCAGCCATTTTACCCTTTTCCCACTTAAGTTCATTAATCGTTGATTGTTTTCAACTAACCACAAAGACATCAGAATACTATATTTAGTATTCGGCGCATCAGAGGGAATAGCGGGCACCACCTTAAGCCTTCTAATTCAAGCAGAATTAGGCCAACCAGGAACTCTGCTAGGAGATGATCAGATTTACGATGTTACTGTTACCGCCCACACATTCGTCATAATTTGTCTTTATGGTAATACCAATCATATTTGGGGGTGTTGGCAACTGGCTAGTCCCTCTGATGATTGGTGCACCTGATACGGCATTCCCCCGGATAAATAATATGAGCTTCTGACTTCTCCCCCCATCTTTTCTACTCCTACTTGCATCTTCAGTAGTAGAAGCCAGCGCTGGAACCGGCTGGACAGTTTATCCCCCTTTAGCAGGAAACCTAGCAGGAGCCTCTGTGGATCTAACCATCTTCTCACTCCACTTGGCAGGTGTTTCTTCTATTTTAGCGGCCATTAACTTTATTACAGTTATTAACATAAAACCCCCAGCCTTATCCCAATATCAACCACCCCTTTTCATCTGATCAGTCCTCATTCTGGCAGTCCTTCTCCTCCTTTCTCTCCCAGTCCTAGCCGCTGGCATTGCCATATTATTAACTGACCGTAACCTCAATACTACTTTTTTTGACCCTGCTGGCAGGGGTAACCCTATTTTGTATCAACATTTATTCTGATTCTTTGGTCATCCTGAAGTCTATAACCTTATCCTACCAGGCTTTGGGATAATCTCCCATATCGTAACCTATTACTCTGGAAAAAAGGAACCATTTGAGTATATGGGCATAGTATGAGCCATAATATCAACTGGCTTCTTAGGATTTATCATACGGGCTCACCATACATTTACAGTAGGAATGGATGTAGACACACGAGCATACTTCACCTCCGCCACTATAATTATTGCTATCCCTACTGGAGTCAAGGTCTTTAGCTGATTAGCTACACTGCACGGCAGTAGTATCAAATGATCTCCCACAATATTCTGAGCACCTAGGATTCATTTTCCCATTAACAGTAGGAGGTTTAACTGGCATTATACTAGCTAATTCATCATTAGACATTATTTTACAAGACATATATTATGGTGTGGCCCATTTCCACTATGTTCTATCAATAGGAGCGGTATTTGCCATCACAGGAGGCTTTGTCCACTGATTCCCCCTATTTTCAGGTTATATACTTAATCAGACGTATGCTAAAATCCACTTCATCATTATATTTATAGGTGTTAATTTAACCTTTTCCCCACAGCACTTCCTCGGCCTGTTGGTGTGCGTCGACGTTACTCTGATTAACCTGATACATACACCACATGAAATGTTATCTCATCAGTAGGCTCATTTATCTCATTAACAGCAGTCATATTAATAATTTTCATAATCTGAGAAGCCTTTGCTTCAAAACGAAAAGTTCTAACAATTGAACAAGCATCTACTAATTAACAGTGACTTTACAGCTGTCCACCACCTTACCACACATTCGAAGAGCCAATCTATGTGAAAACCTAAACGAAAAAGGAATTGAACCTCCAGAAACTGATTTCAAGCCAATCCCATAACCTGTATGACTTTCTCGATATTAGTAAAATCATTACATAACTTTGTCAAAGTTAAGATATAGGATAAACCCTGTATGTCTTAATGGCTCACCCAGTTCAGTTAGGCCTTCAAGACGCTACATCCCCTATTATAGAAGAACTACTCACTTTCCATGACCACACTCTTATAATTATTTTCCTAATTCAGTTGCTGCAACTCTTTAGAATCACCTCCTGCTAGGTCTGATAAAAACTCTACTCTGGAAACAGAATGAGGTCAGTGTCAGTTCGTTTCTACTTCACTTTCTTAACCCTAGGAAAGAAGGTATAGATTTCTCATGCCATTCAGTCCAGCTGCGTATATGGGACACAATGTTAACCAGTGGAAATAATACAGACTTTATCCTTCAGGTGAATCTGGTTTGAGTCCAAGCTCAACTCCATACTAAGTGATTTGGGGCAAATTATTCAACTCCTGTGATCTGCTTTTTATCATCTGAAGATAATAACAGCCACCTTGCAGGGCTGGGCGCGGTGGCTCACACCTGTAATCCCAGTACTTTGGGAGGCCGAGGCGGCTGGATCATTTGAGGTCAGGAGTTCGAGACCAGCCTGGCCAACATGGTGAAACTCCCGTCTTTACTAAAAATACAAAAAAGATTACCAGGGCGTGGTGGCGGGTGCCTGTAAACACAGCTACTCGGGAGAATGAGGCAGAAAAATCGTTTGGACCCAGGAAG
This sequence comes from Homo sapiens, assembly GCF_000001405.40. NCBI lineage: Eukaryota > Metazoa > Chordata > Mammalia > Primates > Hominidae > Homo > Homo sapiens. The sequence goes on along the minus strand of NC_000016.10, from coordinate 3,366,946 downwards.
TCGAGGTTGCAGTGAGCCGAGATTGCGCCACTGCAGTTCAGCCTGGGGGACAGAGCGAGACTCCCTCTCAAAAAAAATAAATAATAAATAAATAATACCCACTTTGCAGGACACAGGAAAAGAGTAGAAATATTAGTAAAGTATCTAGTCCAGTGCTTGGCACTCGGAAGTAAATAAATGGTACCTGATGGTAGTAAGAGAAACCCCAACTTGCAGGAACTTCATAGCATATATTACTACTTGACATGTAAGTTTAACGTCTGTCACCCCCCGCAAGAATGTGAGGTTTTTCAGCTCAAAGCTGAATTCTAGCATCTTGAATAGTGTTTAGTGCTAAACAGATATCTGGCAAATGAATGGGTGAAAAAAATAAGAGGAAGACTGGGCTCATCAGACCTGATTAACCAACTGCGCATCAAATACTTAAGCATTATAAAGAACACAAAATGAGGCCGGGCGAGGTGGCCCACGCCTGTAATCTCAGCACTTTGGGAGGCTGAGGCGGGCCAATCACGAGGTCAGGAGATCGAGACCATCCTGGCTAACATGGTGAAGCCCTGTCTCTACTAAAAATACAAAAACAAAAAATTAGTCGGGTATGATGGCAGGCGCCTGTAGTCCCAGCTACTCCGGAGGCTGAGGCGGGAGAATAACGGGAACCCGGGAGGCGGAGCTTGCAGTGAAGCCGAGATTGCGCCACTGCACTCCAGCCTCGGCAACAGAGCGAGACACGGTCTCAAAAAAACAAAAAAAGAAAAAAAGAGACAAAACTAGTCTTCCGCTGAGATGTCTCCAACATCTGCTGTCTCTCCATTTCCGCTGTCATTCCAGGGTAGGGTTTCAGAACCTCAGCACACTGACATTTTGAGCCAGATCGTTTTTTGAGTTCTTGGGGATGGGGAGTGGGGTGGGAACCCCGTGGACCTTGTAGAATGTTTAGCTGCATCCCTGGCCTCCACCCACTAGACGTCAGTAGCACCCCTCGGTAGTGACAACAAAACTGTCTCCAGACAGTGTCAATTGTGCTCTGGCAGGGGGGCGCTGGTTGAGAACCCCTGGTCTAGGGACATATTAGTGCCTTTGCTCACCAAAATTTTCCCTCCTGAAGTCCCCAAGACCTAATTCATCCTTTCCATAGATAATAAACACGAGAGACAGCTGGTCTCTATCCCTCCCAACCATGGAAGGGCACCTGAGCCTAGGTATCGGAAATGTGGAAGAAAAATTTCATGTCCTCAAGGAGTGCACCATCAAAGACAAAAACCCCAGGATGAGGATTGATGACGCCACTACCCCCATCTTCTTGAAGCATCCTAATCCTCTGAACTCTCCGGTCCTGTCTGTAACCTCTCAGGGTGCTCCATCTTAACCCGCCTAACGCTGTAATTTGTTTCTGGTGGGTTTATCCACTCCAACAGTCTGGGGGCTCGCTGAAAGTAAACAGCGTTTCTGTGCTGTCTTCGTGTCCCCACCGCTCAGCACAAGGGCGCAATCGAGCTTTAGGAAACGAGTGTTTTCTTAGCGTGAAGGGCAAAAGGCACCCAGCCCTTCAAAGGAGGCCTCACTGGGGAACCTGAACGGACTGGAGCTCCGAAGGGCAACAAAGCCGGCACTCCGGACTGCCACGTTCCCCACGCGTCCCCAGAGGACCCAGTTCACTCTGCATCACGCAGCCACTCCGAGTTTTTGCGTCCAGGAACCCAGAGTGCAATCTGAAAGTCTCAGGACAGAGAGCAGAGCCACAACCCTTAAGCCCCGCCTCACCAGAAAAGGCCCTCACGAACACGAATCGCCAGCCACGCCACCTTTTCTACTGCGTCACGCCGGAAGCTGTTGCGGAGCACGCCGGAAGCTGTTGCGGGGCACGCCGGGACCTCAAGAGGGCCAGAGGCATGCGCAGTAGCTAAGCCTGTAAAGAGAGGAGCCAGTCGCGCGAGTGTGGTTCTAAAGGACCGCCCTCTTCGCCTGGTTTCCGCCCTTCGCTAATTGACAGCAATTTCATTAATGAAGCCCGCCTTGCGTCATATGCTGAGACCAATCACAATGCCTGAGAACCCAGGGCCCGGATCCCGCTGGGCATGCCATCCTGTTTTACGCGTTAGGTGAGAGTAGCCCTGATAGAAAACGTGGCGCTTGCTGTGTGCCCTGCGTAATTGTAAACATTTACACACTAACTCATACTTACAGCAACCCTACTCAGTCAGTTATATTACCATTTTCATCTTCCAGACGAGGAAGCCAAAACAGAGTTTAAGTGACTTTCGTTGACTAGAACTCGTATCTAATCCAGTGGCTTTTTTTCCCCCCACTCTAAGTTGTTTTTATTTCTTAATATTAAGTAAGTACTGCAAAACGTTCTCACTTAAAACTGAAGTCTCCACGCCAGTAATCCCAGCATTTTGGGAGGCCGAGGCGGGAGGATCACTTGAGTCCAGGAGTTCGATGCTGCAGTGAGAGGTAATTGCCACTGCACTCCAGCCTGGGCGGCTGAGCGAGATTGTCTCAAAATAAATAAATAATAAATAAATACAAATGATTAACAAAATATATTCATACTTTGCCTCTGAAATTACACTCCCTCCCTAGAGAAAATAACTGTTACTGAGGCAGAGGAATAGGGTCTGGAGGCAGGAAACCTAACTGATTCACGCTGACTTCCTAGAACTAAATCAAAAGGAAAACCCCAACTTTCCCTTTCCCCACCTAAGTAAGGAAAGGACCCACTGAAAGGACTGGAGGCTACTCCCTTTACAAACTCCATCACCTCTTCTGCGTGGCAGACAAAAATTTGAAAGTATCAGATGCTTGCATAGCGTGTAACCTTTGTAACTTCACTTCAGCCTCTGGTTGCACAAAGCAACCTAAGGGAACCTAGGGCCGATTACGGGCCACTACTTCATTTACATAGGGTGTACACCAAGTGACCAATAGGAAACCTGTAGAGGGTGTTTAAACCCCAGAAAAATTCTGGCACATGCCTGTTGAGCCCCTATGCTCTGCGGGCTGCCACCTTGTGGAGTGTACTTTTGTTTTCAATAAATCTGTGCTTTTGTTGCTTCATTTTTTTCCTTGCCTTGTTTGTGTGTTTTGTCCAGTTCTTCGTTCCAAACGCCAAGAACCTGGACACCCTCCACTAGTAACATTACTAGTGTGTATATCTTTCTGGTTCTTAATATATAATTTTTTTTACATTTACTAATTCTTGTCGGTTTTTTCCATTTATATATATAATTTTTGTTTTTTTCTTTTCGTTTATATATATATATAATTTTTTAAAGCTGCATTTAGGCATGTACCACCATGCATATTCTTTTTAAAATGTTTTTCCATGCTGCTCCCCACCTCCCCCCACCACAATATATATAATCGACCATTCCTCTTTTGGTGGACATACAAATACTTTTCTAATTTTCACGTGTGTGTGATTCCGGATTGGGTATTCTGGGTATATTTTGAAGAGGGAGCTACTAGATTGAGATGTGGAGTGTGAGAGAAAGAAGAGTGGAGGATCATACTAAGGCTTCTATGTAGTCTTTCTGCCTTCAGTCTTGCCCCCCTTCATTCATCCATCATTTATGAAGGCCCTGGTAGCACAAAGGAGTAGTACCTCATCAGGATATAAATACAGGGAGTGGGATGTGAAATAGGTTGATGACACTTCTAAGAAAAGTATGCCATCTTTGATTAAGAATAACCATGGAGGAGTTTTTTAAACACATGCATTTCTTATGTGGATTATCTATTTTGATTCCTACAATGTTCCTGCCACCTGTTATAGTCATTTTACAGATGATGAGACAGAGTGCTATAAAGAGCCACTGACTACCCTAACTAATTAGTTGCAGAGTGCACCCAAATACTCAAGTTCTTGACTCCCAGAGTGTTGAACTTTCTGAGGCACCTTGCTGCCTTTCTATTCAGAGGGCAGGGTAGTAGATGACTAAATGGACAGAAAAGAGAGAGAGAAAGAGAAAGCAGAGCCTGAGTGTGGGAAAAAGCAAGGGCAGAGCACTGCTTTGCATGTCAGATATAAGTATATACATATATATACACACATATGTATTTCTCTTTCTCTCTGTGGCCTGTGGGTTGGATACCCTTATTATAAACCATTAAATAAAACAGAAAACCTTAATTGCATAAGATAGAACCAAATAAATGAACAAATTGAGTTTAATTAGTAGCAGGATATTTACATAGTTTCAAAGTACTTCCCCATAAGACACTTATTAATTACAAAGAGGGAAACAATGGGAAAGCTGGTCAACACAATCTTCATTTAGTGATCCACGTAACACCATTAGAAATGAAAACAACTGAAATATACACCCCCTGATAGGACACAATGAGAAGAATGCAACCTCCCATCTGTGATATTCCTGCCAAAGATGCTAACCTGAGTCTATATGTGAAGAAACTTCAAACCCAAATGGAGACATTGTCTACCAGATAACTGGCTAACAATCTTTTATAGTGTGGCAATCATGAAAGTCAAGAAAAAAACTGAAGAACCATCTCAGACTGACAAAGACTAGAGACATGACAACTAAATGCAATGTGTGATTGTGAAGAAAATTCTTTCGCTATGAAAGGCATCGTTGGGACAGTTGGCAAACATTGAACGGGGTCTGCAGATTAGATAATGAAATGTATTAATGTTCATTAAAAAAAATTTTTTTTTGAGATGGAGTCTCACTCTGTTGCCCAGGCTGGAGTGCAGTGGCATGATCTTGGCTCACCGCAGCCTCTACCTCCTGGGTTCAAGCAATTCTCTTGCCTCAGCCTCCCGGGTAGCTGGGATTATAGGCATGTCCCACCATGCCCAGCTACTTTTTGTATTTTTAGTAGAGATGGGGTTTCACTATGTTGGCCAGGCTTGTCTTGAACCCCTGACCTCAGGTGATCTGCCCACCTCGGCCTCCCAAAGTGCTAGGGTTACAAGTGTGAACCACTGTACCTGGCCCATTTTTCTAATTTTGATGGTTATATTGTGGCTCTGTAGGATAATGTCCTTGTTTGTTGAAAACACACCACAAGATATTTGGGGAAGACAGGGTGTCAGGTTGCTAACTTACTCTCAAATAATTGGAGGTCAGGGGAAGTCTTTGTTTCATGCTTCCAACTTTTCTGTAAGTTTGCGATTGTTTTTACAAAAAAGAGTACGCACAGCTTTAGAGTCAAGACGATTATGCTTTGATTCCCTACCCTACCAAAGCATGATCTTGGGCAAGTTTCCTTTTATGCTGCAGTGTCCTCATCTTAAAATGAGGACTAGCATATGCAGTAAGCCGAGATCACGCCACTGCACTCTAGCCTGGGCGGCAGAGCGAGACTCTGTCTCAAAAAAAAAAAAAAAAAAAAGAGGACAAGCATAATAGCAGGTGGCCCATGGATTGTGAGGATTGAATGAGTGGAAGTGTGTAGAGTTTAGATCCTCATCTAGCAAATGGTGAATACTCAGTACACTTAGCCACCGTTGGTCAAATACACTAGACCTTTTTGCAAAGTCATTAATAGAGCTTCCAAATTAGTCTATTATTTAATTATGTATCTATTTGAGACAGAACCTCACTGTGTCTCCCAGGCTGGAGTGTTGTGATGGAATCACGGTTCGCTGTAGTCTTGAACTCCTGGGCTCAAACGTTCCTCCTGCCTCACCATCCTGAGTAGCTGGGGATATAGGCAAGCACCACTACACTCAGCTAATTTTTAAATTTCTAGTAGAGACGGGATCTCAGTATGTTGCCCAGGCTGGTGTTAAACTCCTGGGTTCAAGCGATCCTCCCTCCTCGGGCTCCCAAAGTGCTGGGATTACGGGTGTGTGAGCCACTGCGTCCTACCATAGTCTCTAATTCAGAGCTCACATACTAAAGTGTATATGCAGCAAGCCAAAGTCACTTTTCAACTTCTATTTCTTCCCGGTTCCTTGATTCTAATCTTTCCTAATCTTTCCTGGACTTGAGCCTGAAGGCTGAGAAGAATGGAAAAGGATTGACTGTCTTCATTGGCAGCTTCAGAATTTGCTCATTTGAGGTATTCAGGCAGCCTTTGATACCTTAAACGGAAAGGTATGGGATCCAGACAGACTCTGAGAAGGGCTCTATGCGATGGGCTCTCAAACTCACTTAAATCCAGTGAGCAGATGAGCATATTCAAATGCTTTTCATTTCTATTTTACTAAGGTTGGTGAGTCTTTCATAGGTCTTGGTGGTTTTAGTGTTTTGTTGTTGTTTGTTTGTTTGTTTGTTTTTTAGACAGAGTCTCATGTTGGCCAGGCTGGTCTTGAACTCCTGACCTCAAGTGATCTGCCTACCTCATTCTCCCAAAGTGCTGGGATTACAGGCGTAAGCCATTGTGCCCGGCCCTTGGTGGTGGTTTTGTCTGTCATTTCCTGAATTTCCAACTGAACAAGACACCAAACATATTTTTTTCCTGGACACCTAGAAATAGGACTCCAAACCCTCAATAACAAGGAGCTTGCTTTATATTTGCTTCTTTTCCTCCCAAATTTTGACCTTGTTTCATGAACACCATTGAGAATGGAACATAAGCGTATGTGTGTTGACGAAGTTATATGCGATCCCTGTGATGTATTCATTTCCTCACCATAGCCAGTCAGCTTGTTCTTCTTCCTCTAATTCCCTGTGTCTTACCACACCCAGAACTCTGTGTTAGTTACAAAATGTCCAATTTTTTCCATATGGAGGCTCTACAGCACTCATATGTCTCAGGAATACCTGTCCATTTTCTTCCTATTTCCTCCCAAGTTATTTCACAACTTAAATGAATTGACTGGAGGATGCAACTGTTCAGTCTCTTGGTACTGTTCTCATAACGTAATCAGCTGGCATTTTGGTTTATATAACAGCTTTAGGAACTTGGTCATTGTGAACCTACTTCTTGAGAACTTGACCTAATCTGAGTGTACTGATCAATGAAAATGTTGAGCCTGGCCATGTGCAATGACTCACACCTGTAATCCCAGCATTTTGGGAGGCTGAGGAGGGTGAATCGCTTGAGACCAGGGGTTTGAGACCAGCTAGCCAACATGGTGAAACCCTGTCTCCACCAAAAAAAAAAAAAAAAATTGGCCTGGCATGGTGGCATACACCTGTAATCCCAGATACTCAGGAGGCTGAGGCACAAGAATTGCTTGAACCCAGGAGACAGAGGTTGCAGTGAGCTGAGATCGCCACTGCACTCCAGCCTGGGCAACCGAGCAAGGCTCTGTCTCAAACAAAACAAAACAAAACAAAACAAAACCAGTGTTGAGCCTGCAAGACTCTGGACTTTAATAAATTCGCCAAGATAATGTTAACAGTTGTCTACTTCTGGAGACGTATTTGAGTATTGCTGTATGAGGAACTGGCAAAATGGCTTTGATCTGCTATTGGAAAAACAAACTCATGACAGGACAGTATGATTAGATGTCTTTGGAAGGAATTATGGTAATGTGGAAAAGGGAACATTTATCATTGTTTGTTCAATGCTGTCCAAGGGATGGGATGACCCCAAAGTGGCAAACATGAAGACGGTCCATTTGACAAATTTAGTTCTTAGCAAGATAAAGGAGGACTCATGAAGCTTATTAATTATATTTGCTAAACACTTATTGAGTATCTACTATGTATAAGGCATGTGTTTCAAAATTATGGGGACACAAAGCCAAAGCCCCTTTTGAACTAGTTCTAAAACCTATTGATTCCCTTTTCTATGGTAATGTAGTTGTCATGCAACTTTCTTATATTAACCTAGCTTCTCTGTCTGGGAAAATAGTAAATGAATCGTGGTAACAGGTGGGGATCCCTTTGGCAATTCTAGGAATGTGCAGAATCACAAATTGGCATTCTGATCCCAACATGTGAGTTCCTGAAAGATGAGTAATTAATTGTGTGCTGAACTGATTGCTGAATTTTAGGAACTGCAGGGCTTCAAGACTAGATCTTGAGGCAGAGAACATACTTTATGGATGGATGATCTTTCCTGGGGTCTTAAATTTGCATAAGGAATCTTAGGACATTCCATTATCCACTGACCAGACTAGCATACCCAAATGCTGGTAAGACATCTGATGTCTGGGACTTTTGGATGGGATGATTTCAATAAGAGAGTAGCAAGGGACCCTCTTTGGCTAGAATCAAAAGGCAAATGACCTTTTTGTTTTGTTTTGTTTTATTTTTGGAGACAGAGTCTTGCTCTTGTCACCCAGGCTGAAGTGCAGTTGTGCAATCTCAGCTCACTGCAACCTTAGTTCACTGCAACCTCCACCTCCCGGGTTCAAGCAAGTCTCCTGCCTCAGCCTCCCAAGTAGCTGGACTATAGGTGTGCACCACCACACCTGGCTAATTTTTGTATTTTTGGTAGAAATGGGGTTTCACTATGTTGGCCAGGCTGGCTCAAACTCCTGACCTCAGGTGACCCACCCACCTCAGCCTCCCAAAGTGCTGAGATTACAGGCATGAGCCACTGTGCCCAGCTGCAAATGACCTTTTTAATCTTTTCTTTCTTTTTTTTTTTTTTTTTTTTTTTTTTTTGAGATGGAGTTTCGCTCTTATTGCCCAGGCTAGAGTGCAGTAGTGCAATCTCGTCTCACGGCAACCTCCACCCTCCAGCTTCAAATGATTCTCCTGCCTCAGCCTCCCAAGTCGCTGGGGTTACAGGCACCCACCACCATGCCCAACTAATTTTTTTCATATTTTTAGTAGAGACGGGGTTTCACCGTGTTGGTCAGGCTGGTCTCGAACTGCTGACCTCGTGATCCACCCACCTCGGCCTCCCAAAGTGCTGGGATTACAGGCGTGAGCCACCGTGCCTGGCTTAATCTTTTATTATTAAATAATAGATTAGTAGAAGAGAAATTGGAATATAGGCATAAGGGAGAGGGTAAACAAGATGATGGAGAGATATATGGATGGAAAGTATGGACAGATATACTACATTATTATTATTGTTATTATTATTATTATTGAGACGGAGTTTTGCTCGTTACCCAGGCTGGAGTGCAATGGCACGATCTCAGCTCACCACAACCTCTGCCTCCCGAGTTCAAGCGATTCTCCTGCCTCAGCCTCCCGAGTAGCTGGGATTACAGGCATGTGCCACGATGCAAGGCTAATTTTGTATTTTTAGTGGAGACAGTGTTTCTCCATGTTGGTCAGGCTGGTCCCGAACTCCTGACCTCAGGTGATCCACCCGCCTCGGCCTCCCAAAGTGCTGGGATTACAGGTGTGAGCCACTGCACCCAGTGGTATACTGCATTATTAAGAAGAGACAGGCCAGGTGCGGTAGATCACACCCATAATCCCAGCACTTGGGGAAGTCAAGGCAGGAAGATTACTTGAGGCCAAGAATTCTAGACCAGCCTGGGCTGTTAACAGAGTGAGACCCCATCTGTAAAAAATAAAAATAAAAATTAGTTAGGTGTGGTAGCATGTGCCTATAGTCCCAGCTACTCAGAAGACTGAAGGATTGCTTGAGCCCAGGAGTTGAAGGCTGCAGTGAGCTAAGATCATGCCACTCTACTTCAGCCTGGGCAACAGAGCAAGACTCCAACTCTTAAAAAAAATGAAGAAGAGACAAAAAGAGGTAGGCAAAGATAATGACAGATAGGGTAAAAACATGAATTGTTTGGGTCTTCATATGAAGTTAATAATACATGGCTTGATTTTATGGAATTATAGTAACATTATGTAAGATACTGCAAGTGGAGGTGCTTTGCTTAGAAAAGTACAGAATTCTGCAGAAATATAAGGCATATTAAATAACATGTGGGCAACAGAGACAGAGACAGTGAGACAGGTCTGTCACAGGTCAATAACCTCTGAGCCCTCAACAACATGTCTCCCCTGCTATCGGTAGTCCACAGTAGGATTTTTGGTAAATAAGTGTAGAACATTACGAATAACACTAACCATGTTCCCAACAGCTTAGGGCTGTCAGCTTAGGGCTGTCAGGAACATGCCTTGGTTTTACCGGAATTAGTATTCCTCATGTTCACCTGGCCAGAGAGAGTTAATGAGAAACGCATGTAGAGATGAAGACGCAATAAATAACGAAGGAGTGTTCTCTCAGCCAACTTCTCTTCCTTTCCCCAGCAACCTCCTCAGTGCGCCCTTCACTTCCATGTTCCGCAGCGTGTAGATGAGGGGATTCACCATGGGTGTGACCAACGAGTAGAACAGGGAAATGAACTTGCCCTGGTCCTGTTTGCTGTTCTTGGCCGGAAGCAGATACCCATAGCTGGCTGAGCCATAGAAGAGGAACACCACCAGCAGATGGGAGAGGCACGTATTGAACGCCTTTCGCCTCCCCTCTGCAGAGCGGATTTTCAGCACTGCCTGAGCAATGAGGCAGTAGGAGATCACGATGATGCTTAGTGGGACTGCAGTGAAGAAGGTGCAGACACCATTGAGCACAGCCTGGTTGAGACTTGTGTCGCCACAGGCCAGTTTGATCATGGCAGGCACCTCGCAGAGGAATCCCTCCACCCTCCGGTGCCCACACAATGGGAGCTGCAGAGTGAATGTTGACTGGATCACAGAGTTGCCCAAGCCACCCAGGCAGGCAATCACAGCCAGCAGCCAGCAGAGCTGGGGGTTCATGATGGCGGTGTAGCGGAGGGGCCGGCACACTGCCACGTAGCGGTCAAATGCCATCACCACCAGCAGGATGCACTCGGTGGCCCCCAGCCAAAGGAAGACATAGAGCTGGGTTATGCAGCCACCATAGCTGATGGTCTTGCCTGGTCCCCATAAATTGATCAGCATTTGGGGGACTGAACTAGTAGCGAAAGCAAGGTCCAAGGAGGAGAGGTTGCTGAGGAAGAAGTACATGGGTGTATGGAGCCGGGCCTCCAGGCGGGAAAGCAAGATGATGGTTGAGTTCCCAAGTAGGGTCAGCAAATAGGAGAAGAGGATGGCTATAAAAAAGATCATCTCCAGCTGGGGATGGTCTGATATGCCCATCAGAACAAAGCCCTGCAAGGAGCTATCATTCACCCCGTCCATCACTGGTTGTCTTCAGTCACTTGATGAATTCATTTAGCGCAAGCTGCTGGAAGAAAAGTCAAGAAAAAGCTGTTGGATGAGGTGGATTTGCATCAGGAACGGTCTAATAGTTCTCTGGGATCCATAGTTAAGTAACAACCTATTTTTTGTTTGTTTTTTGAGACAGAGTCTCTCACTGTCACCCAGGTTGGAGTGCAGTGGCACAATCTCAGCTCACTGCAACCTCCTTCTCCCTGGCTCAAGCAATCCTCTTGTCTCAGCCTCCCAAGTAACTGTGACCACAGGTGTGTGCCACCACATCCAAATAACTTTTGTATTTTTTGTAGAGATGGGGTTTTGCCATGTTGCCCAGGGTTGTCTCCAACTCTTGGGCTCAAGTGATCCATCTGCCTCAGCCTCCCAAAGTGCTGGGATTACAGGCATGAACCACTGCACCTGGACTCCAACTTACTTTTTAAGATTGCAAGCTTTTTTTTTTTTTTTGAGACAGAGTCTCGCTCTGTCACCCAGGCTGGAGTGCAGTGGTGCAATCTCGGCTCATTGCAACTTCCGCCTCCCAGGTGCAAGCAATTCTCCTGCCTCAGCCTCACGAGTAGCTGGGACTACAGGCATGCACCACCATGCCTGGCTAATTTTTGTTTTAGTAGAGACGGGGTTTCACCATGTTGGCCAGGCTGGTCTCGAACTCCTGACCTCGTGATATGCCAGCCTCAGCCTCTCAAAAAGCTGGGATTACAGGTGTGAGCCACCGTGCGTGGCCTAGATTTCAAACTTCTGTTGTAATCCCCATCTACTGTTGGTTACACACCGAATGGAAAAGTTGATTCCATCAGAATGTCAGGTATGAGCTAACACGGAAATGAAGGAAGTGCCTCATGATGACAAAACCAAAAGACCCCAAGAACTGAAGAGCCCTTCAGTTCAGAACAATGGCTATGACGGGATAGAGAGAGTTGACCATTAGAATTAGATGTGAAAGTTCTCAAAAACTTTCAGTCAGACTGAAATTTCAGTCAGGCATGGTGGCTCACACCTGTAATCCCAGCATTTTAAGAGGCTGAGGTGGGAGGATCTCTTGAGCCCCAGTGTTCAAGGCAGCAGTGAGCCCCTGTACTCCAATGCCTGAGTGACAGAGGGAGACCCTATCTCTTGAAAACAACAGCAACAACACATTTCCCCAGCCAAGATTCTGATACGCTCAGGGAAGGGGGGAAGCAGACACATTGTATTTGGAAAAGCTCCCCAGAATTTTCTGTTAAATTTCCTCTGCTCTCTTCTACATCCCTCCCCTCTGAGTTTTACCTCAGTGCTGGATCTAGAAAGATGATGTTTGAGGAATAACATGATGAATCTATAAAGTCACAGAAATAATGGAAAGAGTAGATACAGACTTATGCTCCAAATACAGAAGCTGGGAATGTACAATTTAAGAGGAGGTCAATGTAGAGCAAACAAAACTTCACTTAAGCTTAAATAAGTTTAGGTGGAAAAGGCAAAAGATATAAACAGAGGTTACACAAAAAGGGGTTAAAATAGTTAATGGGTATTCATAATTAGTAAGGGAAATTAGAAGATTTACAGAGGAGATCCCTCTTTTGAGGTATATAACTACTGTGTCCACGTCTAAATCATCAAATAATTCTTAACATCTCATGAGACCGGGTACAGTGGCTCACGCCTGTAATCCCAACACTTTGGGAGGTCAAAGTGGGCAGATCACTTGAGGCCAAGAGTTTGAGATCAGCCTGGCCAACATGGTGAAACCCCGTCTCTACTAATAATACAAAAAATTTGTCGGGCATGGTGGCGGGCGCCTGCAGCCCCAGCTACTCAGGAGGCTGAGGCAGCAGAAACACTTGAAACAGGGAGGCGGAAGTTGCAGTGAGTTGAGATTGCACTACTACACTTCAGCCTGGGCAACAGAGCTAGACTCTGTCTCAAAAAAAAAAAAAAAAAAGAAAAGAAAAGAAAAACAAACAAACAAACAAAAAACCCATCTCATGAACAAAAAAATCAGCTCTTGTTAATAATGGGCCAATCACCATCCCCTTTCCTTGGCCAGGATCTCAACTTTTCTGAAGATCATAAACCACAGCCCTTCCCCTTCCTTCCTTCCTTCCTTCCTTCTTTCTCTTTTTTTGAGATGGAGTCTAGCAGTGTCACCCAGGCTGGAGTGCAGTGGCGTGATCTCAGCTCACTGCAACCTCTGCCTCCCAGGTTCAAGCGATTCTCCTGCCTCAGCCAACCAAGTAGCTGGGATTACAGGAGTGCACCACCACGCCTGACTAATTTTTGTATTTTTAGTAGAGGCGGGGTTTCACCATGTTGGCCAGGCTGGTCTTGAACTCCTGGCCTCAGGTTATCTGCCTACCTTGGCCTCCCAAAGTGTTGGGATTACAAGCATGAGCTACCATTCCCGGCCTACTTATTCTTTTTTTTTTTTTTTTTTTTGAGACGGAGTCTCGCTCTGTCACCAGGCTGGAGTGCAGTGGCGGGATCTCGGCTCACTGCAACCTCCACCTCCTGAGTTCAAGCAATTCTCCTGCCTCAGCCTCTCAAGTAGCTGGGACTACAGGTGCACACCACCATCCCCAGCTCATTTTTGTGTTTTTAGTAGAGATGGGGTTTTGACCATGTTGGCCAGGATGGTTTCGATCTCTTGACCTCGTGATCTGCCCGCCTCAGCCTCCCAAAGTGCTGGGATTACAGGCGTGAGCCACCGCGACCGGCCTACTTATTCTTTTCATCTAGGACTTAAGAGAGCTGAGGAACTGAGTTACTAACCGGATAATCAGCTCATCTTTCTTTTCAGAAGTTCTTCCTGAAACCCATTCTACTACCTCCTGCCAGTTCAGGTGCTTGTTCCCTTGTGTCCCTTTAGGGCAAAGAAATAGACAGGGCCGGGCGCAGTGGCTGACGCCTGTAATCTCAACACTTTGGGAGGCCGAGGCAGGCAGATCACTTGAGGTCGGGAGTTCGAGACCATCCTGGCCAACATGGTGAAACATGTCTCTACTAAAAATAAAAAAAAATTATCCGGGCGTGGTGCTACATGTCTGTAATCCCAGCTACTCAGGAGGCTGAGGCAGGAGAATCACTTGAACCCAGGAGGCGGAGTTTGCAGTGAGCTGAGATAATGCCATTGCACTCCAGCCTGGGCAACAAGAGTGAAACTCTACCTCAGAAAAAAAAAAAAAAAAAAGAAAGAAAGAAACAGACAGAAAGACACTGCTCATCTTCTTCCAAAGTTGTTTGGTCTGTGGGGGGCTGGTATTAGACAAAGTGAACAGGGATTTTTCCCCTCCCCAAATCTTAGAATTCAAGAACTAGAAATGGGGGAGTTTGAATCTTAGAAAAAGTCAATTAAGGATGAATGAAAGAAAAAAATACATAGTTAATAGTAAATTTATGTAAATTATTACTTCTAAGAGACATCAGTAAGTTTAAAAACATTCAAACTCATAAGTTTAAAAACATTAAAATTTAAAAACATTAAAACATCATAAGTTTAAAAACATTAAAATTTGGCCAGGCATGGTGGCTCGCGCCTGTAATCCCAACACTTTGGGAGGCCGAGGCGGGTGGATCACGAGGTCAGGAAACCAAGACCATCCTGGCGAACAAAGTGAAACCCCGTCTCTACTAAAAATACAAAAATTAGGCGGGCGTGGTGGTGGGCGCCTGTAGTCCCAGCTACTCGGGAGGCTGAGGCAGGAGAATGGCTTGAACCTGGGAGGCGGAGCTTGCAGTGAGCCAAGATTGCACCACTGCACTCCAGCCTGGGCGACAGAGGGAGACTCTGTCTCAAAAAAAAATTAAAATTTAAATTTAACAAACACAGATACAATGCATGATTAAGGAAATCTAGGCCACTCGGAAGGGACTTTAACTTCTGATGCTTGCATCAGGGAAAACAATCAAGCTCCTTTAAAATGTATTTTCTAATTCTGCTGTCAAAGAAACAATTCTGGCTGAATGGACCATGGGCTGAGCCAAGGTGGCAGTTCTAATAAGCCCAGGATCTTACAAAATACGAAAAAAAAAAAAAAAAAAGACTAAATGCTTGGCAATACATCAAATAAGTACAAAAATTCAACAGCACAAATTTAGACTGGAAAAGGCTAGAGAAGCACAAGTATCCCAGGAGTAGCTCTCAAGGTTACATCTCTGCAAGCTGAAGGCAACTTGCAATGGGTGTCCCAGAGAGAAAAATGAACAAAAGGAGGTTCCATGTAAGGGCTGGGGAGTAAGCTTTCTGCTGTGTACTGTATTAGCAATTCCTTATCCGAGGGTCTTACCTGATTTGCCTAGCATTTTAAAAAGGATAATGGAGTACACAGATTTTTAGAGAACAGGGAGAAGGAGGACATAGGTCCTATGAAGTATGGCCAAGACGGGAGACTTGCTTAGGAGGAAATAGTTAAAGGGAGAAGTGGGTTTTTTACTTCCAATTATTTTTTTCTCAGACCATTCTCCATAACAAATTTTCTTCCAATTAATGTCTTCACTATTATGAGGAGATTTTAAAAATGTGTGCTTCATAAGCAGGTGCTCTCCTTCTCCTTCTCTATGGAAAGCAAAAAAAATAGGGAGGCTGAGGCAGGAGAATTGCTTGAACCTGGGAGGCAGAGGCCGTGGTAAGCCGAAATCATGCCACTGCACTCCAGCCTGGGCAACAGAGCAAAACTCTGTCTCAAAAAAAAAAAAAAAAAAAGAAAAAGAAAAAGAAAAAAAGAAAAAAGACTTAAATTCAGAGCAGGAGAAATTACGATAGGGCATTTTGAGGTGTTGGTGTGATAAAATATTGATTAAATTCTTTGGCAAGAGAAAAATAAGGTATGCTTAGAGATTTGCCTGCCTGAAGGCACTGAATATATCTTAAGTTCTTTTTTTTTTTTTTTTTTTTGAGTCAGGGTCTCACTGTGTCACCCAGGCTGGAGTGTGCAATGATAGCTCACTGCAGCCTCAACCTCCCAGGCTGAAGCAATCCTCCCGCCTCAGCCTCTCAAAGTGTTAGGTTCACAGGCATGAGCCACTGCACCCAGCCTATACCTGAAGTCTTTTATGATCCTTTTCTGCTTGAGGACTCTGTTCCCAGAACAGAGTTGTGCATGCAAAAGGGCTTTTGTTTGTTTGTATGTTAAGAATTTCCCAGCTTCTCTCCTGGACCATTCCAGAGATGACTTTTGTGAAGGGGTTCTTAAAATTGTTGTTTTAAAACTTCCCTTTGGGGCCGGGCACGTGGCTCAAGCCTGTAATCCCAGCACTTTGGGAGGCCGAGGCGGGAGGATCACAAGGTCAGGAGATCGAGACCATCCTGGCTAACACAGTGAAACCCCGTCTCCAGTAAAAATACAAAAAATTAGCCGGGCACGGAGGCAGGCGCCTGTAGTCCCAGCTACTCGGGAGGCTGAGGCAGGAGAATGGCGTGAACCCGGAAGGTGGAGCTTGCAGCAATCCAAGATCGCGCCACTGCACTCCAGCCTGGGCGACAGAGCAAGACTCCATCTCAAAAAAAAAACACAAAAAAAACAAAAAAACAAAAAAACCAACCAACCAACCAACCAAACAAAAAATTTCCCTTTGGGCTGGGCGCGGTGGCTCACGCCTGTAATCTCAGCACTTTGGGAGTCCGAGGCAGGTGGATCATCTGAGGTCAGGAGTTCGAGACCAGACTGGCCAACATGGGAAACCCCCTCTCTACTAAAAATACAAAAATTAGCCGGGCGTGGTGGCAGGCGCCTGTAATTCCAGCTGCTTGGGAGGTTGAGGCGGGAGAATCGCTTGAACCTGGAAGGCGGTGGTTGCAGTGAGCCGAGATCTTGCCATTGCACTCTAGCCTGGGCGACAGAGAGACTCCACCTCAAAAAAAAAAAAAAAAAAAAGATTCCCTTTTACAGTTTGAGTATTTTTCCTTCCTGACTCTTCTTGCTGACAGAGGTCACAGACCTCTGTATAAACGGGCTTGGGCTCTAATACCATGTCACCGCCAACCTTTCGCCTAAAGGAAGAAGCCATAAAACAGTGAATTTTTTTTTTGAGACGGAATCTCGCTTTGTTGCCCAGGCTGGAGTGCAGTGGCACGATCTTGGCTCACTGCAACCTCCGCCTCCTGGGTTCAAGCTATTCTCCTGCCTCTGCCTCCCTAGTAGCTGGGATTACAGGCATGTACCACCACGCCTGGCCCCCAAAATCAGTGCCTTTAAAAAGCTATTTAACACTCTCCCTTTTCTCTCTCCTTCTCTGTCTCTGCTATTTTCCTTTTCCCATCTTTTTTCCCCCCTGTTCGCCTCTCTCTCTTATATCCTGGATTCTTTAATAATCAGTCTAGGGATTGTTTATGGAAATGTACCTTTGGCTTTGAGATTCCCCCACATCCATCCTCTGTCTCCATGCTTAGTGAATCAAGGAGAGAGGGCAGGCATGGGACCGAGAGGGAGGCTGTGCTGCGCTCCTCCTGTCCGCGAACTGGGGCCACAGCTTTTAACCTCGGGGCTCTTCTGGCCCTGGAGTAGCACTGGGTCGCAGTTGGAAGCCTGGCTTGCTGTGGCTGGCTCTGCAGCGCCCAAGGGTAGATCTCCACGCCCGCACAAGCAATTAGCACAAAGCGCCAGTGTGGCCGGAACACAGGAAAAAGCTGTCCCTGAAGAACCGACTCAGTCTGTCACCTGAACTCCCTCCCCAAACACAGATTAGTAATCGAACTAGTAATAAAAATGACAGCATTTCTTAAATAATTGCTAATTATATGACTTTATTCTTTTCAAGGTGCTGTGACATTATCAAACTTAGTTCCTAAAACACTATACAACGTGGGGGAGGGGGGTGGTGGAAGGCAGGTGGCCTTATCTCCTCTTAGCAGAGGAGTAAATTGAACATATAGTGGTTACATGACAGGCTCAGGGTCACACAGGAGTGACCTGACTCCTGTGATGGCCATCCTATGCGGAGGAAGTTGCTATTTTTGACTCATAATCTGAGAGCTGTCATCCTTGAGTGTTTGTTCTTTTGAGGGGCAAGGGCAGAGAGGGGGAGTCCCAGTTCTCTGGTTCCAACATAAACCACAAATCAGGGACATGAGCCTTAGACACTCACAGGGCACCCTGTGAGAAGCAAGAACTTACAGCCACTATTCAATAAACACGTAACAGGTGCCTGGTAACCTGATTAGGCCGTTAGATGTCACAGAAGATGAATTACCCTGAAACTACTGACTTAGAAACCACATTCATTCAAGACACTCTAAGGGTGGAGAGTATGCCAGGTGCAGGTGGGGTACAGGGTGAGCAGGATCAGTCTGGCTTCTGCCCAGTGGGGCCCACTGTCCTGTGGGCCTGGCCCCAGCAAGTCTCTCCTGATCATAGAACTGCTTGCTGGCTTGTGCTGTGTGCTGGTCACTGTGCCCAGCGGTTTATAAACATGATCACAACCATCACACCAGGCAGGGGTTATTATTCCTGTTTTACAATAGAGGAACTCAGGCTGAGAGGTATTCAGTAATTTCTCCAAGGGCAAATGGCTAGTAAACTGCACAGCCACTGAAATGAGGTCTAACTCCCAAATCCATACTTACGAGGAACTGGATAATCTCATTGTCTATCAGTAGGGGAATTCGGTAAATTATGACCCCTCCATGGAATGCTGTGCTCACTGTCATCATTGGTCTCTGCAAGTCCTCTCTTAAATACTATATTTTATTCACTTTTTCCACTTTATTCCCACTCGCCATTCTCATTCCTCTGCACTGTCCCATAGGCATCTAACGCATTTGGTCTATTAGTGTTTGGACAGATATGTGTCCTTTTAGAATATATAGTGTTATTTTGTGTCTGTGCATGTTTTAATTTACACTAGTAGCCCTCATTCCGTTTCTTACCTTTTCAAAACTTTTTCACTTTGTTTGAATAGACATCTACGTTGTTAGGGACGCACTTAATGTTTGTATGCTAAATATGCATCTATCATAATCTATTTATCCATTTAATTAGGGATGAATATATAACTTGCCTTTAATTTCCACCTACCATAAGAAAATGCTATAGTGGGTGTGTGCATGTGTGCATGTGCGTGTGTGTGTGCGCGTGTGTGCGTGTGCATGTGTGTATGTGTGTGCATGTGTGTTCGTGTGTGCACGTGCGTGTGTGCATGTGTGTGTGCGTGTGTGCATGTGTGTTCATATGTGTGCGTGTGTGTGTACTCCTTTAAGGGCTAGATTTGCAGGTTCTCACATGGAAGAACATCCTAGGCATATTGCTAAGTGATAAAAGCCAGTTGCAGAGCAATGCACATCGTATGATCTCATTTTCTGAGAAAAACAACATATATGTACATATTTGTTTGTCTGCAAACAGGAATCTCTGGAAGGAAAGAAAAAAGCAAGCAGTTGTTATGAGGAGTGGAGGTGTGGACGGAGGAGGGGACACTGCACTCCAGCCTGGGCAACAGAGCAAAACTCCGTCTCAAAAAAAAAAAAAGTATGTGTGTTGTTTGAATATCTCACAGTAAACCTGCATTACCTTGATAATTTAATTAGTTTAATTTAATTAGAGACAGGGTCTGGCTCTATCACCTAGGCTGGAGTGCAGTGGTGCAATCCTAGCTCACAGAAGCCTCCAATTCCTGGGCTCAGGCTATCCTCCCTCCTCAGCCTCCTGAGCCACCATCCTTGGCTCCTTTTTTTTTTTTTTTTTTTTTGAGACAGAGTCCTGGTCTGTCACCCAGGTTGGAGTGCAGTGGCACCATCTTGGCTCACTGCAACCTCTGCCTCCCGGGTTCAAGTGATTCACCTGCCTCAGCCTCCTGAGCAGCTGGGACTACAGGCACGCACCACTGTGCCCAGCTAATTTTTGTACTTCTTTAGTAGAGATGAGGTTTCATCATGTTGGCCAGGCTGGTCTTGAACTCCTGGCCTCAAATGATCTGCCCACCTCAGCCTCCCAAACTGCTGGGATTACAGGTGTGAGCCACCGCGACTGGCCTCACCTTTTACATTTTTTAAATTATAAAGGAGGCCAGGGGTGGTGGCTTACACCTGTAATCCCAGCACTTTGGGAGCCTGAGGTGGGCAGATCACTTGAGGCCAAGAGTTCGAGACTAGCCTGGCCAACATGATGAAACCTTGTCTCTACTTAAAAAATACAAAAATTAGTCGAGCGTGGTGGCGGGTGTCTGTAGTCCCAGCTGCTCAGGAGGCTGAGGCAGGAAAATTGATTGAACCCAGGAGGCAGAGGTTGCAATGAGCCAAGATTGCGCCACTGCACTCCAGCCTGGATGACAGAGTGAGAGGAAGACTCCATCTCAAAAAAAAAAAAAAAAAGATGCATGGACATTTTCATTAAAATATTTTAAGTGACAAAGAGTTTAAGTTAAACATTTTTTAAAATTCAGAGCAAGACGGAACCCTCAGATATCATCTAGGTTTTTTTGTTTGTTTGTTTCCAGTTGAGGTTGCTGGAACACTGGGTGGCCCACTCAAGGGGACCATAGGTCTGGTTAATGGCAGACTGGACTGACTTTCAAGCCAACCTCAGAGTCCAGCTGGACGTACTTGCATCTCCTCTGAGATCCTCTAGACTTTGTACTTTGCCTTTAAGGTTGGTTACCTTTTCCTATTTATTTATTCATTCAACAATCATTTTCTCAGTAACCCCTACATTCCTAGTCATGTCTTAGTCACTTGGGATATAGTCCATGCCCTCAGGGAGTTTGCAATCTGATTGTAAAGAGTCAGAACATACACACACACACACACAGCAAAGCAAAGTCTATAATATATCAAGTGATGGTAAATGTTATGAAGAAAAATCAGGCTGAGCACAGTGGCTCAGGCCTGCAATCCGAGCACTTTGGGAGGCCAAGGCAGGAGGACTACTTGAGTCAGGAGTTCAAGACCAGCCTGGGCAACATAGTGAGATCTTGTCTCTACAGAAAATTTTAAAAATTAGTTAGACGTGGTGGTGCACACCTATAGTCCCAGCTACATGGGATGCTGAGGCAGGAGGATCACTTGAGCCCAGGAGCTCGAGGCTACAGTGAGCCATGGTCACACAACTGCACTCCAGTCTGAAAGCGAAAGAGAGAGGGAGGGAGGGAGGGAGGAAGGAAGGAGGGAAGGAAGGAAGGAAGGAAGGAGAGAAAAGAGAAAGAGAGAAAGAAAAAAGAAAGAGGGAGAGAAAGAGAGAACGAGAGAGAGGAAGAAAGAGAGGAAGGGAAGAAGGGAGGGAGGGAAGGAAGGAAAGGGAAAGAATCCCCATGCTTATTTCTCTCTACTCCCTCATAGGCACCTACTCTATTGATGTGTTTGATATGTAATTCTTTGGATATGTACATGAATGATACATATATGTGCATCCAAACAAATATATGTGTGTGTGTATATATACCATGTGTATGTGTATCCTTGTAAAACATATAGTGCCATACCTCTTATTTTATTTCTTACTTTTTTTTTTTTTTGAGACAGAGTCTCACTCTGTCACCCAGGCTGGAGTGCAGTGCTGCGATCTCCGTTCACTGCAAGCTCTGCCTCCTGGGTTCACGTCATTCTCCTGCCTCAGCCTCCCGAGTAGCTGGGACTACAGGTGCCCGCCATCACGCCCGGCTAATTTTTTGTATTTTTTTAGTAGAGACGGGGTTTCACCATGTTAGCCAGGATGGTCTCGAACTGTTGACCTCGTGATCTGCCGACCTCATGATCTGCCCACCTCGGCCTCCCAAAGTGCTGGGATTACAGGCATGAACCACCGCGCCCAGCCTATTTCTTACTTTTTAATTCACTTTTTCCTCCACAATGTTTTCACTTATGTGTTCAAAGGTACGTCCAGGTTGTTGTGTGTATGTTTAGTTTCATGTTTCTAATGATTGATATGCATCTATCATATTTTATTTGTCCATTACACTAGGGATGAACATATAGCTTGTCTTTAATTTCCTACAATGACAACAATGCTGTAATGAGCATATTTATATATGTATATTTATACATATATATATACACACATACATATATGTGATAGACTCTCATCCTGGTCCATAAAGGGGAGTCCATAACGGATAATTGACAATGCTGAATAATAGAGATATACCCAGATGCACCAACAGACTGTCCCAAAGGGGTTGTAGCAGTCTACAATTCCCACCAGCTATAGAGGGAGGTTCCTGGTTTTCCCACGTTCTACCCAACACTTAGTATAATCAAAAAAAATTTTTTTTTTGAGACAGAGTCTCACTCTGTCGCCCAGGCTGGAGTGCAGTGGCGCCGATCTCGGCTCACTGCAACCTCTGCCTCCTGGGTTCAAGCGATTCTCCTGCCTCAGCCTCCCGAGTAGCTGGGACTACAGGCGCCCGCCACCATGCCCGGCTAATTTTTTGTATTTTTAGTAGAGATGGGGTTTCACCATGTTAGCCAGGATGGTCTCGATCTCCTGACCTCGTGATCCACCCGCCTCGGCCTCCCAAAGTGCTGGGATTACGGGCGTGAGCCACCGTGCCCGGCCATCAAATTTTCTAATGTATGCCAATCTGATGAGCATAAAATGTTATCTCAAGTTTATTTGCATTTCTCTGATTACTAATGAGGTTGGACATTGTAAAATAAATATGTTAGCTATTTTTATTTCTCCTTCTGTAAATTGCCCATTCATATCCTCTGCTTACTTTTCTCTTCATTTTTCTGTTTTTCTTGTTTATTTATAATAGTTCTGTTTTGTTTTGTTTTTTTTAAATGGAGTCTCACTCTTGTCACCCAGGCTGGAGTGCAGTGGTGCGATCTCGGCTCACTGAAACCTCCACCTCCTGGGTTCAAGTGATTCTCGTGCCTCGGCCTACCAAGTAGCTGGAATTACAGGTGCACGCCACCACACTCGACTAATGTTTTTGTATTTTAAGTAGTGATGGGGTTTTGCCATGTTGGCCTGGCTGGTCTCAAACTCCTGACCTCAAGTGATCCCCCCACATTGGCCTCCCAAAGTGCTGGGATTACAAGCATGAGCCATTGCGCCCAGCCCATTTGCAATCCTTCTTAAGCCAGTCGAGATAAACTTTGCCAGTTATAGAAATTAGAAATATTTCCCCCTAATTTGGTCTATGCTGACCTTTATTGAACAGAAATCCTTAATATTGATATAATCTATTTAGTAAATTTTCTGTCTTAATGTTGGTTTGTGCTTTTAGGGTTTTATTTTATTTTTTGAGACAGGGTCTTGCTCTGTTGCCCAGGCTGGAGTGCAGTGGCACGATCTTAGCTCACAGCAACTTCTGCCCGCTGAGTTCAAGCAATTCTCCCTGCTTAGCCTCCCAGGCAGCTGGGACTACAGGCGCCCACCACCACACCTGGCTAATTTTTGTATTTTTAGTAGAGACGGGGATTCACCACATTGGCCAGGCTGTTCTCAAACTACTGACCTCAGGTGATCTGCCCGCCTCAGCCTCCCAAAGTGTTAGGATCACAGGCGTGAGCCACCGCGCCCGGCCAATTTTGGCCAATTTTAAATGAAAAATGTATTGAGGTAAATGTATGTCCACGTAAAGTTGTAAGAAATAATACAGAGGCTAGACACGGTGGCTCATGCCTGTAATCACAGCACTTTGGGAGGCAAAAGGATCGCTTGAGCCCAGGAGTTCAAGACCAGCCTGGGCAACACAGAAAGACTGTCTCTACAAAAAAATACAAAAGTTAGCTGAAGATTTCCTTTGTTGTACTTGTGCTGATTTGTGTGTGTATGTGCATAGGTATATTTATTTCTTTATAATTTTATCACATGTGTAGGTCTGTGTATCTGCCACTACAGCAAGATAAAGAAAAATTTTATCAACATAAAGACCACTCAGTTTGCCCTTTTATAACCACACCCACCTACCTCCTGCCCTCACATTAATGTTGATACCATTCATCTATTTTATTTGTCATTTGTAAAATTTTGTCATTTCAAAAATTAATGTAAATAAAGCTGCACAGTATGTAACCTTCTTGGATTGGCTATTATCACTCAGCATAATTCACTGGAGATCCATCTGACTTCTTTCATGTATAAATAGTTCATTCATGTTTTCGTTTTCGTTTTTGTTTTTTGAGACAGTGTCTTGCTTTGTTGCCCAGTCTAGAGTGCAGCGATCTCGGCTCACTGCAACCTGTACCTCCCGGGTTCAAGTGATTCTCCTGCCTCAGCCTCCCGAGTAACTGGGATTACAAGCGCCTGCCACTGCGCCTGGTAATTTTTGAATTTTTAGTAGAGACAGGGTTTCACCATGTTGGCCAGGCTGATCTCGAACTCCCGACCTCATGATCCACCCACCTCAGCCTCTCAAAGTGCTAGCATTACGGGCGTGAGTCACTGCGCCCGGCCTCGTTTTTATTGTTCAGTATTATTCCATGGTATAGATAGATAAGCAGAGATGGGGTTTTGCCATGTTGGCCTGACTGGTCTCGAACTCCTGACCTCAAGTGATCCACCCACATTGGCCTCCCAAAGTGCTGGGATTACAAGTGTGAGCCATTGCACCCGGCCCATTTGCAATAGTTCTTAGGCCAGTCGAGATAAACTTTGGCAGTTACAGACATCACAAATATTTCCCCCTAATTTGGTCTATGTTGACCTTTTTTGAACAGAAATCCTTAATATTGACATAATCTATTTAGTACATTTTCTGTCTTAATGTTGGTTTGTGCTTTTAGGGTTTTATTTTATTTTTTGAGGCAGGGTCTCGCTCTGTTGCCCAGGCTGGAGTGCAGTGGCATGATCTTAGCTCACAGCAACTTCTGCCCCCTGAGTTCAAGTGATTCTCCCTCCTCAGCCTCCCAGGCAGCTGGGACTACAGACGTGTGCCACCACGCCTAGCTAAATTTTGTATTTTTAGTAGAGATGGGGTTTGTTTCAATACTGATCCATAAAAGGACATCTGGTATATTTCCACTTTTGGCTATTGTAAATATGGCTGTTATGAACATTGATGTACAGATTTTTGTGTGAATATAAGCTTTTATTCCTCTAGGATAAATGCCCAAGTGTACTCTTGTTGGGTTTCATGGAAAGAAAGACCAAGACATGCTTTGAAGCTTGGAACTTTCAGCCCCAGCCCCATTCTCCATGGAGGAGAGAGGAGCTGAATACGGAGCTAATAATCAATCGCGCCTACATCATGAAGCCTCCCTAACAATCCCTAAAATATGGGGTTGGTGAACACATCCATGTGCCAGGAAGATGGCACACCACAACTCCACAGTGACAGAGCTCATACTCAGGAACTTTGCAGACCTTACCCTATATACCTCTTAATCTGGCTATCATCTGTATCCTTCATAATATCTTTTACAATAAACTAGAATTTTGTGAGCCATTCTAGAAAATGATTGAATCTTAGGAGGGGGTTGTGAAAATCTTCAATTTATAGCTGGTTGATCAGAAGTTTTAATGTTTTCTGACTGAATTCAGGAAGAAAAGAAGGAAACCACTTTTACCCCTTAGCATTATACTAGAAGTTTTATGTAGGGTAATTAGGCAAGAAAAAGAAATTAAAGCAACCAAATTAGAAAGAAGTAAAACTATCTCTATTCATAAATAGCATGATCATATATACAGAAAATCCCAAAGAACCCACATAAAAACTACTAAAACTAATAAATTAATTCAGCAAAGTTGCAGGATATAAGAGCAACATAGAAAAATTAGTTGTGTTTCAATATATCATCAATAAACAAATTAAAAAGGAAATTATAAAAATAATTTAATTTACAATAACATCCAAAATAATAAAATACCTAGGAATAAATTCAACCAAGTAGATGAAAGACTTGTACACTGAAAATTACAAAACACTGCTGAAAGAAAAACATAAATAAAAGGAAAGACATCTTGTAATTATAGTTGGAAAGCCTTAATATTGGTAATATGACAATACTCCCCAAAGTGATCTACAAGTTCAATGCATCCCTAAAAAAATTTTCAGTGGTCTTTTTTTTTTGCAGGAAGGAAAAGCTGATCTTCAGATTCATAAGGGACTGCAAGGGACCCTGATTAGCCAAAAGAATCTTGAAAAAAAACAAAGTGGGAGGAGTCACACTGCCCAAATTCAAAATTTAATATAAATCTACATTAACTAAAATTGTGAAGTACTGACATAAGAACAGATACATAAACTACTGGAATAGAATTGAGGTTCCAGAAATAAACCTATATAGCCATAAATAACCCCCTATGGACAACTTATTTTCCATAAGGGTGACAATGTCAGTGAGGGAAAGAATAGTCTCTTCAATAAATGCTGCTGAGACAACTGTATAACCACATGCAAAAGAATCAAGTTGGACCCCCATCTCACAAGATACACAAAGTTGACAAAAAATGAATCTATTACCTAAAAAACAGAGCCAAAACTGTGAACTCTTAGAAGGAAACACGGGTAAATCTTCATGACCTTGGATTTGGCAATGGATTCTTAGATATGACACCAAATAAAGAATACATAAATTGGACCTCATTAAAATTAAAAACCATTGTGTATCATAGGGCATTATTATGAGAAAAAAGAAAATCTATAGAGGTAGAGAAAATACTTGTGAATCACATATAGGATGAGAGTTTAATATCTAGAATATATAAAAGACTACAACTCAAAACAAAAAGACAAACAACTCTTTCCTTTTTTCTTTCTCTCTCTTTTTTTTTGAGACAGAGTTTTGCTCTTTTGCACAGGCTGGAGTGCAGTGGTGTGATCTTGGCTCACTGCAACCTCCACCTCCTGGGTTCAAGCAATTCTCCCACCTCAGCCTCCCGAGTAGCTGGAATTACAGGTGCCTGCCACCATGCCTGGCTAATTTTTGTATTTTTAGTAGAGATGGGGTTTCACCATGTTGGCCAGGTTGGTCTCGAACTCCTGACCTCAGGTGATCTGCCCGCTTTGGCCTCCCAAAGTGCTGGGATTACAGGCGTGAGCTACTGCACCCAGCCACAACTCATTTTTAAAATGGGAAAATACTTGGATAGAAATTTCCCCAAAGAAGAGACATGGCCCAAAAGTACATAAAAAGATGCTAAAGATCATTAGTCATTGGGGAAATGCAAGTCAAAACCACAATAAAATCCTACTTCACAATCATTAAATGGCTATAATGATAATATATGAAATAGGAAAATAATAAGTGTAGAGAAATCAGAACTCTCATGCATTGCTGATATGAAAGTAAAATGGGGCCGGGTGCGGTGGCTCATGCCTGTAATCCCAACACTTTGGGAGGCCGAGGCGGGTGGATCACGAGGTCAAGAGATCGAGACCATCCTGGCTAAAGCGGTGAAACCCCATGTCTACTAAAAATACAAAAAATTAGCCGGGCATAGTGGTGGGCGTCTGTAGTCCCAGCTACTTGTGAGGCTGAGGTAGGAGAATGTCGTAAACCCAGGAGGCGGAGCTAATTGTGAGCTGAGATTGCACCACTGCACTCCAGCCTGGGCGACAGAGCAAGACTCCATCTCAAAAACAAAAAGTAAAATGGTTCAGCCACTGTAGAAAACAGTTTGGCAGTTTCTCAAAAAATAAACAGAATTACCATACAACCCCACAATTCCACTCCAAGTTATATACCCAAAAGAATTGAAAACAGGTACTCAAACATGTACATGCATATTTATAGCAACACTATTCATTTAGCCAAAAGATGAAAAAAAAAAAAAAACTAATGTTCATCAACAGATGAGTGGATAAACAAATTGTGGTAGATTGAAATGCTATAGAACATTATTCAGCCCAAAAATGAACAAAGTACTGATATATGCTACAATGTAGACGAGCCTGAAAAACATTAGGCTAAATGAGAGAAGCCAGACCCAAAAGGTCACATATTGTGTAATTCCATTTATGTTTATTATTCAGAATATTTAAACCCATAGGACCAAAAGGCCGATTTGTGGTTTCCAAGGACTGTGGGGAGGGGAAAACAGGGAGTTAATTACCTAACAAATAAGGAATTTCTTTCAGGGTGATTAAAATATTTTGGAACTAGATGAAGCTGGTGGTTAAACAACATTGTGTATGTACTAAATGTCATTAAATTCTTCACTTAAAATGGTTAATTTTATTTTATGTGAATATCACCTTATTTAAAAAGTTGCCTAGGCCGGGCGCGGTGGCTCAAGCCCGTAATCCCAGCACTTTGGGAGGCCGAGGCGGGCGGATCACAAGGTCAGGAGATCGAGACCATCCTGGCTAACACGTGAAACCCCGTCTCTACTAAAAATACAAAAAATTAGCCAGGCGTGCTGGCGGGCGCCTGTAATCTCAGCTACTTGGGAGGGTGAGGAAGGGGAATGGCGTGAACCCGCAAGGCGGAGCTTGCAGTGAGCCGAGAGCGCGCCACTGCACTCCAGCCGGGGCGACAGAGCAAGACTCCGTTTCAAAAAAAAAAAAAAAAAGGTACCTATACTTGACTCCTGTCCAGCCCCACAGAAAACCAAAACCAAGAGAATCAGAATTCCATATCCATGATGCCCCTTTCCCCCAATCTGCCCAGCACCAAGCACATGGAAAAATCTCCCCTAACTCATGGTTTCTACACTGGAAGATAAAAGATCAAGGTGGACAACCAGCTTCCTCACCATCTTGGGTCACCTGGCAGGAGACCTGTCCTTTCCTCAACACACAGGAAGCATCATGAGTGCCTTAAGGGAGAAATATCCCTGAGAAATGTCAGAGTCAAAGAGGGTAAGTGGAACTACCATTCCCAACCCTGAAATCTCTGCTGTGTAACTCAGTCAAAGGAGACACCAAATCAGAGTGATTGCTTAGCTGCACCATGCTGCAGCAAGTGCATTCCACGGGTGCTCTGGACCCAAACCTTAGCCAGCCTTCCCACACTACTGGGATAAGCACTTTGGGACCTTCCCCATTCAGAAAGGTCAGTGCTGCAATCATTCACTAGAGCCAAGGCAAACCTGGGCTTAAGGCACCGTCTACTGCCAAAAAGGACGCAGTGACCTACCTAGGGTTGGGGGCAGCTTGTGGGGAGGCATGGGGGAGAAATAAATTCAACAGATAAATTACAAAGAATCCCTAAGAAAACACATTCAATGAAAATCAAAGCAAGCCAGACAGAGAAGACCAGAATAAATAACTAGTCCTTCAATGCAAAGACAGACAGACATCCACAAGAATCAACAGCAAACAGGGAAACCTGACCTTCACGAATGAACAAAGGATGGGACCAGGACCGTCCCTAACAAGATAGCAATATGTGAGCTCTCTGACCCAGAATTCAAAATAGCATTTCTAAGGAAACTCAATGGTCATCAAGATAATACAGGAAAACAATTCAAAAATGTATCTGAGAAATATAACAAAAAGACTGAGGTAATTTAAAAAAAATCAAACAGGAATCTTGGAAATGAGAAATAACACTTGCCGAATTAAAATTTTCATTAGAGACTCTCAACAGCAGAATGGATCAAGCAGAGGAGAGACAGGCTATTTTAAAATACACAGTCAGGGATGGGCGTGGTGGTCCATGCTTGTAATCCCAGCACTTTGGGAGGCTGAGGCAGGTGGATTGCCTGAGCTCAGGAGTTCGAGACCAGCCCAGGCAACATGGTGAAACCCCGTCTCTATTAAAAATACAAACAAAAAAATTAAAAAATTAGCTGGGCATGGTGGCCCTCACTGGTAATCCCAGCTACTTGGGAGGCTGAGGCATAAGAATTGCTTGAACCCAGGAGGTGCAGGTTGCAGTGAGCAGAGATTGCACCACTGCACTCCAGCCTGGGAGACAGAGCAAGCCTCTGTCTCCAAAAAAAGAAAAAAAAAGGCCGGACACAATGGCTCATGCCTGTAATCTTAGCACTTTGGGAGGCTGAGGCAGGTGGATCACCTGAGGTCAGGAGTTCGAGACCAGCCTGACCAACATGGAGAAACTCTGTCTCTACTATAAATACAAAAAATTAGCCAGGCATGGGCCAGGCGCAGTGGCTCATGCCTGTAATCCCAGCACTTTGGGAGGCCAAGATGGGCGGATCACCTGAGGTCGGGAGTTCGAGACCAGCCTGACCAACATATAGAAACCCTGTCTCTACTAAAATTACAAAATTAGCCAGGTGTGGTGGCACATGCCTATAATCCCAGCTACGCGGGAGGCTGAAGAAGAAGAATCGCTTGAACCTGGGAGACGGAGGTTGCAGTGAGCAGAGATCATGCCACTGCACTCCAGCCTGGGCAACAAGAGCGAAACTCTGTCTCAAAAAAAAAAAAAGAAAGAAAGAAAGAAAAGAAAATAGAAAAAAAAAAAAAGAAAAAGAAACTAGGGCCGGGTGTGGTAGCTCGCACCTGTAATCCCAGCACTTTGGGAGGCCGAGGCAGTCAGATCACCTGAGGTCAGGAGTTCAAGACCAGCCTGGTCAACATGGCGAAACTCCATCTCTACTAAAAACACAAAATTAGCCAGGCATGGTGGCAAGTGCCTGTAGTCCCAGCTACTCAGGAGGCTGAGGCAGGAGAATTGCTTGAAACCAGGAGGCAGAGGTTGCAGTCAGCCAAGATCACGCCACTGCACTGCAGCCTGAGCAACAGAGCGAGACTCAATCTCAAAAAAAAGAAAGAAAGAAAGAAAAAGAAAACTACAGGCCAATATTCCTGATGAACATAAAAATTCTCAAAAAAATGTTAGCAAACCAAACTCAGTAACACATTAAAAAGATCGTTCACCATGATCAAGTGGGATTCATCCCAGGGATACAAATCAATAAACATAATGCATCATATTAACAGAATGAAGAATAAAAACCATATTATCATTTCAATACTTTCTGAAAAAGCATTTGACATAATTCAACATCTCTTTATGATAAAAACTCTCACC
Source organism: Homo sapiens (assembly GCF_000001405.40). Taxonomy (NCBI): domain Eukaryota; kingdom Metazoa; phylum Chordata; class Mammalia; order Primates; family Hominidae; genus Homo; species Homo sapiens. Next base: position 3,336,106 of record NC_000016.10, on the reverse strand, counting down.
ACCTAGGTATAGAAGGCATACACCTCAAAATAATAAAGTCCATATATGACAAACCCACAGCTAACATCATATTGATATGGGGAAAAACTGAAAGCCTTTCCTCTAAGATCTGGAATAAGACAAGCATATCCACTTTTACCACTTGTCTTCAACATAATACTGGAAATCCTGACCAGAGTAATTAGGCAAAAAGAAAGAAATAAAGGGCTTCCAAATTAGAAAGGAAGAAGCGAAGTTAGTCTTGTTTGCACATGACATGATCTTACATTTAGAAAAACCTAAAGACTCCACAAAAAAATTTTTAGAACTAATAAGCAAGTTCAGTAAAGTTGGTAGATACAAAATCAAAATAAAAAGTAGTAGCCCAGTCTTGCCAACATGATGCAACCTAGTCTCTATTAAAAATACAAAAATTAGCTGGATGTGGTGGTGGGCGCCTGTAATCCCAGCTACTGGGGAGGCTGAGGCATAAGACTCACTTGAACCCAGGAGGTGGAGGTTGCAGTGAGCCAATATTGCGCTACTGCACTCCAGCCTGGGCAATAGAGCGAGACTCAATCTCAAAAAAAAAAAAAAAAAAAAAAAAGCAGTAGCATTTATATATGCCAATAACACACAATCTGAAACATGAAAAAGAAATAAAGAAAGCAATCCCACTTGCAATAGCTTCAAATAATATATAACACCTAGGAATCAATTTAACCAAACAAGTAAAAGATTATACAAAGATAACTATAAAACACTGGTGAAAGACACTGAAGAGCATACACACCAAAAAATGGAAACATATTCCATACTCATGTATTGGAAGATTTAAAATTGTTAAAATGACAATACTACCCAAAGCAATTTACAGATTCAATGCAATCTCTATCAAAATGCCAATGACATTCTTCACAGAAATAAGAAAAGAAAATCCTAAAAGTTATACAGACCCACAAAAGACCACTAATAGTAAAAGTAATCCTGAGTATAAAGAACTAAGTGGAGACAGGCATGGTGGCTCACGCCTGTAATCCCAGCACTTTGGGAGGCTGAGGCGGGCAGATCACCTGAGGTCAGGAGCTCAAGACCAGCCTGGCCAACATGGTGAAACCCCGTCTCTACTAAAGATATAAAAATTAGCCAGGCATGGTGGCACACACCTATAATCCCAGCTACTGGGGAGGCTAAGGCAGGAGAATCACTTGAACTCGGGAGGCGGAGGCTGCAGTGAGCCGAGATCAAGCCATTGCACTCCAGCCTGGGCAACAAGAGTGAGACTCTGTCTTAAAAAAAAAAAAAGAACAAAGTGGAAGCATCATGCTAGCTTTCTTCAAAGTATACTACAAAGCTATAATAACCAAATCAGCATGGTACTGGCATAAAAACAGACACATAGGCCAATGGAGCAGAATAGAGAACACAGATTAAATCCATGCATTTATAACCAACTCATTTTCAACAAAGGTGTCAAGAATATACAATGGGAAGGCTGGGCGTGGTGGCTCTTGCCTGTAATCCCTGTACTTTGGGAATAGTTTAGACTCAAGCAATCTGCCCAGCTTGGCCTCCCAATACCTGCACTTTGGGAGGCTGAGTTGGGCAGATTGCTTGAGTCCAGGAGTTCGAGACCAGCCTGGGCAACATGGTAAAACCCTGTCTGTACAAAAACTTAAAAAAAATTAGCAGGCTGTGCTGAGGTGACTCAAGTCTGTAATCCCAGCACTTTGGGAAGCCGAGGCAGGCGGATCACAAGGTCAAGAGATCGAGACCATCCTGGCCAACATGGTGAAACCCCGTCTCTACTAAAAATACAAAAATTAGCTGGGCATGGTGGTACGTGCCTGTCGTCCCAGCTACTCGGGAGGCTGAGGCGGGAGAATCACTGGAACCCGGGAGGCGGAAGTTGCAGTGAGCTGAAGTTGCACCACTGCACTTCAGCCTGGGGAGAGAGTGATACTCCATCTGAAAAAAAAAAAAAAAAATTAGCAAAGCATGGTGGGGCACACGCGTAGTTCCAGCTACTCAGAAGGCTGAGTTAGGAAGATAACCCAAGTCCAGGAGGAGAAGGTTGCAGTGAGCCAAGATTGTGCCACTGCACTCTAGCCTGGGTGACAGAGTGAGACCCTGTCCCCCCACCACCCCAAAAAGAATATATAATGGGGAAAGGACAATCTCTTCAATAAATGGTGCTTGGGAAAGTGGATATACATAGGTAGAATAATAAAACTAGCCCCCTGTCTCTCACCATATACAAAAATCAACTCAAAATGGATTAAAGACTTAAATCTAAGACCTGAAACTATGAAATTACTAGAAGAAATCATGGGGAAAATGCTCCAGGACATTGATCTAGGCAAAGATATTTTTGTGTAAGATCTCAAAAGCACAGGCAACAAGACAAATGAATTACATCCAACTAAAAATCTTTTGTACATCAAAGGAAACAATAAAGTGAAGAGACAACCCATAGAAAATATTTGTAAACTTGGCTGGGCACAGTGGCCCACGCCTGTAATCCCAGCACTTTGGGAGGCCGAGCCGGGCGGATCACGAGGTCAGGAGATTGAGACCATCCTGGCTAACACGGTGAAACCCCGTCTCTACTAAAAATACAAAAAACTAGCCGGGCGCGGTAGTGGGTGCCTGTAGTACCAGCTACTGGGGAGGCTGAGGCAGGAGAATGGCGCGAACCCGGGAGGCGGAGCTTGCAGTGAGCCGAGATCGTGCCACGCACTCCAGCCTGGGCAACAGAGGGAGACTCCGTCTCAAATAAACTAAACTAAAATAAAATAAAAAAAGAAAATATTTGTAAACTCTCCCTCTGACAAGAAACTAAAAACCAATAATATAAGGCACTCAAACAACTCAATAGCAAAAAAAAAAAAAAAAAAAAAAAAAAAAAAAAAAAAATGGGCAAAAGATCCGAATACACATTTCTCAAATGAAGACATAAATATGGCCTACAGGCATATGAAAAAATGTTCAATATCATCAATCATCAGAGAAATGCAAATCAAAACCACAATGAGATATATCTCACCCCAGTTAAAAATGGCTTTAATTTAAAAAGACAGAAAATAACAGCTGCTGGCGAGGATGTGGAGAAAGGTGAACCCTTGTACGCTGTTGTTGGGAATGTAAATTAGTACAGCCAGTATGGAAAACTGTTGGAAGTTCCTCAAAAAAACTAAAAATAGAACTACCATGTGATCTAGCAATTCCACTACTGGATATATATTCAAAAGAAAGGAAGTCAATATATTGAAGAGATATCTGAGTTCCCATGTTTATTGCAACACTATTCATAAAAGCCATAATGTGAAACCGACCTAAGCGTCCATCAATGGATGAATGGATAAAGAAAATGTGGTGTATGTATATGTGCATACATATATATATATGCAATAGAATATTATTATTCAGCCATAAAAAAGAACACAAATCTTGTCATTTGTAGCATCACAGATGGAACTGAAAGTCATTACTGTAAGTGAAATAAGTCAAGCACAGAAACACAAATATCACACGTTTTCACTCACATGTGGGTGCTGATAAAGTGAATCTCATGAAGCCTGAGAAGGTTAGCAAAGGCCAGGAAGGGTAGTGGGGGGGAGGATAAAAAGAGGTTGATTAATTGGTACAAATATACAGTTAGGTAGAAAAAATAAGAACTAGTGTTCAATAGGTCACTAAGGTGACTATAGTCAACAATAATCTATTACACTTTTCAAAATAGCTAGAAGAACGTCTGTAATCCCAGCGCTTTGGGAGGCTGAGTCAGGAGGATGACTTGAGTCCAGGAATTCAAGACCATCCTGGGCAATATGGCAAGACCCTGTCTCTACAAAAAAAAAATTTTTATTTTATTATTTATTTATTTTTTTAATTGATTATTATTATACTTTAAGTTTTAGGGTACATGTGCACAATGTGCAGGTTAGTTACATATGTATACATGTGCCATGCTGGTGCGCTGCACCCACTAACTCGTCATCTAGCATTAGGTATATCTCCCAGTGCTATCCCTCCCCCCTCCCCCCACCCCACAACAGGCCCCAGAGTGAGATGTTCCCCTTCCTGTGTCCTTGTGTTCTCATTGTTCAATTCCCACCTATGAGTGAAAATATGCAGTGTTTGGTTTTTTGTTCTTATGATAGTTTAATGAGAATGATGATTTCCAATTTCATCCATGTCCCTACAAAGGACGTGAACTCATCATTTTTTATGGCTGCATAGTATTCCATGGTGTATATGTGCCACATTTTCTTAATCCAGTCTATCATTGTTGGACATTTGGGTTGGTTCCAAGTCTTTGCTATTGTGAATAATGCCGCAATAAACATACGTGTGCATGTGCCTTTATAGCAGCATGATTTATAGTCCTTTGGGAATATACCCAGTAATGGGATGGCTGGGTCAAATCTACAACTATCTGATCTTTGACAAACCTGACAAAAACAAGCAATGGGGAAAGGATTCTCTATTTAATAAATGGTGCTGGGAAAACTGGCTAGCCATATGGAGAAAGCTGAAACTGGATCCCTTCCTTACACCTTATACAAAAATCAATTCAAGATGGATTAAAGACTTAAACGTTAGACCTAAAACCATAAAAACCCTAGAAGAAAACCTAGGCATTACCATTCAGGACATAGGCATGGGCAAGGACTTCATGTCTAAAACACCAAAAGCAATGGCAACCAAAGCCAAAATTGACAAATGGGATCTAATTAAACTAAAGAGCTTCTGCACAGCAAAAGAAACTACCATCAGAGTGAACAGGCAACCTACAAAATGGGAGAAAATTTTCGCAACCTACTCATCTGACAAAGGGCTGATATCCAGAATCTACAATGAACCCAAACAAATTTACAAGAAAAAAACAAACAACCCCATCAAAAAGTGGGCGAAGGACATAAACAGACACTTCTCAAAAGAAGACATTTATGCAGCCGAAACACACATGAAAAAATGCTCACCATCATTGGCCATCAGAGAAATGCAAATCAAAACCACAATGAGATACCATCTCACACCAGTTAGAATGGCAATCATTAAAAAGTCAGGAAACAACAGGTGCTGGAGAGGATGTGGAGAAATAGCAACACTTTTACACTATTGGTGGGACTGTAAACTAGTTCAACCATTGTGGAAGTCAGTGTGGCTATTCCTCAGGGATCTAGAACTAGAAAAAAAAAATTTTTAATTACAAATTAGCTGGGCCTAGTGGTGCACACCTGTAGTCCTAGCCACTCAGGAGGTTGAGGCAGGATGATCTCTTGAGCCCAGGAATTTGAAATGGCAGTGAGCTGTGACTGTGCCACTGCATGCAGCCTGGGCTACAAAATAAGACTCTGTCTCTAAAAAATAAAAATAAATAGCTAGAAGAGAATAATTCAAATGTTCTTAGCATAAAGAAAATATAAATATTTAATGTGACAGATATACTAATTACTCTCATTTGATGTTTACACATTATATGAATGTATTCAATCATCACATACATACATATATTATGTATCAATAAAAAATAAAGATTATGATGGTTCACAAGGCAAAAAAAAGTTACCTATGTAAAACTCTTTGGCTTTATCTATGCGGGTCTATTTCTGGACTCTCCATTCTGTTCCATTGATCTATGTGTCTATCCCTTTACAAATAGCACACTGTTTTGATTAATGTAGCTTTAGAAAAAGTCTTAAAATCAGCCGGGCATGGTGGCTCACATCTGTAATCCCAGCACTTCGGGAGGCTGAGGCGGGTGGATCACGAGGTCAGGAGATCGAGACCATCCTGGATAACACGATGAAACCCTGTCTCTACTAAAAAAGAAAAAAAATACAAAAAATTAGCTGGGTGTGGTGGCGGGCGCCTATAGTCCCAGCTACTCGGGAGGTTGAGGCAGGAGAATGGCGTGAACCTGGAAGGCAGAGCTTGCAGTGGGCCGAGATCTCACCACTGCACTCCAGCCTGGGCAACAGAGCGAGACACCATCTCAAAACAAAACAAACAAACAAAACAAAAAAACAAAAACAAACACACTTTTTCTTTGATGTTGTTAAATTTTAAGGCCAGGCGCGGTGGCTCATGCCTGTAATCCCAGCACTTTGGGAGGCCGAGGCGGGCGGATCACAAGGTCAGGAGTTTGAGACCAGCCTGGTCAATATGGTGAAACCCCATCTCTACTAAAAATACAAAAATTAGCCAGGCATAATGGCGGGCACCTGTAATCCCAGCTACTCAGGAGGCTGAGGCAGGGGAATCACTTGAACCCGGGAAGCAGAGGTTACAGTGAGCTGAGATTGCGCCACTGCACTCCAGCCTGGGCAACAGAGTGAGACTCCACCTCAAAAAAAAAAAAAAAAAAAAAAAAGGCCGGGCGCCGTGGCTCACGCCTGTAATCCCAGCACTTTGGGAGGCCGAGGTGGGTGGATCATGAGGTCAGGAGATTGAGACCATCCTGGCTAACACAGTGAAACCCCATCTCTACTAAAAATACAAAAAATTAGCCGGGTGTGGTGGCGGGCATCTGTAGTCCCAGCTACTCAGGAGGCTGAGGCAGGAGAATGGCATGAACCTGGGAAGCGGAGCTTGCAGTGAGCTGAGATCGCGCCACTGCACTCCAGCCTGGGCGACAGAGCGAGACTCTGTCTCAAAATAATAATAATAATAATTTACTGTAATGTTTCTAGGTATGCATGTTTTTCCCCCTTTTTGGCCTTTATTCTTATCTATCCTATAAACTCTTTTCGTGGTGTTCTTTTGTCTTTAATCCTGGGACATTCTTGGTCATTCTTCAGATATTTTCTATATTAATTATTGTTTATTTTTCTCTCCTTCTGATACTCCTTCTCACACAAATGCAGGCAGAATGTTTCCATTTCTTCTTCCCGCTCCATAGCTAAGCTGTGTGTGTGTGTGTGTGTGTGTGTGTGTGTGTGTGTGTGTGTGTCTTCCCTCCCATCCCTTCCTGATGCCTTCTAGAGGTGTTCCTCTTTCTGATCTTTCTGCTTACTGATTCCTTATTTGACTGTATCCTTTGGCTCCGTCAGTGAGCCAAGATCATGCCATTGTACTCCTGCCTGGGTGACAAAGTGAGACCCTGCTTCAAATTAATTAATTAATTAATTAATTTTCCTAGTCCACCCAACTGTTTTATTTCATGTGTTGTGTTTACTATTCCCTGTGCACATCAGCTACCTTGGTGATAAAGTAAGTGAAGGAAAGACCAAAGGTCAGGCCCTGGCTGTTCTCCACCAGGCAAGTTTAGACAGGGCGTGGGGCAACACCCTCAGAGCATAGTACTTCTGGCAACACTCTCTGGGCTTGAACTCTTCCTATTTGTCAACCCTGTTTGTCATTGCTCCACCAGGGACCCTGCCTTCAGTTAACGTGGTATGCTTCTGATTTGGGTATGTTCTTTTCAAGAGAGTTGTTGGGATAAGGAGAGGGAGGGTGAGCACAGAACCCCAAAGGGGAGCCAATTTCCTACACCAGTTATTTTCTGCTCTCCATCCTAGTCTGGCTACCTATCCAAGCTTACATTGTCCTCCCAGGAGACAGGTGCTAGGTTTTTGGTTGTTTTTCCTGTCTCACAGTTTTGACAGGCTGATACATAAAAAGTGACCAATAAATATCTTCCCAATGTTGAATGAATGAATGAGCACACAGCGTACATAATTCTCAAAAAGTTTTAGGGAGTAAACTTAGGCGGAGTAATCCTTAGGCAGAGATAAGAACAGAATGAATTTTTGTCAGCAGGTTAATTTAAGTGTTGATTTGAGACTTGCAGAAGGTAATAAACAGTAGCTTATGGCACGAGGAATTCTGGTTGCAAAGAACTCTTGTTTGGCTAAGTATGTTTTTATAAGACCACACTGATAAATTATGGCAAGTATTAACTGGCCATAAAGGATCTTTCACAGCAGTTTGTAGCACACTTCTTGACTATCAGGACACTGGGTGTTAAAGCATAGAGTAACTACTTTAGAAAAACTCCAGACAGAGGATCAAGGTAAGGAAGGAACACTAACCAGGGTAAAGGAGAGAAAATTCCTCATTACAAGGAAGCATGATAACAAATGAGGAAGAAAGTAGAATAGGGATATTAAATTTTGAGGTTCATTTTTCTTCTTAGAAGTTACCCAAATGGGATGGTCAAATGCTAATTAAAACAAAATAAAATCAAGCAGGTTTACTAAGAGGGAGGTGAACTATAATGAAATTTTAATGCTTTGAATATTTATTTACACATTGTTTCAAGAAAAAAAAAATTAAAGCCAATGCAAGTGAGTAAATGAGAAACTCTTCTGAGGGCACTTTGAACTCCTGGGGAGATGCCTGGTGTAATTATTATTAGTTTTTTGTTCAGTAGGCTTTCAGGAAACCACTAATTAACCGATGCCACTGAACTCTTAATGAATGAAGCACTCTGAGGCTTGTTAAAAGTGCAGGAGTAGATTACTTAGTTTCAAGTTAGTAATAACTTGCTCCAGGGATCATCACGGGCATCTAGTATCCCTTCCGGACCACTCTCATTACGAGGCATCTGGGATGCCTGGTGTTCTCATAAATGGATACTCCAGGGAGGAGGTCAAGAGGGTCTTCTTACAAAGCCATCTTGAGAAGTTGTCAGTAAAGTTTTTTGGTCACCCTCTGGGGAAGGGAAAGGCAGCTCCTGTGTTCTCAATGAGCTTTGCTCCTATGGGACAGAGGTCCTCCACTGAGTAGGAACTGTTCCCCAAAGATGGTTTAGGGCAGAGATTGTCAAGAATTATCTCTTACAAACTGAACTATTTAAGGGTGAAATGTTAGAATGTCTGAGATTTACTTTAAAATACTCCAAAGTAAACCAACAACCCTCTAAATGCAAAAAATAAAAAAACTGGAGGGGATAAATGAAACAAGATTGGCAAAATGTTGGTGATTTTTAAGGCCTTGAGGGGGTTCATTATACTATTCTCTTTATAATTATATATATGTTTGATAACTTCCATAAGAAAAACCTCTAAGTGGGTACATATAAAAGGATTGTCCATTTCCTATATATATTATTTTAAATCAGTTATTACTCTATGTATTTATTAGAATTATTTCGGTTACAATGAACAGAAACCCCAATTCACATTGGCTTAAACAATAAAGGGAATGTATAGATTCACGTAGCTGAAAAGTACTGGGCAGTTCTAGGTATGAGGTGATGCTTGATCCTACAGCTCAATGATGTTACCAAGGACTGAATTTCTATCACTCTATTCTGCTTTCTATGATGCTGATTTCATCCTAAGGCTCATCTATGTCCCAGTTTCAAGAAGATTGTGAACAGCTACTGGGTTACATGCGTCATCCAGCAAGAGCTGGATTTGTTCTAGCATCTCCAAGAAAAGTCCCAATAGGACCAGCTTAAGGCCATATGCCTAACCCTGAGCCATTGTCTAACCAAGGAGGTAGAATCTTTCTCTTACTGAGGTTGGGTCACATTCTCCATTCCTGGAAACCAGGATCAGGAACCTCTCAGATCTCCAAATGGAATCAGGATTGACAGAGAGGAAAAAGGGTGAAACGGATGTTAGGAGGCAGTCAACAAATGTCTGCTACACTCCCCAAGTGTAAAGCTTCTAGTTGAATAGAACAGAGGGCACTGAACCATATCTTCTAAAACTGCAATAGAGGTGTGAATCTGTGGTCAGAGATCAGGGACCTGGATGGTCTGTAGAAGTGGAAGATTTCCTTAAGGCAGTGTCTGGTGTGGATGGGAATGGTTTTGAGAGGGTAATGTGCTTCATTTTGGAGAGTGTATTTACTTCCGAAAGAAAGACATCATTTTGCCTGGTGTAGGGTGAGTGCTGGGTTTGTTCTCGGCGTCCCAGGCTGTCATCATAAGAATGCACTTGAGCCAGGCACGGTGGCTCACGCCTGTAATCCCAGCACTTTGGGAGGGCGAGGCGGGCCAATCACGAGGTCTGGAGTTTAAGACCAGCCTGACAAACATGGTGAAACCCTGTCTCTACTAAAAATAAAAAAATTAGCCAGGCTTGGTGGCGCACATCTGTAATCCCAGCTACTCAGGAGACTGAGGCAGGAGAATTGCTTGAACCCAGGAGACAGAGCTTGCATTGAGCCGAGATCGCACCACTGCACTCCAGCCTGGGCAACAGAGTGAGACTTTGCCTAAAAAAAAAAAAAAAAAAAGAATGCACTTGAGCACTCTTGCAGTATAATACCTCCATGCTTTGGAGATAATCTCCATCACTAATACTCACATCAGGCACCTACATGCCTCATTTAGCATGGCAATTTGAGAAATATTTTATATTTTTACATTTTTTCCCTTTTACACCAACAAAGCAAAAACATAGTGAAAAACATCTTAATATTTAAAAATATATACACTTAAGATATCTACCTATATGAGATATAGGTATCCATAGAGTTTATTCACATATGTATTAATATACAGGCATACCTTATTGTGCCTTACTTTGTGACACTTCACAGATATTGTATTTTTTATGAATTGAAGGTTTGTGGCAAGCCTGTGATGAGCAAGTCTATCGCTGCCATTTTTCCAACAGCACACACTCACTTCATATCTCCATGCCAGTATTTTTAAAGTGTATATATATATATATATATATATATATATATATATATATATATATTTTTAGACATAATGCAATTACACCCTTAAAGACTATACTACAGGCCAGGTGTGATGGCTCATACTTGTAATCCCAGCACTTTGGGAAGCCAAGGCAGGAGGATCACTTAAGCCCACGAGTTTGAGACCAGCCTGGGCGACATAGTAAGACCCCTATCTCTATTAAAAAATAAGTAAATAGGCTGGGCACAGTGGCTCAGGCCTGTAATCCCAGCACATTGGGAGGCTGAGGGTGGCTAATCGGTTGAGGCCAGGAGTTCAAGACCAGCCTGGCCAACATGGTGAAACCCCATCTCTACTAAAAATAAAAAAATTAGCTGGGCCTGGTGGCAGGTGCCTGTAATCCCAGCTACTTCAGAGGCTGAGACAAAAGAACCACTTGAACCTGGGAGGCAGAGGTTGCAGGGAACTGAGATCATGCCATTGCACTCCAGTCTGGGTGACAGAGTGAGGCTCTGTCTCAAAACATAAAACACAATACAATACAATACAAAACTGAAAAATAAAAAAGACTACAGTACAGTGTAAATATAACTTTTTTATATGTACTGGAAAACCAAAAAATTTGTGTGACTCACTTCATTCTGATATTCATGTTATTGCATGGGCCTGGAACCAAACCTGCAATATATTTGAGGTAAGCATATATATGTATATGTAAGTATGTATATGTATGTATGTACATATATATACGTGTGTGTGTGTGTAGGAGCTAGGTGTGATGGCATGCACCTGCAGTCCCAGATTTGGGGAGGTTTAGGCAGGAGGATCACTTGAGTCCAGGAGTTCGAGGCCAGCCTGGGCAACATATCAAGACTCCCATCTCTAACATATTTATAAAACAAACATACGTAGAGAGAAATCCATTACAACACTGAGCAGTTTAGTTAGATATTTTTCTCATGGTTGCTTGGTCAATTCAGTAGAGTGAGTACTTTGATTTGGTCCCAGAACATGAGGCTGATGCATCATAATGTGCTTTCTTCAACTCAATGGCCTTTGCCCATCTATTAACTCTGCTATGCAGGTGAATTGCCTGAGCTCAGGAGTTCGAGACCAGCCTGGGAAACACGTTGAAACCCTATCTCTATTAAAACACAAAAAATTAGCCAGGTGTGGTGGTGCACACCTGTGGTGCCAGCTACTTGGGAAGCATGAGGCCCGAGAATTGCTTGAACTGGGGAGGAGGTTGCAGTGAGCCGAGACCGGGCAACTGCACTCCAGCCTGGGGGATAGAGTGAGGCTCTGTCTCCAAAAAATAAAATAAAAAATTTTTTTTCCTAACTCTTCTGTGTAACAAGCTGTTGTTCCCTATGCTACTAAATATTTTAGGAATTTTTCTAATGCTACAAATATTTAATTTTGTCTTTGTGAACAGTAAAGATCTTTTACTTTTTGATTGTTTCAAATGCTTTGAAATCATTCAGTTGATTGTACAAATCATGGGCAAATGCTTAGTGTGAAAATTATGTTGGAAGTATACCTATTGGTTTTAAAAATTCAACAGTAAGGATCAGCAGCTACAACACTAGAAAGATGGCAGAGCAAAAGCAAAGAAAAATCCCTTTGGTTCCAGAAAATCTCCTGAAAAAGAGGAAGGCTTATCAAGTCCTCAAAGCCACTCAGACAAAGCAGGCACTTTTGGCAAAGAAGGAGCAGCGGAAAGGAAAAGGGCTCAGGTTTAAGGGACTGGAATCATTCCTACATAATTCCTGGTGGCAGAAATGTGACAAGGTGTGTCTCAGATGACTAGAAATGAAACCTCGTGCCTTGGAATTGCCAGATAAACATTCCTTGGCCTTTGTTGTATGCAGCAAAAGGATTGTTGGCGTGAGTCTACTGGTGCAGACAGCCATTGCAAGACTTCATCTTAAGAAAATTTTTAGTGGTGTCTTTGTAAAAGTCACCCCCCAGAACCTAAAAATGCTGCGTATAGTGGAACCTTATGTGATCTGGGGATTTCCAAATCTGAAGTCTGTCCGGGAATTCATTCTGAAACATGGACAAGCCAAGGTCAATAAGAACACCATCCCTCTGACAGACAACACAGTGATTGAGGAGCACCTGGGGAAGTTTGGTGTCATTTGCTTGGAAGACCTCATTCATGAAATTGCCTCCCAGTGAAGCATTTCCAGGAGATCTCATGGTTCTTTTGCCCTTTCCACCTCTCAGTGGTCCATCATGCTACCAAAAATACAGTGGGCTTCCTCAAGGAGATGGGCACATCTGGCTATTGGGGTGAATGCATCAATCAGCTCATCTGCCAGCTGAACTAGACCCAGGTGCCAAACTGCAGTAAATTTTTATCAATGAAGTGGAAGCATGTGTTTTTGTTTTTTTGAGATTTTTTTTATCAAGTATCTTCAAAGACTATTTCCTGCTTTATCTTCAAAAACTGGAAAGGAAGGGTTAAAAAAAAAGACAGTAGCTTAGGTTCATGGCAAGTACCTCTCATCACAGTCCAGTTCCAAGGAAAAATTCCAGCATTTTCTACATTGGCTGCCTCCTTGTCGGCGGAAGTAGTCCTGCTTTGTTGAATCTTCTATCCTAGGGTTTAATGTTGGTGAATGAGTAACTCTAGCATTTGTACAAGGCTTCCTAAGACTCCGGGAGCAGTCGACCAAGCCCAGGGACATAATTGAATCTGGAGATTCCTGGGTCCTTGTTTTGAAAAAGACTTGAAATACACATAGGAAGAAAGGCCCAAAAATAAATGTTAACTTGTCAAAAAAAAAAATTTCAACAGTAAGCTTTCTTAGTTTCTCCTAAAAGGTGCATCATATCCAAACACTGTAAAGCTTGATTTTTAATGTCAGCGCTAAGATTGGTGCAACTCAAGATTCATTATCTGAACTGTGGCAGAAATGAAAAGTGATTCAGATAGTTTTCTTAAATCTGAAATGCAATGCAAAAGGTAGCTTGCTTAATTCCTTTCACAGGAGGGATTCAGACTAGGCGAACTGCTTTAGGCAAAGTACACGCATTATCAGATTTGGGTGAATCGTACAGGAGAAAAGCCTTACAGACGCTCGACTGAAGAAGGCATTTCAGTACAGCCCAACTACCATTGCCCAGTGGAGGATTAATACATGAAGGAAACCTAGGCATGTAGCAAATTTGGTTGATGTTTCAAACAGTGCCCTCATCTCGGTCCCCAGTGAACCCACACAAGAAAAAGTGACAGGTGTAGAAAAGATTCAGAAACAAAAGTATGCTTTTTGTTTGGGTGGATTTCTACTGGGACAAACAGTAGAAACGTGAAGTATGGGCAAAACTTTGTTTCCCACTTGAGGGGACTTCAGAGAGTCTACATAGGAGAGAATTCAGTCCACAGAGAATGTGGGGAGAGCTTCAGCAAGTATTTATGCACTAGAAAACCTCCAAGAGAAGAGTAACAGGGCAGCCTTCATCACACATGACAGGGAGGAGTGACCAGGAAATGCTGGAGTAAATGCTTCAGTGGCATGACTCAACAAATATTTGGAAAATCCTTTATGAACTCCCATCTTTTGTTACCAATTGTCCATTTGGATAAAAGAGGCTGCTGGGCGTTCTTCCTCAAACTTACCTGGGAAATTAAACACTGTTCTCAGTAGTTCCAAAAGTTAACAGAAACCCTAGGAGTTTTAGTTTTGAGATTTACTTTGATTCTAAGCCCCTCCTGTTCTTCCCCTCCAGTTAAAAGATATCTGAGGTTGGGCATGGTGGCTCATGCCTGTAATCTCAGTACTTTGGGAGGCCAATGCAGGAGGATCACTTGAGCTTAGGAGTTCAAGATCAGCCTGGGCAACATAGCAAGACCTCATCTCTACTAAAAGTAAAAAAATAATAACCCAGGCATGGTGGCACGTGCCTGGAGTCCCAGATACTCAGAAGGCTGAGGTGGGAGGATTGCTTGAGACTGGGAGATCGAGGCTGTGGTGAGCCCCAGCCTGGGCAACAGAGACCCTTGTCTCAAAAATAAAATATATCTGAGGTTCTCAAGGTGAGCTCAAGGTCCAGTCTGCTTAACGGCAGGGAGAACTCTAGGTCTGGGATGGTCCCAGCACTGAACTTAGACTAGTGCAGGGGACAGGTCAGGAGACTAGACGGGGTCAATGATACAGTTCTCTGAAATAACCGTGAAGCCACGGTAAGGCTGCTATCTGAACATGCTAAAATAAAGCATCCTTCTTGTTTCCTGGAAATCATCTGCCGGTTTATGGAGGACATATTTGTGCATTTAGTACTAATTAGTGCATTTAGTACTAATGTTTAAGGCTAAACCTAGGATTATGTGTCTCTCATTTCATTTTTAAAGCAAGCCTCAATAGATTTTAATATCATGGTTTAAGTAATTTGTTCTCATATCATCTGATATCATTTTAGTAATCCAATCTCATCTCAAGCTACAGAAATCCCTTCTTCCACTCCCCACCCCACAAATTCCAAGGTTGTTATGAGACATCATGTTATGTGCAGCAGCTGGGTACTGGCTAAGCTACGACTTTCCCCCTGGAGGATTCTCACTCCACAGGTGGAACTGTCTTGCTCCTGCCTCCCTGCCCAAGTTTCTCCCCAGTTGTCCGTCATCCCTTAGTCCAGGAAGATAGCCACCTTACTGTCTACACTGATCTGGACAAATTTGCTTTTGCCCTATATCTCATCTGTTTTCTGAGGCACAACTCACTGAAGATACAACAGAGGTAGTTAACAAACCATTCTTTGAAATCTCCTGCATGCATATGAGGAAGGCAATCCCTACCCCCTAACCCCCACCATAGCCCATTCATCAATAGCAATGCCTGTTTTGTGCATGAGGCAACGCGCAGGGAGACAAAGAATAAGGGAAGTGGAATAAGGCCAGATAGGGAAGGAGGGTTGCCTTGTCCCCTTGAACTGACCTCCCATAAGATTTGTCCAAGACAGCAATGTCTTTCTTCCCTATCATCTACAGTCTTGGGAGGTCTTAAGTGGTCCCATTAGTGTTGCATCAGCTCAGTTTAGTATCCACGGGAAGCCAGGTCTCTTTTGAGGGCCAAAGGCTAGGCAGAATGAAAATGGAAAGGTCCAGAGCTCCAGCAAAACAGTCACTCCCCCAGCTGCCCTTTTCCAAGCTCTATTAAGATAGGCCAGGTTGGCCAGGTGCGGTGGCTCACGCCTGTAATCCCGGCACTTTGGGAGGCCGAGGCGGGTGGATCACGAGGTCAGGAGACCAAGACCATCCTGGCTAACAAGGTGAAACCCCATCTCTACTAAAAATACAAAAATTAGCCAGGCGTGGTGGCGGGTACCTGTAGTCCCAGCAACTTGGGAGGCTGAGGCAGGAGAATGGCATGAACCCAGGAGGCGGAGCTTGCAGTGAGCTGACATTGCGCCACTGCACTCCAGCCTGGGCAACAGAGCGAGACTCCGTCTCAAGAAAAAAAAAAAAGATAGGGCAGGTTATGCTACAGAAACACATAGCACCAATGTCTCAGTGATTTAACAGAACAAATGTTTATTTCTTGTTCTCACAAAGTTCACTATAGGTCTGGAGACTCTTGGGAATAGCCGCCCTCCATGCAGTGGCTCAGTGTTCTGGACTGCTTTGATTTCATGGCTGCTCTCTCTGTATGTGGTTCCATGATTAAGGCAGGAAAGGAGAGCACTGGCCTTGTACCAGCAAAAAAATAAAAAAAAAAATAAAAAAAAAAAAATGAAAAGCTTCAGCCAGAGGCTCACAATGCTCACAACTCATTGACCAAAACTATCTCATACCCGTCTTAGAGCAAGGAGCAGGAAAGCAAAACCATTCTTCTTACTGTTCACTGGAATACAAGTTCCATGAGGGGATGCAATTTTGTCTCTTGGCCACTCCTGTGTCCTCAGAGTATAGGACAGTGCCTGACACATCATAGGCCTTCATTAAATTGAACAGAATGAATGAATGTAGGGCCAGAAAGAAAGCCACACATGATCTGGGAGAAGAAACAGAATCCTGGAGGTCTTAAGTTAAGGTGGTGCTGGGTAAGAGCTATGTAGACCAGAGCTCCAGAGTTGGCTGTACTTAAGAAACAATTAGTATAGGCTGGGCACAGTGGCTCATGCATGTAATCCCAGCACTTTGGGAGGCCGAGGCGGGTGGATCACTTGAGGTCAGGAGTTCGAGACCAGCCTGCTCAACATGGTGAAACCCCGTCTCTACTAAAAATACAAAAAATTAGCCAGGCGTGGTGGTGGGTGCCTGTAATCCCAGCTACTCTGGAGGCTGAGGCAGAAGAATTGCTTGAATCTGGGAGGTGGAGGATGCAATGAGCTGAGATCACACCATTGCACTCCAGCCTGAGTGACAAGAGCGAAACTCTGTCTCAAAAAAAATAAAATAAGAGGTTTGGAAGAGGTCAGTTATTTAACCCCTTTCCTGATATACCTAAGAGCTCTAAAAGGAATGCACCTGAGTCACTGCTGTAGCTAAACAAGCAAGTTGTAAGAAAATCCATAGGCTATACAGACTTTTGGCAATCCATCAAATTTATCACCTGAGGCTGCTGTTAAATGCTGTGCTGGAAAGAACAAAGACAGGTAGAGCTTACAGGACAGGACAGAACAACATGGATGTAGATTTGCTCATCCTCGCCCAACACTTAGCACCAGTGCCCAAATCTTTTATTTAGGGAACCGTCTCCTGCTGACTACATGTCCAGGTCTCCATGCCAAATGAGCCACAGGATCCTGCCTGCAGCACACACACTCCAACTCCCATGGAAATTAAGTCTCTCATTCTTAACAACAAAGAAAAGCCAATTAAAAAGTAAACAAACAAAACTGAGAAGTTGATCTTAATTCCCACTAATTCTCTTTCAGGCCTTGGGCAAGTACTAATTTTTATAGCTGCTTTATCCTACTGACATTGCAAGGCAGGGATTAACAAGTCTAGTTTCTTTTATTGCAGAAAATTCTTTACATCTAATATATATTCCATGGCTACAAATTCCAACCCGTTTCCCCCATGATTCCATTAGAGATGTCTTCTATTTTCCAAACATCACCAATGAGAGGCATAAGACAGTGCATTAATAGTTCATCTGGAGATTCCCTAGTGGTGGTTAACAAGATTTCATCACAGTAAAAAACTGTGATAACAGGATCCAAGAGAAGTTGCCGAAAAGTTTAAGAAGGAACTCAAGTGATGTCCAACTTTGCAAACCGTGTCCAATGACAAAAGAAAGAAAATCCAATTTGGTTCCTGGAACACTTTACATTGTAATTCATTTCGGCCTCATGAGACTATGGAAATTGGTAAGCCTGCTACTGTGAAGAGAATGGTATGCAATTAAACATGCATGTTACTGCTTTTTGTTTTGGAAGACCATGCTGCCAATGTTTCTATTGGATGTGTTCAAAAATGACTGGAGAGATCAATACAAAGCCAACAATGTTTACTTCTGTGACCACAGAAGACTACTGAGTGGCTGCAGAGCAAGTCTTGATTATTTTCTGTGAAATGTATGTTTATCCCATTTTCTGATGTAAAATTTTTCAAGGTTTGTGATTTTTCTTTTACATAAATTTTAGTGCCAAGCTCCATTTGGTGAATGTCTTCAGAATGAGGACACTGGACAAGCTTCTCTTCACAGGTGGAGTTTCTGGTGTCTAAGAAGGCTTGACCGCCTGCTGAAGTTTCTCCTGCATATGCTACAAGTATATGGCTGCTCACCTGTGTGGGTTCTCCGGTGTTTAATAAGGTGGGAGTTCTGACTGAATTTTTTTCCACATTCATGACATGTGAAGGGCTTTTCTCCTGTATGAGTTCTTTGGTGTGTATGTAAATTTGTATTTTGACTGAAGCTTTTCCCACACCATGAACATTTATATGGTTTTATTCCTTGGTGTGTTGTTAAGTGCTTATTAAGATCTGAACTCCATCTAAACCTCTTATCACACTGTTGACATTTATAGGGTTTCTCTTCAGTGTGAATTCTTTGGTGCTTAATAAGGTCAGAGCTAACTCTGAAGGTTTTCCCACATTCCTGACATTTAAAAGGCTTCTCTCTTGCACAATCTTTCTTGTGACGATCCATAAGTTTGAGCAGCTCTTGTTTCCAGGTTGAAAGTTTCTTTCTTTTCTTCACTGGAAAATCTTGGTGCCATTTTCCCACTCTGTGCATATCAAAATGATTTTCTTTGCCTGCTGTTTTCTGGGGAACTTTTACTTTGGCCTTTTTTGATATGACGCCTGCTGATGCTTGTATTTCTAAGTCAGAAAGAGACACAGGCTGATGATTTTCAGTGTCGTTTTTGAGCTTTAACCCTGTTGGAATAAACATAATCACACATCTGTATCCCAGAACAAGCAAATCACAGGAATAAAAAGAAAAATTCAATGATTAAAAAAAAAAGGAACAAAATCTTAAAATGTTAAGCCCTTGCAAAAGTTCACATCAAGGCACATTTCTCCACTTCCCATGGTATATTTACCTGTAGGAGATTTTCCGGCACTATCCTTAAACTCCGGGGATACTTGAACCCATGGCTCTTCCCCTTGCTCTAGACAGGAGATCACTTTAGGTTTGGGGAGCACAAACAATGCTGTCAAATGGACAAAATGAGGTCAAGGACTGGTAACTTAACAGTGAACTGGTCCACTAATCCCAGACTGTTTCAGGATGACCAAAGACATTTTACAATTTGTTACTCCAAATGGTTAAATGGATAGACTCCAAGATTAAGTATCACGTTTATACTATGTTATACTTATAGGTAGCTATGCAAAGCAGAGACTAAGAAATAAATCTACGGTGGATCAATGAAAAGGATATAGGGAATGGGAATCCAGTACATGTTCTCTCTCTTTTGCCATCAATACCCTATATCCAACCAAGGGGGAACCAAGCTCCAGAAGTTGCAGGGAATATAAGCTGGTCTTATTAACTCTTCAGAAGGACTCAGCCTGGATAAGACCAGGTATGGCAAAGCCAATGTGAAGGACGCTGACTTGAGTATCATAAGCACAAGTGATTACTATTATAATTACAGCTACTTTTTATTTAGCCTTTATTCCTTAGCCACTGGCCCTCAACTAGGATAGATTTCTACCATTCCTATAGATTACTGGTTCATATGCAGGTAGAAGAAATAGACCAAAATCACTTGGTGAAGTTTCTCTAATTACGGATTACAAGGTATGAAACTCTCTCACTCATTCATTCAACAAACATGTATTGAGTGGCTATGGTGTGTTAGGCACTGCTCGAGGGCTAGGGATATAGTAGTGAAGAAGACCCCTGATTTCACGGACTTTACATTACAGTAGAGGGATGGCACAATCAATCAATAAACAAAATAATGTCAGGGAGTGATAAATGTTTTAAAGAAAATTAAATCACGGTAAAGAGTATTTAAGATTCTGCTCCTGTAAAGCTATTTTAGATAAGGTCTTGTGGGACACCTCTTTGAGAAAGTAATACTTGAGCAGAAACCTAAAAGTGAGTTTTGTCACATGGCAGAAAAGTATGCAAGGCAAAGGAAAAGTAGAAATGAGCCTGGCGAGTTCAAGTAACAGAAAGACAACCAGTGTGGCTAAGGACTGAGTGCACAAGCGCACCAGTAGCAGGACACATGTGCAAAGAACTCCATAGGAGCCAGACCATGGAGGGTCCTGAGGCCTTGGTAAGAAGTTTAGATTTTTCTCCAAATATGGTTAGGAAGTAACCACAGGCTTCTGAAACAAGGAAATGCAACGATCTGATCAGGTTTTCAAAAAATCAGTTGGGGTTCTGTGTAGAAAACAGACTGTGGGAGGACAAGAGCGAAGGCAGGGGGACCTGTTAGAAAGCTACTGACATTGATCTGCTTCAAGATGACACTGGCTTAGATCAGGATGCTGGCAGTGCAAGGGGCTGAAACATGGTTGCAGTCAGGATATGTCAAAGTAGAGCTAAGAAAACTTGCTAATGAATTAACAGTGGGGTATGATGGCAAGATCAGGGTAAAAGATGACAGTACTAGCTGGGCACGGTGGCTCACGCCTATAATCCCAGCACTTTGGGAGGCCAAGGCAGGTGGATCACAAGGTCAGGAGATGGAGACCATCCTGGTTAACATGATGAAACCCTATCTCTACTAAAAAAATACAAAAAAAATTAGCTGGGCATGGTGGCGGGCACCTGTAGTCTCAGCTACTTGGGAGGCTGACGCAGGAGAATGGCATGAACCCGGGAGGCAGAGCTTGCACTGAGCTGAGATCGCACCACTGCACTCCAGCCTGGGCGACAGAGCGAGGCTCCATCTCAAAAAAAAAAAAAAAAAAAAACATGACAGTACTTTGTTTGCCCTGAGCAACTGGATAATGCTGATGCCCCTTACTGAGATGGGAAAAACATGATGGAGAAGGTTTGGGGAAAGGGAAAGGGAAGGGATCAAGATCTCCACGTAGGACAAGGAATGAGCACGTACATCTGGAAAAGCTCCCCAGGTGATCTGGATACACCACCTACACCCTCCGCTACACTATCTAGTTGAGAATCAACCAGCTCCTGGAACACTGAGACCCTCTCACAGAGGTTCATTCTCAGTAAACTGAGAACAGATTGCTCAACTTCTACACAAAAAGAAGGGAGAATCTTTACCTAGACAAATGACAGTCTTACAGTTTTCCTGCATTACATCATTGTAGAGGGCCTTCTGAGTGTAATCCAGTAACTCCAATTCTTCCTGAGAAAAATATATGGCCACTTCTTCAAATGTCAACAAGCTCTAAAGAAGAGAATGGACTTCAGCTCTGAACTTGCCACTGCAGAAGCAGCCTAACTGCGTATGAACTGCATGGTAGGCCAGGTGCTAAAGAAATTAACAGAATACGATTTAAGAAAAAAAAAGGCGGGGGCCCACGGGGGCGAAGGCAGAAGAAAAGGAGCCAAGGGATCAGCAAACAGCCTAGGAGGTACCCAGTTCCCTCTGGGCCAAGCCTAATTGTCCAGGGTAGAACCTCTGGGGCTAACATGCCTCAGGGCACATGCTGGGCAGTGTGGGTCTTGGGCAGCAGGGAAAGGCAGATAAGGTCATGCTCAGGTAGCCCTACACTGCTGGAAAGCACAGCTCAACTGGGACTGAGGCAAGAGGAGCTCAGGTGCCACTGTCCAGTCTTTGGTGTTTGTCTGCTCAGGAAAGACTAAAATCTGTTGAGCAGGCACAGCTGTGGGTGGAAAAGAGCCAGAGGATATTTCTCTTGTTTCTATGATCATCCTTAGCTCATTTCTAAAATACAGAAAATCCTGATTCTTTCTGGAAAGATAGGACACCTTTTTAAGAGTGTGTATGGTAACCACTTGGTTCTTTGTAAATTAGAACCAAGTGTCTACCAGCCCCTAGAACCGGTTCCCCAGATGATTATCCTCAGTTTTCAAGAGGAAAGTTAATAAAAAGATATATATATATAGCGTTTTTTCCCCTTGCATGATATACATTTTTCTGAGTTGAGCAAAACTTAGATGTACTCAATTTGAAAATGAAGTATTCAGGAAGCCCAGTGTGCCAAATAAAATGAAACAAGAGGGTAAAAATGAACTTGACAAATTCAATTAACAGCAAGGAGACTAGCTAAGTGGCTGGTGAGGACTGAGCAAGGGCTTCAGTAGCAAATGAGGGCAGACAGATGAGCAGGAACCAGACTGTAGAGTGTCCTGGAGCCCTGGTAATATCAGACTTTTTTTTCTGAATGTAAGTGACCACATGCTTTTGAGGAAAGGAAATGTCATGATCTGATTAGGTTTTTAAAAGATCAATCTAGCTTCTGTATAGAAAACAGACTGTGGAAGGGCACAAGGAGATGCAGGCGCACCTGTTAAAAAGCTACGCATGTATGCCTGGTTCAAGATGACACTGGCTTACACCAGGATGCTAACAGTGCAAGAAGATGAGACATTGTTGCAGTCAGGATATGTCAAAGTAAAGCTAAGAAAACTTGCTAATGAATTAACAGTGGGGTATGATGACAAGATCAGAATAAAGGAAAACTGTTACTTTGTATGCCTTGAGCCACTGGATAATGAATGTGCCCCTTACTGAGATAAGTAAGACACAGAAGAGGAAGTTTGGTGGAAAAGAGAAGGAAAGGATAAAGGACTCAATGTGGGATAAGCAATCGGCATGTACATTTGGAAAAAGCTCCACAGGTGATCTGGATACACTACCTACACCCTCCCCTATACCATCTAGATGAGAATCAACCAGCTCCTGGAACAGTAAGACACCCCTCACTGGGGTTCCTTCTCAGTAAGCCAAGAATAGAGTACTCAACTACATAAAGGGAAGGGAAAATCTTTACCTAGAGAGATGACAGTCTCATAGTTTTCCTGCATTACATCATTGTAGAGGGCCTTCTGAGTGGGATCCAATAACTCCCATTCTTCCTGGGAAAAATACATGGCCACTTCTTCAAATGTCAACAAGCTCTAAAGAAGAGAATGGACTTCAGCTCAGAACCTGCCACTGTACAGAAGCAGCCTAGCCACCTGGCTATGAATTGGCCAGGCGATAAAGGAATTAAAAGAACATGATTTTTTTAAGTGAGAAGGCAGAAAAAAAGGAGAAAAGGCGTCAGCCCACAGCCTGGGAGGTACCCAGTTGCCCAGAGAACACCCGGGACTAACACACCTCTGAACCCCTCCTGGACAGTATTAATCATACATAGCAGAGAAAGGTAGCCCTCAACAGCTGGAAAGCACAGCTCACCTGGGACTCAGGCAAGACGTGCTCAGGTGTCACTGTCCAGTCTTTGGTGTTTGTTTGCTCAGGAAAAGCTAGAATCTGTTGAGTAGGCACAGCTGTGGGGGGAAAAGAGCCAGAAGAAATCTCTTTTATCTATAAACATCCTGAGCTCATTTCTAAAACACTGATCCTGACTTTTTAAGTACAGATGGGACACCTTTACACGTGTGGTGTGTGTGATGCCTGAAGCAGTCTCTTCATAAATAAGAATCAAATATCCACCAGCCCCTAGAACTAGTTCCCCAACTAAATGTTTCCTCAGTTTTCATCAGAGAAATAAAAGGGAAATCCCTTTTTCCTCTCATATTTTTCTGAGTTAGGCAAAAATTAAAGATATCTTAAAATGAAGTACTCAGGGACTCCACTGTATGGTAGGAGATGAAGTTTTTTGTCTTTTATTATGTTTTTCCTGGTACACAACTGTTTTCACATTCTGCCACTAACAGCCCATCTGATCTCAATTCCTTCTGTATTTTACAAGGATGAAGTGGCCCCAAGCCTTCCCACTCCATTTCTTTCCTTCCTCTCCACTAGTCTAAGGAACAGAGTTCACACTGTTATTACCAAGAGTTCTGTGGTTTAGATATTTCTGTTCTCTAGGCCTACTCCCACTTTCATCCACAGTTGGCATTTCTACTGCTGCCTGGAAGGACATCATAGTTGCTATCAAGGCTGGTTTTACAAATCCACAGAGCAGGGTATTCAAAAAATGCCCATGACATTTTGGGTGAATAAACTATTATCACAGCTCCCAGGAGAAGAAAATTATCATGAAGCTCCTTACCCCTCTCATACACAGGCTCAGTCTCTTTATGAGTATTCCTGCTGAGCTGTTCTTGCAGACCCTCGTATGTATTCCAAAATTCTTCATCTTGGGATACGCCCACTGGTTGGGACTCTGTTGGCTTCAGCCCGAAACTTGAGGCCTCTGCTGTTTCTCCCAAGAGCACTGCCTCCTTTCCCAGCTCATGGACTGCAACCTAGAAATAATTCCCATCCTTGTTACCACAGAACTTACTTTTGGTTTGTGGGGGTGGAGGCAGAGCGACAGGTGTACAGCCCACATTGTGGGTAGTATAAGACACTAAAAAAAATGACAAAAAAAGGCTTAAAGAGATACTGGGCCACCAATGCTCCACAAATGACTATACACAAATATGAGAAAACTAGGGTGAAAGGAAACAAACTGTGGTGCCTGCCAGCCCTTTAACACAGCAGCTTCTACTCCTCTGTATACGGTCTAGGTCAGGCCACTGGCAGGGTTGGGCAGCCCACTCATTTTTTTTTTTTTTTTTGAGATGAGTTTTGCTCTTGTTGCCCAGGCTGGGGTGCAAAGGCATAATCTCGGCTCACTGCTACCTCTGCCTCCTGGGTTCAAGTGATTCTCCTGCCTCAGCCTTCCAAGTAGCTGGGATTACAGGTATGCACCACCACGCCTGGCTAATTTTTGCATTTTTAGTAGAGACGGGGTTTCTTCATGTTGGTCAAGCTGGTCTCAAACTCCCAAACTCAGGTAATCTGCCCACCTCAGCCTCCCAAAGTGCTGGGATTATAGGTGTGAGCCATTGTGCCCAGCCAGGCAGGCCACTCATTCTAATACTGTCTTGTCAGGCCTTTTCTGTTGACTTCAATCCCACAGTTGTGGTTTTCTGTCTTCTAGTTTTCTCTAAAATTCAAATAAATGAATTTAAAAGTTTTCCTGTCAGCCTGATTATCCCTATAGCCAGCGAAGGTTTTCAGAGAATGGGGATAGAATGGAGAAAAAAGGGGAGTGGCTCCAACCTACCTCCAGATGATTCTGACACCAAACATAGGTCCTGCCCTGTATTCTTCCCAGCAGACCCGAGGTCAGCAGATGTGTCGCCACCCACCAAGTTCATACCCTGGCTCCCAACTTGTCAGCAGAGCCAAGGAACAAGCATTAAGGGAAGGCAGTAGAGACTTTCATCTACTATAGGGAGGACATTACCCATCAGTGCATTTCCTGTCCTTGGCTATTCTGTTGGGATTTTTCTTTTTTCCAAATCTTTGTTTCCCTTTTTTCTATGTTTTCTTTTCTTGTGCAGTCTTCCCCTAGTTGTTTTTTTTGTTTGTTTGTTTTGTTTTGAGACGGGGGTCTCACTCTGTCACCCAGGCTGGGGTACAGTGGTACAATCATGGCTCACTGCAGTCTCATCCTCCCCAGGCTCAGGTGATCCTCCCACCTCAGCCTCCCGAGTGGCTGGGACTACAGGCACACGCCACCATGCCCAGCTGATTTTTGTATTTTTTGTAGAGACTGAGCTTCACCATGTTGCCCAGGCTGGATTTTTCCTAATTTTTAAAAACATTTTTTTTTTCACATGGAGTCTCGCTCAGTTGCCCTGGCTGGAGTGCAGTGGTGCAATCTCAGCTCACTGCAGCCTCTGCCTCCCGAGTTCAAGCCATTCTCCTGCCTCAGCCTTCTGAGTAGCTGGGATTACGGGCACACGCCACCATGCTCAGCTAGTTTATGTATTTTTAGTAGAGACAGGGTTTCAGCATGTTGGTCAGGCTGGTTTTGAACTCCTGACCTTGTGATCCGCCCGCCTCAGCCTCCCAAAGTGCTGAGATCACAGATGTGAGCCACCACGCCTGGCCTAAAACATTTTTTTTTTTAAGAGACAAGGTCTCACTCTGTTGCCCAGGCCAGAGTACAATGCTGCAATAATAACTCACTGTAGCCTCAAACTTCTGGGTCAAGCAATTCTCTCACCTCAACCTCTTGTGAAGCTGGGACTAGAGGCATGTGCCATCAGCCTGGCTTATTTTCTTTTTTTTTTTCATAGCAACAAGGTCACACTATGTTCCCCAGGCTGGTCTCAAGCAGTCCTCCCACCGCGACCCCCTAAAGTGTTCGAAATATAGGCATGAGCCACCGAACCTGGCCAATTTCTCCTTTTCTTTAAGTGTCCTTGTTTTCCTGTGTTCTCCTTGTGGATCTGCCTTTTTTTTTTTTTTTTGACAGGTTCTCACTCTGTCACCCAAGGGAGTGCAATGGTGCCATCTCAGCTCACTGCAACCTCCACCTCCTGGGCTCAGGTGATTCTCCTGACTCAGCCTCCCAAGTAACTGGGACCACAGGTGTGTGCCACCATGCCTGGCTAATTTTCATGTTTTTTGTAGAGACGGGGTTTCACCATGTTGCCCAGGCTGGGCTCAGGGGATCTGTCTGCCTTGGCCTCTCAAAGTGCTGGAATTACAGGTGTGAGTCACTGCACCCGGCCCGTTTTTTTTTTGTTTTTTTTGTTTTTTTTTTTTTTGTGAGATGGAGTCTTGCTGTGTTGCCCAGGCTGGAGTGCAATGGTGCGATCTCGGCTCACTGCAACCTCCCAGGTTCAAATGATTCTCCCTCCTCAGCCTCGAGGATAGCCGGGATTACAGGCACCGGTCATCATGCCCAGCTAATTTGTTTATTTTTGTAGAGAGAGGGTTCCACCATGCTGTCCAGGCTGGTCTTGAACTCCTGACCTCAGGTGATCTACCCGCCTCAGCCTCCTAAAGTGCTGAGATTACAGGTGTGAGCCACTGCATCCAGCCTCCCTGACTCTTTATTACCTTTTATTCTGTTTCTAAGTACTTAAGTCCTGTCTCCTTGGCCAAGCCAGACTAGGCCCAACACCCTCAATTCACCCTGGCTCCAAAGAGGGCAAAAGCAACTCTCTTTCTCTAAGGCCAGGGAAGTATCTACCACAATCTCTGAAACCTGTGAACTTTTCTGTGGGCCTGTAGTTTCAAGTCCCACCTTAACTGTCCTTAAAAAAAAAACCAAACAATGACCTACCTAATCCATCTAATTTCTCAACTAACTGCCACCATCTCTACTATATCCACCTGCATCCTATTTCACTGTACATGTCAGGAATCTTTCTTCTCACCCCATTCCATGTTTGACCAGATTCCCTCTGCAAGTGTTCTACCAGAGCCACAGCCTCCTCAATGCTCTGTGGATGGTGCTTCTGCATCTGGGTCTGTGTCTCCCTGGGCAGAATAGTCAGGAACTGCTCCAGCACCAGCAGTTCCAGTATCTGCTCTTTTGAGTGGATCTCTGGCTTCAGCCATAGATGACATAATTCTTGAAGTTTGCTGACAGCCTCACGGGGTCCACCTGCTTCATCATAGGTGAAATTCCGGAAGTGCCAGCAAGAGCTCTTAGGATCGAGACAGTCCATTTGAGGAGATTTTTTACTCTGACCGGAGCTCTCTCTTGCAGGCCCCTTGGTCTCCCACAAAGCCCTGATCTGAGGGTCCAAGTACGCAGCCACTTTCAGATCTACCATCATCATTCTGCTCTAGGAAGTTCTGCTCCTGTGTTAAGACACCCAATTGGTACCACGTTTAACAAATGAGATCCTGTCTGGTCTTGTACAAAAGCAATAAAAGGATCTTCTTCCTAAAAGCACTGAGGACAAGAAAAAGAAAAGTATGTATCAATAAGAAACTCACATGAACCTCATCACTTGCGACTTATGAGAGAAAGAAGAACAGAAAAGGTGTCCTGTCTTCCCTTCAAAATCAACTAGCAGGCCCTTTGTTTTTCTCCTTTTCTATTATTCAGCTGAAGCACAGCACAAAACACACAAATGTCAGTGGACAACTGTCTTTTTTATAAAAAAGAAAACAATTTAGGAAAGATTGGTGGGTAAGAAAATTGGCACCCACTGGCTGAAAGGTATTTTGGGATTTTCCAAGGATTTAACTGGTGTGCCTCCTATCCCATCTTCCCCATAAGAAAAGAATAGGAGAAAATAAGATTAGGAAAACATTCTGAGATTCTCTTAAATTTCAACAGATCATCCCAGTCTGTCTCTAGTAAGGGGAGTACAACTTTTATGACCCTTCATCCTCTTGTGAAGATGGAAGCCTTCACTTTAAAAATATTTTAGGCCAGGTGCAGTGGCTCATGCCTGCATTCCCAGCACTTTTGGAGACCGAGGTGGGAGGATCACTTGAGCCAGGAGTTTCAGACCAGCCTGAGCAACATAGCGAGACCCCGTCTCTACAAAACACAAAATTTGAAGAAAAAAAAAAAAAATAGCCAGGATGGTAGAGCACACCAGTAGTTCTAGCTCAGGAGGCTGAGGTGGGAGAGTCGCCTGAGCCCAGGAATTCAAGGTTGCAGTGAGCCATGACCTCATCACTGCACTCCAGCCTGGGAGTTAGAGCAAGACTTTGTCTCTAATTTAAAAACTAAAAATAAAGGCACCTTAAAAAACAACATTTTAGATTTTCCATTGTAGGAATACTGGCAAAAGAGCTGAGACGGTGAGATCAAAATACAGTAGTATCCCTTCTCCAAGGGGGGTAAGTTCCAGTACATTCTGTGAATACCTAAAACCCCCAACAGCATCTAACTGCATTATACTATTTTCTCTATGTATACATAGCTATGATACCTTAATTTATAAATTAGGTACAATAAGAGATTAACAATAAAACACTGTAGTAAGAGTTATTTAAAACTGGCGGTGCGCCGTGGCTCATGCCTGTAATCCCAGCACTTTGGGAGGCCTGACGTGGGTGGATCACCTGAGACCAGGACTTCAAGACCAGCCTGGCCAACATGGTGAAACCTTCTTTATTGTAAACACAAAAATTAGCCAGGTGTGGTAGTGCGCGCCTGTAGTCCCAGCTACCCAGGAGGCTGAGGCAGGAAAATTGTTTGAACCCGGGAGGTGAAGGCTGCAGTGAGCTCAGACTGTGCCACGGCACTCCAGCCAGGGCAGCAAAACGAGATTCCATCTCCAAAAAAAAAAAAAAAAGTTATTTAAAACTTATGAACTGTTTATTTCTGGAGTTTTCCATTTAATATTTTTTGGATGGCAGTTGACAGCGGGTAAGTGAAACCCAGATACAGTGGGGGGAGGGGGTACTACAGAAAGTAAAAAAGTAGCCTATTTTCAGACAATGTCTCCCAAGTAAGCAACAAGATGCTCATCATTCTTTGCAACACACATAAAGGGTGCCATGCAGATGATTTATACGAATTTTGTTTTTTTTTTTGAGATGGAGTCTCGCCCTGTCACCCAGGCTGGAGTGCAGTGGCGTGATCTCAGCTCACTGCAACTTCCACCTCCCCGGTTGAAGCCATTCTCCTGCCTCAGCCTCCCGACTAGCTGGGATTACAGGCGCGTGCCACCATGCCCGGCTAATTTTTGTGTTTTTAGTAGAGACAGGGTTTCACCATCTTGGCCAGGGTGGTCTCGATCTCCTGACCTCGTGATCCACCCATCTTGGCCTCCCAAAGTGCTGGGATTACAGGCGTCAAACACCGCGCCAGGCCTATATGAATTTTTAACTGTGCTTACTTGATCTGGAGAAAATTACAGCTGACCTCTGTTTACAAAATATCAACTTGTAAAAAAGGATATTTTATTTACAAAATATCAAGTCGTATTTTCTTTCTGTCGCTGATGTTTATGAAATATCAACTCCAACAGGAGTTGGTGACGATGAAAGTGAAACTTTCTGCTGACTTTGTATTTCTCCAAAGGTCATTTAGACTTCTAAGGGGGGCTGAGGAGAGCCGTGAGCCTCACTTTTCCTGAAGTGAGCCAGCAGAAACGGCACCGAAATTCTGCCCAGGATGCCACCGGTATTCAAAGAAGTGGCCAGCTCCTTGCTGCCCACCCCGGTTCCAGAAGCAAAGAGACACTTCCTATGTTTTTGCATCAGTAGAAGCTGCTAGCCCTGAGGCTCAACCGACCGCATGACATCGGCCGGACACGGAAATGCCGGCGGAGGCGGGAAAGAGTCTGCGGGCGCAGCTGCAGGCACTGCTGCCCGCCAGCACTCGGATTCGCCACAGCCTGTGTCTGCGACAGGCGTGCCCGTGGGCACTGGGCAAGCGGGCAGTGTCCCAGCGAGCTTCAGCCGCGCCTCTGGGATACAGCTGCGAAAAGCGGGGAGAGAATGGTTTCTCGTGCCCGACGGTGGCCCCGCCTCAGGCTCCAGCCGCGCGGCCCGGAAGCGCCGCGGCCACCGCCTACGGAAAATGGCTGCCTCCCTGCGGCCGCCGCCGCTCCAGCGGCTCCAGGGTCGAAGCCATAGGGGAAGCCGCTTCTCGGTTACCTCGGCCAGCTTGGCTTCCGTGGAGGCCGCTCCTCGCTTTCTGAGGCTCAAACGCAAGCCACCGCCCGAAAGGCCGCCGATCTGAGGAGCGCAACCGCCAGCCCACCGCTGGCCTACCGCAGCCCTGTCCAGGTACAGAGCCAGAGCGCCGGCCGGAAGTGGAAGTGACGCTTTCCGAGGGTGGCGCAGGCCCGCCCTCTGGCTAAGGCGCCTGAGCCCGGCCTACTTCCTCGCCAGAGAAACTGCTGTCTTCCCCGGCGGTAGGGAAGGGTTAATGCCACCGAGTATCCAGACCCGCTGAAGCCTAGAGGGCCTTGTACCGGCTCACCGCGTGGCTGTCGCTGTCTCGTGTCCCCAGTGGGGGAGGCGTCGCACTGCCGCGTCTGTTCTGCGTGGCTGTCGGGCGGCGTTTGGTCCCGGGAGCCTCGCCGGGTAAGGGTCGCCTCCCAGCTGCGCGCGCCGCGTTCTCGGGCTTCCCGCGGCCCGGCCGGCCGTGCTCGAGCTGTTGCTGGGCTCGTCGCCGCCTCCTCGAGGAAGAGGCATTTTGTCCGGGTCGGGCCACTCGCTAGGTCAGAAACAGCGGCCCCCCGAGGGTTTTGTACCGTTTTCTAGGTCTCGTGACGCATTCCCCACAACTATTTTTTCTTGAGGTAGGTTTGAACCTGTGAAATAGGTTCTTTTTCTATCTCTCCTTGACAGAGAAACGGAGACCTAAGAAGTGACTTGCTCAGGGTCACATAGCTCAGCAGTGGCGGCCGCTAATCGGAAATAGCTCTCCTGTTGTGGTATCCTCTGCGTTTTCCACTCCAGTATTCTTCCCTGGAAAATGGGAACCTTGTTTTCATCTTATATCTCATGCAGCGCCTAACATAGTCACCTGGTAAGATAGGCATTCCACACATATTTACTGAATCATAGTTATAAGAATCTGAGTGTTTTGGGTGTTCAGTGATCTCTGAATTAATCCGTTTTTGTAATGTCAGTCTGTACCAGTTGAGGGATTATTTAATAAGTCCAGTATGAGTGGTTTCGGAATTACCAGTTTTTGTAACGTCAGCTTATACCAGTCAAGGGACTATTTATTAAGTCAGCTATGTGTAGCCAATATTGCAGAGTTGAGTAAGAAGTCTTTGTCCTTAAGCAATCTCTTGAAAGGACTGAGCAATTTCGTGAATATCAGTAACACAAGGGTAAGAATAGGACATAAACTGAATGCTGTGAGAACTCCAAGAAAATCCAAGTTGATTTGGGGTTGGGGGAAATTATAAAAGACCTTGAGGGATTTTGTCCACAGCAGGGAATGGAGACACTTTCCAGGCAGAGGGAAGGGTAGGAGTAAAGGCTTTAAAAGCTGGAAACATTAGACTGTGAGATCTTAGGTACGTTTTTACTGAGTTGGGCTGCATTTAGAGGAAGAGTTTTAAAAGTTAGAAAACGAGTTTATGTGGCACTTATACTGGAGTCCTTTGAATGGGAATGAAAAGAGTGCATTTAAGAAAGTAAATCCTGGCCGGGCGCGGTGGCTTACGCCTGTAATCCCAGCACTTTGGGAGGCCGAGGCGGGCGGATCATGAGGTCAGGAGATCGAGACCATCCTGGCTAACATGGTGAAACCCCGTCTCTACTAAAAAATACAAAAAAAAATTAGCCGGGCGTGGTGGTGGGCGCCTGTAGTCCCAGCTACTCGGGAGGCTGAGGCAGGAGAATGGCGTGAACCCGGGAGGCGGAGCTTGCAGTGAGCCGAGTTCACGCCACTGCATTCCAGCCTGGGCGACAGAGCGAGACTCCGTCGCAAAAAACAAAACAAAACAATACAAAAAAGTAAATCCTGGAGCACCATTTGAGCGTTTTGGACTGAGCTGCTTTCTATGGCAGTTCATCTAAGGTAAGTTTAAGGTGAGAATGAAGATGAGAGGCCATTACCAGGCCATTATGCTATTTTTGCTTTTGGATGGGATGGTATGTAACTCCTCTTAGGCATAGATCTTGATCCTTTTTAAGTGAGAGAGAAAGATAAACAGATTTAATAATGAGCATCTGCCTAAGTCACTTGAATTTGTGTCTAAGTAGGTTCATTTCCTTAAAATCTCAGCCAGGTTGGGACTTCATTTCTTCAGCAGTAAATATTCTCAGTCTATCAGAACCAGTGGACAGTAGCGCCATCAGCATTAAGATTCTCATCACCTGGCCCAATGCTGAATATATAATTAGAATTTATTAAGTTGAATAAGTGAAGTTCTGCTAGCAGTGCTAAGCAGTGCCCTTGGATATCATTGACAGGCCTGATTCATAACACAGGAAGTTGGTTAAAGGGAAAAGGGATTCATGGGAAAAAGAGGCAGCAAGGCACAAATTGTGAATAGTGAATAAGAGGCACTGGTGATTTTCATTGTGTGAGGTTTGCTGCCATAGTGGCTTATCCTTTGAAGCCCACAAACATTCCTTGAGCCTTTCCTTTTGGTTTCACCTCCCCTTGCTTGGGCACTGTTTTAGAAATGATGACTGTGGCTGGGCGCAGTGGCTTACACCTGTAATCCCAGCACTTTGGGAGGCCTAGGTGGGTGGATCACTTGAGGTCAGGAGTTCGAGACCAGCCTGGCCAACATGGCAAAACCTTGTCTGTACTAAAAATATAAAAATTAGCGGGGCATGGTGGTGCGTGCCTGTAATCCCAGCTACTTAGGAGGCTGAGGCACGAGAATGGCCTGAACCCTGGAGGCAGAGGTTGCAGTGAGCCGAGATTGTGTCACTGCACTCCAGCCTGGGCGACAGAACCAGACCCCATCTCAAAAAAAAAAAAAAAAAAAAAAGACGACGGCACAGCTGAGAAGCATTGAAAGCAAATACATTAATTCTGAGACACCTACACAACTGTCATAGTGGCCTGAATATTTTTGCTAGGTGACTAGCTTGAGTTAATGGTGCTGCTATTGGCTAGCAAATACTTTTTTATTTTTCTATTTATAAGTGAAAGAGATAAACCAAGATTTATGTCTGAGTTATCACTTACTAACTGCCTTAATTATAGTTGCCTCATTTAGAAAGTTGCTTGATCGTAGCCTGCCATTGGCTCCACCCCCTAATTACTACCATATTCTCTTGTAATCTTCTCCATGCTCTATAACTCATAGTTGGCATTTCTTGCAATGAATGTTACAGGAAAACCAGTGGTCTGACTCTTCTGGGTTTTTAGATGAGAGACCTAAGAGAATTCTATGGGCCAGGTGTGGTGGCTCACGCCTGTAATCCCAGCACTTTGGGAGGCTGAGGCGGGCGGATCATGAGTTCAGAAGTTCGAGACCAGCCTGGCCAACATAGTGAAATCCTCTTTACCAAAAAAATACAAAAATTAGCCGGGTGTGGTGGCACACACCTGTAGTCCCAGCTACTCAGGAAGCTGAGGCAGGAGAATTGCTTGAACCCGGGAGGCAGAGGTTGTAGTGAGCCGAGATGGCGGCATCGCACTCCAGCCTGGGTGACAGAGCAAGACTCTGTCTCAAAAAAAAAAAGAGAGAGAATTCTATGTAGTTGAGGAATGAATGGGCCAGTCAGATTCTGCCCTAAAGAAGAGGAAGAATAACTGAGATACCAGCCATTTCCCTTATTTCTCTGACATACTTTTCTTTCTTCGTAGCACCTGGAATGGATAAAAGTGGCAGTTTTTGTTTCTTCCCATGAGGTTGTGTATCTGGACTGAGAACCAGGAAATTAATCTAGACTAAGACATTTCTAAGGACCTGGAATGGCTTTGGGGAGCACCAGGAGGACCCGAAAAGAGTATTTGAGGGCCTAGAGGGACAGAAGAGTTTGCCAGTAGGATTTATGAGAAACAATTGATCAGAAACAGCAGCAGAGAAACCTTTTAGATTTCTTCTGTGGAAAAGTTGAGTCTTGGTTCAAATTAAGTAAAATAAACACTGAAGAGAAATCAAAATCTCAAATATAAAAAGTATGTTACTTATAGTGTAAATTTAGGAAAACAAATGAAAGGACAGATCTTTAAAAATTTTTAACTATGGTGAAATATTTGTAAAACTTTTGGGCTCATCTCTGAGAATTGCTGTGATTCTGAAACTTGATAATATCTCAAATAGAGAACAGTTTCAGTGAAAAATAGCACTTGAGAATAAATCAGATGTTCCCAAGAAAGAAGATCTGAGAATGGTAAAGTGCCACTGACAAATAAATTATTTACATACTTACATATTACCTTGGCAAACACAAGAGACATTCAAGTTAAAGCACGGTGCTTGACAATACTATATTGAATGCAATAAAAGTTGGATTTCATTCATATGTACAACAAACTACTTTCTTCTTCACTTCAAGATTCGGTACAACTGTTCCTGAATTCCAACTCTCCATACATCCCAATGTCAGGGTCCCTGTAGCTCGGAGCCCTTATCCAGGTAGATGAACTGCTGCCCAGTGAACACTATGTACAAAGCAATTTGAGCACCATTCTCTTTTCTGGCAGTGAGGTAAAATCAGGTCTTTTTGGAAGGGGAGAAGCCACATTGCATCTCTGCTACACACAAGATTACTCTGTCATTGCCTTTGAGTCTTTCACGCTCCCTTCTTCTGAAGCATCAGTTTTTATGGAAACTTATCACACCTGTCTTGTGGGCACATCTTGCTCCATCCCTCCTCTCTTCATATTGTCCGTTTTCCGGTATTGAGTTAGGGAAAGTATGCAGGTATTCCTGTCATTCCTGACTGAGGCTGTTGTATCTGTCAAAAGAGAGGAGAGGTAGGGGGCATTCTGAAAAATGATCACTCATGGCTTGCAGGAGCAAGAGCCAGACAGGACTTTGCAACTGGCAGCTTTCTGAGTGCATAAGACCTCCACCTCTAGACTAGCTCTTCAGTCATGGTTAGCCCCTTCAGTCCATTATCCTCCAATACAATGCCCATGCCTTCTGGGGCTTTCAGCTAAGTTTTGTTTAAAAAATGTGGGTTTTTTTTTTGCCAATTCATTAAGGCTTTTCCCTTTGTTTTCTCCTGTTGGTGGTTCAGAGTTAAATTCAGTATGAATAAGAGAGGGAAATATACAACACTGAATTTGGAGGAGAAAATGAAGGTTCTAAGTAGAATTGAAGCTGGACGATCACTTAAAAGTGTAATGGATGAATTTGGAATCAGTAAGTCAACATTTTATGACATTAAAAAAAATAAGAAGTTAATTCTGGACTTTGTACTGAAGCAGGACATGCCATTAGTAGGGGCTGAGAAGAGAAAGAGGACAACGGGAGCCAAATATGGTGATGTAGATGATGCGGTCTACATGTGGTACCAACAGAAACGCTCAGCCGGTGTTCCGGTAAGAGGCGTGGAGCTTCAGGCTGCTGCAGAGAGATTTGCACGGTGTTTTGGGCGAACAGATTTCAAAGCTAGCACTGGTTGGCTTTTTAGATTTCGAAATCGGCATGCAATTGGGAACCGAAAAGGATGTGGGGAACAAGTCCTAAGTTCAGTTTCTGAAAATGTTGAGCCATTTCGACAAAAACTGTCCATGATAATCAAAGAGGAGAAACTGTGTCTAGCTCAGCTATACAGTGGGGATGAAACAGACCTCTTTTGGAAGTCAATGCCAGAAAATTCTCAGGCAAGTAGGAAAGATATCTGCCTACCAGGGAAGAAAATAAACAAAGAAAGGTTGTCTGCCTTTTTATGTGCAAATGCAGACGGAACTCATAAATTAAAGTCAATCATTATTGGAAAATCAAAACTGCCCAAAAGTGTGAAAGAGGACACAAGTACATTGCCTGTGATATATAAACCCAGTAAAGATGTTTGGTTCACCAGAGAATTGTTTTCAGAATGGTTTTTTCAAAACTTTGTTCCTGAGGTCCGACATTTTCAACTTAATGTTCTAAGATTTCATGACGAGGACGTCAGGGCATTGTTACTTCTGGACAGTTGCCCGGCTCATCCTTCCTCTGAATCCCTAACCAGTGAGGATGGTCGAATAAAATGTATGTTCTTCCCCCATAACACTTCAACCTTGATTCAACCAATGAATCAAGGTGTGATCTTGAGCTGCAAACGGCTGTATAGATGGAAGCAACTTGAAGAGAGTCTTGTAATATTTGAAGAAAGTGATGATGAGCAAGAGAAAGGAGATAAAGGAGTTTCCAAAATTAAAATCTACAATATAAAAAGTGCAATTTTTAACTGGGCAAAAAGTTGGGAAGAAGTAAAACAAATAACCATAGCAAATGCATGGGAAAATCTTCTTTACAAAAAGGAACCTGAATATGATTTTCAAGGCTTAGAACATGGGGATTATAGAGAAATTCTTGAAAAATGTGGGGAGTTGGAAACTAAGTTGGATGATGATAGGGTGTGGTTAAATGGAGATGAAGAAAAGGGTTGTCTCCTAAAAACCAAAGGTGGAATAACAAAGGAAGTTGTTCAAAAAGGAGGAGAAGCTGAGAAGCAGACTGCTGAATTTAAATTATCTGCTGTAAGAGAGAGTTTGGACTACCTTCTTGACTTTGTTGATGCCACACCTGAGTTTCAGAGATTCCACTTCACACTGAAAGAGATGCAACAAGAAATAGTCAAGAAACAGTTCCAGAGTAAAATCCATTCTAGAATTGGTAGCTTTTTGAAACCTAGGCCTCATAATATTAAGGACTCCTTCAGTGGGCCTTCAACTTCTGGTTCTAATCATTAGATTTTGTGTTTAAAGATTTCTGCCATTATATGATGTAGGCCAGCTGTGAATTGTCTTGTTTTAGCAACTGACATTATTTTGTATATCAGTGCCCATTTATATAATGGTTATAAAATTTACAGTTTGAAAATAATACATTTGTGTTTCTTTAAATTTATTTAAATTTGTGTTTCATAAATTCATTTTTTTAAATTTTACACAAGGATCTGAATAATGAAGTATTGTCCCAGATTATCTAAGGTGGAATGCCTTTGCGAAAAGCATTAGTTTGTAATCATATCGTATAACAAAGAAACTGTGCTGACTAGTTCTAGTTAGCTTTAAGATAAGGATAAATTAGGTTTTCAATTTAATGGTAAAACACACTCTGCTTTCTTAACTCTGTTACTACCTATTTAGTGTTTGTTTTCCTCTTACTGTGAAAGTAACATGCTGATTATAGGGAATATATAAAAAAAGATAAAAAGCACTCAATTCTATTGACTAATGATAACCTCAACACTTCGGTGTATACCATATATTTTTTAAATAGGCAGATTACATTGTAAATAAAACCTTATCTCTTACTGTCTTAACATATTTTATGGTTTGTTACTAATACGTTAGCATTTATTGAGTATATAGGATCGTATATATATGTTAGTCTTCATAATAATGACTTCCCTTTTCAAATACATAAGGAAACAGATTTAGAGAGATTAAGTAACTCGACAAAGGTCACATAAACTGGTAAACAGCAGAGGTGAGACTTAAATTCTGTTTAATGCCAAAGCTCAGGCTTTTAACCATCATACGGCACTATTTCTGAGAGTTTCCCTTAGGTCATTAAAATCTCTTAACCTCACATTTGATGGTTTTTTAATACTCCACCAGGGGATGTAACGTATCAGTTGAACTACCAGGTCAAATAGAATGAACTTTTGAAAAAGCTGCGATACACGCTGTTAAATTGCTTTCACATTCCCACCATTATTTTGAAAGTACTTCTCCCAATGCACCAATCCCAACATTGAATATTGTTAAGCTCTTAGTTTTTGCTAATTTTGTAACCAAAAGAATGGTATCTTTATGGTTGTTCCCTATTTAATATAAGGTGTCAGGTGAGTTGATATTTGCAAATAACAAGCTTTGTTTGGATAATTAGCTCTTATTGGCTTTCAGTGTTTCCTTTCTCATATATTATCTTCAAGAATCTGTTTCTGGCCGGGCGCGGTGGCTCACGGCTGTAATCCCAGCACTTTGGGAGGCCGAGGAGGGCAGATCACGAGGTCAGGAGATCGAGACCATCTTGGCTAACATGGTGAAACCCCGTTTCTACTAAAAATACAAAAAATTAGCCGGGCGCAGTGGCAGGCGCCTGTAGTCCCAGCTACTCGGGAGGCTGAGACAGGAAAATGGCGTGAACCTGGGAGGCGGAGCTTGCAGTGAGCCGAGATCGCGCCACTGCACTCCAGCCTGGGCGACAGAGCGAGACTCCGTCTCAAAAAAAAAAAAAAAAAAAAAAAAAAGAATCTGTTTCTGAGATGGGTATTCTGTTACACTGGTGAATACTAGGCAATTATAGTATAAAATTAGTGACTAAATACAGAACTACTGGGGTCCACTCTTGCTCTAGTACCTTGCCATTTTCATTACTGGCTAATATGAATTTCTCTTTTTTTTTTTTTTTTTGAGATGGAGTCTCGCTGTATCACCCAAGCTGGAGTGCAGTGGCACGATCTTGGCTCGCTGCAACCTCCACCTCCCAGGTTCAAGCAATTCTGCCTCAGCCTCCTGAGTAGCTGGGATTACAGGCGCGTGCCACCACACCTGACTTGTATTTTTAGTAGAGACGAGGTTTCACCATGTTTCTCAGGTTGGTCTTGAACTCCTGACCTCGTGATCCGCCTGCCTCAGCCTCCCAAAGTGCTGCGATTACGGGTGTGAGCCACTGCGCCCGGCCTGTGAATTTTAATGAAAAGCAAATGCCCACTTTCCATGTTTGAAAATATACAAGCTATTCTTACTATCTTAAGTCAACTTCAGCATAAAATTTATTCAAGCCTCCTCCAGACACCAACTCCCTCTGCGAATTTATTCCTAATTTAAGTAAAATTGGAAAGAATTTACATTACTTTTCTCTCCTTTCAAATTGTAAGTGCAGTTTTCATTTAATGGAGTTCTCATTTTTTTTATTGTTCCTAGGTAGGTTTGTTGTTGCTGTAAGTGGGTTCCTTTTTTATTAGTAGTGATTGCTGATATTTTCACCTTGTAAATTCAGTAGTTATCTTTTTTGTGCCTTATTTATTACCCAGAACTTGTAGAAAAAATATATCAACATTGCCACTGGGCATCCTTTTTACATTCAGTTTAGGCTTGATTTGTGCTTTCTTGCCTTATTCAGTCTGCAGCCTGGTGGAAGATGGGAGACCTT
Source organism: Homo sapiens (assembly GCF_000001405.40). Taxonomy (NCBI): domain Eukaryota; kingdom Metazoa; phylum Chordata; class Mammalia; order Primates; family Hominidae; genus Homo; species Homo sapiens. The sequence goes on along the minus strand of NC_000016.10, from coordinate 3,296,551 downwards.
TAACATCAAGCAGCTTGACTTTTTCTTTTTTTAAGATTAGTCCATAATGACTGCAAGCTGGGGTTGGGTGAGGGCGAAGGTAGTAATTACTCTTTGCTTGATGTTTTGCCTCTTTTGAAAGACCTTCCAAGCCTGGGACAGGATGGATTGTGGAAGTGGAGGGGGATGGCAGATGAGGACTCTGGGCAGCTCTCTAGTTCCTTTTAGTTTGGGTCTTTGCATCAAACATCATCATTCTTTTTAGTGATAATAAATTCCTAGAGTGACCGAGAGTCACCCCAGTTTTCAAAAGTACTCATTGATTCTGGAAACTTCCTGTTAACTGTTTCATGTACTAGACAATAGCATGTTGTTGGAGATTCAGCTCTGAATAACCAAGAAAATGAATGAGAACAAACCACCATGGGATGTGTAAGGGCCGGAGCCAAAGTGAGCATAGGGAGGGCCTTTGAGACTTGGATAGCAGGGGAGGTGTCTGAGAGGACAGTGCGTGACTTTTGAGCTGGGTTTAAAGTTGTGAAGCAGGGGCTCAGTCTCTGCGGTGGGCACGTGTATCTCCCAGGCAAGCTGCAAGGTCCCTGGACCGTTGCCTTGGGGGCCTCTGGCGGAGAAGAGCAGGAAAGACAGGTCAAGGCTAGTGTCCCTGGGGGACATCCTACGAGATTTTAGACGGGTCTCGGCCCACGTAAGTCTTGACCGCTCCACCTCCTGGATCTCTCCTCTCCACTCTTCGTCCTCACTGCCCTGCCCTGGTCCAGGCTCCCTTCGCCTTCTGCGTTGACTCTGCCTCTTCAGTTGCCCTGCCTTCCTTTTCTGTCCCCTCTCCATTCTTGCCCGACCCTTATTCTCTTACCAGAAGAGAGCGAACTAAAACAAAAAGGGGAGCCTCGGGCTTCAGACACTTCGTGGGCCTCCCACTGTTTAAAGAAAGGCCTAGCCCCTAGGGCGGCCCCGCGCTTTCCTGGCGCCCGCTCGCACGCACCCCAGCTCGGCCCTCCGCGCCTCCCGCTAGACCGCGAGGGCCGACGGGGGAGTTTTAGAGGGTGCAGGTGCGCCACCGCCTCGAGTCTAGGAGAGGAAACCCCTGCGGCTGTGCGTGCGAGAACCACCATACACCGGAGCCACCATACACCGCCCGGGCGGGAACGCTGGAAGGGAGGGGAGGGGCGGTGACTTGGGCGGCTGGGGCGTGATCGTGGCCCCAGGGGTCTGGGCACAGGTCCCGGGACGGCCGCGGGAGGAGGACCGGCCAGAGGGCAGGGAAAGGCCGGGACCGGGCGCAGGGCGGCCTTCGCTTCTGGGGGCAGAGCCGACGCTGAGGGGAGCGGCAGCCCCGAGGCCCGGGGCGGCGGTTGGAGGAGGCTCGTGGGCCCGGCCGCGTGTGAGCCGATGCGGAGCAGGAGGCGTCTGCTTTGCCCAAGCCTGAAAAGGGAGTCTCTGGTTCTGCAAATCACTCCTGGGGATAGGAACTTCTCCGAGAAGTCCAGGCACTCACACTTGCGCCGGGTGCTGGGGCTGGACTCCTGCCGGGAGGCCCAGGAGAGCCGAGAACTCCCTCAAGGGCAGCAGCACCTCGGGAGTGGGGAACTGGCCTCCCTGAACGGAATGGAGGGCAAGCAATTCCTCATGATGTCCAAAAACATACGCTGGACTTCAGAACGATACTCCTTAATGTTTTTCTTTCCCGTTCTCGCTGCCTGGAGAAATACTACTCTCCTTGGAGCACGTTGGGGATGCTTGAGAGCCACCGGATTTCTGACAGAATCTTTTGAGACATTTAAGGTGTCTCTGTAAGCTAATTGAGAGCAATAACATTAACTGGGAGATCAGAATTTTTTTGTGATCTGAGTCATTTTTCCTCAACCATTTTGTCGTTGTTGAACTTAACCTAGATCATTCCCAGTGCCTCTTCACTGTACCACTCAGGCAAGGTCTAGCTGGTCTTATTAAAAAGTATATGATGGGAAGGAAATATTAACCGCCCTTTCAAGAACAGAAGTCAATAATTGGGAGTGCTTGCAAGCTAGACTGAAGAGTAAAAGAAAATATTTCAAATAAATAAATAAATAAATAAATGCATTTTGCTTGAATTCATCTAGCTATTCCTGAGTTCCTGACCTCCAAAATTAAGTCTCCTAGTGCTAAGAAATTTGCTAGTTGGTTTTCCTGTAACACACATTAAGACACTTTACGTGACTTAGTTGTTTCAAATGCTTGTGAAACACTTAGAAAAAATTACAAGTTTTAAAGCAGTGGTGATTTTGCACATTCCAAAGTAGTATCAGTTAATGTAATGAATCACTCTTCTTTAAAAAGTGCTGAGTCTAGGCGGGGCGCGGTGGCTCACGCCTGTAATCCCAGCACTTTGGGAGGCCGAGGCGGGCAGATCACGAGGTCAGGAGATCGAGACCATCCTGGCTAACATGGTGAAACCCGGTCTCTACTAAAAATAGAAAAAATTAGCCAGGCGTGGTGGCGGGCGCCTGTAGTCCCAGCTACTCGGGAGGCAGAGGCAGGAGAATGGCGTGAACCCGGGAGGCGAAGCTTGCAGTGAGCCGAGATCGTGCCACTGCACTCCAGCCTGGGTGACAGAGCGAGACTCCGTCTCAAACAAAACAAAACAAAAAAGTGCTGAGCCTAAAACCTGAAATTTCAGATTATGGTGCTGAGACCCAAAAGTTCTTTCATTACAGCCATCAAAACTTTTAAAGTGACTTCTGATGGATTTTTCTGAAAAATTCAGTGCTTTTAAAACATTCTTCCAGTCTGTGTCCCACCTCTGGCTTTGTTGTCATTGCTCCCCAGCCTGACGCTGCCAGGCCTTTTCACAGGGCTTAGATGTGGCACTGGTTCTCACCCACCAGCCTCCCTGCTGGTTTCATGTGCTACCTTTGCTAAGGATGTGTGGCTGCTGCTCAGGGTCACTCCACATCTCCCAAGACCTCTTTGCACCCATTTGGACTTAGAGGCTAGAGGTCCTTATTGTCCCAGGGTTAGTCTCCCTGTGACATAAAAGCCACTCAAACTGTTTTGGCTTCTTTTACAAGAGCCCTAGTGGGCAAAGTATTAATGTGAAAAAGCACTAACTTGGACATCTCTTGCAGTGACCTAGTTCTCACACTGCTATAAAGATACAGAGACTGCGTAATTTACAAACAAAAGAGGTTTAATTGACTCAGTTCTGTGTGGCTGGGGAGGCCTCAAGAAACTTACAATTATGGCGGAAGGCAAAGGGGAAGTAGGTACCTTCTTCACAAGGTGGCAAGAGAGAACAAGCAAGCACGCAAGTGAAGGGGGAACTGTTACACTTTTAAAACCATCAGCTCTCGGGAGAATTCAGTATCAGGAGAACAGCATAGGGGAAAACCGTCCCCATGATGCAAGCACTTCCCACCAGGTCCCTCCCTTGACACATGGGGATAACAATTAGAGATGAGATTTGCGTGGGGACACAGAGCCGAACCGTATCAGACCTCATGGGGGCCTGCAGTAAGGGAATCAGACCTACTCTCTCAAACATGAGTACAAGGGAAGGAGATGTCATCAGTCCCTGAAATTCCTGCCAGTGTGGTCTTCAGTGACCTCAGTCAGTGTTAGATGCTTAGAAGGAAATCTTTTGGATCATCTGTCGACAGTTGGCACTTTCTTACATGCCAGGCATAGTGCTGCTTTATGTAGTTATTTTCTGTGATGTCATCTCATTAAAACAGGCCAAGAACAGCTAAGCATGTGAAGTTTACTAGAAGGGGAACTAGACTGAAGATTTGAGTGAAGCGTTCCAATGGAATGCCTTTTTATGGCAAATACCTGAGAGTCATTTCCCAGCTTCAAGCTGCAGTGTTCCAAGTATGAGCAGCACCAGTTGGACCACATCATAAGATCTGTGTGGGTGATGTTACCAAGGGAGGGAGAGTAGATGGAAGGGGCGCTTTCCAGTCTCTGTCCACATAAACTGCCATCTTAACCAGAGTGCTTTGTAGGAACACCAGCTTTACATTCCATCCAATTCATGACATCAGCAGCCTGGCTGGCCCTGCACTGCTCCACTGGAGTGTGGTCCTGCTCCTACCACTGTTGATCCTACTCTGATCTCTCTAATCCTAACCCTCCACTTCCCTGCCCTCAACCCCCACACCACCACTGCCCTCCTCCTGTGAACAAGCTGATTAAGAGGAAGTTACAGAAATGAGAAATAGTGAGATATTAAAAAACTGGCTCAGACAACCAAAGAAAAACACATACTAAACTGAGGCAGGGCTGAGAGAAGGATCAATGGAGCGCTGTTTCCATGACTTCAAGTTGCTATATCCATCAGCCTGTTCCCAAAGGACTGTTTCTTCATCTTTTTCACCCGAAGAACAGCTGGATACCTTCCTCCGGGGCTGTATCCTGAGGTGTTTTCCTGGCATCCGATTTCCTACTCTTAGAATACTCCCCCGTTTCCCACAGATACACACTACTAGAATTCCTATTTCTGATATGCCATTCTAAAATGCAATGCTAGTAATCCCAGCACTTTGAGAGGCCAAGATGGGAAGAAGGCTTGAGCTCGGGAACTCAAGACCAGCCTGGGCAAATAGTGAGACCCCACCTCTACCAAAAAATAAATATAATGCTTTCCCTTAATAATTGCGCCATCTCCTATATCTTCCTACCATTAATAATCAATAACTCAGTTATACTGGGACCATCTTAACTTCCACCCTGGAAATCAGTTGCAAGACCAAAATATCCTGTTCTCTAAGAGTCAGATCTTCCTCAGCTACTGAGTAAGAATGTAAACATTCTAAACAAAGAATTGAAAACATTTTTACTGCTATAGACCACAGAAGGAAAGAATACTTTCTAGAGACCCTATGACAGCATCACCCCAGCAGCCATTTGGCTTGACCCTTTGTTACCACATGGCAGTCCCAGCCTGGAGGCTGCCAGGCCCTCACCTGCCTCTGCCTGTCTGCTGCCTCCTTTGTCAGCATCTTCCTGACCAACCCAGTAAGTCTATGAGAAAGCAGGGCCTCTGACCAAGGCAGAGGGGAGACAGATCAACACTCGGGGGTCTAGACAGAGGCTTTCATTGAAGACTCACAGACATTTATGTTTCCTGAAGATATTTATTCCCATCCAAACATTTTCAACAGGGAAAGACACAATCCCCAATTTCCCCCTAGGATTCACATTTTCAATTTTCCAGGGAATCTCTCTTTCCTGGAATGCTCTCGTTCCTCTGGAGTCAGGAACAAGACTCCAGAGCTGTTTATTTTTCTCACACAGGTGGGGGGAATCTCATTCTCCACAAAGGGTTATCAGACACCTACTTCCTCTGCCAATTCCTGGGCTGACCTGCAAATTCCACCTTATTATTGCCCTTGGGCCTCTGGTTCCTTTTTGTCTGAGGTCATATTTACATGTGTAATCTGCCAATGGGCACTCCTGTTAGGCCATCGTAGGGCACGTGGTGGCTTGATCTGGACTGCCCATGGCTTCCCAACTGGGGCCTTCGGGACAGCTGCAACTCACAACCAGTCTTTTGTTGACCTTCAGCTGATTTCCCAGGGTACTTGGCCCCTCTTCTTTGGTCTCAGGGGCCCCGGAAGCCCAAATGCTCCTACTGAATGTCCCAAATGAGGAAGAAGTATCAAAAACATCACATGGATTCCCAAACTTGTTAAGGTAAACTGGACAGTCAGGTGCCCAAATCGCACCTTGGCTTTAAAAAGACCAAGAGGGTAGGAGCACCCTGGGGCAGGGTGGACTTAACAGAGAATTCCACCCTGAGGTCACCTCAGAGACTTGCCATCCTTTCTCATGCAGACAGAACTCCTTTTCAGTTTTATGCCAATCCTCTGCTGCCTCTGCACCTCCCTCACAATGAGCCCCCATTACCTGAAGAATGCAGAGGTCATTTGGTCGGCTGGGCAGGGAATACCAGCTCTTGCCAACAGGCTCCTCTGAATATGCCACCTCACCTGGGGCAAAGAGAAACCCCACTGTTACTAACCTGTGTGAGTTCTCTGATGACTCATAAGACGGGAACTCCGAGAGAAGCTTTCTCCACATTCAGAACATTTATAGGGTCTCTCTCCCGTATGCGTTCTCAGGTGGCGAATCCGATTGGAGCTGTGAGAGAAGCTGTCTCCGCACTCATGACAGGTATAGGGTTTTTCTCCTGTGTGGATTCTCTGGTGCCTGATTAAATTGGATCTATGAGAGAAGTTTTCCCCACAAAGGGTACATTTATACGGTTTCTCTCCTGTGTGTGTTCTCTGATGTCTGGTGAGGTGCATGCCCTGCCGGAAGCTTTTCCCACAAGTCAAACATTCAAAGAGCTTCTTCTCTGCCTTATGGGCTCCATGGTTTGTAAGAAAGGGGGTGCTGTCACTCACAGCTTCCCCACACTCAGAGAAGGGGTAAAGTCTCTCTCTCTCATGAGTTCTTTCGTGAATGACGAGGTGTGAACTCCGAGAGAAACTTTTCCCACACTCGGGACACTTATAAGGTCGCTCTCCAGTGTGAATTCTCTGGTGCCGAAGGAGGTTGGAACTGTGAGCAAAGATCTCCCCACACTCAGGGCACTTGTAGGGCTTCTCCCCAGTGTGCGTTCTCTGGTGCCTGTGGAGGTTGGAGTTGCAGGAGAAACATTTTCCGCAAATGTTGCACTGATAGGGCTTCTCACCCGTGTGGGTGCGTTGGTGGCGAGTCAGATGGGTGTTCTGACTGAAGCATTTCCCACATTCAAGGCACTTGTGGGCCTCCTCTCCCAGGTGTGCTCTGTGTAGTGACAGGAAACGTGGGTTCCCACCAAAGATTTCAGTGCAGTCCACACCCATACACAGTCTTTCAGCTGCATGTATTCTCTGGTGCCTAATTAGGTTTGAGTTGTTAGAGAAATTTTTGCCACACAAGGGACATAAATGGAGTTTCTTTGGCTGCAGTTCCTTCGGTCGCCCCAGTTCTCTGCCACTTGAGGCTCCTGCCAAGGCCTGCTCCATTCCACCCTCTGGGGGAGGCGCCCAATCCCCTTGCGACCGGTCATGAGGTCTTCCCAGCTCAGGACTCCAGGGCACCTCCCCTCGGGCCTGGTCAGGAAGCAGCACCTGAGGGTGGATGTTCTCAGAGCATACAGACGGAACACCTTCCAGGTTCTCAAATTTCTCTTCTCCTGGTAGAGAGAGAGAAACCAAACCCGTACATTATTTCTATGCTGGAGAAAAGAAAATCCCACCTGTCTGCCGCTGCCTGTTAGGTCAGCAGCCCAGAAGGGCTGCTTCTACCTCAGAATCCCATCCTCTCCTAAAGGTAAAGCACTCTGGAGAAGCATCAGGATAAAGGGTCGGGCCACTGGTCAAGGAATCAGAGCCGAGACCAGTCTTAGAATTTTCCTTTCCACCTGAGCCTCTCGATTCTGCCCTTCAGGAATGGGTGGGATGGAGCAGGGCTGAGAGTAGGGTGGGACAAGTAAGCTCAAGAATAAGGGCCTCCTTGAACTCTGCACCCTGGGTTCCTCACTTGCCTCACTGGGATGGAGAATGGCAGGGTCAAAGGACGTAATGTACCTCTCTAGCAGCTGTGCTGGGCCGGCCCTGCACCCAAATCCTCAAATGCCTTACTCTGCTGGGGGCGGTGGCTCACACTTGTAAATCCCAGCACTTTGGGAGGCCGAGGTGGGTGGATCACCTGAGGTCAGGGAGACCAGCCTGACCAATATGGAGAAACCCCGACTCTACTAAAAATACAAAAAATTAGCTGGGCGTGGTGGCGCATGCCTGTAATCCCAGCTACTCGGGAGGCTGAGGCAGGAGAACCGCTTGAACCTGGGAGGCGGAGCTTGCAGTGAGCCGAGATCGCACTGTTGCACTCCAGCCTGGGCAACAAGAGTGCCACTCCATCTCAAAACAAAACAAAACAAAACCAAAAAATGCCTCACTCTTAACTGCAAGAGCCTTGCTGCTTGCTGCGCAGGCCACTTGTCTTCATTCCTTACCTGGAGCTGGGCCTCTGGGGCTCAGGCCCTCCTTGCAGCTCTGGACACTGGGATCCCATAGCTTTCCTCCTTGTCCCACCTGGGTGCCTGGGACCTCCTGACTGGGAATGTGAGACTCTGTTCACAATGAAAGAAACAGATTTCTGTACTGCCACTTTCCTCTACCAGGGTAGGGAAACAGTCTTGTTCCCTGCCCTCAGTGGATAAATACAGAATGCTCCATAAATCTGACAGCAGTTACTTGGAATATACACAAACTGTTCCCAGTGGATACCTCTAGAGAAAGAAATTAGGGGAGGGAGACTTTTTTTTTTTTTTTGAGACAGAGTCTCACTCTGTCGCCCAGGCTGGAGTGCAGTGGCACGATCTCCGCTCACTGCAACCTCTGCCTCCTAGGTTCAAGCGATTCTCCTGCCTCAGCCTCCCAAGTAGCTGGGATTACAGGCGTGCACCACCACACCCGGCTAATTTTTGTATTTTTAGTAGAGATGGAGTTTCACCATGTTGGCCAGGCTGGTCTCGAACTCCTGACTTCAAGTGATCTGCCTGCCTCGGCCTCCCAAAGTGCTGGGATTACAGGTGTGAGCCACTGCGCCCGGCCAATTTTTTTTTTTTTTAAATATTCATGGTACTTGGAATGTTTTTTTTTGCAATGAGAATGTACACTACTGTAATTGAAATAACTATAAAATGAACATGGTCAGTTCCTTGAATAATCCATTTAATATCATAAAAGGGCCTTGTCTCTACATATAAATACAAAATAGAACTAAATTTGACCGGACAACTCCAGGGAAAGAAAATATAACATAATAGACAATCAGAAAAGGACCCAGGGCTCTAAGAGGACCATGAGATTAAAACCCACAAGTGCCATTTCTATGCTGTGCCAAAAAGAAAAACAAAAACCTCCACCTCCAGCAAACATGGACTCCAACAGAAGTTTAATTCCAACAAGCTGTAATCTGATCTTTTCCTATTTAGCATCTCTCACTAAAAGGGCCATGTTCAACTTTGGACATCACAGCAGTGAAAAGTAATATGGAAACTGGTACAGTGGCACACTTCCTGACTAAGGCAGGAAGACTGCTTGAGCCCAGAAGTTCCAGAGCAGCCTGGGCAACAGAGTGAGACTCACTTCAAAAAAAAAAAAAAAAAAAAAAAAGGCCGGGTGTGGTGGCTCACACCTGTAATTCCAGCACTTTGGGAGGCGGGTGGATCACCTGAGGTCGGGAATTCAAGATGAGCCTGACCTACATGGAGAAATCCTGTCTCTACTAAAAATACAAAAAATTAGCCGGGTGTGGTGGCGCATGCCTGTAATCCCAGCTACTCTGGAGGCTGAGGCAGGAGAATCACTTGAACCCGGGAGGCAGAGGTTGCAGTGAGCAAGATTGCGTTTGCAGAATTAGTGTCAACAAATGTACAGTTGTGATACTTTTTAGGCAAACCTGATATATGGAAACAATGTGCGGTGTGTCTTGTTTGTTTTGAAACAGAGTCTCACTCTGTCACCTGGTTGAGGTGCAGTGGCATCATCATAGCTCACTGCAGCCTTGACCTACTGGGCTCAGGTGATTCTCCCCTCAGCCTCCTGAGTAACTGGGACTACCACCACCACACCAGTGAGTCTTTCTACTGGTGTGTTTCAACATAGGTATAATCATAATGTACACACAGTCTTGTTTTATGTTAAGACTTCCCCAACTTTTTATTAAAAGAATTCTCATACATACAGAAAAGTTGAGGGAATTGTACAATAAATACAAGCATATCCTCCACCTAAATCCAACTATATGTCAGTCTGTCATATTCCGTAGGCATAATTTTAAAACTCTGAGTACAGTACAAGACATAGGTAAATCTTAATTTATGATATGGCCTACTTTGGAGCTATACATTGTTTCCAAATTTCCACAAGACCCTCCCCACTTTCTGAATTTTTATGGGCTGTGAGAGATGATAGGCTGGAATGTTGATCCTACTACCCCTGAAATTTTTGTCTTTGGGGACGAGCCTAGAAACACTAACGGAACACAGGAAACACTGGCGAGCTCATAAGAATAAGCATCTGAAAATTGCAAGGAATCAACCATTTAGAGCCCCCCAGCATCCTGGAATACTGCATGTGTGTGATGCTGGCAGGTTGTCACCGCATTGGGTTTGCTCTGCCCTAGGAAGTGCACATGGCTCAGACTCGCCTTAGGCTCTGGCAGCTGGGACTCCAGTCCCGGGCTGCCTGTGCCAACTGTACCACTTGGCAGATACATGACTCTCGTACAGGGGACTTTAGACAAAGGGAAGTCTCCTGTGGAGGCTTCTTGGCAAAACTCAGAGTCTGTGTCCAGGAGGTGAATGAATAACGGGCAGGACCCTGGTCAGAAATGGCGCAGTCATCATCCCTGGAAAAGAAGTCCTTACCCAGTGAGTCCACATTCTCATAACTCTCCTGCACCGTGTCCCTGGAGAGGGCCCTCTTACTAGGATCCTGATGCCCCCACTCCTCCTGGGAGATGTACATTGCCACGTCCTCTAAGCTCTCAGGCAACTGAAACAGCACAAGATCTCCTTTAGCCCCTGATGCACCAAGAACAATTCAAGCAGAGTCATGGGTTAAAGGGGCAAAATCCAGGGATGCCAAGCACATGTCAGGGGGGAAGAAGGGTATCAGGCCTCCAAGTGAGGTGTGAAATAGACAAAGCAGTGGGGGAGACGCTGTGGTAAGGGACAAAGGACCTTCCACATGGAGAACCCCCACCCCCAACACTCAGGGGAGGAAGGGTGCTGGGGGGAGACAATGGAAACTTCCACATCACCTGGGGCCCAGTCATCTCCTTGTCTTCCATGTTCCCTTCAGGAGGAAAAAGAGAAAGCCAGGGAGCAGATAATGCTGAAGGTGACAGAAATTATAATGAGAATGGCATTCCTAACTCTTGGCAACCCAAGGATTATTAAAACACAGTATCCATTCCCCAACACCCAGCCTCTGCTTTTGGGAATGACGCTAAACTGCACAGAGGCCTAATCAGCTGATATCCAAAATGACAGGGTGAGAGGGAAGGAGTACCAAGAGTAGCACTCCAAACCCTGCGTCATTCAAGTGGTTCTAAATCGCCTCTGTTCTGCATAAAAAAGGGCTCTACTGAGACTCCCTTCCCTTCCCCCAGCCCCAGGAGAACCCACACCACCAACTGCAGGTCTTTCATTCCACAGGTGAGAACCTGATCTTCAGAAATTCCTTCTCCTTCGCATCATTGCTACATCCAGCTAGTGTCGGGGGCAACCCCCAAGCCCCTCCTCCCTCCCACCTGCCCAGATAACTGTGCCTCACCCCTCTCCTTTACAGCCTGGGGGTCCCTTTGGGGGCTGGGGCCTAGCAGCTCCTGCAGCCTGGGGCCAGGGCTTCGCTCAGTCTCCATTGGCTCCAGCTTGAAGCTCGGTGACTCTCGTGCTGTTTCCAGAGGCAAAGGCTCCTCCAAAAGCACTTCTGTTCCCCGCCCATGGTTTGTGACCTGGGAACCAACCCACATCACTCATCATCACAACAGGGCCCAAGAGGAAGGGAAATTAGTATAGGATACTGAGAGCAAACCTTCAACAGAGAACCTCAGGCGATCCCTTTGGGCCCAGGTAACAGAAAAATGGTTTACACTAAAGGCTTTTTTGATCCCATGTGCAGGGGGAGGGGTTAGGGAAAGGGCCCACTCCCAGAGCACACCTTCCCCACACAGCTCTTAAGATACACCTCACTCCCTTTTGCTCTCCCCACCTTTTCTAGGTGCTTCTATTCCTCACTATAGGATAGGCTAAATTGGGGTAGCCCTGGGGACCAATGACCTCAGGGCCTCGGTGCCAAATTATCTTTCAAAGTTCACAATTAACGGAGGCCCAGCTTTGCAGAGAAGACCAGACCGTGGACCCTAACATAACAACAGGTAACAAGTACTAAGCACTCATAAGCTAGTAGTGTTCACAACTTTACATGCTGCTCTCCCTCTAAGCCCTAGAAAGTATGTTAATATCCTCATTTTACGAATAGGAAAACAGGCCGAAAGAGATCAAGTAACTTGCCAAAGTAACAAAGCTAGTACTAGCAGATTGAGGATTTGAACGCTGGCGATCTAACTCCATGGCTAACACTAACTGTTGCAGGGACACCGCCTCCGCGTGGAAACAGGGCACTCTTCACTGCTTTCGTTCATTTGGGGGAAAATCTGGAGGATGAGTGTTCCAGGTTAAATCACAAGTCCTCTTCCCCACGTAAGGTCTACTCAGGGCAATTTACTTGAATTCGACCGGGGGCGCAATGTCCCAGTGCTCAGGGCTAAACAAACCACAGATAAAACAGCTCTCTCTCTCTCTCACCTGTTGTCTCAGTCTCCCAAGCTCTCTCTGCATATCCTCCACAAGGGTCACCGCTTCTTCGCCGCTCTCCGGATGCAGCTCCTGCACCCTGCTCTGGATCTCCTGGGGCAGGATGGTCAGGAACTGCTCTAACACCAGCAGCTCCAAGATCTGCTCCTTCGTGCGCATCTCAGGCCGAAGCCACCCATGGCAAAGCTCTTGGAGCCGGCTGAGGGCTTCCCGGGGACCAGCTGCCTCTTGGAAGCGGAACCGTCTGAAGCGCAAGTGGGAGGCCTCGGGGCTCGGTCCTGGGTCAGGTGGGGGCAGCTCCTGGCTCCAGGCGCAGTCCTCCTCCAGCTTCACTATCAGGAGCCCTTCCCGTTCCTGGGAGCCCGGGCCCGACGCCATCGTCAGGTCTCCAGAGCGCCTTAGCCCGAAACCAGCCGTGCCCGCCTACGAAGGCGCCCTGAACCCATGTAAGGTTGGACGGCGCCAGCAGGAGCCCGGGGCCGGGGGCTCCCAGTCCAGGCCGAGGAGCCCCGCTCCAGCCCAGGCGCGGCCGGCTCCGGCGCCTAGGCCTCAGTCGGTCCCAGGCGCCGCCACGCCGGCCCCGTGGCCCATCTGCGCCAGGACTTCCCCGAGGCAGGAACCGAGCGCCACGCTTCTCACCCTATATAGAGGACCCACGCAAGACTCAGACCTCTGCTCCCACGCCGGAAATCTCAGCGCGCAAGTTAGGCGTCCACAAGCCCACGGCGCCTGCTCGTGACCAATTTCCGGGTCACGTTTTGCGAACTCCAGCGCCCATTAGGTCAGGTTTCTCCACACACTCACCGCCTACCAATGAGAAGGGAAGATTGGCCTACGGGGACTGGATGAGCGAGGGACCAATTGGAGACGAGAGGCGGGGCCACGGGGCGCGCCCTGAAATTCTGGGAGTGACTGGGGGCAGGGCAGCTGGATCCAAGCGAAGAAAACAAGCCTGAGGTCGTTGTGACTGGCGGGCAACCTGGGTTAGAATTACTCCGGAGCGCTTGGGAAAACGCAGATCCCAGGGCCACGCGCTCTCCAGTGCGTCAGTGTCGGGGTGAGACCCGGAAATCTGAATTGTTAATCAGCTTCCCCGGATGAATCCTTTCCCAAGCCAGGCCCCACCCGCTTCGGCTACTCTGGGCTGGCTGAAGATGGTCCCATTGGCCCCTGCGGCCTCGTCGGCTCCGGAAGCCAGGGGCTCCTCGGCATGTCGGGGAGGCCAGGGAGCTAGCCGCCCGCCCAGTCAGTGGCGCCGCGTGGCCTGCTGCGCGGGGCCTGCTGGGAGATGCAGTCCGCGGCGCGGCCTCGCGACTGCGCGTGCGCCCTGGGCGAGCGCCCAAGAGCCCGGCGGTTCTGAAACCCCGAGTCCCGCGGAGAACCCTGCTGGGCTTTGGGCTCGCTTCTGCGGCTGGACGTCCCAGAGGAGCGCTCGGGTCTGGGTTCGCGGCACCTGCTTCCGATTTTAGACCGAATTTTAAATCTGCCCGAGATGTGCAGCGCCTGCAGTTCATTCTCCAAGTTTCAGTCTCTTACCCAGCCCTGCAAGGGCGGGATCTGCCTCCAGCTCCGCCGTGGACTGTGATAGTTGGGGGCGAGTGGCAGGAGGGCCGCAGGGCCGATTCCCTATTGGGCGCGGTTGTGGGCTTTGTGTCGGTGAGCGGGGCTGCCCAGTTGTGAGGCGGCCCAGGTCCTCCGGGCCATGAGATCCGCAAATGGAAGCGTCCTGGGATAGAATGTGACAATCAGTTACCGTGTATTGAGCGTTTATATGCAGATCGATCCTGAAAACACGTTAGTATGAAGCAGATGCTATTAGCAGCCCCTTCCTACAGGTGGTGGCACTGAAGTCATTTACTTGGGTCACACAGCTAGTCTGTCGTCAAAGGTGAGGCTACCATGATAGTAGAGGGTAATATGGGATTAAAGGGGTTTGTGATGACTAAGTGAAAAGAGTACTGATATTTTAGTTTTTTTCTTTTTTTTTTTTTTCCGAGACGGAGTTTCGCTCTTGTTGCCCAGGCTGGAGTGCAATGGCGCAGTCTCGGCTCACTGAAACCTCCCCCTCCCGGGTTCAAGCGATTCTCCTGCCTCAGCCTCCTGAGTAGCCGGGATTACAAGCGCCCACCACCACGCCCGGCTAATTTTTGTATTTTTAGTAGAGACGGGGTTTCACCATGTTGGCCAGGCTGGTCTCAAATTCCTCACCTCGAGTGATCTGCCCGCCTTAGCCTCCCACTGTGCTGGGATTACAGGCGTGAGCCACCACGCCTGGCCTTTTTTAAAAATTTTATTCCAGGGAAGATGACAGATCCACAGGCTGTCGTGGCAGATGCAGAGCCAGCGACCCCATAGCACTCAAGGTCCAGTTTGGAAAGCCTTGTTTGCTCCCTAGGACCATTCTGGTGGTTTTAGGCATTCCTGTTCTTTTGTTTTTGAGATAGGGTCTTGCTCTGTCGCCCAGGCTGAAGTGCAATGGCACGATCATTGGACATTCCTATTTCAAGAGACATAGATTCTAGACTCATAACCAATTGCAGAAGACTCTAGCCTCAAAACCACTTTTCTCTGACATTTACTATGTAATCTCAGGCAACTTATGTAATCTCACTAAACCCCAAACTTCAGTTTCCTCATTTGTTTTGAGGGACTACTATACGCACCTCACCTCATATCACTGGGTTAGGATGAAATGAGCGGAGCTACACAGGATGCTTAGAACAGTACCTGGCACATAGTATGAATCCGATAAATAGTAGCTGTTACGCATGCACAGCAAGTTCCTGAATGTGTGCCTTATCTCAAAAAAGAAAAGCCACTCAGATTATTATTGCAGAATCTGTGGCATGGGAATGTTTGCAGAACTACACATACCTTGAGATAGGGAGAATGAGGGATTAATCATTTTCTATCTAAGGTCCTTTTGATTTTATGCTATTTATAGGTACTTAAAAGTAGATGAATTTAGGCTAGGTGCGCTGGCTCACGCCTGTAATCCCAGCACTTTGGGAAGCCAAGATAGGCGGATCACGAGGTCAGGAGATCGAGATCATCTCCTGGTTAACACGGTGAAACCTCGTCTCTACTAAAAATACAAAAAAATTAGCCGGGCATGGTGGCGCACGCCCGTATTTCCAGCTACTGGGGAGGCTAAGGCAGGAGAATCACTTGAACCTGGGAGGCAGAGGTTGCAGTGAACTGAGATTGTGCCACTGCACTCCAGCCTGGGCGACAGCAAGACTGCATCTCAAAAAATAGCAATAATAATTTAATTTTTTAAAAAAAGATGAACTTTCAGGGTTATTCAAAATCAGTGGTGGTAGTAGTCCTCCTCCAATTCTTTGTGATCTGCCAGTATGTGGAAAACAGACTAGCTGGTATTAGACTAGGAGTGGTGTTAACAGGCCAGCAGATTTGTAGGGGTTTTTTGTTGTTTTTTCGAGATGGAGTCTCGCTCTATCGCCCCGGCTGGAGTGCAGTGGTGGGATCTCAGCTCACTGCAACCTCCGCCTCCCAGGTTCAAGCGATTCTCATGCCTCAGCCTCCCGAGTAGCTGGGATTATAGGCACCACGCACCACACCCGGCTAATTTTTGTATTTTTAGTAGAGACAGAGTTTTGCCATGTTGGCCAGGCTGCTCTTGAACTCCTGACCTCAGGTGATCCGCCCACCTTGGCCTCCCAAAGTGCTGGGATTACAGGCGTGAGCCACTGCACCCGGCCAGGGCCAGGGTTCTTAAGCTGCCTCCATGTCTGGAGCAGTGCTATCCAATAGAACTTTCTGTGATGGTAGCCAATGGGCACTTAAAATGGAGTTAGTCTTGCCAAGTATTACCATACTGGCCAATGCAGTTCCAGAGGATCCATGGATGGGTTTGGAGATTTTTGTAAACCTTTTGATACTGTATGCAAAATTGGATGTGTGTGTGTGTGTGTGTGTGTGTGTGTGTGTGTGTGTGTGTGTGTATCTGTATGTTCTAGTAAGTGGGTTCATAGCTTTCATCAAGTTCTAAAAACCGCCAAAAAGACTAAGAACTGCTACTTTAGGGCTTTGGTGAAAAGTAAGTAGTGAAGAGAAGTAAGCGCCTTTGAAACCAGTACAGATTCTACTTTCTTAACACTGTAAGTCCTCAATGTCCTAGATAGGTTGGAAACTGTTATCTTAAGTGAAAGCACATTTTGTTATAAGGTTGATGACAAAAATAAATTAGTTTCATTATATGTCTTTTCCCTTTAAGTCCCAGTTTCCAAGACCCTATCAATGATGTTAAGTGAGGACTTACCGTATTAGTGATGTTAAGTGAGGACTTAACTGTGTTTTCTCATCCTCAGCTGCAGGTGACTTCGTGACTGTTGCAGAGAAAAATAAATTTGAATCTTCGACAAAGAACCCTTACCACTCCTGGTTTTAGGTCTCATGGGTACTAGACTCTGTCTCTGGGACTTCTTTCATTCCCTAACTAGCTCTTACAGATTCCTTTGTACTCAAGGGGCCAGTTATCTGTGCCTGGTTTTCAAAGTGACATTTGGTGAAATCTACAGTGTTAAGACTTTCAAGACTAGGCCACGTACTGTGGCTCACGCCTGTAATCCCAGCACTTTGGGAGGCTGAGGTGGAAGAATCACTTGAGGCCAGGATTTTGAGACCAGCCTGGGCAACATGGCAAGACCTCGTCTCTACAGAAAAAAAATTTTAAAAATTAACTGGTTGTGGTGACATGCAACTGTAGCCCCACCTATTAGGGATGCTGAGGCAGGAGGATTGCTTCAGCCCAGGAGTTTTGAGACCAGCCTGGGCAACATAGCCGTCATTTTAAATCGATGCTTTTCCTGTCTTTCATCTTAGGGTACATTCAGCCTCCGGGAGCTTCTGCCACTCTAAGCCTTTGCTACTTGCCACTCCCCCCAGCTTTGGTCTCTCCCCTCGTTTACTTGACTACAGCATTCCTTTGATCTATGACTTAGGGTTTTCTTTTTTTCTGAGACAGAGCCTTGCTCTGTCGCCCAGGCTGGAGTACAGTGGCGCAGTCAAGGCTCACTGCAGCCTCTGCCCAAGTTCCAGCGATTCTCCTGCCTCAGCCTCCCGGGTAGCTGGGATTACAGGCACACGCCACCATGCCTGGCTAATTTTTGTATTTTTAGTAGAGATGGAGTTTTGCCATGTCGGCCAGGCTGGTCTTGAACTCCTGACCTCAGGTGATCCACCCGCCTCGGCCTCCCAAAGCGCTGGATTTAGGGTTTTCTTTTACCTGTACCACATGCTCTTTGATCCTACTCCTAGCTTTGAAATCCAATCATAAACAAAATAGCAAATTTAAATGGCATTTCATTTGAAATGCATTTTATTTTTATTAATATGGAATATATTACCTTTCCTCATGAAAAGATAAAATGAGACATTTTACGCCACTTATATTTTGATTAAATGTTCTGGAGTTTAAATTTTCCTTTGGACTAACATTAACCAAACTGTCTTACTAATATTGTTTGATAATGTTAATATTTAGACATATTCCTCTATTTGCATATTAGATCACTATTTACCAACCTATTTTTTTTTTCAGACCAGTAAACTGTCAAGATGAGGAGGGAGAGGAAAGAACTTGGAAAGAGGGTGCAACCCAAACTTTTGTCAGTGAGGGGAGGCATGGCAGGACACAGGGGAGACCACACTGGAGACCATTTTACTAATTGTCTGGATTGATGGAAACACTCTTAGATATTTGTTTTGGTTAATATCAAGACAATCTACTTCTAGGCTTCAGCTAAAACAAACATGTAAAGATTGTTTTTGCTGGTTGCCAACCAAACCAGTTCAGATACTAATTCTTATTTGAAAGTCTCTTAACTGAAATTAATCCAGGACATAGTTTAACTACCACATTTACCTCTCTCTTCTCTTGGATTCAATAAGAGAATAGTTCTCAGTTTTAATATAGTCAGAATTTTAGGAAGATTAACTTGATATTTTGGTTCTTAGATAATTTTATTATCAAAATATTCAAAAAATGAGGTAAAACTAAATCAGTGCATTGACTAGCAGAATTAATTCACTCCTCTTCCCAGAGATTGGAGGAGAATAGCTTTGAATTGAGCACAAAAGGATCTTCCCCCTATTTTGTTTTTGTTCTAATGTTTGTTTATTATTTTTCCAGTATGCCTTTCGTACTCCTAGATTTTGTTCTAATGTTGAAAAACTGCCTGTTATGCTGGGCACAGTGGCTCACACCTGTAATCCTAGCACTTTGGGAGGCCGAGGCAAGAGGATTGCTTGAGCCAGGAGTTCAAGACCAGCCTGGGCAACAGAGAGAGCCCTTCTCTCTACAGAGTTTTTTTTTTTAATTATCAGGGCATGGTAGCACATGCCTGTGGTCCCAGCTACTCCAGAGGCTAAGGTGGGAGGATCCCTTGAGCCTGGGAGGTCAAGACTGCAGTGAGTTGAGATTGTGCCACTGCAGTCCAGCCTGGGAGACACTGCAAGACCCTGTCTCAAAAAAAGCCAGCTGCCTGTTAGAGGCTCCAGGTGAAATAATCCTAATTGAGAAGGAAATAAATATGGAGAGGCCATCTGTCCTGGAAATCGGCTTGAACTCAGGAAAAATCAGTGTGACCCAGACTATCATGTTCCCTGTATTTCTTATGACCAGTATATCTAGTCCCAAACCCTGACCTGTACTTCCCACTGGAGCCTAGAGAAGAGCCATGGGTGCAGGAATAGCAGGATTCCAAAGGAAAGAAACAATGACTTGACTCCAGGAGAGGTGAGTGTTCACTGGAAAGAAACGGGAAGAAAGAAAAGAAAAATTCAGCCTTACTTGGAATAAAAGGCTTTGGGATTCTATTTAGCAGTTTCTGTTTTCTCTCTACTACTTTAATACAACTCTTATTTTCCCCCCTCTTTCTCCTTGGACAGGGTGATATCTGCAATTTCTTTTTCTTACAGGTTTTGAGATCAGGAGAGAAAATGCAGATTCTTCAAAGCTGAAGAAATGTCAGACTCTGCATCTATTGTTACTTCAGAGGAGAATAAAATTGAATCATCAATTTTACAAAAAAGACTACAAACATTTAGGAAATCAGTAGAGAAACACCCCAGATTTAGCAAAGCTTGTAGATGATCAGAACCTCTCTATAAGGAGAGAAACCTGAGAACAGAATGGGAAGGCGAACTCAGCTCTTAGCTTTTTCTTAGTGTTTATAAGCAATCAGCTCCCAAATCAGGGTGTTTTAACAACTGGGAAGCCATCCCATATTTTCCAGTTTGGGAGGCTTTTCCTAGCACTTCGGGAGGCATAGGCAGAAGGATCACTTGAGCCCAAGAGCACGGGACCAGCCTGGACAACATAGTGAGATCCCATTTCTACAAAAAAAACAAAAATTAGCCAGGCGTGGTGGCAAGTGCCTGTGGTCCTAGCTGCTTGGGAGGCTGAGGTGGGAGGACTGCATGAGTCCAGGAGATTGAGGCTACAGTGAGCCATAATCGCACCAGTGCATTCCAGCCTGATACCCTAGAAGCTAATACTATGACACTGTGGTTCTGAAAAAAGAAAAGCTTTGTATTGCAAGTCGACTCACAAGGAGACAGGAATATCAAGCTCAAGGCTGTCTCCCCGTGTTGGCTTTAAGGCAGTTATTTTTATTAGAAAAGGTTCAGGCGGTGGATTCTGAGATTAGTAGGTGATTATTAGTGGAAGGAAAGGGGAGATGTGGAAAGTCCTTGGGCTTTCGCAGTTACCTCTTCAAGCTACTTAATGGGTCTCATGCAAATTCAGGGACAGCATGAAACCTGTGTTGAAAATTCAGGCTGTGATGTCAGCAAGCTCATTCTGTGCAGACTCCAGTCAGCGTTATTGGTTCCAACAGATTTCTGCTTGTTCTTCTTTTATCTTATAGGGAGGGAGTTTCAGCATTTCTTCAGCATTTCAGCAAGTTGTTTTTTTTTTTTTTTTTTTTTTTTTTTTTTGAGTAGGAGTTTCGCTGCAACGCCCAGGCTGGAGTGCAATAGCCTGATCTCGGCTCACTGCAACTTCCGATTCCCGGGTTCAAGTGATTTTCCTGCCTCAGCCTCCCAAGCAGCTGGGACTACAGGTGCCCACCAACCTGCCAGGCCTCGAACTCCTGACCTCATGTAATCCACCCACTTCAGTGGGTCAATCCCTCAAAGTGCTGGGATTACAGGTGTGAGCCACTGCACCTGGCCAGCGAGTTGTTTCTTATCTGCCATCCTGCAGACTCAAGAATTTCTGTTAGTTACTGATTTCTTTAACTCTTTGGGGCACAGTTTCAGTAGCCACACATTTTTTAAGGCTCCTAGAAAATTAAAATAGCACAAAAATTGTAGTATATTTTAAATATCTGCATTTAAATAACATTTTCACTCAACACAAGACCACAACTGGATATTTTATTGGTGATAACTTCAAAAATCTAAAACTTAAGACTTTTAATAAAGATGAAACCATACTAAATGGCCCTACTTTGTACTCTTTTCCTTTTTTGTAGAGACAGAGCCTTGCTATGTTGCCCAGGTTTGTCTTGAACTCCTGGGCTCATGCGATCCTCCCACCTTGTCCTCCCAAACTGCTGGGATTAAAGACGTGAGCCACCGCACCTCGCTCCTACTTGGTATTTTATGGTAACTCTTCAGCCATCGCTCCCCAACTAGGACCTCTTTTTAAGAGGAAGGGAGGCTGAAGGTCAGCAGCAAAGGACTAGAGTCCCCTCACCTTGGTCAGTGAATGGGAGGGACACACTTCCACTACCTTGTCTCCTGGGTTTTATTTTTGTTTTAATAATTCTTAACTTTTAAAAACTTCACAAATCTCTAACAGCCAAATCTTCTGGGTTTTAAACATGGTCACAGATTTTTTTTTGCCACTCATCCCATCAAGAAGTGGGGCATCTGTCCCTCTGCCTTGTATCTGGGCAGCTTGTGACTGCTACCAATGAAATACAATGAAATACAGATGTGGTGTGACCTCCAGGGTGAGGTCATAAAAGGCCTTGCAACCTCTATCTTGTTTGCTAGGAGAACTTGCACTTGGAGCTAGTGTAAGAAGTCTGGTTACCCTGAGAGCACCATGCTGGAGTGGCTGCACATAGCTCTCTAGTGGAGAGTCCAGAGGTGCTTTTGCTTCTTGTAAAATAGAAACAAAGTCAAACTAATAGACACTGCCATTGATTAGTTGTGGAAGGTGGTCATATAGGTATTTGTTAGGTTTTGTGTATTTGAACTGAGGCAGAATAGGGTCTGGAGGCAGGGAACTGAAGGCCAGTTCACCTTGACTTCCTAGAACTAAATCGAAAGAAAAACCCCAACTTTCCACGCATAAGTAACAAAAGGACCAGAGGCTACTCCCTTTGCCAATGCCCACCTTTTCTGAGGGGCAGATGGGAAATTGAAGGTACCTCTGACTGGCTGCTTTTTGCAATCAGACGTTTGCACAGGAGTGTAACTTTGTAACTTCACTTCAGCCTCTGATTGGTTGCAACCAATCAGACTGACTGAGGTTGGTTCATTTACATGGGGTGAACACCAAGTGGCCAATGGGAAACCTCTAGGGGGTGTTTAAGCTGCTGCTTGGCCGGCTCCCACACTGTGGCATGTACTTTCAATAAATCTCTGCTTTTGCTGCTTCATTCTTACCTTGCTTTGCTGTGCGTTTTGTCCAGTTCTTTGTTCAAAATGCCAAGAACCTGGACAATTTGCATCAAGACCCTCTACCGGTAACAGAACCGTTTCATTTCAAATAAAGACCAAGGAAAGGGGCATAATTAGCAATGTTATCTCTGGCTGTTGGTTTGAAGACTCTGACTCCAGCCTCAGAAACAAACCTTTTCCAGAAAGGGGAGGAAGATGGTTGTAGGTTCTGCTGCAGGGAAGTGTTCTCCAGCCATTTGAGCCACCTCAGCTGAAGCTCCAGCCACTGTGGAACGAGATGAGTTGTGCCTCTGGGTCTTGCTTGAAATCTGACCACCAAGTTGTGAGCATAATAAAGGGGCTGCTGTTTTACACTATTAAGTTTTGGGGTGTTTTTCATGCAACAATAGATAACCGGAACAATAGGCATACATGAATAAATAAACCTTGTAGAAGATTCAATGAATACAGATGTATACAAACAAAATGAAGGTCTGGGCACAGTGGTTCACACCTGTAATCCCAGCACTTCGGGAGGCCAAGGCGGGGAGGATCACTTGAGGTCAGGAGTTCAAGACCAGCCTGGCCAACATGGTGAAACCCCATCTCTACTAAAACTACCAAAATTAGCTGAGCGTGGTGGCGGGCGCCTGTAATCCCAGCTACTTGGTAGGTTGAGGTAGGAGAATCGCTTGAACCTAGGAAGTGAAGGTTGCAGTGAGCTGAGATCATGCCACTGCACTCCAGCCTGGGCAACAGAGCGAGACTGTCTCAAAAAAAAAAAAAACTGAGGGACTTTTCCATCACCTCCCACCTAATGTCTCCATGCTCTACAGGTTTACCTGGCTGTGCATCCTCCCAGTCTCCTGAGGAACTTCATGTACCTATATGGGCTAATTATATGTATACACCATGCTATACATATTTTCCAGATCTTCTTTTTAAATATTAGCAGTGTGCCTTTGACATCTATCTAGGTCCAGATGAATAGGCCATTGCCACTCTTAACAACTGTAGAGCATGCATACTATGGATATACCACAGCTGTACTGACTGTCTCCCCATTTAGATTGTCTCCAGCTGTTTCCTTTAACAACCAATACTCCAATGAACATCTCAGACGTGCATATTTGGGTACATTGGATATAGTCTTAGAAATGGAATCACTGAAGCAAAAGCCTTGTGCATTTTTTTTTTTTTTTTGAGATATGTTCTCCCTCTGTCACCCAGGCTGGAGTGCAGTGGCATAATCTTGGCTCACTGCATCCTTGACCTCCTGGGCTCAAGCAGTCCTCCCACTTCACCCTTCAGAGTAGCTGGGACCACAGGCATGTGCCACCCAATTTTTTATTTCTTGTAGCAACGAGGTCTCACTTTGTTGGTCAGGCTGGTCTGAAACTCCTGGGCTGAAGTGATCTGCTCACCTCGGCCTCCCAAAGTACTGTGATTACAGGCATGAGCCACCGTGCCTGGCCTAGGCTTGTGCATTTTTAATTTTGAAAACTTGCAGCAAATCACCTTCCAAAACAGCTTCACAGGCCAGGAGCAGTGGCTGACACCTGTAATCCTAGCACTTTGGGAGGCCGAGGCGGGCGGATCACCTAAAGTCAGGGGTTTGACACCAGCCTGGCCAACGCGGTGAAACCCCGTCTCTACTAAAAATACAAAAATTAGCCGGGCATGGTGGCGGGTGCCTGTAATCCCAGCTACTCAGGAGGCTGACGTGGGAGAATCGCTTGAACCTCAGAGGTGGAGGTTGCAGGGAGCCGAGATTGCATCACTGCATTCCAGCCTGGGTAAAAGAGTGAGACTCCATCACAAAAAAAAAAAAAAAAAAAAAAAAGCTTCACAAATTTAACTCGTAACCTGAGGTGTGAAAGTGCTTCTATGTCTGCATGCTCATTAAAGTTGGCTGTGGCAATCATATTAATTTGTGATAATATAGTGGGTGAAAAATTATGTCCCCTCAGCCGGGTGTGGTGGCTTAGGGCCTGTAATCCCAGCACTTTTGGAAGGCCAAGGCAGGAGGACTGCTTGAGCCCAGGAGTTCTAAACCAGCCTGGGTAACATAACAAGACTCTGCCGCTATTTAAAAAAAAATAATATCCCCTTGTTGCCTGTCATGTTTCTGATTACTTGGAGATTGGGCATCTTTTCACGTGGTACTTTGTATTTCTTCTCTGAGTTGCCTTTTTTTTTTTTTTTTTTGAGATGGAGTCTCAGTCTATTGCCCAGGCTGTAGTGCGTGTCAGGATCTCAGCTCACTGCAATCTCCGCCTCCTGGGTTCAAGCAATTCTTCTGCCTCAGCCTCGCGAGTAGCTGAGACTACAGGCACGTGCCACCATGCCTGGCTAATTTTTTGTAGTCTGTAGAGACAGGGTTTCACTGTGTTAGCCAGGATGGTCTCGATCTCCTGACCTCGTGATCCACCCGCCTCAGCCTCCCAAAGTGCTGGGATTACAGGTGTGAGCCACCACGCCCGGCCGTGAGTTGCCTATTTAAGCCTTTGAGCATTAAAAAAATTATAGTGCTTTAACATTCCAGGTATTATCGTATGTACAAATATTTTCTCTGTCACCTTTTTTATTTTTATTTTTTAAGACAGGGTTTTGCTCCATCACCCAGACTGGAGTGCAGTGGTGCAATCACAGCTCACTGCAGCCTTGACCTCCCAGGCTCAAGCGATCTTTCCAACTTAGCCTCTTGAGTAGCTGGGACCACAGGCGCACACCACCATGGCCAGTTAATTTTGTGAGGGAGGGTAGAGATGGGGTCTGCCTACATTGTGGAGACTCAAACCCCTAGGCTCAAGCAATCCTCCCACCTTGGCCTCCCAAAGTGCAGGGATTACAGGCATGAGCCACTGCATCCAGCCTTTTAACCATATTCATGGCTGTTTTTGTCATACTGAAGTTTTCTAATTTTTCTATTTACCTGAATTTTTTAACTTTTTCAGTTTTTTTATCTTGGTTAGAAAGATCTGTCAGCCCCCGCCCGGCCAGCCGCCCCGTCCGGGAGGGAGGTGGGGGGTCAGCCCCTGCCCGGCCAGCCGCCCCGTCCGGGAGAGAGGTGGGGGGTCAGCCCCTGCCCGGCCAGCCGCCCCGTCCGGGAGGGAGGTGGGGGGTGCCTCCGCCCGCCCAACCGCCCCGTCCGGGTGGTGGGGGGCCGCCTTTGCCCGGCCGCCCCTTCTGGGAAGTGAGGAGCCCCTTTGCCCAGCCACCACCCCGTCTGGGAGGGGTACCCAACAGCTCATTGAGAAGGGGCCATGATGACAATGGCGGTTTTGTGGAATAGAAAAGGGGGAAAGGTGGGGAAAAGATTGAGAAATCAGATGGTTGCTGTGTCTGTGTAGAAAAAAGTAGACATGGGAGACTTTTCATTTTGTTCTGTACTAAGAAAAATTCTTCTGCCTTGGGATACTGTTGATCTGTGACCTTACCCCCAACCCTGTGCTCTCTGAAACATGTGCTGTGTCCACTCAGGGTTAAATGGATTAAGGGCAGTGCAAGATGTGCTTTGTTAAACAGATGCTTGAAGGCAGCATGCTCGTTAAGAGTCATCACCACTCCCTAATCTCAAGTACCCAAGGACACAAACACTGCAGAAGGCCGCAGGGTCCTCTGCCTAGGAAAACCAGAGACCTTTGTTCACTTGTTTGTCTGCTGACCTTCCCTCCACTGTTGTCCTATGGCCCTGCCAAGTCCCCCTCTGCGAGAAACACCCAAGAATGATCAATAAAAAAATAAAAAATAAAAAAAAAGAAAGATCTTCCTCACTGCGAAATTTAAACAAATTTACAGATATTACACTTCGTGTTTCTTTAAATCATCTGGGCCAGGTGCGGTGGCTCATGGTTGTAATCCCAGCATTTTGGGAGGCCGAGGCGGGTGGATCACTCGAGGTCAGGAGTTCGAGACCAGTCTGGGCAACATGGTGAAAACCCATCTCCACTAAAAATACAAAAAATTAGCCGGGTGTGGTGGCACATGCCTGTAATCCCAGCTACTTGGGAGGCTGAGGCAGGAGAATCACTTGAACCTGGGAGGCAGAGGTTGCAATGAGCCCAGATCACACCATTGCACTCCAGCCTGGGAAACAAGAGCGACATTCCGTCTCAAAAAAAAAAAAAAATATATATATATATATATATATATATATATATATATATGGAGTTTATTTTTTATATATGTCAGGCAGAAGTCTATGTTTTCCAGCTCAACTGTCAACAGTCCCAAAACTATTTATAAGTTGGGCCACCTTTTCCCCTTGGGTTTTAAATACCATCTTTTGCATATACACACGTCTTACGGAATCTTGTTTCCATTTACCTTATATCCATTCTTGTAAAAACATATTACTGTTCTAATTTACTGTATTTTCACAGCTTGTTGTTATATCTGTTACAATACATCTCACACCACTGTATTTTTTTCACAATTTTTTTGGCTATGAATTTTAAAAATCAACTTGTCAAAGCCCATTCTTAAACATCTTGCAGCCTGGTGCGGTGGCTGATGCCTGTAATCCCAGCACTTTGGGAGGGTGAGGTGGGCAGAACAGCCTGGCCAACATGGCGAAACCTCATCTCTACTAAAAATACAAAAATTAGCTGGGCATGGTGGGGCGCACCTGTAATCCCAGCTACTCGGGAGGCTGAGGCAGGAGAATCACTTGAACCTGGGAGGCAGAGGTTGCAGTGACCTGAGATCACGCCACTGCACTCCAGCCTGGGCAACAGTGAGACCCAGTCTGAAAAAAAAAAGAAAGTCTTGTTATGGCTGGGCATGGTGGCTCACACTTGTAATGCCAGCATTTTGAGAGGCCAAGGCAGGAAGATCGCATGAGCTTAGAAGTTTGAGACCAGCTCAGGCAACATAGCAAGATCACATTTTTTTAAAAATGTAAAAAAAAAATCTCGTTACAATTTCAATTGGGTTTGCTTATAATTTGTTGATTAATTTAGGAATGCATGATATATTTGTAATATTAACTCTTCCATCCACGACTGTGGTGTATTTCTTCAATGATCTGGGACTTTTAAAATTCTGTAATCCTATATACTTTTCTTCTTATAGGTCTTGCAAATTTCTTATCATGTCTGGTTATGGGTTTTGCTACTATTGTGCATGGGATTCTTTGTTTCAAATTTTGTTTCCTAATTACTCAGATTAATTTTCCAACACCTACCACCAACTCTTTCAAGGCAGCATGTAGGGGTTAGTGGTAGCAACTCTTCTCTTGGAGCCAGTCTTAGTTGTCTGTATAAAGAAACCATTCCATGTTCCAGGACAGACTTTGCTGCCGTTGGGATGAATGGAGAGCAACATCCCGGTTGTCCGTCATGGGTGACAGCCTTCCTTCAGGTGACTTTGGCCTGTGATTTTCCATCCTGTTTGGGCTTCAAGTTATCCGAAAGGAATCATATTGAAATGGGTGTTTCTGAATTTCCGTGTCCTCATGTTTTTAGTTCTTCACAGCCTGCTTTAAAAATTATTCATTCTTTTTTTTTTCTTTTTGACAGAGTCTCGCTCTGTTGCCCAGGCTGGAGTGCAATGGTGCGATCTCGGCTCACTGCAACCTCCACCTCCCGGCTTCAATCGATCCTCCCGCCTCAGCCTACTTAGTAGCTGGGGTTACAGGCGCACGCTACCATGCCCGGCTAATTTTTGTATTTTTAGTAGAAATGGAGTTTCACCATGTTGGTCAGGCTGGTCTTGAACTCCTGATCTCGTGATCCACCTGCCTCGGCCTCTCAAAGTGCTGGGATTAAAGGCGTGAGCCACCGCGCCCAGCCACATTATTCATTCTTGCTTCTGCCTCTCCCTTTATCTTTCAGATATTAGGTGTAGTCAATAGCACTTAACTTTCTTCCAAATACAGTTAGGTGGACAGAATTCTAGTCCCAGCTCTGCACTGATGTGTAGAACTCAAGTCAGTCAGTTCCCCTGGAAGCCTGTGTCCTCCTCTGTAACATGACGGGGTTGGCTTGATGACTGCTAAGCTACCAGATGCCAAGAGACAGCAAAGCCAAAGGAAAGGCCTTGAGCTCTGCAGACACAGACCTTGAGACTGAATGTTGGCTACCTGACTCTTTGTAGTTGTGTAGCCTTGGGCAAGTCAGTGTGTACAAACTTCCTGTTTTCTGTGTTAAATTGAATATATCAACACCCACCTTGGACAGGCACAGTGGCTCCTGCCTATAATCCCAACACTTTGGGAGGCCAATGAGGGAGGATGGCTTGAACCCAAGTTTGAGATCAGCCTGGGAAACATAGTGAGACCCCGTCTCTACCAAAAATAACTTTTTTTGAATTAGGCGTTTTGTTTCAAAAATTTCAGAGAAAGGGACCTGTATCTAGAGTCTTATTTCAGGGGCAATCTTCCCACCTCAGCTTCCCAAGTAGCTAGGACCACAGGTATACATGATGGTGCATTCCTGTAGTGTCAGCTACTCGGGAGGCTGAAGTGGGACATTACTTGAGCTGGGGAGGTCAAAGCTGTAGGGAGCTGAGGCCAGGCACGGTGGCTCACGCCTGTAATCCCAGCACTTTGGGAGGCCGAGGTGGGCAGATCACAAGGTCAGGAGATCGAGACCATCCTGACTAACACGGTGAAACCCCGCCTCTACTAAAAATACAAAAATATGCTGGGCGTGGTGGCAGGCGCCTGTAGTCCCAGCTACTCAGGAGGCTGAGGCAGGAGAATGGTGTGAATCCGGGAGGCCCAGCTTGCAGTAAGCAGAGATCGTGCCACTGCACTCCAGCCTGGGTGACAGAGTGAGACTCCATCTCAAAAAAATAATAATAATAAATAATTAAATTTAAAAAGCTGTAGGGAGCTAAGCCATGATTGCAACACTGCACTCCAGTCTGGGTGATAGAGCGAGACCCTGTCCCCAAATAAATAAATAAACATACCCACCTCACATGAGGATAGTGAAGTCTAGGAAGAAACACCTATTACCTTGTATCCAGCATTGTTCTTGGTGCTTTGTGTGTATTAGCTCATTTAATCTTCACAACAACTCTAGAACCCCCATTTTACAGTTGATAGAAACAGGGACAAAGAGGGTAGGTATATCACTTGGCCAGCGTCACACCCTGCTATGAAGCACTCACATGAGGCAACGTAAAGCACACACAATACTTAGCACCTATAAACTGCATCAATTAAAGGTCATCCACTGCAGTTCCAAAGCTGTAATTTTTGGTATTTTGACATCCCCACTTCACAGACAGCCTTGGAAATATTTTCTGTGGTTTTTGAACTCCAGTTTTAGCTCTGACTTACACAGTCGTTTTCTCCTAACTACTTCCTGCAGCATTAAGAATTGTTTCCAGCTGCTGGTTTCTGCAGAGGATTGTCCTTGGAGCGTGGGGTGTCCACTGTGGTTCCAGCCGCAGCCCTGGTGCCCACACATGAAGATGCCCTCTACAGGACAGAAAGAGAAATACCACCTGATGTTGGCTGGGATATGGGCACTGTCTTTGTTCCAAAGAACCAAAGCTTTTCTTGGCAAATGGCCTGTCAGTCATTTCAGTTTATCTCAACTGCATTTTTAAAATTTCAGTTTCTGCTCTGGAGCTTCAGAGGAATTGAGACATGAGACAATTATGCCCTAAAGAACAGTCTGTCTGCATAAATGTTATGCCTGCAGTGTGTGTGTGTGTGTGTGTGTGTGTGTGTGTTTGGAGATAGGTCTGGGACGTGTTTCCTTCGGTACTGGCTCAAGGTTCCTTATTTGACTTGCTAATTTAAACTTATTCTACTTTGGAAACCTCGAATATTTTTTCTCTATGGGCAGAGTCTGCTTTTAAAAATCATTTGTTTAATCTTCTGCACCCCAGTGAAACAAAGTCTCAGCTAATAAATTTTTTAATTTTTCTGCTGTAAAAGTAATGGAGCAAAATAAGAAATTTCTCCTCTAACATTTAGCTTGCCATATTTTATTTTCCGTTACTATTTCACAATGAGCATATATTTGTGGACTATGTTTCATGAGTCATAAAACTTTAAAAATGCTCATTGAACGCCGGGCATACTGGTTCACGCCTGTAATCTGAGCACTTTGGGAGGCTGAGGCGGGCAGAACACAAGGTCAGAAGTTCGAGACCAGCCTGACCAACATGGTGAAACCCCATCTCTAACTAAAAATACAAAAATTAGCCGGGCGTGGTGGCGTGCGCTTGTAATCCCAGCTACTCAGGAGGCTGAGACAGAAAATTGCTTGAACCCGGGAGGCGGAGGTCGCAGTAAGCCCAGATCATGCCACTGCACTCCAGCCTGGGCAGCAGCGTGAGACTCCGTCTCAAAAAAATAATAATAAAATAAAAAAATAAAACGTATAGATGACATAGAGGGAAAAGGCCAACTTCTACCCCCAATTCTACTCTTGAAAGGTAGTCATATTTATTTCTTGCATTTCCCTCCAGATACTTAAATTTTAACATTTTTTTCTCTTATTTACAAACATGGGATCATGCTATCTGCACTGTAGTGCAAATGTGCTTTTTCCACTGAATAATACATAAACCATCTTTGCACATTAGCACACAGAAATTCACCGCACTGTTTTCAGTGGATGCAGTGTAGTCCAAGGAATGGATTCACCAAAACTTACTCAGCTATTCAGCCAGTGCCCTGGTGACAGACATTTAAGGGGTTTACAGTTTCTAACTAACTGGCAAGTGTGGCAGGCAGGGAAATGATCTAGGATGATTACCATCATTTGTGTAAGAAAGTGCCCCTGAGAACACCATGAAGGTGAATACAGCCTCGATATGCTTACCTGAAGACAGTAGTCTCGATGGGTAGGACTTAAATCCAATGTAGGAACTAGAAAAACAGACCATCTAGCTGGGTTTCCAAGCTTTTTTGTGGGCTGCAATACACTTGGATCAAAGGAAATCTTTCTTGAAGGTTAAATATGTAAAACAGTTAAAAAGTAGTGGCCGGTCTGGCATTAGTTGGGAGAGGGGGGAGGGGGTAGGAGGGAAGGAGGGAGGTCTATGCCTATGAAGCTCCTGAAATAAGAAACCTGGGCCGGGCGCGGTGGCTCACGCCTGTAATCCCAGCACTTTGGGAGGCCGAAGCGGGCGGATCACGAGGTCAGGAGAGCGAGACCATCCTGGCTAACATGGTGAAACCCCGTCTCTACTAAAAATACAAAAAATTAGCCGGGCGTGAAAATTAGCCGGGCGTGGTGGCGGGCGCCTGTAATCCCAGCTACTCGGAAGGCTGAGGCAGGAGACTGGCGTGAACTCGCGAGGCGGAGCTTGCAGTGAGCGGAGATGGCGCCACTGCACTCCAGCCTGGACGACAGAGCGAGACTCCGTCTCAAAAAAGAAGAAAGAAACCAGATGCATGTGCCTTCTTTGAGCCAAACCATTACCTCTCTGGCTCACAGCATGTTACTAGATTTGTTCAAAAGGAAAAAACAGAAGTTTCAGCAACCGTACTCTAGGGTTCTGAGGGGGCAGAGTTTGAGAATCCTTGCTCTAGCCCGCCTCTGCTGATTATAAGGGAGAAAACGGCAGTGCTGCTGTTAGGCTGATGTATCTGTTCCTTTCACAGCTTTGGTCATAACTGGTAATTACCATTTACTTGTTCTCAGCCTCCTTGGAACAGCGATCTTGCCTGACACGTGCACCCTCGCACGTGGCACAGTAAGTGGGACACATTAGGCACTCGGAAAATATTTGCTGTAAACATGAAAGAAGGGCGACAGGCTAATAAAGTGTGGAAGGGTTTTGGGGTCAGCACAGCCCCGGGACGTCCCATCCCCGTGGGCCGCGGGCCGCCCGGAATACGACGACTCCACTTGCCGGCGCTGCTCCCGGGATACCAGCGACAACAGCGGCTCAGTCCCGGCAAACGGCGCGTGGCCCCTCCGGCGAAAAGCAGCTATAGGCTGTTGCGGCTGCCAATCAGACCAACAGAGCCGCGACTCGGAGACCTCTGGGAGACGTGGGCCCCCGCTAATCCGCCCTCCAATTGGCTCGCGTGCTCCCGGGGCGCTCTGGGAGATGTGTTTCTGGGAGTGTTCCGCGCATGTGCATGCGTGAGGGCGGGGCGTCGGGGTCGGGCTGGAGTGTCTGTCGCGCCTTATGTGGGCCCCTCGGCAGAAGACGCACTTTCGGCAGAAGCCGCACTTTTGGCAGAAGCCGCCCTGGGTCCTTTCCCTCCCGCAGGCAGGCCGGGACCCCGGCGGGAATTGCGTGCAGGTCGGGTCTCGCTTGACCCCAGCGCCTCCCCGCGTCCGGGCACACTGCGGACAGTTCCTTTTTATTCTCTACCGCTACTTCCTCTTTATCTTCTGCCGCTCTTTCCACACGTCTCCTCCCCCAGGCCGCTTCCCTTTGGGGCGCCGGGCCAGGGAGGGGCTGCCGGACCGGAGACCCCGGACTCGCGCCGGTCTCCGCTCGGGCGTGGGGTCCGTGGGGCGTCGGCGGGAGGGGTCCTGGAGGAGACGGCTGTGCCGGGGCGGGACCCCCTGTCCTCTTAACAGACGCGCCCCTGACAGTCGTGCCAGTCGCCGCCCTGGGCTTTGGGGACGTCCGAGGACGCAGCTGGCGGTTCCTCCCGCGGTTCCCGGCACTGTTACTTCCCCGAATTCCCAGAACAACCCATTTGATAGGAAATGGAAACTGAGAAAAATCGAGTAATTTACTCACGTCACACGGCCACCAGATATTTGAATCTCGTATTTCCCACCACTTCGTGGCTTCCAGGCTCATAAACAAGAAGTTGCAAAACAGGGTGAGGCGTGGGAATGACAGCAGCACGGGGCGGGGAGTGGAAGGGCGGAGCACCTTAGAGGGCAGGATTCAGCAAACGGAACCTCAAAGGAAACAGTGTCAGTGCTGCTGCTTAGTTGGTAAGAAAACAAAGGGCCGGGCGCGGTGGCTCACGCCTGTAATCCCACCACTTTGGGAGGCCGAGGCGGTCGGATCGCGAGGTCAGGAGTTCGAGACCAGCCTGACCAATATGGTGAAACCCTGTCTCTACTAAAAAATACAAAAATTAGCCGGGCGTGGTGGCGCGCGCCTGTAGTCCCAGCTACTCAGGAGGCTGAGGCAGGAGAATCGCTTGAACCCCGGAGGCACATGTAGTGAGCTAAGATCGCGCCACTGCACTCCAGCATGGGCGACAGAGTGAGACTGCGTCTCAAAAAACAAACAAACAAAAAAAGGGAGTAGCTGCCTTCCAGACACAGTTTTGTTATTTTTCTGCCCCTTTCACTAGCCTGTCAGCCCTTTGGTGGCCGGGGATTGCGTGTCCAAAGCCTGGCTGCTAGTCAGGTTCCTATAAATATTGGTAGGACAGAGCGTATTAAAGTTTTTATTTTAAGATTTTTAAGCACAAGAAAGTTGAGAGAGTAACATGAATACTCACGTACTCTCCACCTAGATTTAATAATCAGAAAAAATTATGTGTGTAGGCCTTTATTTTTTACAAACCCTCTTGTTTAACGTTACCGCCTTCCAAATGAAGCTCATTGGTGAGTGGTGTGGGGATCTATTCAGAGCCCCATGACTGCAGCCCTTCAGCAGGGTTAAGGCCACCTGCCACACCCCACTTTGGGAAGCTGGCTTCCTCTCCTCTCCCTCCGTTTCCAAGCTGCTCAGGAGGTGCCCTCAGAAAGATCAGTTACAATTAGTGTTATCTGCGTAGGGGACTGGGCAGCAGATCTCATTGATCTGGGCTGGGATCGGCAGGTGGGTTGGTCCAAGTTGAGAGGGAGATCCTGCAGAAGCTCTTAGCTGCTGCAGGATTCAACACTAACTCCTTAAGGTAGCAACAAGGGCCCTTTGTAAAATCTGGCCAGAAACAGGTATCTTAGATGCATCTTCACACCCGCCAGTATCCAGTCTACCCTTATCATGTCAGCCCTGCTTTCAGAATCACCCAGAATCTGACCCTTCTGCCTCCACAGTGGTTCAGGGCCCTGCAGTCGCTTTCCTGCATTGTGACAATAGATTGCTTTCTCCTCTCTGTTTCCACCTTTCTCATCTCTTGTCTCTTATGGAAGCCAGAGTGTTCTCTTTTCTTTTCTTTCTTTTTTTGAAACAGTCTCACTCTTTCACCCAGGCCAGAGTACAGTGGTGCGATCACAGGTCACTGCAACCTCCGCCTCCCAGGTTCAGGTGATTCACCTCAGCCTCCAGAGTAGCTGGGACTACGCGCACATCACCACCACACTCAGCAAATTTTTGTATTTTCAGTAGAGACGGGCTTTCACCATGTTGGCCAGGCTTATCTCGAACTTCTGACCTCAGGTGATCCACCTTCCTTGGCTTCCCAAAGTGCTGGATTATATGTGTGAGCCACCGCGCCCGGCCCAGAATGTTTCTTTTAAAGCGTAACTCCAATTATGTCACTGCTCTGCTCAAACTTTCCAGTGTCCCCTCATCTCAGAGTAAGAGCCAAGTCCTTGCTGTGTCCTGGGAGCCCTGCTACTTGATAGGGGACTCCAGCTCCCTCTCTAACCCCTCCATCCACTCCTCCTCCGTGCCTCTGCTCCAGCCACCACTCTTCCTCAAACACTAAGCACAAAGTTACCCCTTTTGCACTCTGTAAATAGGCAAAGACTGCTCATCCTCAAAATGAATACCTGGCTTACTCCTCTTCCTTTGGGTCTCTGTTCAAGCACAAAAGCCTTCTTCAAGTGCCCTATTAAAATATGAAACCAGGGGGCACGGTGGCTCATGCCTGTAATCACAGCACT
Organism: Homo sapiens; assembly: GCF_000001405.40. Taxonomy (NCBI): domain Eukaryota; kingdom Metazoa; phylum Chordata; class Mammalia; order Primates; family Hominidae; genus Homo; species Homo sapiens. The sequence goes on along the minus strand of NC_000016.10, from coordinate 3,261,829 downwards.
TTGGGAGGCCAAGGCGGTTGGATCACTTGAGGTCAGTTGTTTGAGACTGGCCTGGCCAACATGGTGAAACCCCGTCTTTACTAAAAATACAAAAATTAGCCTGGCATGGTGGTGTGAGCCTGTAATCCCAACTACTTGGGAGGCTGAGGCAGGAGAATTGCTTGAACCCGGGAGGCAGAAGTTGCAGTGAGCCAAGATAGCACCACTGCACTCCAGCCTGGGTGACAGAGTGAGACTCTGTCTCTAAATAAATAAATAAAAATAAAAAAATATGAAACCAATCCCCTGCACTCACTAACCCTATTATTCTGCTGTTTTTTCCCCCAACTTATCACTCCCTGATACATTGTGTATTTGTTTGTTTATATCAATTCACACTTTCCTATAAGAATGTGGGCTCTTGGCTGGGCGCAGTGGCTCATGCCTGTAATCCCAGCACTTTGGGAGGCCGAGGTGGGCAGATCACAAGGTCAGGAGATCGAGACCATCCTGGCTAACACGGTGAAACCCCGTCTCTACTAAAAATACAAAAATTAGCCGGGCGTGGTGGCAGGCGCCTGTAGTTCCAGCTACTCGGGAGGCTGAGGCAGGAGGATGGCGTGAACCCGGGAGGTGGAGCTTGCAGTGAGCTGAGATAGCACCACTGCACTCCAGCCTGGGCAATATAGCTAGACTCCGTCAAAAAAAAAAAAATGCGGGATCTTCTGAGCCAGGCGCAGCAGCTCACGCCTGTAATCCCAGCACTTTGGGAGGCCGAGGTGGGTAAATCACTTGAGGCCGGGAGTTTAAGACCAGCCTGGCCAACATGGTGAAACCCCGTCTCTACTAAAAATACAAAAATTAGCCAGGCGTGGTTGTCGGTACCTATAATCCCAACTACTTGGGACGCTGAGGCAGGAGGATCGCTCAAACACTGGAGGCAGAGGTTGCAGTGGCGAGATTGCGCTACTGCCCTCCAGCCTGGGCGACTGAGTGAAATTCCATCTCGAAAAAAAAAAAAGAATGTGGCCTCTTCTGAAGGGCATTTATATCAGAAAAAAAAGAATGTGAGCACTGCAAGAAGTTTTTTTCTGTTCAGTTCTGTATCAGTAGTACCTAGAATAGCATCTGGCATACAGCAGGTGCTCCAAGAGTAAATGAATGGCCCTGTGGTGCCTCTTCCTAGCTAGACATGTGTTCAGTATGTCAATTAACCCATCTAAACAGGGTGGGCAATTGTCCCAATTTCCCCGGACTGTGGTCGTTCCCAGAACTAGGCTTTCAGTGCTAAGACTGGGCAAATTGGGTTTTGCTCCTAGACAAAATGTGTTGGTCACCCTACCTGTAAGCCTACATTTCATCATCTATGAAAAAATAGTTGGCTGGTCACGGTGGCGCACGCCTGTAATCCCAGAACTTTGGGAGGCTGAGGCGGGCGAATCACAAGGTCAGGAGTTCAAGACCAGCCTGGCCAACATGGTGAAACCCCGTCTCTACTAAAAATACAAAAAATTAGCTGGGTGTAATGGCGGGCACCTGTAATGCCAGCTACTCGGGAGGCAGAGGCAGGAGAATCGCTTGAACCCGGGAGGCGGAGGTTGCAGTGGGCCATGATCTTGCCACTGCACTCCAGCCCAGGTGATAAGAGTGAGACTCTGTCTCAAAATAAATCAAGTAAATAAATAAGTAAATACTATATACCTCCTTTATCATGATGGTTTAGGGGCACGGGACTGATACTCCCTTAGAAGTTAAGCTAATTGTGAAAGACTTTTTTTTTTTTTAAATACGGAATCTTGCTCTGTTGCCCAACCTGGAGTGCAGTGATGCAATCTCGACTCACTGAAACCTCCACCTCCCAGGTTCAAGCAGTTCTACCTCAGCCTCCGGAGTACCTGGGATTACAGGCGCGGGCCACCTCACCTGGCTAATTTTTGTATTTTCATTAGAGACGAGGTTTTGCCGTGTTGGCCAGGCTGGTCTGGAACTCCTGACCTCAAGTGATCCACCTGTCTCGGCCTTCCAAAGTGTTGAAATTACAGGCGTGCGCCACCACACCTGGTCTGAAAGACTTTTTAAAACTATCTTTTTTGCTTATTACGAAAGTAATACAATCTTCATTTTTTTAAATCCCAAAATGTGCAGAAGTAAATGCCATAGAAAGTGAAACCCCTGGTGACCAGGAGTGGAGTGAAGGTCGTGGTGTCTGAGCCGCACATTTCCCAGGAGTAATAGCCGAGAGTAGACCCTTTGCAGCAGCTTTGTTGGGTTTAGATTTGCCATGTCACCCCAAATAAGGTCACACATCCAATGGCAGGGGCACACAAGACAGCCCATGACCATTCCACTTTGATTATTAAACACTTAAATGACGTTAGAAGGGCAATAATTCTATTTTCACTGTGAGAAATTACTGGAACCCCTCCAAACAAAAGCTTTGTGAGCCTGCCTTGCCCTAGAAAGTCCAAAGTGGCATCAAAACACTGCCTTCCAGAAGTCCTGCCTCAGAGCAGCCTCTGTTGCAAAACGTGTCACCGCAATTGCAAAATATCCTGCTTTAGACCAGAAAGTATCATTCCCTGCCCAATTCTGTCATGGGGTTTTGGTATCAGCTCCGAGGAGTTTTCTGACCAGACGAGATGGGATCACACAGCACCCACAGCGTCACTGCACAGTCTCATCCTTTCTCCATCTGGTAGTGGGAGACTGCCTGGGAGGTGCTGGGTTGCCACCGTCCAGAGTCAGGGACGGGTGCTGGCCCCAGTGATACCCCATTCAACACCCTTCTTCTGGCCCAGCCTAAAAATTCCAAAAATCTGCTGTCTGCACCATCAATGTGCATTTCATCCACTTTTTTTTTTTTTTTTTTTTTTTTTTTTTGAGACAGGGTGTCTTGCTGTGTCACCCAGGCTGGAGAGCAGTGGTGCAATCACAGCTCATTGCAGCCTGAACCTAGGCTCAAGCAATCTTCCCACCTCAGCCTCCTGAGTAGCAGCAGGGACCACCAGTGTGTGCCACCACACCCAGCTAATATTTTTTCTATTTTTTGTAGAGGCAGGGTCTCCTTATGTTGCCCAGGCTAATCTCAAACTCTTGGGCTTAAGTAATCCTCCTGTCTCAGCCTCCCAAGGGCTGGGATTGCAGGTGTGAGCCACTACACCCAGCCCAATTCACCCTTTTTTTAGGGAAGATGTTGGGTTTGGGCTCAGAAAGATCTAGCAAACTGCATGTTTGTTGTCAGCTATGAAAACAATGCAAAAACACCAAATACTCTGTGAAATAGGAAACAGGTGGACCAGCTGGACAGTAAGTTAAATTCAACCAACCAGAACTCATCAAAGCCTTGAATCCCAGGCTGGGCACACACAGAGGAGCTCACACCCAGAGCTGGGTGTTCAGCTAGGCGTCGCAATGTTGTGACTGACCTGTGGAAGTGACCCATCCTGGACCTCAGTGGTCAGCTGGAAATGTGACATCCATGGGTAGTCATTAACAGTAAAATCACAAATTATTGTCATGCAGGAGACGATGTTGTGAAGTGGTTTGACGTTTGGATCTTGGCTCTAGGCAAGTCACTAAGCTACAGATTCTTGGCTGCACAGGGGGATGATAAACGCAGCCCTGCAGGGTGCTGCAGAGATTCTAGGAGGAAGTGTTTATAAAGCTAGTGGTGGCTGGTGCCGAGGAAGTGCTGGTGAAGGGTAAATTGCATTATTAACAAAACTTCTGGCCGGGCGCAGTGGCTCACACCTGTAATCCCAGCACTTTGGGAGGCCAAAGCGAGTGGATCGCTTGAGATCAGGAGTTCAAGACCAGCCTGCGCAACATAGTGAGACCCTGTCTCTATAAAAAATACAAAAATTGGCCAGATGTGGTGGAATGCACCTGTAGTCTCAGCTACTTGGGAGGCTGAGGTTGGAGGGTTGCTCAAGCCCAGGAGGCAGAAGTTGCAGTGAGCCAAGATCCCACTACTGCACTCCAGCCTGAGTGACTGAGCAAGACCCTATCTAAAAATAAAAAAATTAGGGTATGCAACGGTCAGAAGTAGGTAAGTGAGGAGTCAGTTCACCCTACATGTAATTTTTCATTTATTTATTTTTTTTGAGACAAAGTCCCGCTCTGTCGCCCAAGCTGGAGTACAATGGCGCAACCTCGGCTCACTGCAACATCTGCCTCCCATGTTCAAGTGATTCTCCTGCCTCAGCCTCCTGAGTAGCTGGGAGTACAGGTGCGTGCCACCATGCCTGGCTAATTTTTGTATTTTTAGTAGAGATGGGGTTTTACTGTGTTGGCCAGGCTGGTCTTGTACTCCCAACCTGAGGTGATCCACCCACCTCGGCCTCCCAAAGTGCTGGGATTACAGGCGTTAGCCACTGTGCCCTGCCCCCAACATGTAACTTCTGTTAGCTTCAAAGCCACCTCTGGGGCCCTGCACCACATATGAGCTGAAGGACACCCGTGCCTTTTCACCCGTGTAGCTCCAGCATCTTGGCACACTGTCTAGAATGTTCAATGAATGTGCACGGAAGAGCATTCTGGCTCCAGGGAGCGAGGACTGAGTCAGCTCTGGGAACAGATGAGTCAGGCTGGTGGTCCAGGCATTGCTTTTCAAGTCCTTCATGTGGCTGGAAGAACCAGTCAACTGGAACCGGATCAACAGGGGTGATGGCATGGCAAGAGTTATCTCCTGGCAGTGCCCTTCTGGCCTCACTTGCCTTCTTGGGCCAGGAAAGGCAAAGCTCACAGGACTGTATTCAGTGCCCACCCCTTCCCCCGTCCTGTGCCATTGGCTCTGGAAGGTCCCTGAAACCCCGAGTCTGGAGGAGAACAGTTGACCAGCAGGGCGGGCCCTCAGCATAGTCCTCTCTGTTCCCACTCACCCGCTCTGCCAGCCCCAGATCCTGGCAGGAAGGAAGATTGGAGGGGGTGTCTGGAATCCAATCCCAGACCTTCCCTTGCAGACTTGCCCATCTGTCTGTGGTCTAGTGTGGAGGCGAGGTCCAGGGTTTGGGAGGGGTGTGGGGGCACATGTCTGCCAAGGCATGGAGCCCTCCCAGCTGGAAAATCCTCTGAACCTGTAAGAAGAGAACACAGCCGGCATGGACACACCCTTACCCTTAGTCTCAGTTCCCACCAAGACACAGAGCATTTCCTGTGCCTTTTCCGCTATTTCACAACCTGCCTTTTCTTGCTCACCAAGGACAGAGGCTTCTTTTCCTACCAGAAGCCAGACAGCTGGCTCGAGCCTCTCCTGCTCAGCACCATGGCTAAGACCCCTAGTGACCATCTGCTGTCCACCCTGGAGGAGCTGGTGCCCTATGACTTCGAGAAGTTCAAGTTCAAGCTGCAGAACACCAGTGTGCAGAAGGAGCACTCCAGGATCCCCCGGAGCCAGATCCAGAGAGCCAGGCCGGTGAAGATGGCCACTCTGCTGGTCACCTACTATGGGGAAGAGTACGCCGTGCAGCTCACCCTGCAGGTCCTGCGGGCCATCAACCAGCGCCTGCTGGCCGAGGAGCTCCACAGGGCAGCCATTCAGGGTAAGCGGGCCCAGGCCTCCTCCTCATCCAGTGCTGAGTGCTGGCTGCTTTGTGGGAAAGGGGACCAGGAGCTCAGAGCAGCTCACTCTGACCTGGGGATTGGGAGTCTCAGGTCTACCAAAATCCAGATGACTTTAGTTCAGGAACGTCCCTTTCTTCACTCTGGCCTTTGGAACTGGGTTAGTAAACTTCCTTCAGGCTCCTAATGGGTTTTTTAAGAAGCAGGTCAGGGTCACGAAAGGCAGGAGCTGGAACACCTGTTCTTTGAGACTTCTTCACTACATTTATGATTAATACTCATGTCAGACAAACATCTCTAGGTTAGCAAAAAGGGATTGCTATGCAATCATATGAACGGGGTTGGTATAGAATCTTCTCAGTGCTGTTCACCATGTTGGCCAGGCTGGTCTCGAACTCCTGACCTCAAGTGATCCTCCCGCCTCAGCCTCCCAAAGTGCTGGGATTTCAGACATAGGCCACCGTGCCCGGCTTATTTTTATTTTTAAAGCGTATAATCTGGGTTTTGCTGACCTGTGTAAGATCTTATTTGAAACAGTTGTCCTGCTTAAAACGTTTGAAAAGTACTATTTGAGAAATATAGGCTAGGCATGGTGGCTCACACTTATAAATAATCTCAGCACTTTGGGAGGCTAAGGTGGGTGGATTGCTAGAGCTCAGGAGTTTGAGACCAGCTTGGGCAACATGGTGAAACCCTGTCTCTACCAAAAATACAAAAAAATGAGCCAGGCGTGGTAGCACACACCTGTATTTTCAGCTATTGAAAAAACAGAAAACAGGCTGAGGTGAGAGGATTGCTTGAGCCTGGGAGGCAGAGGTTGCAGTGAGCTGAGATCACATCAGGGCAACAGAGCAAGATCCTGTCTCAAAAAATAAAATAAGAGAGAGAGAAATACATAGCAACATCAAGCATGTTCTTACTGAATGGTAATTGACTGCCATTGTCTAGTCTAGGAAGTCCTGAACTTTTGTTTTTGAGATGGAGTCTTGCTCTGTCACTCAGGCTGGAGTGCAGTGGCCCGATCTCAGCTCACTGCAACCTCCACATCCCGGGCTCAAGCGATTCTCATGCCTCAGCCTCCCGAGTAGCTGGGACTACAGGTGCGCACCACCGCGTCTGGCTGAGTTTCTTATTTTTAGTAGGAACGGGGTTTTGCCATGTTGGCCAGGCTGGTCTCGAACTCCTGACCTCAAATGATCCTCCCACCTTGGCCTCTGGAGAAGCTGGGATTACAGGCATGCGCCACCACGCTCAGCTTATTTTTGTATTTTTAGTAGAGACGGGGTTTCACCCTGTTGGTCTTGAACTCCTGATCTCAGGTGATCCTCCCGCCTCGGCCTCCCAGAGTGCCGGGAATACAGGCATGAGCCACCGCGCCCGGCCCGTTGTTTTCCTCAATTTCTAAACTTTAATATCCAAGGGGATTCTCTCTCCTCTGCCCTGAATCTTGGGCCCTAAACGTGGGACAGCTTCATCATTTTGCATCTGGTTGTCCTTCCAGAATATTCCACACAAGAAAACGGCACAGATGATTCCGCAGCGTCCAGCTCCCTGGGGGAGAACAAGCCCAGGAGCCTGAAGACTCCAGACCACCCCGAGGGGAACGAGGGGAACGGCCCTCGGCCGTACGGGGGCGGAGCTGCCAGCCTGCGGTGCAGCCAGCCCGAGGCCGGGAGGGGGCTGTCGAGGAAGCCCCTGAGCAAACGCAGAGAGAAGGCCTCGGAGGGCCTGGACGCGCAGGGCAAGCCTCGGACCCGGAGCCCGGCCCTGCCGGGCGGGAGAAGCCCCGGCCCCTGCAGGGCGCTAGAGGGGGGCCAGGCCGAGGTCCGGCTGCGCAGAAACGCCAGCTCCGCGGGGAGGCTGCAGGGGCTGGCGGGGGGCGCCCCGGGGCAGAAGGAGTGCAGGCCCTTCGAAGTGTACCTGCCCTCGGGAAAGATGCGACCTAGAAGCCTTGAGGTCACCATTTCTACAGGGGAGAAGGCGCCCGCAAATCCAGAAATTCTCCTGACTCTAGAGGAAAAGACAGCTGCGAATCTGGACTCGGCAACAGAACCCCGGGCAAGGCCCACTCCGGATGGAGGGGCATCTGCGGACCTGAAGGAAGGCCCTGGAAATCCAGAACATTCGGTCACCGGTAAATTGTGTTCTTTCCTACTTTATATCGGCTGCAGAGAAAGAATGGCTGGCCGGGCACGATAGCTCATGCCTGTAATCCCAGCGCTTTGGGAGGCCAGGGCGGGAGGATTGCTGGAGGCCAAGACTTTGAGACCAGCCTGGTGAATGTAGTGAGACCCCCGCCATCTCTATAAACGAAATTAAAAAAATAAAAACCCAAAGGTTGGGCAGGGCGTGGTAGCTCTCGCCTGTAATCCCAGAGCTTTGAGAGGCCTGCACGGGAGGATCTCTTGACCCCAGGAGTTCCATACTAGCCTAGGCAACACAGTGAGACCCCATCTCTACAAAATACAATAGTGGCACGCGCCTGTAGTCCCAGCTGCTCGGGTTCACTTGAGCAGACGGAGTTCCAGGCTACAGTGAGCTGAGATCATGCCACTGCACACCAGCCTGAGCAACGTAGCCAGACTCCACTTCTACAAAACTAAAAAAAAAATTAGCTGGGTATGGTGGCACACGCCTGTAATTCTAGCCACTCAGGAAGCTGAGGCAGGAGGATTGCTTGAGCCAGGGAGTTCCAGGCTGCAGTGAGCTGAGGATGTGCCACTGCACTCCGGCCTGGGCAACAGAGCAAGACCCTGTCTCTTAAACATTTTGGGGGGAAAAAAAAAGAAAGAAAGAATGTCCGATTGAAAAAGGCAATCAGGTGTTATCAGTGGCCAAAGAATGGAGAAGGGGAGCTCACCTCTGCAGGCGTCTGCTTGCCAGGGATGGGAGGCAGGGCGATTTTAGAGTCCAGGGAGGGGAAGGGAGATAGGTAAGCAGGCCCAGGGCAGGGTTCCATATGTGCAGGCGCTGTCCCCAGCATGCTTCTTCCTACATCGCATGGACACAAAACCCTGGCCATCTTCTTTTAGGGGAGGGACCTTTAGCCTTATAACAATGTGTAAATGATCTTAAGGTAACTGGAAGTCACCTCTTCCAGTTTGCACTGGTTTTGCTCTGATCTTAACTTCCTCTGGTTTTTGGCAAGGGATCAGGAGGCTCCAGGCCATCTGGATTTTTTTAAGCAGCTGTCCCTATAGGTAAAGAGACTAAAAAAAAACTGTAAAAGAAAAATGCCACCAGTTTAGAGGGTACCGAGGCTATCCAGGTGACAATTCCATGCTCGTGGTGGGGGCAGCATTCAGAAACACACTTTCCTTTTTTTTTTTTTTTTTTTTTTTTGAGACAGAGTCTCAGTCTGTCTCCCATGCTGGAGTGCAGTAGTGTGAGCACAGTTTACTGCAGCCTCAACCTCCTAGGCTCAAGCGATCCTCCCACCTCAGCCTTCCAAGTAGCTGAGACTATAGGTGCTCACCACCACACCTGGTTAATTTTTTTTTTTTTTTTTGTATTTTTTGTAGTTACGAGGACTGTCTATGTTGCCCAGGCTGGTTTTGAACTCTTGGGCTCAAGCGATCCCCCGCCTTAGCCTCTAAAAGTGCTAGGATTTCAGGTGTGAGTCACTACACCCAGCCTATGGAACACACTTTCCAATGCATTGTTGGCTGGAGAGGAGAAATCACAGCACTCAAGGAGGAGAAATAGAATTGGGGGTCCAGGCCGGGTGCGGTGGCTCATACCTGTAATCCCAGCACTTTGGGAGGCCAATGGGGGCGGATCACCTGAGGTGAGGAGTTCGAGACCAGCCTGCCAACATGGTGAAACGCCATCTCTACTAAAAATACTAAATTTGCTGGGCGTGGTGGCGGGTGTCCATAATCCCAGCTACTCAGAAGGCTTCGAGGCAGGAGAATTGCTTGAACCGAGGAGGCAGAGGTTGCAGTGAGCCAAGATCATGCCACTGCACTCTAGCCTGGGCGACAAGAGCAAAACTCTGTCTCAAAAAAAAAAAAAAAAAAGAATTGGGAGTCCAGGGACCCCTGAGACCTGGGAGGGGAAAGGATGTGGTATGCTGCATGAGTCTTCAAATCCAGAAGTCCCTGGGTCTTCCAGTGAGAAAGGACCCTGGGATCTGGAAAACCTAGCATCCTTAGGAATAGTGACCTGAAAAGTACTGAAGTATTTCCCCCCTAATTTTCTTTTATCCCTACTGTATTTTTTTTAATTTTTTTTTTTTTTTAGATATGGGGTCTTGCTATGTTGCCCAGGTTGGTCTCGAACTCCTGATCTCAAACAATCCTCCCATCTTTGCCTCCGAAACTGCTGGGATTACAGGTGTGCACCACTGCACCAGGTCCCCACTGTATTTATATCATTGGGATTCCTGGGTGTCTTCTAGGGCCGCTTCGTTAATCTGATGCAGGCTTAGACCCTGAAAAATGCATATATGCACAGCTTCACAAATGTCACATCAAATTTCAGGTAGTTCTTGGACACTCTGAAGACCATCTTTAGAATCCAAGGGGTTTATGGACACCAGGTAGAAAATCTGGGGAAGACTGGTTAAAAATACTCCCTCTCACAATAACCTCACAGCAATGCATCATCATGGGGTTGAGATTCTACCATTTGCCTTTCTCTCAGCAGAAAGAAAAGCCTATTGGCTAAAGTCCTAACTATCTACTGCTGAGGTAGTCATTAAAATTATGTTTGGTTGTGAATAATAGAAACACCCAAATAACAGTAACCTCAACAGAAAAGAAGTTTGTGCCTCCTTCACATAAATGATACACAGGCGGTCCCAGGCAGATCCGTGGGCCAGGACCCTGGGGTCCTGCTGTTGCTCTGTCCCACCAAGTTTGTCCTCAAGCTTCTGCTCTCAGAAGGTGACGTCCTCATGCCAGGCAGCAAGATGGAGGAACAGAGGGGAATAGTATCCCTCGGGAAAGCTCTAGAAGTTTCTAGAAGCTGCTTGTGACACCTCCATTTACATCCCTTTGGTCATATTATTGTCAAATAGCCACACCTAACTGCAAAGGAGGCTGAGAAATGCAGGGCATTTGGGGGGCAATGGGAGGCAGGGAAACAGGGAAACGTGGACAATTAATTCTATCACGAGAGAAGGAGGGAGAATAATTTCTGGTGACTACTAGCAGTCTCATTTACAGATGTGCTGTGAATTTCTGGGACACTGTGAGGTGGGAGGAGGTAGCAGGGGCTAAAGGATTGAGTGTGTTTCTATTTCTTTTTTTTTTTTTTTTTTTTTTTGAGATGGAGTCTCTCTTGGTCACCCAGACTGGAGTGCAGTGGCGCAACTTCAGCTCACTGCAAACTCCGCCTCCCGGGTTCAAGCAATTCTCCTGCCTCAGCCTCCCGAGTAGCTGGGATTACAGGTGCCCACCACCACGTCCGGCTAATTTTTGTATTTTTAGTAGAGACAGGGTTTCACCATCTTGGCCAGGCTGGTCTTGAACTCCTGACCTCATGACCCACCCGCCTCGGCCTCCCAAAGTGCTGGGATTACAGGCGTGAGCCACTGCGCTCGGCCTTGTGTTTCTATTTCTTCTTGTATCTCGTGGCATGTCTGCTTATGAAGTTGCAATTAGAGTCTTGGAGTAGAGCTATTCATAACTGTTAGGTCTTCATGATGAGTTCCAGTCTTTAGCCCTATAATGCCCCCCTTCTTTGCTTTTTCTTTTAAGATGGCATCTTACTCTGTTGCCCAGGCTGGAGTGCAGTGGTGCAGCATCAACCTCCTAGGTTCAAGCAATCCTCCTGTCTCAGCCTCCCAAGTAGCTGGGATTAGAGGTGTGCACCACCACACCTGGCTAATTTTTTAATTTTTTGTAGAGGTGGGCTCTTGCCATGTTGCCCAGGCTGGTCTCAAACTCCTGAGCTTAAGCAGTCCTCCCACCTTGGCCTCCCAAAGCACTGGGATTATAGGCATGAGCCACCACCCAGCCCCTTCTTTGCTTTCATTTAATGGTTATTGAACTCATATGTGAGCAGTGGTCTATTTATTCCTTCATTCAATACTCATTTTCCAAATGCTTGCATTTGCCAGGTACTCTGCTAGGGGCTGGGATCCAGCTAGGAGCGAGGTACACAAGTCACCATCCCCTGGAAGCCTCCACTCACGTTATGGGCAGCCAGGGATGGGTTCAAGTGGCAAAGGAACACTGGTCAGAATGTCTCTTTCCTTGGCATCACCTGCTAGATCTATGTCTGTGCAGGAGGAACAGCACAAGGCCATGGGTCTTTCTTTAGGATAAATGCCCAAGAATTCCAAGGCTCAGGAATGTCTGAGGTCTGGCCCTTAGCTCTCAGGCCCAGTGGCCTGTTTGCTTCCTCACTGGATGGAAGTCGGGGGAGGACAAGCTAGGAAGTGGGCAGAGTCTAACTGAGAACTCGCACATCTCAGGCAAGGGCTGTGTCCGCTGTGCTTTGTGATACCTCTGTGTAAGCAACTTGGGTTTGCCATTCAGGGGGTTTTTCCACTGCATGTCCCCAGGAAGGCCACCAGACACGGCTGCGAGTCCCCGCTGCCACGCCCAGGAAGGAGACCCAGTTGACGGTACCTGTGTGCGTGATTCCTGCAGCTTCCCCGAGGCAGTTTCTGGGCACCCCCAGGCCTCAGGCAGCCGCTCACCTGGCTGCCCCCGGTGCCAGGACTCCCATGAAAGGAAGAGCCCGGGAAGCCTAAGCCCCCAGCCCCTGCCACAGTGTAAGCGCCACCTGAAGCAGGTCCAGCTGCTCTTCTGTGAGGATCACGATGAGCCCATCTGCCTCATCTGCAGTCTGAGTCAGGAGCACCAAGGCCACCGGGTGCGCCCCATTGAGGAGGTCGCCCTGGAACACAAGGTAGGCACTCCCTGCCTGTGGGCTCTTCTCTGCCAGGCACTTGGACACACTGGGCCTTACTTCATTTTCCCAACAACTCTGGGTTGTTGGTGCATTAACCAGCATTCTTGGGCTGGAAATGGCAAGAACACAATATAAACCAGTCCAGCAAAGAGGGGAGCTACAGGTTTATGTTGCTCAGAGATCCAGGGGGAGCTGGCTTCAGGTATGGCTGAATCCAGAGGCTCAGAGGAAGTGCCTCTCAGCTCTGCTGCCTTTGGCAATTCAGCCATTCCTCCCTCCTCTTTCCTGAGCACCCCTCCCCATGCCGCTGGCAGCAGCACCCTCAGCCTTGCTACCAGAAGGAGATGTTCCCCTCCAGAGTTGGCACCAGCTAAAGATGGCAGGAGCCAAATTCAAGCTTTTCAACAAGTGCTGTTTTTCCAGAAGAAAATTCAGAAGCAGCTGGAGCATCTGAAGAAGCTGAGAAAATCAGGGGAGGAGCAGCGATCCTATGGGGAGGAGAAGGCAGTGAGCTTTCTGGTAAGGTCAGAGGTGGCTGATGGCCCATCCGTCCCTGGGAGGAAGGTGGGAAGAGTGAGCAGGGGTCCCCGAGATTCTGCTGTGGTTCACAGGGCAGCAGGGATGGCCACCTCCTCTCAGGGGACAGAGGGTAACCAGCAGCCAAGGGTAAGCTCATCCCTGTAGAGGGAGACCACCCCCAGCAGGCAGGGGTCACCTCTGAGGATCCTGTCATGCTTTCTCATACTCACCAGAAGATGGTAGAGAGCAACCTATGCCGGTGACTACTGCAGAAAGATGGGATTGAGGAAAAGGGAGGAGAACGCCACTTTCTTTTTTTGTGACGGAGTCTCGCTCTGTCACCCAGGTTGTAGTGCAGTGGTGTGATCTTGGCTCACTGCAACCTCTGCCTCCCGGGTTCAAGCGATTCTCCTGCCTCAGCCTCCTGAGTAGCTGGGATTATAGGTGAGTGCCACCATGCCTGGCTAATTTTTGTAGTTTTAGTAGAGATGGGGTTTCACCATGTTGGTCAGGCTGTTCTCGAACTCCTGAACTCGTGATCCGCCCGCCTTGGCCTCCCAAAGTACTGGGATTACAGATGTGAGCCACTGCGCCCGGCCAAGAACACTTTTAACTTCATAATTTACTCTCTGTTTTTTTGTTTTGTTTCCAAGATGGAGTCTCGCTCTGTCACCCAGGCTGGAGTACAGTGGCACGATCTTGGCTTGCTCCAACCTCCACCTCCGAGGTTCAAGCAATTCTCCTGCCTCAGCCTCCTTAGTGGCTGGAATTACAGGCGCCTGCCACCGCGCCTGGCTAATTTTTGTATTTTTAGTAGAGACGGGATTTCACCGTGTTGGCCAGGCTGGTCTCAAACTCCTGACCTCAGGTGATCCACCTGCCTCGGCCTCCCAAAGTGCTGGGATTACAGGTGTGAGCCATCGTGCCTGGGCTGGTTTTTTTGTTTTTTAGGGTTTTTTTTTTTTTTTTTTTTTGAGATGGAATCTCACTCCGTCGTCCAGGCTGGGGTGCAGTGGTGCAATCTCGGCTCACTGCAAACCTTCGCCTCCCCAGTTGAAGCAATTCTCCTGCCTCAGCCTCCCGAGTTGCTGGGACTGTAGGCACATGCCACCACTCCTGGCTAATTTTTGTATTTTTAGTAAAGACAGAGTTTCCCCATGTTGGCCAGGCTGGTCTCGAACTCCTGATCTCAAGTGATCTGCCCAACTCAGCCTCCCAAAGTGCTGGGATTACAGACATGAGCCAATGCACCCAGCCCAAATTTCCCCATTTTATAAGACAACATTTATATTGGATTAGGGACCCACCCAATCCCAGTAGGACCACATCTTAACTAATTACATCTGCAAGAACTCTTATCTCCAAATAAGATCACATGCTGAGTACTGGGGGTTAGGGCTTCAACGTGTAAATTTTGGAAGGGACACAGTTAAACCTTAACACCAGGTTTAAGGACATTTTCCCAGAGCTAGCCCCAGCCATGCTCAGTCTTTTCTGGAAGGTTCCAGACAATATCGCCTCCTGCTCTGGAATCTAGGCCTTGAAGAGGCAGCATAAGCCCACCTCTTATCCACCTCCAGGAGGTGGGCTTCTGGGGGTTCCTGGACATCCACGTCCACCCACAGCACAGACCCCCATACCTCCCTGTCCTCTGCTCCCCAGAAACAAACTGAAGCGCTGAAGCAGCGGGTGCAGAGGAAGCTGGAGCAGGTGTACTACTTCCTGGAGCAGCAAGAGCATTTCTTTGTGGCCTCACTGGAGGACGTGGGCCAGATGGTTGGGCAGATCAGGAAGGCATATGACACCCGCGTATCCCAGGACATCGCCCTGCTCGATGCGCTGATTGGGGAACTGGAGGCCAAGGAGTGCCAGTCAGAATGGGAACTTCTGCAGGTGGGTGTGCCTGGGCCCGGCTTTCTTGGGTCCCCTGTGCCTATCAGGATGCCTCAGGCTCCCAGCTCTGCCATCAGCCGTGCTGGAACAAGTGGGTGAAGCCCCTAAGGCCTAGGATAGGACTTGGTCTTGGTGACCCACAGTGCCTCTTGTGCCCAGACCCCTTTGATGAGGTCTCTCAGGAGCCCAGGGTGGCCTGGTATCCAGGGGATCTCTGCCATTTCCCAGAAGGGATCAGCAGGGCTTGAGGGCCGTTCCATTGCAGGCCTCGCCACCTGGGATGCCTGAATTCCCGTGGTTAGAATTAGACTTGAAGAAAGGTGCTCCACTTCCACTGACACCCTAGGGCAGGGAGCCCTGGTAAGTGCAGCGGGGAGCTAAAAGTCCAGGAGCCCAGAAGTAGAGGCCAGGAGTCAGCCCAGCCACTAGGAGCCTGGTAACCGACAGTTTCCTTCTTTTTTCTCCTAGGACATTGGAGACATCTTGCACAGGTACAGCGAGGTCCTGTGGTGTACCCTGGGGTGTCTTGCAGAAAGCATATGGGGGAGACAGTCCCAGAAGGGACCTGGGAGGGAGATGTTCCCAACCCCGGGGTCTGTGATTCCAGACTCCTCCTTTTTTCTGCAGCTTCCCAAAGCCTCTCTGGATTTGATAGGGAGAAGGGCATCTGGTCAGCAGGGAGGCTGGCCGGGTATGGAGCTGCAGACTGGGAAGGGTGAATTCAGCCCATCCTGCTGAAACAAGATGGAGGCTCCCTAAGAAACCTTCCGAGTGCATTGTGTCCCGTGCAGTTCATCTGATGAAAGCTGCCCCTTCAGGCCTACTGGTGGCCTTGGGAAGCTTGTTTGGAGTGGAGCTGGGCTAAGCCCAGCAGGAAGGGGAGGGGAGGGAAGGGACAGGAAGAGGCTAAGCCTTAAAATCACCTGGGAGCTTTACAAAATCCCGGTGTCCTTTTGTGTCTGGCTTCTTCACTTAGCATAATGTCTTCGGGCTTCATCCGTGTTGTAACGTGTATCAGAATTTATTTTCTTTTTATGGCTGAATCATAGTCCAGTGTGTGTTCATACATTTTGCTTATCCATTCATGGATATCGGGACTTCTTCTAACTTTTGGTTTGTGAATAATGTTGCTATGAACAAGGGTGTACAAATATCTGCTTGAGACCCTGCTTTGTTATTTTGGGTACCTACCCAGAAGTGGAACTGCGGGACCATGTGGTTATCCTGTGTTTAATTTTTTTTGAGGAACCACCATCCTAATTCTCACAGGGGCTGCATCGCTTCACATTCCCACCAGCAGCACACAGGGGCTCCAGTTTCTCCACATCTTTGCCATCACTTATTTTCTTCTGTTTCACTCTCTCTCTCTCTCTTTTTTTTTGAAGACAGCGTCTTGCTCTGTCATCCAGGCTGGAGTGCAGTGGCGCGATCTTGGCTCACTACAACCTCTGCCTCCCAGGTTCAAGGGATTCTCCCACCTCAGCCTCCCTAGTAGCTGGGACTACAGGAGCGTGCCACCATGCCCAGCTAATTTTTTTGGTAGACAGGGTTTCACCATATTAGCCAGGCTGGTCTCAAACTCCTGACCTCAAGTGATCCACCCACCTTGGCCTCCCAAAGCGCTGGGATTGCAGGCGTGAGCCACCGTGCCCAGCCATTTCTCTTTCCTTCCTTCCCTCCCTCCCTCCCTTCCTTCCTTTCTTCCTTCCTTCCTTTCTTTTCTTCTTGAGACAAGGTCTCACTCCCATCACTAAGGCTGGAGAGCAGTGGCACAGTCACAGCTCACTGCAGGCTCAGCTTCCTGGGCTCGGGTGATTCTGAGTAGCTGGCATCCTGAGTAGCTGGGACTACAGGCATGTGCTACCACTTCCGGCTACTTTTTTGTATTTTTAATAGAGACAGGGTTTCGCCATGTTGCCCAAGCTGGACTTGAACTCCTGGGCTCAAGCGATCCCACTGCCCCGGCCTCCTGAAGTGCTAGGATTACAGGCATGAGCCACCATACCTGGTCTATTTTTTTCTGTTGTTGCTGTTTTTATAATAGCCATTCTAATGGATGTGAAGGGATATTTTGTTGTGTGTGTTTTTTTTTCATTTATTATCTTTTTATTTCAATAGAAAGAAAGGGGTGTATAATCAATTTGACATAGATAATTCTAGTAGATAATATCAATGTCATTTTAAGTCCATTCTGAAAACTCCTTGTGGTTTTGATATCCATGTCTTTAAAGCACCCCAGTACATGACAGTCTGTGGCCAAAGTTGAGGACCAGCATTTAGACCTCTGAATCCAGGGAAGACTTTTCTTTGTGTAGCTCAGGCTGGGCTAGGTGTGCCCTGTGGAGAATGTAGTTCATTTCCAGCTCACGGGTACTTGGGCCACCCCCTCGCTCCGGCCTTCTCTGGTCAACAGTCTTTTGTCTCTAGGGCTAAGACAGTGCCTGTCCCTGAAAAGTGGACCACTCCTCAAGAGATAAAACAAAAGATCCAACTCCTCCACCAGAAGTCAGAGTTTGTGGAGAAGAGCACAAAGTACTTCTCAGGTAGATGGGCTTGGGAGAAGATTGGAGGTGCATGCTCACTTCCTCCCTAAGATCCACATAGCCCAGAGCCCCTCACTTCCCTCCTCTTCCCCTGGTCTTGCTGACCTGCCTTCAACCTCTCCTCCATCTGTCCCTGGCTGAGGGACCTAACTCCAGCTTCTCTCTGCTCCCTTTCCCACATTTTAGAAACCCTGCGTTCAGAAATGGAAATGTTCAATGGTGAGTCCAGCGGTAATGGTGTGTGCTGGCCTGGGGTTGTTGCAGTGTTCCCTTGTGCTGTTGACTTGAGGGGCCCTATTTAGAAGACAAAAAAAAAAACCAAACACCTGGAGCAAAGGTAGGAGAAAGGTCATGGCAGGCCCCCCAGGCTCTGTGCGTGACTCATTGACTGAGTTGACTCATTAGACCACAGTCCCCAACATGGCCTGGGTTCCTGGGAGGAACGGGATTATACCCAACATAGCATGCAGGGCCCTAAGCAGGGGGTTCCTTGTCTTTCCTTGTTGTCAGGACAGTGTAATTTAGCCCCTCTTAATGCTAATGCTCAGGATTTTTTTCCCTATCTGATTTTTCTCCGTAGTTCCGGAGCTGATTGGCGCTCAGGCACATGCTGGTAAGTGCCCAGATCAAGGCAAGTGGCCCTGGCCTGCTGGATCCCTGTGCTCTCCCCTACCACGTTCCAGAAGAACTACCCTGTCCCTGTTTCCTGCAGGTGGGGAGAACCCTGTAGGGATGTTGCCCATGGACCCCTACCTAGGTATTCAAATTTTCTTTGCAGTTAATGTGATTCTGGATGCAGAAACCGCTTACCCCAACCTCATCTTCTCTGATGATCTGAAGAGTGTTAGACTTGGAAACAAGTGGGAGAGGCTGCCTGATGGCCCGCAAAGATTTGACAGCTGTATCATTGTTCTGGGCTCTCCGAGTTTCCTCTCTGGCCGCCGTTACTGGGAGGTGGAGGTTGGAGACAAGACAGCATGGATCCTGGGAGCCTGCAAGACATCCATAAGCAGGAAAGGGAACATGACTCTGTCGCCAGAGAATGGCTACTGGGTGGTGATAATGATGAAGGAAAATGAGTACCAGGCGTCCAGCGTTCCCCCGACCCGCCTGCTAATAAAGGAGCCTCCCAAGCGTGTGGGCATCTTCGTGGACTACAGAGTTGGAAGCATCTCCTTTTACAATGTGACAGCCAGATCCCACATCTATACATTCGCCAGCTGCTCTTTCTCTGGGCCCCTTCAACCTATCTTCAGCCCTGGGACACGTGATGGAGGGAAGAACACAGCTCCTCTGACTATCTGTCCAGTGGGTGGTCAGGGGCCTGACTGAATGCCCAACACTGCATCTCTCTTCCTGCTTCTGGCCTTGTATCTTGCATTCACACTCAATAGTCACGGAATGCCGACTAGGTGCTAGCTGCTATGGGAAATGCAAAAATAACAAAATAGTTACTGTGCCCACGGAGCCTACCCGATTATAGCAGAGGTAAGTTAGGAACGAACATGTTAGTCAATCCGGGTGAAGACATGTACTGATGACACACCATGGATTTCAGAGGAGGAAGTACGGAGTCGTTGCATAATCCGCCCCTGGTGGGTGGCACTCTCAGGTGCTCCTGAACAGAAGATTTGGCCCTCATTTTCCCTCAGAACCCCACGGCAAGGATATATGTCCCCTTGTTCTCTCTGCTTCTGTCTTGAGGATATGGGAAGCCTAGAGAAACGCAAGCAGACTGGATTGGGATAGAAGTATTTGTGTACCTGGATTAATGAACTATGATTTTTTTTTTTTTTTTTTGAGACCAAATCTTGCTCTGTGGCCCAGGCTGGAGTGCAGTGGCACGATCTCAGCTCACTGCAACCTCCACCTCCCAGGTTCAAGCGATTCTCCTGCCTCAGCCTCCTGAGCAGCTGGGATTACAGGTGCGTGCCACCACACCAGGCTGGTTTTCTTGTATTTTTAGTAGAGACGGGGGTTTCACCATGTTAGCCAGGCTGGTCTCGAACTCCTGACCTCAGGTGATCCACCCGCCTCAGCCTCCCAAAGTGCTGGGATTACAGGCATGAGCCACTGTGCCCGGCCTATGATTCTTTTTTTTTTTTTTTTTTGAGACAAAGTTTTGCTCTTGTCACCCAGGCTGGAGTGCAGTGGTGCAATCTTGGCTCGCAACCTCCGCCTCCCAGGTTCAAGAGATTCTCCTGCCTCAGCCTCCGAAGTAGCTGGGATTACAGGCGCCCGCCACCATGCCCGGCTAATTTTTTGCATTTTTAGTAGACATGAGGTTTCATCATGTTGGCCAGGCCGGTCTCAAACTCCTGACCTCAGGTGATGCACCCACCTCAGCCTCCCAAAGTGCAGGGATTACAGGCATGAGCCACCATGCCGGGCCATGATTCTTAAGAGAATTGACTGGGCCTCATGAATAAAAAAATTAGAAAATCTGGTCATTTGCATTTGTCACTCAATCACTGTGGAATCCCATTTCCCGACTGCATTTCAGGAAGCAGATGGGACTACTGTATGGAAAAACATTTGGCATGTATTCCAAGTGTCAGATTATTCTGTCTTGGTTTGTATGGGAAAATCTGCGGGTTGTGGAATATTAGGTTCTACTTCACACACATCCCGTGCATTTGTCCTTCATTTAAAGAGATGTAAAGGGGCCGGGCATGGTGACTCACATCTGTAATCTCAGCATTTTGGGAGGCAAAGGCGGGTGGATCGCCTGAGCCCAGGGATTGAGACCAGCTGGGCAATGTGGCGAAAACCCGTCTCTACAAAAAATACAAAAATTAGCCATAGGGATGGGGGTGGGAGGATGGCTTGAGCGCAGGAGATCGAGGCTGCAGCAGTGAACTGAGACTGCACTACGGCAATCCAGCCTGGGCAACAGAGTGAGTCCCTGTCTCCAAAAAGTGGATGTAAGAAGAAAAAAATCAAATGAAGATTAAATTCCAAACTCCTATGCCAACTCCTCTGTCTTCACTACTAGAGTGTAGATTAGACTCAGATACTCCATGGCTATGATGAGAGCAGGTAAACTTGCTGGGCTTTCCTCCACGAGTTTTATTCTATAAGAGTAATCCACATCCCAGGACAGTTCACATGACCTACGGCTTAGCTGTTCCCTGCGGTGGGTCATGTCTTATTCCCGATTCTCCCTTGTTATAAGCTTTTCATGAATATCTTTGTGTATATTTTCCACCACCTCACCATATACATATTTTTTTCTCCTGTGTTATTCCTAAAATGGTTCCTGAATGTGAAATATCTGATAATGCTTCCTACGGGTTGCCATACCATCCTTTGCAAAGATTTTTAAAATATTTCATGCCCAAAGCAATGACTGCCATTTAAAATTTTTTTGCTGATTTAATAGGGATGTAATGAGGCCTTACTTCTGTTTTATTTCATTACCTGTTAATGAGGCTGTGAATTTTTCCATGTGAATTTCTGCTTTTTGCTTCATTCTATGGAAATTGTACAGTTCCTTTGAATACTTGCTATTTGGAATCTACATATTGAACTTCGTGTTTTGCTGTACTTCTTCATACATGTTTTAGGCTGGGTGCGGTGGCTCACGCCTGCAATCCCAACACTTTGGGAGCCGGAGGTGGGCAGATCGCTTGCATCCAGGGTTCGAGACCAGCCTGGGCAACATGGCGAAACCTCGTCTCTACCAGAAAATACAAAAATTAGCCAGGCATGGTGGTGAGCACCTGTAGTCCCAGCTGCTCCGGAAGCTGAGGCAGGAGAATTGCTTGAGCCTTTGAGGCAGAGGCTGCAGTAAGCCGAGATTGTGCCACTGCACTCCAACCTCGGCAACAGAACAACACCCTGTCTCAAAAAATAAAAAAATTAAAAAAGGAAAACAAAAACATAAATGTTTTAGGTAGTACACATTTGAATCTGTCTGATGAAATTTCTCTGCCTAGTGGTTATTTTATGGAGCTCTAAATCCATACCATAAAATGCATCCTTTTAAAGTGGAAAATTCAGTGTTTCTTAGTATATGCATTGTGTGTATAAATATCACCACTAATACCAGAACATTTTATCATATGTATTAGCAGTCACTCCCCATTCTCCCCCATTCCCCAGAGCATGTAAACCACTAGGCTACTTTCTGTCTCTATGGATTTGCCTATTCTGGACATATGATGTTAAGTGGAATCATACGATATGTGTTTTTTGCGACTGATTCTTTTGCTTAGTGTGTTTTCATGGCCCATCCACGTTGCAGCATGTGTCACTACTTTCATCCTGTTTTATCACTGAATAATCCATTATATGATTACATGTAAATATCACTTCTTGTTCATCCACTGATCACTTACAGGACATTGGGTTGTTTCCACTTTTAGGCTAGTGTGAACACGTTATTGTGTGAACACACATTTCCATTTCTCTTGAGTTTATACCTTGAAATTGAACTGCTTGTTCACATGGTAACTATTTTAAGAAACTGCCGGCCGGGTGCGGTGGCTCACGCCTGTAATCCCAACACTTTGGGAGGCCGAGGCAGGCGGATCACAAGGTCAGGAGATCGAGACCATCCTGGCTAACACGGTGAAACCCCGTTTCTACTAAGAATACAAAAAAAAATTAGCCGGGCGTGGTGGTGGGCGCCTGTAGTTCCAGCTACTGACGAGGCTGAGGCAGGAGAATGGCGTGAACCCGGGAGGCGGAGCTTGCAGTGAGCCGAGATCCCGCCACTGCACTCCAGCCTGGGCGACAGAGCGAGACTCCGTCTCAAAAAAAAAAAAAAAAAAAAAAGAAACTGCCAAACTGTTTTCCAAAGTAGCTGGACCATTTTAGGTCCTTTCCAAAGTAGCTGGACCACCAGCAATATAGGAGGGTTTCATTTTCTCCACATCCTCACCAATAACATTTTTATGGTATTTTTTATTATAGTAATTCTAGTGTGTGTGAAGTGGTATCTCATTATAGTTTTGATTTGCATTCAAGATCTTTTAAATAGGAAATTCTTTCTTCACTTAGTTTTACTCCTAGATGATCAGATACTAAATTAACTCACCTTTCAAATAGTTGTTTTTTTCAACTACAAAAGGAACACTTGTTATTTGAAAATGTATGGATTTATAAAACATAAAAAGTGACAAATTCCTTCTAATCCTACTCCTTAGAGACAACCAATATTAACTCTCTTTCCCTCCCCCCCGGCCAACATTTCTAGAAAGCAACTGTTAACTCTTGTTATTGTATATTCCTCCAGTTAAAAAAAAAAAAAAAAAAGCCTAGGCTGGGGGCGGTGGCTCACACCTGTAATCCCAACACTTTGGGAGGCCGAGGCGGGCAGATCACGAGGTCAAGAGATCGAGACCATCCTGGCCAACATGGTGAAACCCCCGTCTCTAGTAAAAATACAAAAATTAGCTGGGTGTGGTGGCGGGCGCCGGTAGTCCCTGCTACTCAGGAGGCTGAGGCAGAAGAATTGCTTGAACCTGGGAGATGGAGGTTGCAGTGAGCCGAGACCACGCCACTGCACTCCAGCCTGGGCAACAGAGCAAGACTCCATCTCAAAAAAAAAAAGCCTAACATTTTATTTTTAAAACGACTTATTATACATACTGCTTTATAACTTGCCTTTTCACTTAAAGTATCTCTTTTCAATGGTTCTGTTGGCTTCCACTGTATAAACATATCATGATGTAACCTTTTTTTTTTTTTTTTTGGAGATGGAGTCTCCTTCTGTCACCCGAGCTGGAGTGCAGTGGCAGAATCTTGGCTCACTGCAACCTCCAACTCCCTGGTTCAAGCTATTCTCCTGCCTCAGCCTCCCAAGTAGCTGGGATTACAGGCGTGTACCTCTACACCCAGCTAATTTTTGTATTTTTAGTAGAGGCGGGGTTTCACCATGTTGGCCAGGATAGTCTTGATCTTCTGACCTCATGATCCGCCCACCTCGGCCTCCCAAAGTGCTGGGATTACAGGCGTGAGTTTTTCTTTAAAATGAGTTGAGAATTGACCATTACAAAGTTTATGAACAGTTTACTTCTTAAAATAGGAAGTGTCATATTGCCCTCTTAAATAATTGTATTAATTTGCTTTTAGAATACTGAATATTATTTTTGTAATTATTATTTTAAATTTCATTTCTTTAATTGTATGTGACAATAGCCATCTTTTCATGTTAAAAGGCATTTATAGAGATACATATTGTGTTTACACCCTTAATTTATGGTATCATTTCAAATCCATTTATGTCATTTATTTTACGGATTAGATTCTAAAAACAGGATTCCATCAAATTGTTTTAAAAAATCTTTTTCGTTCTTTTTTTTCCATCAAATTGTTTTAAAAAATCTTTATCGTTCTTTTTTTCCATCAAATTGTTTTAAAAAATCTTTATCGTTCTTTTTTCTTTTTTTTCCGCCCCCACAAGATGGAGTCTTGCTCTGTCACCCAGGCTGGAGTGCAGTGGCATGATCTCAGCTCACTGCAACCTCTGCCTCCCAGGTTCAAATGATTCTCCTGTCTCAGCCTCCTGAGTAGCTGGGATTATAGGCATGCATCACCACGCCCGGCTAATTTTGTATTTTTTAGTAGAGACGGGTTTCACTATGTTAGGCTGCTCTCGAACTCCTGACCTCAGATGATCTGCCCACCTCAGCCTCCAAAAGTGCTGGGATGAGCCACCATGCCCGGCCTATTGTTCTATTTTTTTTTAAGGTTTTATTATTTTTAGTTACCAAATTGACGTGCTCATTAAATGAAGTGACACAATAAAAAAAAAGTGTAATCTCTCCCTTTTCTCCATTTCCATTCCCTCCCTCTGAGTAACCATTTTATTTTTATTTTACGTATTTATTTAGAGACAGAGTCTTACTACTCTGTCGCCCAGGCTGGTGTGCCTGTCACTCAGGCTGGAGTGCAGTGGTGCGATCTTGGCTCACTGTAACGTCCACCTCCACCTCCTGGGTTCAAGCAATTCTTGTGCTTCAGCCTCCTCCCAAGTAGATGAGATTACAGGCACCCGCCACCACGCCCGGCTAATTTTTGTATTTTTAGTACAGATGGGGTTTCCCCATGTTGGCCAGGCTGGTCTTGAACTCCTAACCTCCAGTGATCAGCCCACCTCTGGCTTCCCAAAGTGCTGGGATTACAGGCATGAGCCACTGCGCCTGGCCATCCCATGAGTAACCATTTTAATAATCTATTGTGTATCCCTCAACACAAACATACACAAGGTGTTTTGTTTGTTCCAAAAATATAATTATGCATAATATATGTAGCTCTGAAACTTTTTCATGTAATATTTTATGGCCATCCCTCCAGGTGTACATATAGTTCCAATCCATTCTTTTTCATAGCTGGGTAATTTCCAGAGTATGAATGCACCAATTTACTCCTTTCCTTACGTATGAACATGCATGTCATTTCTAGTTTTTGTCACTACAAAGAATTCTACAAGAAATTTGTAGACATCAGATTCACAGATGAGATTGTGAAGGTCAAAGGGTACATACTTGTACTTTTAATTTTAATATATATTACAAGATGACTTCACACACCACACTACCAGCGAAAGGAGTGCCTATTTCTCCACCTTCATTGTTTGATAGGTGAAAAATGTGGTTCCCTTTAAAAGTGATAATCTTGACTAGTAGTGTGGTTAAGCATCTTTTTAAATGTTAATGACCAATTAGTTTTCCTCCTCTCGGGAAGAGCTCCTCATTGCCTTTGCTTTTTGTCAGTTGGCAGGGGTTCATTTTGTCTTAGGAATGTATAATCTTTTGTGTAGCTAATCTTTACAATTATCTTCCAGTCTATTTCTTGTTTGTTAACAGAGTCAAGAAAAAGTTCTTAAAAAATACAATCACACAGGTTTATATTTTACTTCAAGACATCTCAGTTATCTGTTTTGCCTCATAATTCAAACCATAATGCTTTGATTAACGGAGGCTTTTTAGTAAATTTTGATCTGAAAAGGCAGATATTCCTTATTTTTCTAGAATGTCTTGGTGCCACACAGTTTTCATACTCGTTTCTTTGTAACATATTTTAAGCCATCGTCAGCCATTAGTCAGGTATAATTAACTTTAAGAAGAGGCATTCATTTATATTTTTACTTTTGTCAACTTTCTGGAGGCTGGTATTACATCGAGAAATAAGGCCATCCCTGCCCACAAGTTGTCCGAACCCTGATCAGTGCGTCACTGGGGAACGAACCGAGTGTGGATACAACGCACAAACACAAAACTCTGTTCGGCCTCCGTAGGAAGCTGAAATTGAGAAAGGAAACCGAGACAGTAGGAGAAGGGCAATTAAGATGTCTTTAAAAACAAGACGGCCGGTGCGGACAGCAGTGTAGAAGTTAGCAAGCTGGAGTGGGCAATGTCGGTGCCCCATCTCTAACCTATGGGAGTCACCAGAGCGGGGGCGGAGTCCCATGGCGGCCACACCCTGTCCGCCTCCGCAGTCTTTTTACTGGAGAACCGCAGTAAAAGGCGGAAACCGCGGAGGCGTCTTGATTTTCCGGTCGGAGAGATAGCTTGCTTCCTTTAAGCCTCGGGGTAGGGGGGTGGGGAGGGTAGGGGGGTGGGGAGGGTAGGGGGGTGGGGAGGGTAGGGGGGTGGGGGGGTGGGGAGGGTAGGGGGTGGGGGGGTGGGGAGAGTAGGGGGGTGGGGAGAGTAGGGGGGTGGGGAGAGTAGGGGGTGGGGGGGTGGGGAGAGTAGGGGGGTGGGGAGAGTAGGGGGTGGGGAGAGTAGGGGGGTGGGGAGAGTAGGGGGGTGGGGAGAGTAGGGGGGTGGGGGTTGGGGGGTGGCGCCGTGGGGGGTGGCGGGGTGGGGGGTGGGGGGTGGGGAGAGTAGGGGGGTGGGGGGTGGGGAGAGTAGGGCGGTGGGGGAGTGGCGGGGTAGGGGGGTGGCGGGGTGGGGGGTGGGGGGAGCGCGGGCGCTGGGTGGGCGGGGGGTGGGGCGGTGGGGGGGCCTGCCCCGCCCCAACCGCCGCGCCTGACGGTCGTCCATTGGTTGTTTGCATTCGAACTACATTTCCCAGCAGGCCCTGGGGTTAGACTGGCCGCAGCTGGAGAGGTGCCAGCCCGTCGTGGATGACTAGAGCCAACCACCTGCCTTCCGTCTTCCAGGCAGAACCACAGAGAGGCTACAGCCGTCCTGGCCTCCCTCCGGCCCTGAGAGCTCCTCTGGCCTGTCTCAAGTCTTAACGTCTCAAGCGCAGACTGCCGGCTCCGAACGGGGAGACCAGGCTTCTGCACCGGAAACAAGGCACCGGTTGTGACGTCACAGCCGCAGAGCGCCCGACTTCCCAGAAGGCACCGAGTCCCTGCCGTTCTCCTCAACTGGCGGCGGCGCGAACGAATAGTCGCCGGCGACCTGTGAGGGCACTCGGAAGGGCGAGGGGAGGGCTCGACCGCTCGCGCCTAGTTTTTCTATCTCTCCCGGAGCCTGAGTCTCTGAGCCGTCCCCAGCAAACGCTCAGGGGCTGCAGAGGCCCCGAGAGGTGAGGGGCTCCGTGAGGGCGGGAACCAGGCTGAGGCCGCCTCTGGGGAGCGGAGCGTGTCCGTTGCTGAGGGAGCAAGGCCGGGTAGGGAGCCTGGTGAGCGCCTCAGGCAGGGGCGCACGCTGAGCTTTACGGTAAAGGTGTTCCTTGACCAGCGGAAGAGGCCCCAGAGTGAGCCTGGCCCGGCGGTCCTTAGTGGGATGTCGCCTGCCGCTCTCAGCAGAGCTTTGACGGCGGAGAGGAGTCGGCAGGCGGTGTGTGGACACCTCCTCGGCCTTGCATCTGCTCCCCGGGAGAGTCACCAACCGCCTCCCCGCCCAAAGGGCACCGGAGGGAGCTTCGGTTCGAGGGGTACAGTATGGCCAGATTCAGTGACCAACCTGCTTTTAGGCAGATGTCCTCGGTATTGACCCCAGATTTCCTGTCTTCTAGCCCATTGCTCTTTCTCCAAGCCTGATTTAACCTATTCCTGGTGGGTTTTACACACCGTCTTTCTTTCTGTCTTTTCTTTCTTTTTCCTTTTATTTTCTTTCTCTTCCCTGATTCCCTTCCTCCTTCTTTCCTTTCTCTTTTCCTTTCTTTTTTTAGAGTCAGGGTCTTGCTTTGTCGCTCAGACTGCAGTGCAGTGGCGCGATCACAGTTCACTGCAGCCTCGACCTCCTGGGCACAAGCAATCCTCCCAGCTCCCCAGTAGCTGGGACCACAGGCTTGTGTCGCCACGCCCAGCTAATTTTTTTTTTTTTTATGGAGTCGGTGTCTTGCTGTGTTGCCCAGGCTGGTCTTGAACTCCTGGACTCAAGCGATCCACCCGCCAGGGCCTTCCAAAGTGCTGGGATTACAGGTGTGAGCCACCGGTACCTGGCCACACTTTGTATTTCTCAGGAGGCTGGACCTTGGCCTTCTCCGCTCCACCCTTACTCCCTTCCCTTTGGACTTGAGGTTTGCACAGTCTCTGTTTTTCATTCTCAGGATCTTCCTTTCACATCTTCCTAAGCATATCTTGTTCAAATACTGCGTTTCAGTTATGATTTCCCTATCCCAGCTGTCGTTTTCTTTAGATCTCATGTAGCCTCACCAGCCATGCCACATATTGGAGTGCAGTAATGCCGTGCCTGGTCTTTTGGGTAATCCCTGGTTTCTCTGTCTACAGCTTGGCTCTCTGGCAGATTTCCTCTAGTAAGAGGTGGCTCTGGAGGCCCCGCGAAACGAGTGTGGTGTGTGGTTGCAAGGCATGATGGCTGCAAAAGTGGTTCCTATGCCCCCAAAGCCAAAGCAGTCCTTTATACTGAGAGTTCCGCCAGACTCCAAGCTGGGCCAAGACCTACTTCGAGATGCCACTAACGGGCCCAAGACCATCCACCAGCTAGTGCTGGAGCACTTCCTCACCTTCTTGCCCAAGCCAAGCCTGGTCCAGCCCAGTCAGAAAGTCAAGGAGACCTTGGTTATTAT
Organism: Homo sapiens; assembly: GCF_000001405.40. Taxonomy (NCBI): domain Eukaryota; kingdom Metazoa; phylum Chordata; class Mammalia; order Primates; family Hominidae; genus Homo; species Homo sapiens. Next base: position 3,233,537 of record NC_000016.10, on the reverse strand, counting down.
GAAAGATGTGAGCTCAAGCCTTCAGAACAGAGGTGAGAAGCACATGCTTGTTTCACTAGAAGAGGAGGAGGAGGTACTGGAGTCTAAGATAGGTTTCTGTGTTAGTTATAAATTCAAGTTAGGATGGTGTATATTGGAAAAGGAGTCAATTCTAGTGTTGGAAAGAGGAAGTTCTTCTCAAGTGCTGGGTGTGAGTAAGGCCACAGAATAAACAGTGTGCATCTTTCTGTAGTGTCAGTTTTACCCAAACATTCTGAGGGAAATATCTTTTAAGGATAAATCAGATGAATTATTGAGTTAGGTTGATGTGGAATTTTAGAAATTTTGTGCTTTTTCTGGGCATCTTCACACTTTACGTTGCCCTAAGCTCTCCTTTAGTAATACTCTATGGGAAATTCTGAAAGGTGCTTAGAGAAGTCATTCTTTTCATAACAGGGAGATGCCATAGGTTCAAGACCCTAGAGTTTATGGCTTGAACTCTATAAGGGCTCACAGGAGCAGAAAAGGCCATGAGTTACCTGTCAAAGGAATGAGGACAGCCTGGCCTCGCGGTATGGGGAGTCTCTGTGTTAGAGTCACTGAGTTTTTCACTAACTAAACCTTCCTCTTTCCCCAGTGCATCCTCGTCCCTTGGTGAAGCTTCTGCCCAAAGGAGTCCAAAAGGAACAAGAGACAGTGTCTCTGTATTTGAAAGCTAACCCTGAGGTGGGTTTGGTTTTCCCATTTACTGCCTGAATCCATCACCTTCCGTGCTTGGCCAACCTGTGTGTAAAAACACATTCTTAGGAGTTGGCCTTCTTGGGTGTTTTTCTTCTGCTTTTTCCTTGAGCCCTTCTCAGCCTGGCTGTCCTGTCTTTGCTGCACCTCTGTGGGATTTATAGGTCCCTCTTGCTATCCCTTCCCTTGATCTTTGTGTGTCAGCTTTTCTTACCAGTAGGGCTGTCAGTGAACCTCAGTTACTAAGATGAAAGGGGCCTCTTGCTCTTTCAGGAGCTGGTGGTCTTTGAGGATTTGAATGTATTTCACTGCCAGGAAGAATGTGTGAGCTTGGATCCTACTCAACAACTCACGTCAGAGAAGGAAGATGACAGCAGTGTCGGGGAAATGATGTTACTGGGTAAGAAATCACAGCCTTTGTGTGTTCAGGTTGTTTGCTTTGGGAAAAGCATGTCCTTCATCTCTTTAGCTTTGGGGGACGATTCACACCTGGTAAGCCTATGTGCACACACACATTTTATTTTACTTTTGTTTTATTCAATGTAGCAGAGCCTTGCCACAGAACTCCAGCTGTGGGTGGGTGGCCATTTTTCCCTGTATCTTGGGGGCAGTGAGGGGAGAGGTAGGGAAAACCTGCAGACATAGAAACTGTGGATATAGAAACTGTTCTGAACCCATTTTCTGAACTCTGTTCTCAACAGGTATATTTGAATGTTTTCATTGAACACATGACTAACTCTTGTAATCCCCCTCCCCTTTTTGATGTTCAATAGATGTGAAGACTACTAGCCTAAGTGAAAATATATTCCACTATTGGTGAAAGTAATGTTTAACACTTAATGAGCACTTATATGCTGTTACATGCTAGGCACTAGTCCAAATGCTTTTCATGTGTTTATTCTCTCATGTACTTCTCAGAGTAATACTGAGTGGTATAGAAATTACTGCCACCTTACAGGTGACAGAACTGAGGCAGAGAGGGGTTACAAAATTTGCTAAAGTTCACACAGTTGTAAGTAGGGGAACAGGGATTCGGACTCAGGGAATCTGACATCAGAATTTGCAGTAATGGCCCAGGGCTGTACTGTCTCCTAGATGCATTTCTCATAATTTTGTCAATGAATTCCGTGTATGGTTGGTGAATGGGGCATTCTTTATTTGTCCTCATTTCCCAGTAATAGTTGACAAGTGTCCCCCAGTGCTGTGTATGAACTGATCAAGCAGCAGCCTCTCTATAATTTGCTTAGAGATGCTTTACCTTTTCTCTAGAAATGTTGCAACCCTAGAGGCAGAGGCCCGCACAAATGTCTTTACTGAGTGCCGGACACTTTTTACTTTGCCTTCAGGGCTTTTTGTTTCTGAGGGTGAAGTTGTACAGAGAATAGGTTTTAGAAGTTGCCTGGGGTGACAGAAATCCATTATGACTGTCAAACTCTTAGCTGTAATTATACCGTATGGTCAGAAGTATTGGTATGTAATGAGTGTAGTTAATTTCCCGCAGGTTGCTCTATGTGATATCTTCTTTATTTTAGAGAAAAGGATAAAAAGATCAGATTTATTAACACTGAGTTTTTCCTGAGTCTTGGGCAGAGCTGGCATTTATTTTGGGTGACTGGTTAGTGGATATATTGCCTCCAAGATCACTTCGACTATGCACTTCAGGGCCCCTAAGACCCAATCCTCACCCTCTGTTCCCCACTTCCTCCACCCGTACCCTGAAGCTGGTGGCTTAAGCTTAGTCATTTACCAGCATTTCATAAATGTACTAGTTTTTTCCTCAGGCAGGATTGGGTTCTGGAATTGTATTCATCAGGTTACGAAGATGTTATATTCTTGCCTTTTGTAATCTTCCAATTTGGTTTGTAAGACAAGTCATTCATCAAACGATAAGCAGTGTGAAATTTTTATAGGTATAATGAGCTATCGCAAGACTGAGGTAAGATTTGGACCCGGGGCAGAGTAGTGAAGAAGGTGGAATTGATTTTGGATGAGATTGAATCCATGATGGGAAATAAAATGAGATTATCCTCCAGATATTTGGAAATTGGGGATTGGAGTTCAGATGTGAGGATATAGGGATTGGGGAGCCATCAATTTATAGGTGATGATAATTGAAACAGTAACATTTAACCAATTTTTGCAAAGGAAAAACTATAACGGATTGAACATTGTGGTGGCAGGAATCAAAGAACAGTCCTTGATAACCTAGGGAAACAGAGAATGTGTGTGTTGGCCAAGTGAACCACGTAAAAATAAGGAAAAACGTAGAACACTTAAACAGATTTTCAGTAAGATAATTCTTATTATAGCTACTGTGTGCTGTGATAGGAGAATACACCTTTTCAAGATTGAAGAAAATTGACTAAATACTAGGCAACAAACAAAGACTCAGATTCCAAGGAGTAGAAATAAAGTAGGATCTGTCACAATGCAGTACAACTAGAAATTAATAATAAAGATCAGTAAATTAAAGTTCCTTCCACCTGGAAAATTTAAAACTCTTAAGCAACTGTCTTAGTACATTTTGTGCTGCTATAAAAGAATACCTGAGGCTGGGTAATTTATAAAGAAAAGAGGTTTATTTGGCTCACAGTTTTCTGTAGGCTGTACAAGAAGCATGGCGTCAGCGTCTGCTTCTGGTGAGGGCTTCAAGAAACTACTCATGGTTGAAGGAGAGCAGACTTCACATGGCAAGAGAGGAAGAAAGAGAGTAGGAAGGTGCCAGGCTCTTTTAAACAGCCACATTGTTAGTGAACTAAGAGTGAGAAATCACTTATTATTTTGAGGTGGCATCAAGCCATTCATGAGCGATCTACCCACATGATGCAGACACCTCCGACTAGGCCCCACCTCCATCACTGGGGCTCAGATTTCTCTGTCTTTATTTATTTATTTATTTTTTTGAGACAGAGTTTCGCTCTTGTTTGAATTTGGAAGTTTCCTTCTTTTTTTTTTTTGAGACGGAGTCTCGCTGTCACCTAGGCTGGAGTGCAGTGGTGCGATCTTGGCTTCCTGCAGTCTCCGCCCCCTGCGGTTCATGCCATTCTCCTGCCTCAGCCTCCCGAGTAGCTGGGACTACAGGTGCCTGCCACCTTGTCCGGCTGATTTTTTGTATTTTTAGTAGAGACAGGGTTTCACCATGTTAGCCAGGATGGTCTCAATCTCCTGACCTTGTGATCTGCCCGCCTTGGCCTCCCAACCTTCTTTTTCTATACTCTGGAAATTTTCCTAGCATTTGAATTATTTAATTTTTAAAAGTTTAGAAGAATTTTCTGTGGAACTGTCTGAGGCTGGTGCTTTTCTTGGGTAGGTGGCTAGTCTTTTTTTGATAATTTCAATTTTCTCTATGGAAATTGGTTTATTTTTGCTTAAATCTTACTAGTTTTTTTCTATTTTTAACTCATTACTTTCTAATTGGTATTTATTAATACCTTCATTCTTTTAAATTTATCCTATTGTTTTTCTAACTTTGAATCAGAGGCTTTATTATTCTCATTTTTCTAAATTAATACATGTTTTTACAGCCATGAGCTCTCTTATGAGCATCACTTTAGGTTATACCATAAATTCTGATATACACTTGTCCTTGGTATTCATGGGGGATTGGTTCCAGGACCCCCACTCAGATACCAAAATCCATGGATGCTCAAATTCATTATATAAAATGGTGTAGCATTTACATATACTCCACACATATCCTACCATATATTTTATTTCTAGATCAATTATAATACCTAATACAAAGTAAATGCTACATAAATAGTTGTTATACTAAATTGTTTAGGGAATGACAAAAAAACTGAATATGTACAGACAAAACCATCCTTTTTTTTTCTCTCAAATATTTTCAATCCTTGGTTGGTTGAATCCTCAGATGCAGAACCTATGAATATGAAGGTCTGTATAATGTTTTCTAGAAAAAATATGCAATTTTAATTTGTTTTTACCCCTTTGACGCAAGGTTGCTGATATAGTTTGGATATTTGTCCCCTCCAAATCTCGTGTTGAAATCCAGTCCCCATGCTGGGCACAGTGGTTCACGGCTGTAATCCCAGCACTTTGGGAGGCAAAGGCGGGTGATACCTGAGGTCAGGAGTTTGAGACCAGCCTGTCCAACATAGCAAAACCCCATCTCTACTAAAAAAAAAATATACAAAAGTTAGCTGGGTGTGGTGGTGCGTGCTTGTAATCCCAGTTACTCTGGAGGCTGAGGTAGGAGAATCACTTGAACCCGGGAGGCAGAGGTTGCAGTGAGCTGAGATCACATCATTGTACTCCAGCCTAGGGGACAGAGCAAGACTCCATCTCAAAAAAAATAATTAAAAAAACAGAAATAATACAAATCTATTAATATTTCTTATATATAAAGGAGAAAAATCATTTGTTTACTTGTATAGTTACTGAAAAGATACTTGACAAAATTGAAGCCTCTCCTTTATAAGAACATTTAACAAAATAGTTAACAGATACTTCCTTATAGGTAGAACAGAGTAATCAGAAAACTTAAAAATAAGAACATTTATTTGTCTTAAGTACTCTCATGGGAAAAAATGAGACCATTCACTAAGGTAGTGGGAAATAAAGTGAATAAACAGAAATCATTGGCTTTCACATATATAAATGGGGTCATTTAGAAGATACAGTGGAAGGCCCCATTAGAATAGAAACATGAAAGTTTAAATACTTAGGAATAAACTCAAGAAATGTGCAAATTTATGAGGAAACTTTAAAACAAGGCTAAAGGACAAGAGTAGATTTCAACGAAAGCAAAAAAAAAAAATACTATGTTTTTGGCTAGGGAGACAATATCATAAAAAGGTCATTTCTCCTCTTGTTGATTTATTAATTTGATGTGTTTTTTTTCAACAATACCAATAGCATTTTTCCCTTGGAACAAGACTGTGATCTCAGAAAGTCCCGAAATAGCCTCAAATACACATGGGAGTTTAGTGTGTGATAAAGTTGGTGTATTCGTCCATTTTCACACTGGTATAAAGAATTGTCCGAGACTTGGTAATTTATAAAGGAAACAGGTTTAATTGACTCACAGTTCAGCATGGCTGGGGAGGCCTCCAGAAACTTAAAATCATGGCAAAGGCAAGAGGAAGCAAGGCATCATCTTCACAAGGCAGCAGGAGGGAGAAGTACGAGTAAAGGGGGAAGAGCCCCTTATAAAACCATCAGATCTCATGAGAACTCACTATCATGAGAATAGCATGGGGGAAGGCCCCCCCGCCCATGACTCAGTTACCTTCACCTGATGTCTCCTTGACATGTGGGATTACAATTTAAGATGAGATTTGGGCGAGGACACAAAGCCTAACCATAAAGGGGGACTTTTTGATAAAAGGTGTTAGGACGACTGACAGCCACTTGATAAATTAGTACCTTACTTTACATACCAAGAAAAAGTCCACATGGATCAAAGATTTTAAATGTTTAAAACAAATATAAAAAGCACATTTAGAAAATATGAGTGATTCCTTTATAACCATGGGATAGGAAGGTTTTTGTAATTAAGACTCAAAAGCCCAGAAGCCTTGAAAGAAAAGATTGACAGATTCAAATACGTACAAAAGGCTGGGGCATGGTGGCTCACGCCTGTAATCCCAGCACTTTGGGAGGCCGAGGCAGGTGGATCACCTGAGGTCAGGAGTTTTGAGACCAGCCTGGCCAACATGGCAAAACCCCATTTTTACTAAAAATACAAAAATTAGCTGGATGTGGTGGGGCATGCCTATAATCCCAGCTACTCGGGAGGCTGAGGAAGGAGAATCACTTGAACCCAGGAGGTGGAGGTTGCAGTGAGCCGAGATCACGCCACTGCACTCCAGCCTGCGTGACAGGAGCAAAAAGAAGTGCAAATTAAGCCTCTAGTGAATTAACATTTTGCGTATTTCATATTTATAGAAATAAAAACACATTGATGGTGAGGTTGTTGAGAAACAGGTATATTGCTGGTGGGCATATAAAATGGTATAGTCCCTGTATAAGGGTAATTGCATCTGTAACTACCCATCTTATCCTTTGTTCCAGGAGTTCAATTCTGGAAATCTGACCTACAGATATAGCAACAGAACACATTCGAAATGATGTACAAAGAAGATTATTCACTGTGGTATTGTTTGTAAAAACACAAGGTTGGAAGCAGTCCAAGTGTAGTTAAAGAGGAAGAGTTGAGTTAAAAATTATTTAGACAAGAAATCATTGACAAAGATATACATTTATAAAAGCCTTAACCCAGTAGATTATTTTGCATAATGAAAATCCAAAGTAAAACTACAATGAGAAACTATTTTATACCTATTAAATATTTTAAAATTTAATGCTAACAAGATTAGGTAAAGTTAATATTCACATGAAATTAGTAGAGCTGTTTTTGAAAGCAGAATGGTAGTTCATGTCAAGAGCTATGGTAAAAATTGACATTTCATTATCCTAAGGGAGTGATTAAAAAGAATAATTAGGTCGGGCGCAGTGGCTCATGCCTGTAATCCCAGCACTTTGGGAGGCCTAGGCGGGTGGATCACGAGGTCAGGAGATCATCAAGACCATCCTGGCTAACACGATGAAACCCTCTCTCTACTATAAATACAAAAAATTAGCTGGGCGCGGTGGTGGACGTCTGTAGTCCCAGCTACTGGGGAGGCTCAGGTAGGAGAATGGAGTGAACCCAGGAGGCGGAGCTTGCAGTGAACTGAGATGGTGCCATTGCACTCCAACCTGGGCGACAAAGCGAGACTCCATCTCAAAAAAAAAAAAAAAAAAAGAAAGAAAAAATAATTAAGGCTGGGTGTGGGGGCTTACACCTGTAATCCCCAGCACTTTGGGAAGATTGCTTGAGTACACGAGTGCAAAACCAGCCTAGGCAACATAGCAAGACCCTATCTCTGCCAAAAAAAAAAAAAAGTGAAATAAAAAAAAATCTATTGGTGTGAAACTGCTGAATCCAGCAGAGATTCCAACTCCAGCTTCAGGATCAGCCCCCATGTCTTGGTGGTTGATTTGAACCCTTGACTCTCAGTAGGCCTGAGTTGAGGGGTCCCTTGTCACACAAGTATATCCACAGCATGGTTCTTTTTCACTTTGTTACCCAGTCTTTATAATCTGCTTACACTGACTTTTTTCTGAAGTATAATGGAAATATAGAAAAAGCCTACCAATTGTAAATATATAGCTCAAGTTTTCACAAAATGTACACACTAAGCACCACCCAAAATGGACTTTTCTTAGCATCCCAAAAATCCCTTTTGTGCCCTGTACCCACTCACTACTTCCTTTCCTACACAAAGAGAAACACTACTGACTTCTAATCCCAAAGCTTCATTAGTTGTAGTAATCTCTTTAATTGCCAAATAATAAACTTTTTTCTGTTTTGAGACAGATTCGCTCTTGTTGCCCAGGCTGGAGTGCAATGGCGCGATCTCGGCTCACTGCAACCTCTGCCTTCCGGTTTCAAGTGATTCTCCTGCCTCAGCCTCCCTAGTAGCTGAGATTACAGGCATGTGCCACCATGCCCAGCTTATTTTGTATTTTTAGTAGAGACAGGGTTTCTCCACGATGGTCAGGCTGGTCTTGAACTCCCAGCCTTGGGTGATCTGCTCGCCTTGACCTCCCAAAGTGCTGGGATTACAGGTGTGAGCCACCACGCCTGGCCAATAATAAACTTTTGTATGAATATGCTGTGCCCTCTTTAATTTTGCTTATTGGAATTGTTTCAATTTTCTCATTGTAAGACATTATGATATTATTTAGTGCTATAATAGTGTGATAATATTTAATATAGTGAAAACCTACAAGTGGTTCGTCTTACTATTCAGTTACCAGACTCCTTCAAGATGATGAGTGGTTCCCTGTATAGATGTATAGTCTTCATCCCTAGTCCTTACCTGAGTGCTCTACAGAGTATAAGGTGAATATGAACTTGTCGAGTAATTAACACCTATGAAGAGAACAAACATTTGAAGTCTTTCAGTGAAATCCCACTCATTTTATTTCTTTAAAGTGTGCTTGCATTGTGGTAGATGGAAAGATTTATCAGTTATGTATCCCACCCTCAATAAGTATGGAAAAGGAGTGCGACGGCAGTATCCGCCACTCCCCAGATTGACGTTCAAGGTGGCTGTGGCATAAGAAACCTGACTTGTTTTTTCCTGCCTGGTGTTGTGATATCTCTCAGAAGTTGTTAAATTCTCTCTTTGTTTCAGCAGTCAATGGCAGTAATCCTGAAGGTGAAGATCCTGAGAGGGAACCTGTAGAAAATGAAGATTATAGAGAAAAGTCTTCAGATGATGATGAAATGGATTCTTCCTTGGTCTCTCAGCAGCCTCCCGATAACCAGGAAAAGGAACGACTAAATACATCCATTCCACAAAAAAGGAAAATGAGAAATCTGTTAGTTACCATTGAGAATGATACTCCTCTAGAGGAACTCTCAAAATATGTAGACATCAGTATTATTGCCCTTACTCGAAATCGGAGGACAAGGAGATGGTACACTTGTCCACTGTGTGGGAAACAGTTTAATGAAAGTTCTTACCTCATTTCCCACCAGAGGACCCACACTGGAGAAAAACCCTATGACTGTAATCACTGTGGGAAAAGCTTCAATCATAAAACAAACCTCAATAAACATGAGCGAATTCATACAGGAGAGAAACCTTATTCCTGTTCTCAGTGTGGAAAAAACTTCCGTCAGAATTCTCATCGGAGTCGTCATGAAGGAATCCATATAAGGGAGAAGATATTTAAGTGTCCAGAATGTGGGAAAACCTTCCCAAAGAATGAGGAGTTTGTGCTTCATCTGCAGAGTCATGAGGCTGAGAGACCATATGGTTGCAAAAAATGTGGGAGAAGATTTGGTCGGCTGTCAAACTGTACCCGGCATGAGAAAACCCACTCAGCCTGTAAGACCCGAAAGCAGAAGTAATACTGGGAACCCTTTCTGGGTCTGATGGTGCTGCCTCAACCTGAGAGCTTTCATAAGTAGTTCTGAATTCCCAAGCTGCCTAAAAAGGTATAAATGTGTAAAAATCTCATTATTGCCAAAATTGGATAAATGCCCATCTTAGCTAAAACCTCAAATTGCTAGAAAATTCACAGGGAAGAAAACATTTCAAGGGCTATACCTCAGCATCTAGGCTTTTTGGACTAAGGAGCTTTCCTTTTTGAAGTTATATGATAATGTACAGGTCACAGATCCCCTTTCCCAACACTTTGAAGATGAATCTGGAGTCTGCTTACTTGGAAGGCAAAGAGTGACTTGTGTCTATTGAAAGTATATCCGTTTTCCCCCCACATGGGGATTCATACTTGAGAAATAGTGCAAAGATGCTTATCTGGAACTGTGTTCTGGTGAAAGAACCAAATTACTGGCTTGTTAGCCAACAGCTTCTGATAGCAATTCATATAACCCTCTAAGAATACCTGTTTAAGTCTTGAGTGTTGAAAGGAATTGTTTACTTTGGAATATAGGAAAACAGTTGAATGTCAGACTCTCATTTGTATGTGATCTAAATTTGCAATCAATTTCAATAATATTTACAATTTGTGATAAAACTGACTTTTACAGATTCCTTTTCACAACATAATTTAGGTGTCTACTGTTCTTATTGTATTTTGTTCTGCTGTTGATCTCTCCAGCAGCCGTCTCATGCTTCTCCCTTGCTAAAAGAAGTTTGGATTACTCAGGCAGGGCCATCCAGCCCCACCACTAGAAAAGCTCTTCAGAATCTTGTCCCTCTGTTGAGCCCAGATCTCATGTGCTACGAAGGAAACCCCAAGACCCAGAGAGGAAGGGTCAACCTGGAGGCAGGAAAAAGTTGGCTTGGATCCATGTCTCATCAATAACCTTACCATATGCTTAGGTCCCCTCTATGCTGTCATCAGACCTTTGGCAATGGGGTGGTCACTACCTCACAAGGCAAAGTGTTGTATGATTAGAAATTACGTCTCCAGTGGTTAGCTCACATTGCCTCTCAAGAGACAGGTTTCCAGGTGTCTTCATTGTAGTGGGTATTAATTGTCTTCAGCCTCTTGATATCCATACCTTCCTGTCCTCTGCCTAGAAGCAAGGCCAGCGGTGCCTTTACGGACTGATCGTGTGGTGCGATTTAGGGATTCTTCAGTTTTGCTTGCTTTAGGTTTCCAAAAGTTATACATTGGTGTTTTGATTGGAATAAAGAAATCCTATAAGCTATTTGGGAAAAATTATAGTGTATGTTTCCCATCCAGAAACATGCCTTTCTATTTATTAGAGTATTATATTCCTGTGAAAATTTTTCTAATTTTCTTCACTTGTTTTACACAATTTTGTTATTGTAGTTTTTTCCATTATATTTTTATAGTTGATTATTGCTTTTACATGGGAAAGTTATTTTTAATTATATATTTGTATAGTCATCTCACTGTTGTTAATTTTCAATAGTTTGTTGGTTTAGTTCTGTTAACTTTTGGTAAAATGACACCATCTACAAAGAATAGTTTTTGTTTCTTGCCTTCTGCCTATTGGTCTTTTTTGTTTTGTTTGTTGTTATTAACATGTAATTCTGAGGTTTCTTGTTTTGGCACAAAGCATTCTGAAAGAAGGACATTCTATGATACAGTTCAGTCCTGAATCGTAATTTAAAAACAACAAATCCTCCACAACAGAGAAAGGCCACAGAAAAACTGTCTTTACCAACATTGTATTTCAGGCCAACAGGAAGTACCCTGTAAAGCCAGCAAAGCGAACAAAACAGGCTGCCCACAACGTTATTCGCTTATTTGAAAGTCTGACCAGTGCACTAGGACTGGGATCCTGAACTGTGTTTCCAGAGTCGGCAGGCTGTTACCATGTGCAGTGGACCTGCCTGTGCACCCAGAAAAGTAGCTGCCAGGAAGTGAGTGGTGAGAGAGAGTCTCCACTCACTCTTTGGTACCCCTGCCCAGAGTCGGGTATTTTATCAGTCCTCATGCAGCCATGGCACAGTACCCGAGACAGTTAATTTTTTCTTTGAGACTGGCTCTGTTGATAAGGCTGGAGTGGGGTGATCTTGGCTCGCTGCAACCTCCCGCCTGCTAGGCTCAAGCGATCTTCCTGCCTCAACCTCTTGAGTAGCTTTTCGTTTAAGTGTAGGTGGGTGAAGCCACCACAACCCACACCATCTCATGTGTAGGGGACCTGCCCATGCATCCAGAAAAGTAGCTGCCAGGAAGTGAGTGGTGAGAGAGAGTCTCCACTCTCTCACTCTTTGGCAGCCCTGCCCAGAGTCGGGGGTTACATCAGTTCTCATGAAGCCATGGCACGGTACCTGAGACACTTTTTTCTTTAGTTGAGACTGGCTCTGTTGCTAAGGCTGGAGTGGGACGATCTTGGCTCACTGCAACCTCCACCTCCTAGGCTCAAACAATCCTCCTGCCTCAGCTTCCTGAGTAGCTTTTTGTTTTTTTAAGTGTAGGTGGGTGAAGCCACCACAACCCACACCATCTCCTGGACTGGGGAGGTGCCCACGGTCAGGGTTGCCGTCAATCAGCACCCAGTGTCCCAGAGGGCAGGACATGGGCCGCAGGGTTTCCTTCCGCAATAGTGAGGCTGGGTGGGAATGAGAGGAGCGCCCCGACCAGGACCAGGGGCCGCCCCCAAACACGAGAGCCCCTGGGAAGTTGTTGGATGAGTAAGTTCTGTTACCTAAGGAGCCTGATCACCAGTTAAGTTGAAAAAGTAAACAACAGTGAACAGTTTCCCAATATAGCGGTAGAGCGAGAGTTGGAAAATGTAAGAGACCAAAGATCCAATTCCAGTAGTAACTACAGAAAATAAGCCAGGCGCAGTGGCTCACACCTGTAATCCCAGCACTTTGGGAAGCCGAATCAGGAGGATGGCTTGAGGCCAGGAGTTCAAGACCAGCCTGGGCAACATAGTGAGACCCTGTCTACGAAAAAAAAAAAAAAAAAGATTTGGTTGAGTGCAGTGGCTCAACGCCTATAATCCCAGCACTTTGGGAGGCCAAGGCAGGTGGATCACCTGAGGTCAGGAGTTCAAGGCCAGCCTGGCCAACATGGTGAAACCCCATCTCTACTAATAATACAAAAAGTAGCCAGTTGCGGTGGCAGGCATCTGTAGTCCCAGCTACTCAGGAGGCTGAGGAAGGAGGATTGCTTGAACCCGGGAAGTGGAGTTGCAGTGAGCCGAGATTATGCCACTGCACTCTAGCCTGGGCTATAGAGTGAGATACCATTTCAAAAAACAATTATTTTTAAAATTTAAAAAACATTATCAAGACGGCATGGTGGCATGTGCGTGTAGTCCCAGCTACTTTGGAAGCTGAGGTGGGAGGATTCCTTGAATCCAGGAGTTAGAGACCAGCCTGAGCAACTTACTGAGACCACATCTTTTTTTTTTTTTTTTTTTTTTTTTTTTTTAAGAAACAGGGTCTCACTCTGTTGCGCAGACTGGAGTACAGAGCTGTGATCATAGCTCACTACAGCCCTGAACTCGTAGACTCAAGAGATCCTTCCGCCTAACTCTCCCAAGTATCTGGGACTACAGGGACATGCCACCTCACCCAGCTAATTTTTTTATTTTTATTTTTCTAGAAACGCGGTCTTGCTATGTTGTCCATGATGGCCTCAAACTCCTGGGCCCAAGTGATCCCCCTGCCTTGGCCTTCCAAAGCGCTGGGCTCATCTCTTTAAAAAAAAAAATCAGAGTAAATGGGAGGTTGACTCCAGCATGACAGTGTGAGAGTGCCTGTAGTCCCAGCTACTTGGGAGGCTGAGGCAGGAGAATCTCTTGAACCCACAGTGAGGGGAGATCCAGCCTGGGTGACAGAGCAAGACTCCATCTCAAAAAAAAAAAAAAAAGACAAGTGAATATAACTTCAAAGAAATGTGGACATCATTAAGTGCACCAAATACACACAATGGGAGTACCAGAAGAAGAGAGAAAGGAGAGGAAAAAATTTTGGAAAAATAATGGCTAAAAATTTCCCTAATTAATTAATTAATTAATTTTATTTTTTGAGACGGAGTCTCACTCTGTCGGTCAGGCTGGAGTGCAGTGACACGTTCTTGGCTCACTGCAACCTCCACCTCCCGAGTTCACGCCATTCTCCTGCTTCAGCCTCCCGAGTAGCTGGGACTACAGGCGCCCACCATCACGCCCAGCTAATTTTTTTGTATTTTTAGTGGAGATGGGGTTTCACCGTGTTAGCCAGGATGGTCTTGATCTCCTGACCTCGTGATCCACCCGCCTCGGCCTCCCAAAGTGCTGGGATTACAGGCTTGAGCCACCGCGCCCGGCCCCAAATTTATTAAAACATAATAATCTATACAGACAGGAAGCTTAGTAAACTTCAAGTAAGATAAACACAAAGAGACCCACAAACAGATGCATCATAGTAAAAATGCTGAATGTTAGCCAGGCGTGGTGGCTCACGCCTGCATTCCCAGCAGCTTGGGAGCCTGAGGCGGGCGGATCACAAAGTCAGGAAATCGAGACCATCGTAGCTAACACAGTGAAACCCTGTCTCAGTAATACAAAAAAAAAAAAAAAAATTAGCCGGGCGTGGTGGCCGGCGCCTGCATTCCCAGCAGCTTGGGAGCCTGAGGCAGGAGAATAGCGTGAACCCAGGAGGCGGAGCTTGCAGTGAGCCGAGATCGCAAGACTGCACTCTAGCCTGGGCGACAGAGCGAGACTCCTTCTCAAAAAAAAAAAAAAAAAAAAAAAGAAAAAAGAAAGAAATGCTGAATGTCAAAGACAAGGAAAAAATAACCAGTTTCATAATTGGTCAGTTTTGTTATTTTCTACAATCGCTTTCTTTTTATTTATTTATTTATTTTTTGAGACAGTCTCGGTCTGTCACCCAGGCTGGAGTGCAGTGGCGTGATCTCAGCTCACTGCAACCTCTGCCTCCCAGGGTCAAGCAATTCTCTTGCCTCAGCCTCCCGAGTAGCTGGGATTATAGGCACCACGCCACCACACCCGGCTAATTTTTGTATTTTTAGTAGAGACGGGGTTTTACCATATTGGCCAGGCTGGTCTGAAACTCCTGACCTCAGGTAATCCGCCCACCTCAGCCTCCTAAAGTGCTGGGATGACAGGCGTGAGCCACTGCGCCTGGCCTACAAATAAAATTCAAATCACGCTCTTAAATAGTAAATTTCCTTTATGTTTTAATTTAGAAATAGAATTATTAGTAAGAGTCTTTTGCTAGAGAACTTGATGGAGACATATAAAGTATTAAGATAAAATTGTGGAGACTATGTAGTGATTTGGAAAAGCTTTATTATAAAATGAAAGGTGAAAAACCAGGATATAAATCAGTATCTAAATAAAAATATATATGTGCATTGACACAGAACAGAGTGTAAAAAAATAGATGTAGTTGATTGATATGGCTGGATATTTGGGACTGTGGAAGATATTTTTCTTGTTTAACTTACCCATATTCCTGCTGTAATGTGTGATACATAAAGGTTAGATAAGAAAATAAAAATAGCTCAAATGAGTGGCAGAATTAGGGCTTTCTGGAACGCTAAATAAATCCTCCCTTCAGCCGTGCACGGTGGCTCACGCCTGTAATCCCAGCACTTTGGGAGGCCGAGGCTGGCAGATCTCGAGGTCAGGAGATCGAGACCATCCTGGCTAACACAGTGAAAACCCATCTCTACTAAAAATAACAAAAATTAGCCTGGCGTGGTGACACGCACCTGTAATCCCATCTACTCAGGAGGCTGAATCAGGAGAATCACTTCAACCTGGTAGACAGAGGTTGCGGTGAGCCGAGATCTCGCCACTGCACTCCAGCCTGGGCAAGAGAGCGAGACTCCGTCTCAAATAAAATAAAATAAAATCAATCCTCCCCTTCCTGTCCCAACAAATGTCTGATCTTTCCATCAGATGTGTTCATGTCAAGGTCTCTGTTGTGAGAAAGAGTAAACAACCCTGACAGGAGTTGGCCTGGCCCTCACAGCAAGGTTTTTGTGTTCTCCTGATCAACATAGAGAATTTCACAGAACATCGGTATCAGATAAGGCCACACTGACTGTGCTAGAGCAAAACAAAGCAAGACCTTTCTGTAATGATGTCTCAACACAAAAACAGGAACATGGTCATAGCCACAAAAATCACCAAACATCCCCCTATGGTGGTTGATATGAGTGACTGCTATTTCTTTGGCAATCACAGCTTTGGCCTCTTCTTTCCTTCTAGATAAAATATATTAAGATACTCATTCATGGCCGGGCGTGGTGGCTCACGCCTGTAATCCCAGCACTTTGGGAGGCTGAGGCGGGCGGATCACCAGGTCAGGAAATCGAGACCATCCTGGCTAACACGGTGAAACCCCCTCTCTACTAAAAAAAATACAAAAAAATTAGCCGGGCATGGTGGCGGGCGCCTGTAGTCCCAGCTACTCAGGAGGCTGAGGCAGGAGAATGGCGTGAACCCAGAAGGCGGAGCTTGCAGTGAGCGGAGATCGAGCTACTGCACTCCAGCCTGGGCGACTGAGTGAGACTCTGTCTCAAAAAAAAAAAAAAAAAAAAAAAAGATACTCATTCAGAATTATCTCTATTCTGTAATGGCATCTACTCCAGAGCACAGACTCATTCCTATTTCCTCACCAACATTACACAAGCAGAAGTCCTTTTTAGGACTCTTCTATTGAGACACCTCACTATTCCCGATGCTGATGCTGTGTATTCTCCCTTGTTATATAATTAGTAAATCCAACTTATTGAACTACAGGTGTGTTCCTTCTAGGTTTTGGCAGGAGGGCATTGACAATTGGAATTGTCGGGTCATTTAATTAAAGGATCTCTCTTTCCATCTTTAACCTAAAGAGTCTATATGCAGGGTTTTGTTCTCCCAAAATAGATACCAGATGTTTCTATTATGAAAACAAATGCTGGCCAGGTGCGGTGGCTCACATCTGTAATCCCAGCACTTAGAGAGGCCAAGGCAGGTGGATCATTTGAGGTCAGGAGCTCGAGACCAGCCTGACCAACATGGTGAAACCCCGTCTCTACTAAAAATACAAAAAAAAAAAAAATTGTGGTGGCACACATCTGTAATCTCATCTACTCAGGAGGCTGAGGCAGGAGATTATCTTGAACCCAAGAGGCAAAGGTTACAGTGAGCCGAAATCGCACGACTCCACTCCAGCCTGGGTGACAGAGACTCCGTCTCAAAACAAACAAACAAACAAACAATGCTAAGTTTCACACAGTAGAAAAAATAAACGATTATCTCAGAAATTAGCTCCTTCTAGGACTTTCTTAAGCCTATACCATTATTGAACAGAAAAAAATTTCACAGCAACCACTTTTACAAGAGCCCCTTTTATGTCCTTGTTCCTCAGGCTGTAGATCAAAGGATTCATCACGGGAGTCACCACTGTGAACCTCACAGCAGCTGCTATATCTCTCTGAGCTGAGTGGGAGGATGAAGTTCTGAAATATGGAGACATGATGGTGCCATAGAAGAGGAGAACCACAGCCAGGTGGGAGCCACAGGTGGAGAAGGCTTTCCATCTTCCCTTTGTGGATGGGACCCTCAGGACAACGCAGGTGATGTGCATATAGGAAGCCAGGAGGCAAAGAAATGGGGTGATCGTGACTAGGGCAGCCTCAGTAAGAATCATCACTTCACTGAGGTGTGTGTCTGAACAGGAGAGTTTCAGGAGGGGAGTCACATCGCAGAAGATGTGGGGGATGGTGTTGTCTGCACAGAATGAGAGTCGAGCCATCAGCAGGGTGTGCAGCAGAGCATTCGAGTTGGCAACCACCCATGATCCAGTGACCAGCAGGGCACAGAGCTGATGGGTCATCTTTGCTGTGTAATGTAAGGGGCGGCACACGGCGACAAAGCGGTCATAGGCCATCACAGCCAGGAGGAAATTGTCCATGTCAGCAAGCTCACTGATAAAATACATCTGCATGAGAC
The DNA here is from genome assembly GCF_000001405.40 of Homo sapiens. NCBI lineage: Eukaryota > Metazoa > Chordata > Mammalia > Primates > Hominidae > Homo > Homo sapiens. The sequence goes on along the minus strand of NC_000016.10, from coordinate 3,215,896 downwards.
AGCCAGAGAAGGAGATGGTTTGAGTCCTGAGTATGTGATTGGCCAGCATCTTGGGGACGGTGGTGGAGAAGCAGTTGTCCACAAAGGACATGTTGCTGAGGAAGAAGTACATGGGGGTGTGCAGGCGGGAGTCTATGCTTATGGCCAGGATGATGAGCAGGTTCCCCAGGACAGTGGCCAGGTACATGCTGAGGAAGAACACAAAGAGGAGATGCTGCTGCTGGGGCTGCCTGGAGAGTCCCAAGAGGAGGAACTCGGAGACACTCACTGGTTTGTCCCTCTCATATGTCTGGACCCAGCTGCATAGAAGACAGTGAATTCAGAAACATACACATGGGTGGTTAAGATGTGATGAGGCTCCAGGAAGAACCACGTTTGCAAATCAATTCACAAACTTGCAAAAACAGGATGTGGTCTCCTCACCCATACGTCCAATTTCCAACACTCAGTTACGATGCTTTTCCTAGACGACTCACTGATTCTTATTTTGCATATTTAACGTTGAAAACACAGACAGGCTGGGCATGGTGGCTCATGCCTGTAATCCTAGAACTTTGGAAGGCCAAAGAGGGAAGATGGCTTGAGGCCAGGAGTTCAAGACCAGCCTGGACAACATACCAAGACCCCATCTCTATTAAAAAAGAAAAGAAAACAAAACACACAGACACGTACACATAGCCTGACTCTGAGAATGTGTGTGTCTCTGGTACATTCAGTTCCCCACCCAACTAGTTAGCAGCTCATAAAGAGACTGGAGGAATGACTGATGATTACTGGGTTAATCTCAAGTGACAACTGATGGATTCAGGACTCCTGTACTTCACTTCTCTGTACATTACTCATTACTTCCTGTATCTGGATGATGTAGCAAAGAAGATTCCTAAAAGAACTTCACATCTGAGCCAACACATACTTAATTGTTCACCTCTGCGACCTTTCCTGGAGAAGGTTGGTGCTGTCACTCTCAGTTGTTCCTCATTTCTACATAACTGGTCAATGCTTCTACTTACTGTGGGAGTTGGAATGTCTTGGAAACACAGGCGGGTCCTGAGTGTGTGAGGAGTAGGGGCTCATGGTCTTAGTCCTCTGTGTAAGTAAATGTTTGGGGCAATCACAGAGCAGGCATTTGTAGGAACCTCCTTTGGCCACTGGGACCAGATTCCCTGAGAGCCTCATTAGGGACAAGAAGAACATAATTGTCCCACCTAATTTTGGCCCCTTTGGACCAAACAACGACGACATTCAATATTATCTAACGTTTAGATAAAACTCTTGGACCAAAACTTGTAGATATTAGAAATGAAGCCATCCTGATACAGATAAATCGCAGACAAGATTCCTTGGAACCACAAACCTCCTCACCTTGTGATCTGCTCCTGTGCCCACAGGTGTGGAAATTCTGTCATGAAATCCTTTGCAGTATCACTTCCTTTGTTGAGATATGGGGCTCTTCCGTGTTTTCTGTGTAGCCCTTGCTTTCCTCTGCCTGGTCATCTTAAGACATTAGTGATGCTTCGTGTTTTCCATTTTACAGGAGGGAATGTTACGAGCACATTACTGAGATGGGCTTAATTCGTGAAAATGTTTGGGGTCAGGCACAGTGGCTCACGCCTGTAACCCAAAAGTTTGGGAAGCCAAGGTGGGCAGATCACCTAAGGTCAGGGGTTCGAGACCAGCCTGGCCATCATGGTGAAACCCAGTCTCTACTAAAAATACAAAAATTAGCCAGGCATGGTGGCATGTGCCTGTAGTCCTAGCTACTTGGGAGGGTGAGGCACAATAATTACTTGAACCCAGGAGGTGGATGTTGCAGTGAACCGAGATCGTGCCACTGCACTCCAGCCTGGGCAATAGAGCAAGACTCTGTCTCAAAAAAAAAAAAAAAAGGAAAAAGAAAATGTTTGAGATGAAGGGTAGTCTGATTGTAAGGGAGGTTTTCTCCAGGAGAATCCAGGATGCCGTGATTTATGAACTCTAGACCCCTAGGATGGACATCTTTGGGGATGTCCCTGCAACTCACATGGTTTGCCCTTTTCTTGGGATAGAGCTTCCTAATCTGCATAGGCACAATGTGGTGGAGCCCCAGGAGTCGTGTTTCTACCACCTCCCCTTCACCATAGCTGGTTGAACCAGAGTATTTGGAACCAGGATTGAGCAAAGCTATCACTACATGCTTGGCTACAATGTATAAATCCAATCACCTTCTCTCTGTCCCATTCTCTTTTTTTTTTTTTTTTTTTTTTTGAGATGGAGTTTCACTCTGTCATCAGGCTGGAGTTCAGTGGTTTGATCTCAACTCACTGCAACCTCCACCTCCCGGGTTCAAGAGATTCTCCTGCCTCAGCCTCCCGAGTAGCTGGGACTACAGGCACGTACCACCATGCCCAGCTAATTTTTGTATTTTTAGTAGAGACAGGGTTTCACATTGTTGGCCATAATGGTCTCGATCTCTTGACCTCAGCCTCCCAAAGTGGTGGGATTACAGGCGTGAACCACCCCGCCTGGCGCCTCTTTCTTTCTTTCTTTTTTTTTTTTTTTTGAGACGGAGTCTCGCTCTGTCGCCAGGCTGGAGTGCAGTGGCGCAATCTCGGCTCACTGCAACCTCCACCTCCCAGGTTCGAGTGATTTTCCTGCCTCAGCCTCCCGAGTAGCTGGGACTACAGGCACGCGCCACCACGCCCAGCTAATTTTTTGTATTTTTAGTAAAGACAGGGTTTCACCATTTTGCCCAGGATGGTCTTGATTTCTTGACCTCGTGACCCACCCACCTCGGCCTCTCAAAGTGCTGGGATTACAGGCGTGAGCCACCGCGCCCAGCCCTCTTTCTTCTCTTTCTTTTCTTTTCTTTTCTTTCTTTCTTTCTTTCTTTCTTTCTTTCTTTCTTTCTTTCTTTCTTTCTCTCTCTCTCTTTCTTTCTCTTTCTTTTCTTTCCTCTTTCTTTCTTTCTTTCTCTCTCTTTCTTTCTTTCTCTTTTCTTTCCTCTTTCTTTCCTTCTTTCTTTCTTTCTTTCTTATTTTTCTTTTTGGGGAGTATTTTTAAGATGAGATTAACATTTAAATCAATAGAACTTGAGTACACCAGATTAGCCTCCATAATGTGGGTGGGCCTTATCCAATCAGTTGAAGGCCACAATAGAAAAAGTCAACCCACTGCCTTTGGACTCAAGCTGCAACAACATCAGCTCTTCGCTAGGTCTACAGCCTTCTGGTCCACCCTGCATACTTTGAACTTGCCAAGCCTCCACAATCACATGTGCCAATTCCTTAGAGTTTAAAATCTTACCTTCCCACCCACCCCACCCACCCTTTAGCAATATATTTTGTTGGCTCTGTTTCTTAGGAGAACTAACAAACGAGTCTATGGCTGAGTGTGGTGTCTCATGCCTGAAGTCCCAGCGCTTTGGGAGGCCAAGACAGGAGGATTGCTTGAGGCCAGGAGTTCAACATCACCCTGGGCAACACAGCGAGACCCCGTTTCTACAAAAACAAAAACAAAACAAAACAAAACTACAACAACAACAAAAATTCATCTGTTAACAGTGCCCCAAATCATGACTCCAAGCCAGCTAGTGAGGACACCAGTGCTGCTGCCACCAAGCACTAGATGCTGCAGCTTGCATTTCTGATGTACTTCTCACAGACATTCGCTGCTACCCCTAGCATTACTGTCGTCACGCTCCAGGAATCCATGTCCCTACAATGGCTGCCTACAAACTGACAGAGCAAGTTCCTCCTTGTCTCCCCTTCTCTGTGTCAAATGCAGGGCAGATATATCTGATGGGCAGAGAGCCTGTCACTTGCTCTCATTCTAGCTGAAAGAGACACTCAGAAGCAAGTTTCTGGTGTACTTATTTCTATAGTGGGAGGTGGGCTCTCTTCCCAACAACATCCATAAATTAGGGGACTCTACAAACTTTGGAAGTGGGCCCAGATGCTTGGAAGCCACAAAGTCTGACAAATGTCCACTAGAGTCATCCTCTGGCTTGTGGTATTAATACGCACACCTCTTCCCCAAAACACACCCTCCTGAAAATGTTAGGCTGGATCCTAACATAACGCAAGTATCCCTTACAAAACTGGAAGCCCCACTCACCCATCTTCAAAAGAGGGACATTCAAAGGTGAAAATTAGTAGATAAAAATATACGTGGAAGAGCAGAGACAAAAGTGTGTGAGATAGACAAAAGACAAACTGAAAAACAGAATCACTTTTTTTTTTTTTGAGACAGAGTCTTACTGTCGCCCAGGCTGTAGTGCAGTAACACAATCTCGACTCACTGCAACCTCCACTTCCCAGGCTCAAGGGATCCTCCCACCGCAGGTTCCTGAGTAGCTGGTATTACAAGAACCCACCACCACGCCCAGATTTTTTTTTGTATTTTTAGTAGAGATGCGGTTTCACCATGTTGGTCAGTCTGGTCTCGAACTCCTGACCTCAGGTGATCCGCCTACCTCGGCCTCCCCAAAGGCTGGGATTACAGGCGCCTACTTCAGCCTCCCCAAGGGCTGGGATTACAGGCGTGAGCCACCATGCCCGGCCTGTAGACTGTTCTTTCTAGGTGTTAGATTACACTCTATTTTTTTTTTATTTTTTTTAATTTTTTTTAGACAGAGTCTCACTCTGTCATCCAGGCTGGAGTGCAGCAGCGTGATCTTGGCTCACTGCAGCCTCCACCTCCCAGGTTCAAGTGATTCTCCTGCCTCAGCCTCCCAAGTAACTGGGACTGCAGGTGCCCACCACCATGCCTGGATAATTTTTTTGTATTTTTAGTAGAGACGGGGTTTCACCGTGTTAGCCAGGATGGTCTCGATCTCCTGACGTCGTGATCCACCAGCCTAGGCCTCCCAAAGTGCTGGGATTACAGGCGTGAGCCACCTTGCCTGCCCTAATTTTTTCTCACATACTGAAAGCTTTGAAAAGGAAGATCTTGATACAGAGGGAAGGAGCCCTTCATCCAAGTCAACTATTTCAGAAAGTCTGAGAGAATGAGCAAACACAAGAAAGCAGAATGAGTAATATTAGTATTAACCAAAGTATGCTTTAAGCAGAAACAAGAATTGAAGAGGACAAAGATCATTCTATTTCTAGAAGGTATTTAATATAATTTATAATGAATGGATAACATTCACCAGCCTCCAGGCCTTCTGTGTTAGTCCGTTTTCGCTGCTATAAAGAAATACCTGACTCTGGGTAATTTATAAAGAAAAGTTTTTTTGGGTCATGATTCTGCAGGCTGTACAAGAAGCATGGTGTGGGCACCTACTTCTGGTGAGGCCTCAGGAAGTTTCCAATCATGGCAGAAGGTGAAGTGGAAACAGGTGTGTCACATGAAGAGAGAGGGAATAAAAGGGAGAAGGGGAAGCTCCCAGGCTCTAACAATCAGAGCTCATGGTAACTTATTACTGTGTGGGGGGAACCAAGCCATTCATGAGGGACCCACCCCCATGACCTAAACACCACCTGCCAGGCGCCACCTCCAACACTGAGAATCACATTTCAACATGAGATTTGGTGGAGACAAACAGCCAAACCACATCACCTCCATAACCAAAGATCAAATCAAAAAGTAAAGCTGACCCGGCATGGTGGCTCATGCCTGTAATTCCAGCACTTTGGGATGCCAAGGTAGGCAGATCACTTGAGGTCAGGAGTTCAAGACCAGCCTGGCCAACATGGTGAAACCCCATCTCTACTAAAAATACAAAAATTAGCCAGGCATGGTGGTGGATGTCTGTAATCCCAGCCACTCAAGAGGTTGAGGCAGGAAAATCACTTGAACCCAGGAGGCAGAGGTTACAGTGAGCTGAGATCGTGCTGCTGCACTCCAGCCTGGGCAACAGACTGAGACTTCATCCCCCCCGCAGAAAAAAAAAGGACGTTAAAAAAAAAAAAGTAAAAGCTTACTGCAATCATTCTGTAAAGAAAAAAAGGTAAAAGCTATTAACATATAGAAAGAAAATAATTGAAATGTTAATTATTAGACTTTGCAAATCAACTAAATAAATAATAAGAAGCAGTCAGAATTCAAACATTATAATCTTCATATAGATCTATTTGGATTATATTTTACAGCTACAGCTATATCATGAGAAAAAAATATATTGAAGTCATTTCCACATAAAAAGATCCCTAGGACCCAGAGGGAATCTCAAAGGAATAAGCCTGGATCTGCTCTGGGTGTTCCTGGGGAAACCTGGTTTGACACAGTGGGACTGGAAGCCCCAGGGCCAGGGAGTGGGTGTCCATCCGGAGGCAGATTTTTTTTTTTTTTTTTGGAGACAGGATCATGCTTTGTTCCCGAGGCTGGAGTGCAGTGGCACGATCGCAGCTCACTGCAGCCTCAACTTCCTGGGCTCAAGTGATCCTCCCACCTCAGCCTCCCAAGTAGCTGGGACCACAGGTATGAGCCACCATGCCCAGTTAATTTTTTAATTTTTTGTAGAGATGGAGTCTCACTATATTGCCCAGGCTGGTCTCAAACTCCTGGGCTCAAATGATCCTCCCACCTTGGACTTTAAAGGTGTTGTGATTACAGGTGGGAGCCACCATACCCGGCCCAGAGTCAGATTTTAGTGGAGAATAACATGAGTTTGAACACAGATGGCTGTGATCTGAACCTTAGGTGGGTCCCAGTGTGGCCCCCAAAGGGATGGGCCACAGGCATCTATGTTGCAGCACACAGGCTGTCAGCTGACCAGGCATCGAAGGGCAGGGACTGCACTGTGTGCCGTAACTCACAGGATCGTGCCAGTGGATGCTTCTAGCTCCCCAGTCTCTCCCTCTCTCCACCTGACTGACTCCTCTGAGTGAACTCCTGGGGTGCTTTTTGACACCCACAGGGAGGTGCTGGACCCCCTGGTAGTAATGGCAGGGTATGGTTAGGCAGAAATTATGAATAACAAAGGAAAGGTGACATTTTTACTCCAAGCTGAAGAAATAGATCAGTCAGGCTACCTGTGGCAATAATAAACACAAACAATGATTCCCACACAAGGAAGTGTGCAGCAGTGTTTGTTATGGTACAGAAACACTTGAAATTGTTCAGAGTTGGGGAAAGGGTGAATTATATCACGTCCCTGTGATGAAATATTATGCAGCCATTAAAATCAAATTTCTGGGGTCAGGCGCAGTGGCTCATGCCTGTAATCCCAGCACTTTGGGAGGCTGAGACGGGCGGATCACAAGGTCAGGAGTTTGAGACCATCCTGCCTAACATGGTGAAACCCCATCTTTACTAAAAATACAAAAAATTAGCTGGGTGTGGTGGCAGGCGCCTATAGCCCCAGCTACTCCGGAGGCTGAGGCAGGAGAATGGTGTGAAGCCGGAGGTGGAGCTTGCAGTGAGCGGAAATCATGCCACTGCACTTCAGCCTGGGCGACAGAGCGAGACTCCATCTCAAAAAAAAAAAAAAAAAAATCACATTTCTGGGCTGAGCATGGTGGCTCATGCCTGTAATCCCAGCACTTTGGGAGGCCGATGCAGGTGGATCACGAGGTCAGCAGATGGAGACAGTCCTGGCCAACATGGTGAAACCCCGTCTCTACTAAAAATACAAAAAGTAGCTGGGCGTGGCGGTGCGTGTCTGTTGTCCCAGCTACTTGGGAGGCTGAGGCAGGAGAATTGCTTGAATCCAGGAGGCAGAAGTTGCAGTGAGTCAAGGTCGTGCCACTGCACTCCAGCCTGGTGACAGAACGCGATTCCATCTCAAAAAAAAAAAAAAAAATCACGTTTCTAAGAGCTCCACTGACATGGGAAGTAAGAAGTGGAAAATCAGAACTCAAAATTATATGCATCGATTGCAGCCAACTTTTGTAAAACAATATTCCAAGTGCCTAACTGCGATTACCTTTGAGCTGCAAGGATACAGGTTACTTTAATTTTCTTCTTTATGGTTTATGGTGTACCATAATGCATACGTAGACACTAGCTTTCAAATAACAAAATGATTTTTTGTCATTTGACCCCGCCCCCTAAGTCAGGCAGCCAATCAGGGTGCTCCTGGCCAGTTCCCACAGTTCAGCGTTGCTTCACCTCTGCACCACCTGGGCTACAAGCGGGCCAGGGCCCAAGGTTCATCTGAAATGCTTGTTACTTGCTGTAGTACTCACATTTCCCTCTGCTATTTCTTTCTTATTCTAAAGTAACATTCTCCAAATTAAAATGTATGGCAATATGCATATGCATTCACCTATATTTTTTCCTTTCAGTTAAAGTTGATGATCACCTTTGGTCTAGCAGCAGTGCTGGACACCGAGATACAAAGTGAGTCATGTGTGTATTCGGGTCTGTAGGTCTCGTAGTCTGCGGAAAGCCCTTGTGGAGAGGGAATGATAAACCAAAGAAAAACAGAGCTCTGAGAGCCGGAAGCGTGAATCCGGAGGCTTCACGGAGGAGGAGGTGGCATTGACTTGGTTCTTGAAGGTGTGGGTGGGAGCTGACTTGAGAGGAGAGACAGAGGCAGTTGGTCTGGATGGAGGGAAGACCAAATGTCGATTTGTTTCCCTGATGTCAAAGACCTGGCTCTGGCTGACCCTGCCCCCTAAGTCAGGCAGCCAATCAGGGTGCTCCTAGCCGGTTCCCAAGGTTCAGCGTCGCTTCACCTCTGCACCGCCTGGGCTGCAAGCGGACCAGGGCCCCAGGTTCATCTGAAATGCTTGTTACTCGTTGTGGTACTCACATTTCACTCCGCTCTTTCTTTCTTCCCTCCCCTCCCCTCCCCTCCCCTCCCCTCCCTTTTTTGACAGAACCTTGCTCTTTCACCCAGGCTGGAATGCAATGGCCTGATCTTGGCTCACTGCAACCTCCACCTCCCAAGTTTAAGCAATTCTCCTGCCTCATCCCCCTGAGTATCTGTGATTGTAGGCGCCTGCCACCACGCCCAGCTAATTTTTGTATTTTTAGTAGAGATAGGGTTTCACCATGTTGGCCAGGCTGGTCTTAAAGTCCTGACCTCAGGTGATCCACCTGCCTCAGCCTCCCAAACTGCTGGGATTACTGGCATGAGCCACCACACCCAGCCTCACTCTGCTGTTCTTTTGCCTGAGCATTTTTGTGACCCAGCCTTTATGCTTGACCATTGCAGAGGACACATAAAAGGAGGATGAGGCCAGTGAGTCTTCACCCGGGCTGCACAGGTGGTGCACACCTGTAGTCCCAGTTACTCGGGTGGTTGAGGCAGGAGAATAGCTTGAATCTGGGAGGTGGAGGTTGCAGGAAGCCGAGATGGCTCCACTGCACTCTACTGGGGGAACCCACCCCCAATATTTCAACATAGGTTCTTTCTATTTTCCCTAAGTGTCGGCCAGCTGAGAAATAAAGAGAAAGAGTACAAAGAGAGGAATTTTACAGCTAGGCCTCTGGGGGTGACATCCCATATTGGTAGGACCCACCTGAGCCGCAAAACCAGGAGGTTTTTATTAAGGACTTTAAAAGGGGTGGGGGTGTACGAACAGGGAGTAGGTCACAGAGATCACAGGTGTCAAAGGGCAAAAAGGAGAACAAAGATCACATGCCTCTGAAGCCAATAGAGATCACAAGGCAAAGGACAAAATCAAAACCTCCAGATAAGGGTCTATGTTCAGCTGTGCACGTATTGTCTTGATAAACATCTTAAACAACAGAAAACAGGGTTCAAGAGCAGAGAATCTGTCTGACCTTAAATTCACCAGGGTGGGGTTTTTTCCCCACACTAATAAGCCTGAGGGTACTGCAGGAGACCAGGGCATATTTCAGTCCTTATCTCAACTGCATAAGACAGACTCTCCCAGAGCAGCCATTTATAGACCTCCCCCGAGGAGTGCATTCCTCTCCCAAGGTCTTAATTATTAACATTCCTTGCTAGGAAAAGAATTCAGTGATATCCCTACTTGCACGTCCATTTATAGGCTCTCTGCAAGAAGAAAAATATGGCTCCATTCTGCCCAACTCCACAGATAGTCAGACCTTATGATTATCTTCCCTTGTTCCCTAAAATCACTGTTATTCTGTTCTTTTTCAAGGTGCACTGATTTCATATTGTTCAAATACACATGTTTTACAATCAATTTGTATAGTTAGGTAGAATTATCACAGTGGTCCTGAGGTGACGTACATCGTCAGCTTACGAAGATAACAGGATTAAGAGATTAAAGTAAAGACAGGCATGAGAAATTATAAGTGTTAATTTCGGGAACTGATAAATGTCCGTGAAATCTTCACAGCTTATGTTCAGAGATTGCAGTAAAGACAGGCGTAAGAAATTATAAAAGTATTAATTTTGGGAACCGATACATGTCCATATTAAAATGAAATCTTCACAATTTATGTTCCTCTGACACAGCTCCAGCTGGTCCCTCTGTTCAGGGTCCCTGACTTCCCGCAACAGCATCCAGCCTGGCGACATAGAGAGACTCCGTCTCAAAAAAAAAAAAAAAAATTTAGCTAGGCATGTGGCACACACCTGTGGTCCCAGCTACTCAGGAGGCTGAGGCAGGAGGATCACTTGAGCCTGGGAGATGGAGGGTGCAGTGAGCCAAGATCACGGCACTGCACTCCAGCCTGGGTGACAGAGCATGACCCTGTCTCAAAAAAAATTATAATTAATAGTTTAACTTAGTATAATTACTAAGTGTGTCACTAGCAAGAACATCATTTAATGAAACAACTACTGCATTAAACTCAATTGGTGAAAAATAAATTTCCTTGGGAATGAGATTCAGTCTTGATTATTTCATCAGACAGAAAACACCACCCTGCCAACTACTTTTTTCAGAGCCCCTTTCAAGTACCTGTTCCTCAGGCTGTAGATGAAAGGGTTTAGCATGGGAGTCACTACTGTATACAACACAGTAGCCATAGTGTCTTTCTCAGCTGAGTGGGAGGACAGAGGGTTAAAATACACAGCAATGATGGTGCTGTAGAAGAGGAGAACCACAGCCAGGTGAGAACCACAGGTGGAGAAGGCTTTCCACCTTCCCTTTGTGGATGGGACCTTCAGGACAGTGCAGGTGATGTGCATATAAGAAGCCAGGATGCAAAGAAATGGGGTGATCATGACCAGGGCACCCTCACTAAGGATTATGACCTCATTGAGGTGTGTGTCTGAGCAGGAGAGTTTCAGTAGGGGAGTCACATCGCAGAAGAAGTGAGTGATGGCATTGTCTGCACAGAATGAGAGTGGAGCCATCAGCAGGGTGTGCAGAAGGACATTCAGGTTGGCAACCACCCATAATCCAGCAACCAGCAGGGCACAGAGCTGATGGGTCATCTTTGCTGTGTAATGTAAGGGGTGGCACACGGCGACAAAGTGGTCATAGGCCATCACAGCTAGGAGGAAATTGTCCATGTCCACGAACATGAAAACGAAATACATCTGTGTGAGACAGCCACAGAAGGAGATGGTCTGAGTCTCGAGTATGTGATTGGCCAGCATCTTGGGGACGGTGGTGAAGGAGAAGCAGATGTCCACAAAAGACAGGTTGCTGAGGAAGAAGTACATGGGGGTGTGCAGGCAGGAGTCTATGCTTACGGACAGGATGATGAGCAGGTTCCCCAGGACAGTGGCCAGGTACATGCTGAGGAAGAACACAAAGAGGAGATGCTGCTGCTGGGGCTGCCTGGAGAGTCCCAGGAGGAGGAACTCGGAGACACTCGACTGGTTTGTCCCGCTCATGGGCCTGGGATCCTGGACACAGAGGCAGACAAAGAAGACGAAATGCAAAAGCTTGGAAAATGCTGGTTAAGATGGGGCACAGGAATGGCAGTAGAATTTTGCTTGCAGGATGTAAATGATAATATTGTCAACCCTGCTGGGGCTGCTACTGCTATGTTCAGGGCTCAGGTTTACAGAAGTCTGAGCCAGGCCTTCTTGGCTATATCCACGGAGCACCCTGAGTCCAATTTGTAAAATTAAAATGGAACAACCCAGAGGTCTGGGCAGAAACTCAGTCAGTTTGTGTTCCCCACAGTTCAGGATGTCAGACAGACGGGACAGAGGCTGGTCCTGACTGGGTGATTGCAAGGGACTGCTGCTGAGCTCAGGACTGTTTTTCTGGCTCCACATAATTGAAAGGAAGGAGGGTCCCTCTGAGGCTTTAAGTCCTGACAAGCAGTTATCAGTGAAGTCCCACTGATGTGACTCTTTTTATTTCTTTTTTTAAACGGAGTCTCGCTCTGTCGCCAGGCTAGAGTGCAGTGGCGAGATCTTGGCTCGCTGCAACCTTCAGCTCCCTAGTTCAAGTGATTCTCCTGCTTCAGCCTCCCAAGTAGCTGGGATTATAGGCACGTGCCACCACGCCCAGCTAATTTTTGTATTTTTAGTAGAGACGGGGTTTCACCATGTTGGCCATGATGGTCTCTATCTCTTGACCTCGTGATCCGCCCGCCTTGGCCTCCCAAGGTGCTGGGATTACAGGCGTGAGCCACCACACCTGGCCAATGATCTGACTCTTACCCAGAAAGAGCAGCAGTCCTCACTGTCTCCTGAAGTCCTGGGTTGGCTTCCCTTTTTCAGACCTGGCCAGAGGTTATTGGTCTGAGGGAGGGTGACTCGTCACTGGAGCTTTGAGGCTGAGTATCTCATGAATCAGGAGCTGGGCTGCACAGACTCAGCCCTTGATGCAGGAAGGATGTTTGGAAGAATCACAGGGCAAGCTCTTCACAGGAGCCTCCATGGCCACTAGGGTCATATTCCCTGAGAGCCTCATTGAGAAAAGCAGAGAGTAATTGTCCCTTCCCCTCCTTGGCTCTTTTGTGTCCGACACTGACGATAAAGCTTTGTCATACATAATTCCTGCCTCAGCACTTGGCAACACTGAAAGTGATGCAATCTAAGGGGTAATCATTGGCAACAATCCTTCTGCTAGAGGAAACTCACGACCCTGTATTTTATCCCCCACCCAGCTGGGATGCTGATCTTGTTGGGAGATACCTGTGAAGCTGTACTGGGATTAAGAAGATAACCTTTGGATTTTCACAGACCAGCACTCAATTTCCAGATCCACCATTACCAGTTGTATAGCCTTAGAAAAGCTAGTAACCTCCACTGAATCACCAGCTCCCATCATCTATAGAGTGGAGAAATAATATTCACCTTGTAGGGTTGTAATAACTAAACTAGGTAATTTATGTTAAATATCTCGTGACTCTTAACCTCATCAATGCACTGGGCTAAGACCATGTCCACTAGGTGAAGGCTGAAGATATTAAATTGTTATTATTATTATTATTATTATTATTATTATTATTATTATTATTATTTTGAGATGGAATTTCATTCTTGTTGCCCAGGCAAGGTACTACAGGCGTGCACTACCATGCCCACCAGGCTGGGCAACAGAGCGAGAATTCGTCTTAAAAACAAACAAACAACAAGAACAACAAACAACCCATAAAGCTAATTACGAAAGATCTGGGGAGGAGGAGGAGAATGGACACTGAATTAGCAAAGACATTATTTGCAAGCGATAGAAAACCAACTCATATCAGCCTAGGGAGAAATGACAGGTTAATGTCATTACAAAATCCAAGGTGTCTTCTTGCAAAGCCTTTGTGTTTCAGGCCAGACCAAATTCAGGGAGCTGAATGATAACATCAAGACCCTGTATTTCTCTATCTCACTACTGCATTGGCTTCTGCTCAGCTTCATTCTGCAGATTACCTCTCCTCATGTGGCAGCAAGATGTCCAACAGTGGCTCCAAATTCACATCCTTCCAGACTAGCAGCCACAGGGCACATGAAACTTCCCTCTACCAATGTTTATTTATTAATAACATTGTACTGATGCAGGACAAGCGAGCCCCAAAGTGAGGCCTAGTCTGCAAGGGTTCTTGGCTTTGCCCAGGAAAGAATACAAGGGCGAGCCAGTGGTAGAAGAAAACAGCTTTACTAAAGCAGCAGGCAGTGTTACAGCTGCCTGACTGCTCCTGCAGAGGAGGGCTCCCCCATAGGCAGTGTGCTGAGAGTAACAGCTCTAGGGAGTTTTGCAGCCATATTTATACCCATTTTTAAGTACATGTAGAATAAGGTGCAGTTTATGCAGAAATTTCTAGGGAAGGGGTAGTAACGTTTGGGTCACTGAGTCATTGCCATGGAAAGGGGCAGTGACGCCTGGGTGTCACTGGTGGGTATGTCTTATGGAAAGCTGCTTCCGCCCCATCTCTTTTAGCTAATCCTCAATTTGGTCCAGTGTCCGAGCCCTGCTTCCTACCTCAACTCCAGGTAAGGTTGTGATCATCCCTTCGTGGGTCATGTGTCCAAACCTGAACAAACCATTCTGCATGGAAGAACAGAGTACTCTCATCATTCTGGATCATCAGCTCAATCCATTCCATGCGGGAATCCAGTGATGGACATTGTCACCAGGACTAAATGGAGGAGGATAGGAATTCCCCTTTTCCTCCACGTATTTGGCAATAATTAAACAAGCAGACAAAAATGACAAGTGTTGGCAAGGATGTAGAGAAACTAGAGCTCTACATTGCTGGTGAGAAGGTAAAATGATGCAGCTGCTGGGGAAAACAGTTGGGTTGTTCCCCCAGGAGCTAAACATACAATTACCATACAATCCAGCAATTCCATTCCTAGGTTTGTACCCAAAAGAATTGAAAACAGGGACTCAAACAGATATTTGTACAACAATTATTGTACATTAGTCACAATGGCCAAAATGTGAAAATAACACAAGTATCCATCAACAGATGAATAGATAAACAAAATGTGGTAGATCCTTATGATGGAATATCATTCATCCATAAAAAAGGAATGAAGCACTGACACACACTACAATGTGGATGAACCCTGAGACATTATGCTAAGTGAAAGAAGCCAGATACAAAAGAACACATAATGTATTATTCTACTTAGATGAAATGTCTAGAGTAGGCAAATCCATAGAGACAGGAAGTAGATTAAAGGTTATTAACAGCTGGGGAAGGGGATGTGGGGAGTTATTGCTTAATGGTTACAGAATTTGTTTGAAACGAAAACGTTTTGGAAACAGATAATGGTGATTATTGCATACATTGTCAATGTAATTAATGCCATTGGTCAGGCATGGTGGGTCACACCTGTAATCCTAGTGAGGCAGGATAGGTAGTCAAGAATGTGACCATGTTCTTGGGACACAGCAACTGTGGTGACCACACAGTCCACACAGTAAGCCTCAGCATTCACCTTGTAATTGAGGTCATTAAAGCAAAGCTATCTTCAGTAGGTACTTTCCCTTCTGTAGAGCATGTGCATTCTGATCTTACCTGCCTTCAAATTGACCTTTTCCTGGTTCTTTGTTTGTTTATTCGTTTTTTGTTTGTTTGTTTGTTTTGAGATGACGTCTTGCTCTGTCGCCCAGGCTAGAGCGCAGTGGCGCAATCTTGGCTCACTGCCTCCCGGGTCCACGCCATTCTCCTGCCTCAGCCTCCCGAGTAGTTGGGATTACAGGCATGCACTGCCATGTCCGGCTAATTTTTGTATTTTTAGTAGAGACAGAGTTTCACCATATTGGCCAGGCTGGTCTCGAATTCCTGAGCTCAAGTGATCCGCCCCTCTCGGCCTCCGAAAGTGGGATTACAGGCATGCGCCACCATGCCCAGCCTTTTTCCTCATTTTAATAGTAAAAAACATATCCCTGGGTGGAGATTTAAGATGCTAACGAGACGTGCAACCTATGAACAAGCATTCACAGCTACAGCACTTGTGCACTGAGAAGAAGACCACCCAGAACAGGCTTACTAGTAACACCTCTCTCATCTCCTTATGAATAACCATTTAAGGCTCCCATAAAGGGAGTCTCCCTCGTGCATCTTTGCTGTCTCATTCTTACAAGCGGCCTGCCCTCAGTTCCCTCTCTCTCAGGGTGTACTGTCTATTCTGCACCTAACTTTGTTCTTCTTCTTTTTTTTTTTTGAGACGGAGTTTTGTTCTTGTTGCCTGGGGTGCAGTGCAGTGGCATGATCTCGGTTCACCACAACCTCCGCCTCCTGGGTTCAAGCGATTCTCCTGCCTCAGCCTCCCGAGTAGCTGGGATTGCCAGGCATGCACCACAATGCCCAGCTAATTTTGTATTTTTAGTAGAGACGGGGTTTCTCCATGTTGGTCAGGCTGGTCTCAAACTCCTGACCTCAGGCGATCCGCCCGCCTTGGCCTCTCAAAGTGCTGAGAGATTACAAGTGTGAGCCACTGCAACCAGCCATAACTTTCAAAATATCCTTTTTCTTTTGCAAGAAGTTACTCTATGCTGCATTTGTTTTGCTGTGTGTCTCTTGTTTAAATTCTTTTAAACCAAGAATACATAAACCAAGGTATCATATCAATGGTCAACACTAGCACTTTGGGAGGCCAAGGTGGGAGGCCCGCTTAAGCTCAGGAGTTTGAGACCAGCCTGGGCAACATAGTGAGACCATCAACACACCTGGCTAATTTTTAAATTTTTTGTAAAGATGATGTCTCATTATGTTGCCCAGGCTGGTCTCGACTGGTCTTGAACTCCTGGGCTCAAGCAATCCTCTTACCTCAGCCTCCTGAAATACTGGGATTACAGGCATGAGACACTGTGCCCAGCTATTTAATCTCTTTTATTATATATTTTTATTTTCATCATCATAATAATTATTATTATTTCAGGTAGGGTCTCCCTCTGTTGCCTAGGCTGGAATGCAGTGGTATGAACACAGCTCACTGAAGTCTCAACCTTCCAGGCTCAGGTGATTCTCCTGTCTCAGCCTCCTGAGGAGCTGGGACTACAGACACATGCCACTATGTTCAGGTAATTTTTTTTTTTTTTTTTTTTTTTTTTTTTTTTTTTTTTGTAGAGACAGGATCTTGCCTTCTGGCCCAGGCTGGTCTGGAACACCTGAGCTCAAGTGATCCTCCTGCCCTGGCCTCTCAAAGTGCTGGGATTATAGGCGTGAGCCACCATCCTCACCTTCTTTAATGGGTTTTGATTTTGTTTTTGTTTTCGTTTTTTGTGACAAGATCTTGCTCTGTCACCTAAGCTGGAGTGCCGAGGAGTGAACACAGCTCACTGCAGCCTCAAGCTCCTGGGCTCAAGCGATCCTCCCATCACAGCCTCCAAGCCCAGCTAATTTTTGTATTTTTTGTAGAGCCGGGGTTTTGCCATATTGCTCAAGCTGATCTTGAACGCTTGGGCTTAAGTGATCCTCCTGCCTCGCCTCTCAAAATGCTGGGATTCCAGGCGTGAGCCACCGCGTCCACCGCTGTGATTTCTTAAGGGTAAACAAAAAGGGTCAGAAGACCTCATGGTTTCTACCAGGCAGGACCTCGCCACTACCCTTTCACCTGAAGTACAAAGTCTCACTGTTGTTTTGTTTCATCTCCTGCCAGCTGCCACCATCAGGTCCAACATAGACCAGGCCCAGGAGAGCTACCTGTTCCCTGTCCCCGCTTGCATATCTGTACAGAACTGTGTTGATTCCCCTAAAACACCCATGTTCATCAGGCATTTCCCCTGCTTAAGGGGTTAAGCCTGTCCTCTCTCTGCATGTGTCATCCCCACCACCAACAGGGGAAACATGTCAGCCTACTTGCCTCAGCCAGATGGCACACCAGCTATTTTGTGCCTTCAGAATCCCATGAAAACACCCGCTCTTCCTGGGCCTCCTGCCTGCTAGCCTCCGGATTAGAACCACACCATCAGCTCTGCTGGGTCTCCAGTTTGCCAACTCACCCTGCATACTTGGGGACCTGTTAGCCTCCATCTGCGTGAGCCAATTCCTTATAATCTCTCTCTCTGTCTCTCTCTCTCCCTCTCTCTCCCTCTCTCTCCCTCCTTCTCCCTCTCCCTCTCCTTCTCCCTCTCCTTCTCCCTCTCCCTCTCCTTCTCCCTCTCCCTCTCCTTCTCCCTCTCCCTCTCCTTCTCCCTCTCCCTCTCCTTCTCCCTCTCCTTCTCCCTCTCCCTCTCCTTCTCCCTCTCCTTCTCCCTCTCCCTCTCCTTCTCCCTCTCCTTCTCCCTCTCCCTCTCCTTCTCCCTCTCCCTCCTTCTCCCTCTCTTTCTCCTTCTCCCTCTCCCTCTCCTTCTCCCTCTCCCTCTCCTTCTCCCTCTCCCTCTCCTTCTCCCTCTCCTTCTCCCTCTCCCTCTCCTTCTCCCTCTCCTTCTCCCTCTCCCTCTCCTTCTCCCTCTCCCTCCTTCTCCCTCTCTTTCTCCTTCTCCCTCTCCCTCTCCTTCTCCCTCTCCCTCTCCTTCTCCCTCTCCCTCTCCTTCTCCCTCTCCCTCTCCCTCTCCCTCTCTCCCCAGCCCATTTAAGCTTGTAGTCAGATGTAGGACTGCGCTGTCTGAGGAACTGGCCCCCAGCAGCAGGTGGCTCTGGAGCCCTTGACATGTGGCCACATTTAAGCTTGTAGTCAGATGTAGGACTGCGCTGTCTGAGGAACTGGCCCCCAGCAGCAGGTGGCTCTGGAGCCCTTGACATGTGGCCTGTGCAAGTTGAGATGTGCCTTAGAGGAAAGCATGCCAGAGTTTGAAGGTTTAGAATGAGAGAAAAAAAAACCAACAACGACATAACCTATCTCATTGATAATGTATATATTGATTACTTGTGACATAAAACATTTGTTCAAATAAAATGTATTATTAAGATTAGTTTTGGGCTGGGCACAGTGGCTCACACCTGTAATCCCAGCACTTTGGGAGGCCGAGGCAGGTGGACCACCTGAGGTCAAGAGTTTCAGACCAGCCTGGCCAACATGGTGAAACCCCGTCTCTACTAAAAATACAAAAAAAAAAAAAAATGCCAGGTGTGATGGCTCATGCCTGTAATCTCAGCACTGTGGGAGGCTGAGGAGAGCGGATCACCTGAGGTCAGGAGTTCGAGACTAGCCTGGCCAACATGGTGAAACTCTGTCTCTACTGAAAAAAATACAAAAATTAGGTGCAGTGGCGCACTCCTGTAATCCCAGCTACTTGGGGGACTGAGGCAGGAGAATCACTTGAAGCCGGCAGGCGGAGGTTGCAGGAAGCTGAGATTGCACCACTGCACTCCAGCCTGGTCAACAGAGTGAGACTCTGTCTCAAAGAAACAAAACAAAACAACAACAACAACAAAATAGCTGGGCATGGTGGTGGCGCCAGTAATCCCAGCTACTTGGGAGGCTGAGGTGAGGCTGGAGACTTGCTTGAACCCAGGATGCGGAGGTTGCAGGACGCCATTGCACTCCAGCCTGGGCAACAACAGCGAAACTCCATTTCAAAAAAAAAAAAAAAAAAAGATTAATTTCACCGCCAGTCGTGGTGGCTTACATCTGTAATCCCAGCACTTTGGGAGGCCAACGCAGGGGGATCTCTTGAGCCCAGGAGTTCAAGACCAGCCTGGGCAACAATAGTGAGATCCCATCTCTACAAAAATAATTTTAAAAATTAGCTGGGTGTCGTAGTGCGTGCCTGTGGTGCCAGCTACTTAGGAGGCTGAGGTGGGAAGATATCCTCAGCCTGGGAGGTCAAGGATGCAGTGAGCTGTAATCGTACCACTGCCCTCCAGCCTGGGCAACAGAGGGAGACCCCATCTCAAAATAATAATAATAATATTTTTACTTTAAAACTTTAATGGCCCCGATTAGCATCTCCTAAGTCTTGCTAAACGTTACTAACCTTCATCCAAAAACTTTCACTGGGCAAAGACCTGAGAGTACTCCATGTCTCAACCTTCTCTGCAGCCTAGGGCTGCAAAGGAAAAGGAAACATGTGCTCAACACAGGGCTCAAACCCACGACCCTGAGATTAAGAGTCTTGTGCTCTACCGGCTGAGCTAGCTGGGCATAACTGCAAGGTTTTCTGATAATGGAGTGTGTGCTCACCACTTGACATGAACGTGAGGATGAATCAGGCAGTGCCACCAACTGCTCGCTGGGTCCTGCCCTTCCCAGGAGAAGAGAAAGTCCACCAGGAGAGACGTGACCCACGCGTCCTGCTGGCGGGTGGCACAGAGACTCTGGGGTCCTGGAAGCCCCAGGCAGGGGCTCAGTGACCAAACCCACCTGGTGGGGCTGCGCACCCAGGTGGGAGGGTACATCCCACCCTATGTTCTCAGTCCCAAGGTGTGCCCAGATGTACTGGGGGCCACATTGCCCAATAAAGTAATTCATGCTCTCAAATATGTATTGAGCACCTCTGTGTGCCAGGCACTGGGGATATAGCAGTTAACAAAATGGACTTTCAAAACAGAAAAAGAAAGAGGGTGGATTCTGTATCAGAGGTAGTTGCTGGTCTTCACTTCTTTTTTTTTTTTTTTTTTGAGTTCCACTCTGTCCCCCGGGCTTGTAATACAATGGTGTGATCTCTGCTCACTGCAACCTCCAACTCCCGGGCTCCAGCGATTCTCTTGCCTCAGCCTCCCGAGTAGCTGGGATTACAGGCCACCCCCACCACGCCCGGTTAATATTTTTGTATTTTTAGTAGAGACAGGGTTTCACCATGTTAGCCAGGCTGGTCTCGAACTCCTGACCTCAGGTAATCTCCCGGCCTTGCCTCTCTGAGCCACCGCGCCGGGCCCTGTTTCCTTTCTCACTGGGATGGACGCCCGCATTTGAAGCTAGTGCGTCGTTTAACCCGCACACAAGTCGCGGTAGCTGTTTTGGTTTGTTTGTTGTTTTGTTTTTTGCCTTTTTTTCTGTTTTCTTTTCTTTTCTTTTTTTAATAGTAAACGCAATTAGCACAATGAGTTACCTGTCTTTTTAGGGAGGATTCTCTCCTGTTTCCGTAGCGGCAGGAAGAGAAGGAACGGTTGGGGGGAGAGCGCCGGAGGCGCAGGGTCTGAGATTGGGTCCAGGACCCGGGCTCTGAGCAAGAAGCACCCTCCTGGGCCGGGATGCGCTTCCCGGAGCACGGCTGGCATTGTGCTCCGGGGGACACGGGGCCTTCCGCCACCAGAGTGCTCACTGAGTGACACGCCAATCTGGACAGCACTTGCTGGACCCCAAATCCTGGACCGATGCCAAGACTCCACCCTCGAGGTCTTTCATGCCCAGGAGTCACTATCAGAAGTCACAGAAGAAGGGCGGTGGCTCACGCCTGTAATCCCAGCATTTTGGGAGGCCGAGGCAGGAAGATAACTTGAGCACAGGAGTTCCAGACCAGCCTGAACAACATAGCGAGACCTAAATCACTCACGATCATAAACCACATTAAGTCCACATGATCATCTGCCCACCTCACTTCCAATTCCGCAAGTGCCCCCCTTAAATTCCAAAAGAGACCTCTGTTTTCTCCTGTTCCTGTTTACTTTTGATCTGCATATTTTTCCATTTTACTAGAATCTTTTTTCTCCCCTCCTCTCCTCTGGCCCGAGTGCCAAGAGCCTTTGGCACTGATCATACACAAACATCTGGGGCCTCAGAGTCGCTGCTTGTTTTGTAAAGTGTCATACATCTCTCCCGTGGGGGATATCCAAGTCAACCAGGATAGATTGAACGTTCTTTTCTGAGGTTGAGCAACATTAATGAAACAAACTGTATTCAATTCATCCCCTATTCATGGTCATCTCCCTTCCCGTTTTTGAACAAAATTACTGCAATAAAACATCCTTGTACATACATGGTACTCTTATTTCTATGAAATGGAACGTGTGGGCCAAAGAGGTGTGTATACAAGGGGTGCTTTCTAAAACAGAAAGACAAACCAAACCAAACAAACAAACCAAAACAGAAAACCAGCCTCCAACATTTTCCCACTTTGATATATACAAAAGCTGTACATTGCTTTTTCTTGTCCCTTTGATGTGGAGAGAGGTAAGTAAAATCTTCACTCTTCTCATCCTAGAGAGAGAGGAGATTGTGTGTCTTGTTTAATGCCCTGTTTTTCTTCCAAATTCATGCCGTTTCTTCTTATTCTTGCAAAGTTTTTCTACTTATGTGTCTCCATGCTTTGTCCTTTTTAAAAGGCGTGATACCTTACCCCAAGTCACCTACGGTCGGTGTTGTCTTACCCCAGGTGGAACTCGAACCCACAATCCCTGGCTTAGGAGGCCAGTACCTTATCCATCAGGCCACTGGGGCAGTTACCACGTGCCCTACTGAGAATATTAAAAGACAGAATAACTTATCGCGGGTGGCTAGAAAATGACCCTAGAATTGGTTTGGGCATTTATTCAAGGAAGTATGCCAGCTTGAGCAACATAGCGAGACCCCGTCTCTACAAAAATTTTAAAATTAGCCGGTTGTGGTTGCGCTCGCCTGTAGTCCCATCTACTTGGGAGGCTGAGGCTGGAGGATCGCTTGAGCCTAGGAAGTGGAGGCTGCAGGGAGCCGAGATGGCGCCACTGCACTCCAGCCTGGGCGACGGGAGTGAGATCCTGTCTCAAAAAAAATAGTCTTAGCCCAGTTCTTGCAACGCAGCAGCCTCCATTCGGGTCGCCGGGGACGCCATAGTGAACGAGAGAAAACTCCCATTCCCCGTAGAGCTCTGCAGTCTGCGTCCTCGCGCCACCGGCGCTATCCTCTCCCGCGTGGTTTCCGATCCTCCAGCCCGCATGGGCTTCGCGGAGCCCGACTCGTCTGATCCTCCAGAAAGGAGTCCCAGGCGCCCGAAGGAACTAGATTTTCCTTCGGAGTCAGAGAGCAACGGAGGGTCTCGGGCTGGGTGCGTCGGTGAAGCGCTGAGCCTTGACGCGAGGCCCTTGACAGCCCCACTGTGTTTAATAAAGGTCAGGTCCTCCTGGGGTCCAGGGCATGACAAAAGATCCTGCAGGGGCCGGGCGTGGAGGCTCGCGCCAGTAATCTCAGCACTTTGGGAGGCCAAGGCGGTGGATCACTTGAGGTCAGGAGTTCGAGGCCAGCCTGGCCAACATGGCGAAACCCCGTCTCTACTAAAAATACAAAAATTAGCCGGGTGTGGTGGCTCCTCCAACTACTCGGAAGGCTGAGACAGGAAAATCGCTTGAACCTGGGAGGCGGAGGCTGCAGTGAGCCGAGATCGCTCCACTGCATTCCAGCCTGGGCGACAGAGGAAGACGCCATTTCAAAAAAGATAAAAAATTTTTAAAAACTCTTTTTTTTTAATCCCGCGGGGCACAGTACCCGGGAGGAAGATTGCAGACGGCGCGAGTCAGACACCCCACCGGACCGCCAAAAGCTCAACTGCAAGCCCAAGTCAGCGCCCTCTTAGCAGCCTCCCGGGCCGCACCCCAGGGCCGAGCGCCGCGACTCAGAGCTGGGCCAACGTCCGGGACACGGAGGCGGCCCGGGAGATTCTACCCTGCACCTCGCTTTTCCAGGCTCGGCGCGAGAGGAAGCAAGGAGCCAGACAAAACCCTCCCCTTGAGGCTGCTCAAAGCCGACGCCCCCCGGGATCGTGGACACAACCCCTGGAATCCGCTGTGACTGTCATTTACCTAGTGGTAAAAATTCAGCAGTGTTGGAGCTGCTCAAGATACTCATCCCACCAATGAGGCTTCCGGGACCTCAGACACTCATGCGACAAGGCGATCTAATATACAATCCATATTCTAAATTCCCCCAGTAACTTTATATTTTATAAATTGAAGCAGAGAAATCCAGGACCGAGGGGTTGAGTCTCACTGGAGTAAACCCTGGACTTGAGCCCTTGAAAGTGCATGGCTGTTGGCCGGGCGCAGTGGCTCACGCCTGTCATCCCCGCACTTTGGGAGGCCGAGGCGGGCGGATCACGAGGTCAGATCAAGACCATCCTGGCTAACACGGTGAAACCCCATCTCTACTAAAAATACAAAAAATTAATCGGGCGTGGTGGCGGGCACCTGTAGTCCCAGCTACTCAGGAGGCTGAGGCAGGAGAATGGCGTGAACCCAGGAGAAGGAGCTTCAACCGAGTTGAGATAGCGCCACTGCACTCCAGCCTGGGCGACCGAGCGAGACTCTGTCTCAAAAATAAGAAGAGGGGCTCGTCCGGGATTTGAACCCGGGACCTCTCGCATCCTAAGCGAGAATCATACCCCTAGACCAACGAGCCACAGCAGCAGGCCCTTTACTTTTCTTTGTGGCAGCCGTGGAGTACTTGGAGCGATAAAGCTCAAGCCTGCGAAAGCAAAGTGACAGGAGACTGGGATTGCAGACTCAGTGGGTGGGCCAGCGCCCCGGCCCCTCTCCGCACCGCACAAAGTGGGGAGAGGCCCCTGCACCCCTCACACCCATCCTGTGGCCCCTCAGTTCTCACCCGCCCCCGCCCCTCTGCCCCTGGCTGGCAACCAGCCCGTCCCGGTGCTGCCTTTGGTCATTTCACTGACAATCCTTGCTGCTGGGAGCGCGCGGAGACCAAAATTCAATCATTGAGGGGATACCATCACAGAGCGCGATGTGGCACCTGGTAGTGTTCATTAAATGCTGGCTGTTTCCAGAACTCCAAGGTAGCAAGGAAGAAAACAAGTCGCCCAACGTGGGGCTCGAACCCACGACCCTGAGATTAAGAGTCCCATGCTCTACCGACTGAGCTAGCCGGGCTTCCCTGGGAACGTTTTATGTCTAGTAATTGGCGGGGTGGCATGAGAATAGTAGAAACTAAGTGACGTAATGAATCAGCCCCAGAAACCAGGGCACACTGGGGGTCCCCTACAACAGGTTCAGTTCCACCCCGACATCCCCGCTGGTGCAAGACTTTGCTCACCGCTCTGCGATCTCCCATAAATGGAGATGACCCGCCAGAGGCTCCTTCCGCAGGGCGCTGGCATAAATCTGTATTCTCTGCCGTCCGCTGAAATGTCCTCCTTTCAGAAAGAGAAAAAACATACCCACACTGCACGCACCTAAAAGAGTCAACGACAACCTCTTTTTGGAGGCCACTCGAATTACAGGAACAGGAGAGTTCTGCTGTGTATCGGGCAAATTAACCCATCTTTGGAGCTGCAGACAGAATGTCTGAAGCTCACTGGGAGCTCACAGAAGTCCTCGCAGGTGTCGCTCCGCACTGTAACCTACTGTGACGTGCATGTAGCTGTTCCGTTTCCATTACTGTGTGCTTTTATATCTAGAACTATTTGGTTGTTTTTTCAATCTAGAAGGTTCAAAGGAGAGCATTTTACATAGGTCCCGTTGTCAAAGATATTTTCTTTATTGCCTTTCCTAAGGATAATTGTATTACAGACTTCCCAATAGTCTGCATCCAAAATGTTTGCAATTTTGTTTCTGTTGCCTACTGTTGATGACTTGTTGTTCATGATACCTTGTTTTGCGGTCTTTTTTTTTTTTTTTTTTTAGATAGAGTCTTACCTTGTCACCCAGGCTGGAGTGCACTGGCGCCATTTCAGCTCACTGCAACCCCCATCTCCGGGGTTCAAGCGATTCTCCTGCCTCATCCTTCCTAGTACCTGGGATTACAGGCGCCCGCCACCATGACCGACTAATTTTTGTATTTTCAGTAGAGACAGGGTTTTACCATGTTGGCCAGGATGGTCTCAATCTCCTGACATCAGGTGATTAACCTGCCTCAGCCTCCCAAAGTGCTGGGATTGCAGGCGTGAGCCCTGCCTCCCTGCCTCCTTGTGCTGGGTCCATTTTCCTTGTAAATTTCTTTGATTCTTGATTCATAGCACGTTCTCAAACCCAGCGTCCCAAACAAAAATGAAGTCCCTGCCAATAGAATCTGTCCTCAGAGTAGACCAGAGGAGGCCCCAGTCCTGGTGGGCGCTGGGACTCAGGACGGGGTACCCGGGTTCCAGGGTTCAGTCCGTACTCCTTCCAAAACCAGGACAGGGGAGCAGAGGAGCCCCAAGAGGCTACACGCAGGTGAGGAGTGACGGGATGTGGGGAGGGAGAGGTCTCTGGACCCCAGACGCAAACACCCATAGCCTATCTCCACTGCTCGAGTGCCTGGCTCACTCTCTCATTAAGACTGCGACTGCTAGAACCGGGGATAGTGGGTGGGAGTCCCAGGCTGGACCTTTTAAGGCGTCTGACTGTGAAGATTCGGCTCTTATTGTATATAGGGACTTGTCTCTTCTTCGGTGCCTCGAGTTTGCACTGCCAGAAGTAACAAAAAACAAAACAAAACAAAACAAAAACCACCAAAAACCAAACAAACGACAAAAAAAATAGCTTGTCAAAAGGGCTCTGGCAACACTGGTGACAGGACTCTAGATGAATTTTAAGAAGAGGTAGTGGGATAGTAGGCGGCGTCAACATAGCTTGAGACCTTTGTACAAATTACCTTTGCAGGGCGTCCACGTCCTGCGCTGAGGTCTGTAAGTCGAGCCGAATCTAAAAAAGAGCAGGAAACGACTTTTACCCTGCACCAAAAGCCGGGCTCGTCCGGGATTTGAACCCGGGACCTCTCGCACCCTAAGCGAGAATCATACCCCTAGACCAACGAGCCACACGATTTACGCATTAAGGTTATCTTTGTGGGCGTCCTAGCATCCTGGGGGCGGCTGGGGCGGACCCAGCAGGACCCAGTGAGTAGAATCTTATTTCAGACCCGCCTGGAAGGGGCAATTTCAAGTGAGGATGGGTGTGGCGGAAGCCCAGAGCCCCGGCCCCTCCTCCGCGACGCACAAAATGGGGAGCAGCCCTGGCGCTACCACAATCCAGAAGGGCCCTGGGTCCTCGCCCGCCACCGCCACTCGGCCTTGAGTTGGGGATTCGGCGTCTCCGAGGCGCGCAGTGAGGAGCTCCAGCTTCCGCAGGACATGGGAACCTCCCAATAGCAGGCAGCGGCTGCGCTGAGGGTCTGCGAGCCTCGATCACTGCAAGCTCGCCTTGGAAACGCTGCAGTCCCTCAGCGTGGCACCAATGGGTGTTCAATAAAGGCCTGACGGAGTGCACGAGACACCAGCTACCAGGCACCCTACCTCGCCGCACCTCACGCTTCTCCGGCTCCGGTCCTCCCTTCTCCCCAGGGAAGCCAAAACCCAGAAAGCGAGTTTCCCACGTGGGCCTCGAACCCTAAAGGCTGACGCTGAGAGTCTCTTTTCTCCATCGACTGAACCAGCCCCGCAGCGCCTGCCTGGCCTCAAGTGCCCAGGATGGCTGAGCTCTCGGAGAAGACGGCTTAGGCCACCAACTACGCTGCGCACCAGGGGCGATTCTGCGATGCGCCCCCTTGCCCTTCACTGGGGGGAGCTGGCGGGACCTCCAGTCCCCAGGACGTGAGGAGGAGCAAGAATGAAGGCCGTGGGGCAGCAGGCGTCGGGCATCGGTTCCGGGGCACCCTTTACTGTCACTCTGCCCTTCCCTGTATCCAGATTTCACCTGACTCCCGAGAATCCAGCAGATCTGGGCTAAAAGGGGCTCCCTGTCCCCTCCAGATCAAAGCCGCGAATTCCCTCGCTCTCAGTGGGAAGGCCCCGGGGTCTGGGGGTGGGGACAAGGGCCGAGACCCCCACCCCGCCAGGGCCGACTGAAGTGCTGCCCGCGGATGCCCGGTCTTCCCCGCCTCCCTCCTCTCACTCACTCCCCTCCCTTCTCCCCCGCTTCCGGTATTCTCCCCTTCTCCGAATAAACTGGAATTTTAAGCGGAGGAGGGCTCACCTGGGACTGGAGCAGCCATACTCTGGAATCCTAGAAAAAATTTATGCCCCTGTAGCGACCAATGAGCCCGGCGCATTCTTCCTTATTCTAAATAACCTCCTCCTGCTGCACGGGGTCGTCTCCTTTAACCGCAGTTGCCGCAGTTGGCAGCGCTGGATCCCATTTCACCAAGGCGAGCGATTCAGGCCCGTCCGTCTGCGTCCCGGGACCCCGGGAGGTCTCCACTGAGGCCCTGCCAATAGCAGCCTCCCTCCGCCTTCCTAGTCTCCTGTCCTTGCTGAAAATGCGAAATGGGAAAAAAGAGAAGGAAAAGGGGGCTCGTCCGGGATTTGAACCCGGGACCTCTCGCACCCAAAGCGAGAATCATACCCCTAGACCAACGAGCCGCCGCTTCCTTTTTTCTTTTTTCTTTTTTTTTTTTTTTTTTTCCTTTTTCTGGTGGGGGACACGTCCTTCCGTCCCTGACGCAGAGCGAGACTCTCTCCATCGCCCCAATAGCTCAGTCCTTAGCGCGCGCACCTGCGAATCTTGACTTGTGGGTTCGCGGCCACCCTCAGATTTCCGAGGCAGGCTTTACTCCTGCTGGGTAAACCAACAAGGTTACCCGCTGAGGTTATGAGCTGGTGGTTTCAATGTCGTGCTGGTATGATATATAGGTGCATTTGCCTATTACTAAGGTAAAAGGATTTCCAGGCAGGATAGAGATGTCAGAAATCATAAAGGAAATACACAGATTTTATCCAAGGTTTTAAAACGGCAAATGATAATCCAAAGAAAATACAATCGAAGTTACAAACTAAGGGCTTATTACTGGGCTACATAGATTTCGAATCCTTTAAAAAATTACATAGGCATATTTTTAAAAGACATTTAAGAAAAGAAATGAAGATCTATGACAAAAAAGGCTTCGTCTTCCTCACCTGGGACTATGGAGCATAAACGCTGCTTGCCGCAGCCTCTCTGGCTGGCAAGTGTAGCCTCGGGCTGGCCCTAAGGGCCATAGGTGGAAAACAACTGAGCCTTGAAGTGGAGACTGGAGAAAAAGAGATTGTCCTAGAGCTTGCATGGGAAGAGTTTCGGGACCCAGAAACTGGAAACATTGGATTTCCGTGACAAAGTTTGCCAAGTAGCAGTACATGGTGCAATGGGTGTGTCTGGAGGCTGGCGTGAGGCGTAAAAGGCAGCTGGGCCCGCTGCTTCAGTGACTTCCTTGAGACTCAAAGGAAGCCAAGGAGAACCCTGTCTACTCACCTGCAGGCATCTCTCCCGGTGTCTTATGTATTGTCTGCTCTGGAAGTCACAGAAAAGTGAAGGAGGCTGGGCGCGGTACCTCCCGCCGGTATTCCCAGCACTTTGGGAGGCCAAGGCGGGTGATCACTTGAAGCCAGGAATGCGAAACCAGCCTGGCCAACATGCCAGACCGCTGTCTCTACTAAAAATACAAAAATCAGCCTGGTATGGTGGCGCGTGCCTGTAGTCCCAGCTACTCAGGAAGCTGAGGCACGAGAATCGCTTGAACCCGGGAGATGGAGTTTAGAGTGAGCCCAGACTGCGCCACTGCCCTTCAGCCTGACAGGGTGAGACCCTGTCTAAAAAAAAAGAAAGAAAGAAAAAAAAAAAGGAAACAGAATAGAGTCCAACTGCTCATTCTCGTCAGTTACTGAATAGGGACTAGACTCTGCTGGTTTCCATGAACTAACTCATGCTGTTTTCTTTCTTTCTTTTTTTGAGACGGAGTTTTGCTCTTTTTCCCCGGGCTGGAGTGCAATGGGGTGATCTTGGCTCACCGCAACCTCTGCCTCCTGGGTTCAAGAGATTCTCCTGCCTCAGCCTCCCAAGTAGTTGGGATTACAGGCGTGTGCCACCATGCCAGGCTAATTGTTGTATTTTTAGTAGAGACGGGGTTTCTCTGTTTTGGTCAGGCTGGTGTCAAACTCCTGACCTCAGGTGATCCGCCTGCCTCAGCCTCCCAAAGTGCTGGGATTACAGGCGTGAGCCATTGCACCCAGCCTCATGTTGTTTTCAGCAGATGCACGAGGAGTACACCATTATCTTCATGTCTACAGATGACACAACTGGAGCCCTGGAAAGGTTAAGGAATTAGTTCAAGTTCACACAGCCAGGAAGTGCCCTGGAAAGTCTGGCTAGAGAACCACGTAAACAGCTGTCTTTGCACACCAACAGGTAATTCACAGAAAAAGGAAAGCAAACACACACACACATACACACACACACACAGATGGCCAATAAACATGAAAAACCACTCACCTCACTAGCAAAGTTTCTTTCCCCACTTTCTGAACTGCCCGCTGCATCAATTCCATTCTAGGCCTAGTTTATCTCATAGCCTTACCACAGAAGCCAGTGGGGAATAGCTATATGTCTGAATTCTCCAATTTTGGCATATGCTTTGACTCAGTATATTGATAATTGAGATATACTACACATACCATAAAATTCACTAAAGTGTGTAATTGAGTGGTTTTTATATATTCATGTGATTGTGCAACAGTCACTACTATCTAGTTCTAGAATGTTTTCATCAGCCCAAAACAGATGCAGTACCCATTAGCAGTCCTCCCTGTTCCTCCCTCCTCCAATCTTCTGGCAACCACTAGTATGCTTTCTGTCTCCACGCATTTGCCTGTTCTCTACATTTGATATAAATGGAATTATACAATAGCAGTCTTTCATGTCTGGCTTCTCTCACTTAACATAATGTATTCAAGGTTCATCCTTGTTGCATATGTCAATAATTCATTCCTAATTATGACAGAATAATATTTAGTATTATTGAATAATACTGTATTAGTTTGCTAGGGTCGCCATAACAGTACCATAGGCTGAGTGGATGAAATAACAGAAATTTATTTTCTCACTATTCTGGAGGCTGGAGTCTGAGACTAAGTATGGGCAGGGTTGGTTGGTGCTGAGACCTCCTTCCTTGGCTTGGGGACAGCCATCTTCTCCCTGGGCCTTCATACCATCTTCCCTTTGTGTATGCCTCTATCCAAGATCCAAATTATTATTATTATTATAATTTTGAGACAGGGTTTGTTACCCAGGCTGGAGGACAGTGGCATGAACATGGCTCACTGCAAGCCTCCACCTCCAGGGCTCAAGAGATCCTCCTACTTCAGCCTCCTGAGTAGCTGGGACTATGGGTGATTGCCACCACACTCAACTAACTTTTTTTTTTTTTTTTTTTTTTTGAGACGGAGTTTTGCTCTGTCGCCTAGGCTGGAATGCAGTGGCATGATCTTGGCTCACTGCAACCTCCGCCTCTCAGGTTCAAGCAATTCTCCTGCCTCAGTCTCCTGAGTAGCTGGGATTACAGCTGTTTGCCACCAGGTCTGGCTGATTTTCATATTTTTGTAGAGATGGGGTTTCACCATATTGGCCAGGCTGCTCTGGAACTCCTGACCTCAGGTTATCTGCCCACCTCGGCCTCCCAAAGTGCTGGGATTACAGTAGTGAGCCGCCATGTCTTGTCGACTAATTTTTTTATTTTTATTTTTTTGTACGAACGAGGTCTCACTATGTTGCCCAGGCTGGTCTCAAACTCACACCTGTAATCCCAGCACTTTGGGAGGCCGAGGTGGGTAGATCACTTGAGGTCAGGAGTTCAAAACCAGCCTGGCCAACATGGTGAGACCCCCGTCTCTACTAAAAATACAAAAATCAGCTGGGCGTGGTGACTCAAGCCTGTAGTTCCAGCTACTCGGGAGGCTGAGGCAGGAGAATTGCTTGAACCCAGGAGGCGGAGGTTGCAGTGAGCCGAGATTGTGCCACTGCACTCCAGCCTGGGCAACAAGAGCGAAACTGTGTCTCAAAACAAAACAAAACAAAACAAAACTATGAAGCCCGGTAATAAGCCCTTGATTTGTCATTCAGATTGTATTTTCTTTGGATTGTCATTTGCCGTTTTAAAAACTTGGGTAAAATCTGTACATTTCCTTTGTGATTTCTGACATCACTATCCTGCCTGGAAATCCTTTTACCTTAGTGATAGGCAAATGCACTTATATTTCATATCAGGACGACATTGAAACCACCAGCTCATAACCTCAACGGATAACCTGGTTGGTTTATCCAGCAGCAGTAAAGCCTGCCTCGCAAATCTGAGGGTGGCCGCGAACCCAAAAGCCCAGATTCGCAGGTGCGCGCGCTAAGGACTGAGCTATTGGGGCGATGGAGAGAGTCTCGCTCTGCGTCAGGGGCGGAAGGACGTGTCAAAAAACAACAACAACAACAACAAAACAGAGGGGAAGCGGCGGCTCGTTGGTCTAGGGGTATGATTCTCGCTTTGGGTGCGAGAGGTCCCGGGTTCAAATCCCGGACGAGCCCCCTTTTCCTTCTCTTTTTTCCCATTTCGCATTTTCAGCAAGGACAGGAGACTAGGAAGGCGGAGGGAGCCTGCTGCTGGCAGGGCGTCAGTGGAGACCTCCCGGGGTCCCGGGACGCAGACGGACGGGCCTGAATCGTTCGCCTTGCGGTCGGTCCTATCACCCTGAAATGGGATCCAGCATCCCATCACCCTGAAATGGGATCCAGCACTACCAACTGCGGTAGCCGTGGTTAAAGGAGACGACCCCGTGCAGCAGGAAGAAGTTATTTAGAATAAGGAAGAATGCGCCGGGCTTGTTTATTTACGGGCATAAATTTTTCGTAGGGTTCGACGGTATGGCGGCTCCAGTCTCAGGTGAGCCCTACCCTAGCTTAAAATTGCATGGTATTGCGGGGAGTAATGTATGTGGCGGGGTGTCAGAGGGAGGGGAATGAGGGAGAGACGAAGGAGGGGCGAAGGCCGGGGCTCAGCTGGCAGCACTTTAGTGGGCCCTGGCGGGGTGGGGGTCTCGGGCCCCGTCTCCACGCCCAGACCCCGAGGCCTTCCCACTGAGCCAGGAAATTCGAGGCTTGGATCCGGAGGGGATGGGGAGACGTTTTCAGTCCAGACCTGCCGAATTCTCGGGCTCCGGGTGAAATTTGGACACAGAGAAGGACAGAGTGACAGTAAAAGGTGCCCCGGAACCGACACCTGGACGCGGCCTCTGCTGCCCCAAGCGGCCTCTGCTTCCCCACGTCCTGGTGACCGGAGGTTCCGCCAGTTCCCCCAGTGAAAGGGAAGGGGGTACATCGCTGACTCCGGCGGGCGCCGCGGGTCTGGTGGAGCGAAGCGACGCTCAGTGTCAGCCTCTTGAATTGAGGTTCCACGTGGGAAGCTCACCTTCTGGGTTTTGGCTTCCCTGGGGGAGAAGAGAGGACCGGAGCGGGAGAAGCGTGGGGCGCGTCGAGGTAGGGGGCCTGGTGGCTGGTTCCTGGTGCACTGGCGAGGCCTCTACTGACCACCCATCTGCACCACGCCGCCGGGCTGCAGCGTTTCCAAGGCGGGCGTCCAGTGGTCGCGGTTCGCGGACCCTCCGCGCAGCCGCTGCCAGCTCTTGAGAGGTTCCCATGTCCCGCCGGAGCTGGAGCTCCTCACTACGCGACGCGGCGTGACGCGCGGATCCCCAGCCCAGGGCTGAGAGGCGGAGGCGGGCGAGGGCCCGGGGGGCCCCGGATTGTGGGGGCACAGGGGATGCTCCCCATTTTGTGCGGCGCAGGGAGAAGCGGGGGCTCAGGGCTCCCTCCGCGTCCACCCGCGCTTGAACTTGTCTCTTCCAGACTTCAGGAAATCGGAGTCTCCTCCTAGCTCTGCTCTGCTGGGTCCCCACCTCTGGCCACGAGGACTCCACGAAGGCCACAAAGACAAGCCGGAGGCTACGGGGCGTGTGGCTCGTTGGTCTAGGGGTATGATTCTCGCTTAGGGTGCGAGAGGTCCCGGGTTCAAATCCCGGACGAGCCCGGTTTTTGGTCCAAAATATCGGTTTCTACCCTTTCCTACTTTAGATGAAGATCAGAGATCCAGACAGCTCTGACAGGTCAGCGCAGCCCGAGTCCTTCGAAGTTAGTTTGTTTGTTTGTTTTGAGACAGAGTCTCTGTCGCCCCGGCTGGAGTGCAGTGGTGCTATCTCACCTCACTGCAACCTCCGCCTCCTGGGTTCAAGCAATTCTCCTGCCTCAGTCTCCCAGGTAGCTGGGACTACAGGCACGTGCCACCATGTCTGGCTAATTTTTGTACTTTTTTTTTAGTAGAGACAGGGTTTCGCCATGTTGGCCAGGCTGGTCTCCAACTCCTTACTTCAGGTGATCAGCCCGCCTCGGCCTCCCAAAGTGCTAGGATTACAGGCGTCAGCCACCGCGCTCAGACTTCGAAGTTAATTTGTACAAAGATCTAAAGCTGTCTGACACCACCCACTGCCACATTTAAAATTTATTTGGAGTTTTCTCACCACTGTCGTCAGAGCCCTATTCCCTAATATTTTTGTTTGATATTTTGCTATTTTTGTTTTCTGCTTTTATTATTATTTTTATTTATGAGCTACTTTTGTCAGTAGGAATTCATTCGAGGCACTGAAGAAGAGATAAGTCCTTCCTATATACAGTAAGAGCCGAGTCTTCACTGTCAGACACCTTAAAAGCTCTACACTGGGATTCCCACCCAGTGTCCCTGGCTCCGGCGGCTAGAGCCTTAAGGAGAGAAAGCCGGGCACTTGAGCAGAGGAGATGGGCTATGGGCGTTTGTATCTGGGGTCTAGAGTCCTCTCCCTCCCCACATCCCGACACTCCTCACCTGCGTGTAGCCTTCTGGGGCTCCTCTCCTCCCCTATCCTAGTTCTGGAAGGGGTACAGACTGAACCCAGGAACCCGGGTATCTGCGTCCTGAGTCCCAGCGCCCACCAGGACTGGGGCCTCCTCACATCTACTCTGAGGACAGAATCTATTGGCAGAGTCTTCCTTTTTGTTTGGGATGCTGGGTTTGAGAACATGCCGGGAACCAAGAGTCGTGACTAATCCAATTTTGAGCGCTTGAGGACCAAGTGGAAAGAAACTCAAGCAGATTTAAAGTGACCAATGTCTGGTTATGCCCTTGAGCCCCTGCAGAAGCAAACAATAATTTTGTGTGTGTGTGGACAAATACATTTGTATTCCAGATCTCACAGAATTTCCTACACAAAGAAATTTGCAAGGAAAATGGACATTGCACCCTAAAAATTAACAAGGAAAGAAGGTACCAGGAGCAACAACTCATTAACAGGAACAGAAACAATATTGCAAATATTTCAGATGCAAAGTGTATCCGACTTATAATACAACTGTCCCTACTGTGTCTAAAGAAATGAAAGGCAATAAAGAAAATATCTTTGACATCAGGACCTCCAACCTTCTTGATTGAAAAAAGAACCAAATAGTTCTAGATATAGAAGCACACGGTAATGGAAAGGGAACAACTAGATGCACGCCACAGTAGGTTACAGTGCGGAGCAGCACCTGCGAGGGCTTCTGTGAGTCCCAGTGAGCTTTGGGCTTTCTGTCTGCAGCTGCAAGGATGGCCCATACACAGCAGAACTCTCCTGTCCCTGTAACTCAAGTGGCCTCAAAAAAAAAAAAAAAAAAAAAAAAAGGGTTGCCAAGGTTGTCATTGACTCTTTAAGTGCGTGCAGTCGCAGTCTGAGAATGTTTTTTCTCTTTCTGAAAGAAGGCCTTTTCAGAGGAGGGCACGGACTGGGAGAACACAGATATATGCCGGCGCGGTGACGAAGGAGACTCTGGCAGGTCACCCCCATTTATGGGAGATTGCGGGGTGGTGAGGGAAATCCTGCACTAGCGGGGACGTCGGTGGCGAACTGAGTCTGTTGTGGGGGACCCCAAGCGCGCCCTGGTTTCCCGGGGTGATTCATTACCTCCCTTTGTTTCCACCACCCTTAGGCCACTCGGCCCATTTGTAGATATGGAAAAGATCCTATAAGGAAGCCCGGCTAGCTCAGTCGATAGAGCATGAGACTCTTAATCTCAGGGTCGTGGGTTCGAGCCGCACGTTGGGCGTGCCTTTTGCTGTACCATGAAGGTACATCTTTTTCTCCCAGCTTTCTGCCCCTGGCAATGCAAGACTTGGTGAAAGAAGAAACTCAAGCAGAAGATTTAAAGTGACCAATGTCTGGTTATGCCCTCCCCTGCTTATTCCAGAAAGCCATCCTGGCTCCTGCCCCATGGATGCGGTTCCTACCTGGAAGACCAGGAGAACAGTAATTCCTCGCTCCTTGATAGCAGAGGCCCTGGGGAAGACCCCCACTAGGGTTTTCCTTTTCTGGGATCCCAACAGGGCTGTCCTCATTAAAACAGAAGAAAGTCTGAGAACCTTAGCTTGTACAGGATTGGACTCTCTTGTACCCTAAGCAACAATCATAGCCTGGACAAGGAGCCACCTACAAAACCTTTCTCTGCTTATCTCCCATCGTCCTTATGCCTGGCTCCACCCTTGTCCAGCAACACTGCCCAGATGCTGATCCCCAGGGGGTCATGTCAGGTAGAGTTTGACTCAGGTCCCATCAAGTAGAGGGGGATAGAGATCCCAATGTTCACTAGTTTGACAGTCCCAGTGTCTGGCTTTCCTGCCTTCCTCTCTGATTAGAGGCCTCCAGCCCAGGGAGGTGGGTGCCGGATCCTCCCAGAAGTGCCCAGTGCAGCCGGAGGGAGCAGCTGTGGTCTCCTGAGTTACCCAACCTCCCTCCACCCGGACCCTCTGGGTGCATACAAGATTTCACTGGATCTCTGCTTGTACGGCCAGCGTGGTGCTGCTGGTACCTGCTTGCAGAGTTGTGAGGCTGGTGACGGTGACCCAGGGGGCAGAGATTAGGATGTTCAACATTAGCAGTAGACGTAGCTAATGCTTA
This sequence comes from Homo sapiens, assembly GCF_000001405.40. Taxonomy (NCBI): domain Eukaryota; kingdom Metazoa; phylum Chordata; class Mammalia; order Primates; family Hominidae; genus Homo; species Homo sapiens. The sequence continues at coordinate 3,179,705 of NC_000016.10, read as the reverse complement.
TTAGGCTCACCATGCCTAACACTCTTGTAAGCTCTTTACTTATCTAAACTCGTTTAATCTTCACTACTATACTCTTATTATTGCATTTTCAGACAAAATTGAGGAGCTGGGATGGAAACATGGAAACCCAGTCAACCTGCCACAGAATGTGCCCTCCCAACCCCAGCAGGTCAGGGAAGCGGACGGCAGGGAAGAGAAGGTCTGCTTGACTTGGTGTCGGCATTCCTGGGGCAGTGAGGTTTATTGACTGATTGATTTACTGATTGAGATGAGTCTCGCTCTGTCACGCAGGCTGGAGTGTGGTGATGGGATATCCGCTCACTGCAACCTCTGCCTCCCGGGTTCAAGGAATTCTCCTGCTCAGCCTCCCTTGAGTAGCTATGATTGCAGGAACGCGCCACCACGGCCGGCTAATTTTTGTATGTTTTTAGTAGACATGGGGTTTCACCATGTTGGCCAGGCTGGTCTCGAACTCCTGGCCTCAGGTGATCTGCCTGCCTCTGCCTCCTAAAGTGCTGGGATTACAGGCGAGAGCCACCGCGCCCGGCCGGTTTATCAGAATAGTTTTTTTTTTTTTTTTTTTTTTTTTGAGATGGAGTTTTGCTCTTGTTGCCCAGGCTGGAGTGCAATAGCACCTTCCTGGCTCACCACAACCTCCGCCTCCCGGGTTGAAGCGATTTTCCTGCCTTCACCTCCCAAGTAGCTGGGATTACAGGCATGCACCACCACGCCCGGCTAATTTTGTATTTTTAGTACAGATGCAGTTTCTCCGTGTTGGTCAGGTTGGTCGCAAACTCTCGACCTCCAGGTGATCTGCCTGCCTTGGTCTCCCAAAGCGCTGGGATTACAGGTGTGAGCCACCTCACTCAGCCTATTTAGGATAGTTTATAATGAAAAATACATTGGCACAACTCCTCGGGTGTGCTCCTTAATGCTGCTGCAAGGAACACCACTCAAAATCCAGACCTGGCCTTCTGAGATAGGTCAAGCTGTAAGGTCACTTGGAGCCCACTGAGGAAAGTGGCACTGGGCCGGGCACAGTGGCTCAAGGCTGTAATCCCAGCACTTTGGGAGGCCGAGGTGGGTGGATCGTCTGAGATCAGGAGTTCGAGACCAGCCTGGGCAACATGGTGAAACCCCGTCTCCACTAAAAATACAAAAATTAGGCAGGCATGGTGGCAGGCGCCTGTAATACCAGCTACTTGGGAGGCTGAGGCAGGAGAATCGCTTGAACCCAGGAGGCAGAGGTTGCAGTGAAGCAAGATCATGCCATTGCACTCCAGCCTGGGTGACAAGAACGAGACTGCGTTTCAAGAAAGGAAGGAAGGAAGGAAGGAAGGAAGGAAGGAAGGAAGGAAGGAAAAGAAAGAGGCACTGATCAGTAGGCCTGCTTTTCTATTTTGCTTTTTCTGAAATTTTGAGATAGAGTCTCACTTTGTCACCCAGGCTGGAGTGCAGTGATGCAGTCACAGCTTACTGTAGCCTCGACCTTCTGGGCTCGAGTAGTCCTTCCACTTCAGCCTCTCAGGTAGCTGAGACTACAGGCTGAGCCACAATTCTTGGCAATTTATTTTTTGTAGTAGCAGTAGCAATAGTAGAGATGGGGTCCCTCTTGGTTGCCCAGCCTGGTCTTGAACTCCTGGGCTCAAGTAATCCTCCCTTCTCAGACTACCCAAGTTCTGGGATTATAGGAATGTGCCGTCAAGCCTGATTCAGGCATGCTTTTCACATAAGGCGTAAGAGATCTCAGGTTCTAGTCCTGAATAAGCCCAAAGTTTTTTCCTTCTAAAATCACTAACATTCTAGGTTAGGGGCTTGGTCCCTTCCGTTCCTGTGGTCCTGAGGAGCAACTGTGGGGAGTAAAGGTGGGGAAGCCAGTGCCCTCCAGTTTCCCTGCAGGGCTTGCAAGGGATTGGGGATCGAGTCCTGGAGACTCTATAGGTAAAGAGGAAAAATCTTGGAGGACAGCGAGAGTCGGTGTGAAGGATCAAGAATTGCCGGTTGTAGGCCCGGCACGGTGGTTCACACCTGTAATCCCAACACTTCAGGAGACGGAGGTGGGCGAATCACTTGAGGTCAGGAGTTTGTTATATACAAAGTTTCGGTGCCGCAAAAGAAATAGCCCGAAAATATAAAATTTTGTTTTTAATTCTCAGCAAGGCAAGGTACTTCTATAGAAGGGTGCGCCCTTACAGATGGAGCAATGGTGAGAGCACACTTGGACAAGGGAGGGGAAGGGGTTCTTATCCCTTTCGCACGTGGCCCCTGCTGCTGTGTCATTCCCCTATTGGCTAGGGTTAGACCGCACAGGCTAAACTAATTGCCATTGGATAATTTAAAGAGAGTGACGGAGCGAATGGTTTGGCGGGAAAAATGGTTATTACAGAGCAGGTAATCGAAAGAGTCAGGGTGGAGTAGGTAATTGAAAAAGGTTGCTTTATGAGGAAGTTAAGTTTAAAAGTAGAAGGTAAAGAATTGAACATACTGACATATTGAATCTTTGAAAAGAAATTTGGAACTCATATCTAACAAGTTGGAGACCAGCCTGGCCAACATGGTGAAACCTCGTCTCTACTAAAAATACAAAAAGTAGCTCGGTGTGATGGCACGTGCCTGTTCCCAGCTACACGGGAGGCTGAGGCAGGAGAATCGCTTAACCCTGGGAGGCAGAGGCTGCAGTGAGCCGAGATCGCGCCACTGCACTCCAGCTTGGGCAACAGAGTGAGACTCCATTTAAAAAAAAAAAAAAGTGTACAATTTGGTAAGTTTTGGCAGTCCGTCACTCTCTGCTTTCTGTCACTGTATTATTTTGCATTTTCTAGAGTTTTACACACATGGGATCATCATTATATAACATTATTTTTTATGACATTATCCTCCATTTTGGATTTATGATAATTTCATTTAATCTATGCCCTATTTTGGGGCAAGTAGATTGTTTCCATTTGTTTTTTGTTGTGTTTTGTTTTGTTTTTTGAGACGGAGTCTCGCTCTGTTGCCCAGGCTGCTGTGCAGTGGCGCGCGATCTCGGCTCACTGCAACCTTCACCTTCCGGGTTCAAGCGATTTTTCTGCCTCAGCCTCTCCAGTAGCTGGGACTACAGGCGCGCACCATCACGCCCAGCTGATTTTTGTGGTTTTGGTACAGACGAAGTTTTACCATGCCAGGCTGGTCTCGAACTCCCGACCTCGTGATCCACCCACCTTGACTTCCCAAAGTACTGGGATTACAGGCGTGAGCCACCGCGCCCAGCCTGTTTCCTGGTTTTTAAGTATAATCTCAGAATAAATATTTTTTGATGCAAAATATCTATGTAAATCTATTACTACTTTTCTAGGACACGAGCCCTCAGTCAGGCTGGTGGGAATATAAAATAATCCAGCCACTGTGAATAATAGCCTCAAAATGTTAAACACAGAACTACCAAATGACCCCAAAATTCCATTCCTAAGTGGAATTCCACTCCTATGCTCAAGGAAATTTAAGACATATGTTCATACTAAACCATGTACACAATGTTCACTTTAATGAGCTGAGTTGTGACTGTCCACCATCCATATGTTGAAGTTCTAACTCTCAGTCCCTCAGAATGTGGCTGTATTTGGAGACTGGGTATTTAAAGAGGTAATTAAGACAAAATGAGGTTATTAGGATGGGCCTTAATCCAATATGACTGGAGTCCTTACAAGAAGAGGAAATTCAGGGCAGGCGCGGTGGCTCACGTCTTTAATCCCAGCACTTTGGGAGGCTGAGTCAGGTAGATCACCTGAGGTCAGGAGTAGTGAAACCCCACTCCAGGATGGTTTCCTGGGATGAGCAGGCATCTGCTTTCACCAAATCTTGCATCGCCAGGGGCAGATGGCTGAGAGAAGAAAATTGACCCAGTTGGAACAGAAACTCACAATGCTATCCTTGCGGGTGAGGCTCGCAGTAAAAAGGAATCGCCCAACGTGGGGCTCGAACCCACGACCCTGAGATTAAGAGTCTCATGCTCTACCGACTGAGCTAGCCGGGCGACACGCCAACGTTACCTTAGTGGATTTCTAGATTACAGCAGAGTCCAGGACCAGGAGTCTTCAGTGTCGGGACTACACTGTAGAACACAGTTGCTCCGCAGTAAGCGTTGCCCTCAGGCCTGCCCCAAAGGCGAGGCGCAGCAGGAGGCCCCCGAGGTAGCTGGATCTGGGTCTTTCTCTGCGTCAGAGGCCCACCCGCGGACGCCCCACAGGCCGGCACCTCCTGAGTGTCAGGGTGACTGGCCCTGGCACCCGCCCCGACTCAGGGCTGTGGAAGCGGGTCTGACCCGTGGATTCCTCGTTCACACGAAATACCTTTGCTGAGCCCCGACTTCGAGCCCAGCCAGATCCCATGGAGGCAGCAGACCCTGGGCATCCAGCCCCGTTGGAGGGTGTGGCACAGAGCCGCAGCTGCCAAACTGGAGCAAGAAATTGTTGTGACTCCTGCCCAAAGGATGGGGGTGGGGGTGGGGAAGAGGGAGGGACTGCAGGAACTGCGAGGCACCCCGGAAAGAAAACCGTGTCCCCACCAGGGGGAGGTGGGCTGGGGTGGGCTGGGTTGCAGGGGGCCGGGAGAAGGTGGGAGGCGGCCGGCAGTGACGGCGGGAAGCAGACAGGAAACCTCCGTGACCCAGCGGCCTCCTGCGCTGGGTTCCTTGCCTCGCGTCCCACCTGGGCAGGTGACGGTTTCCCGTTCCTTTCTAGGACCCTTAGCCTTTGCCGCTGCTGTTCGGCTGAAGAAGAATTCCCTAGCCAGGTTCGGTGGCTCACGCCTGTGATCCCAGTACTTTGGAAGGCCGAGGGGGTAGGATCGCTTGAGCCCAGGGGTTGGGGACCAGCCTGGGCAATATAGCGAGACACCCGTCTCTACAAAAAATAAAAATTTAAACATTAGACGGGCGTGGTGGCGCGCGCCTGGAGTCCCAGTTACTCGGGAAGCTGAGGCTGCAGTGAGCTATGATTGCACCATCGCACTCCAGCTTCGGCAACAGGGCAAGACCCTGTCTCAGAAAAAATAAAAATTAAAAAAAAAAAAAAGAATCCCCCCCTGAGCCCTCAGCACTTGCATCTCCCCAGGTTCGAGTCTCCTCCTTGGCAGGGCTGTGCGGGCGGCGGCTTCAGGCGCTCCGTGGACTCTGTTTTTCCTGGCTCTTCTGTTCTCACTCCACGCTGAGGTCCTATTTCTTCCAGGACCCCAGAGTTCAGCCAGGAGGGGGCGCCCCTCAAACCCTACGTCCAAGGTTTAAGGGAGATGCCTGAGAGGGCTCAAGTCACATGCCTGAGAGTAAGGGGTGGGGGGAGTGGAGTCTCATCTCGACCCACCTAGCTAGCCAGACTGGGGCAGGCTGTTATGCTGCCGTGGTGGTCGGGCCTTGCCGCCCGGAGGAAGGCTATCCGGACAGGAAACGAGCAGTTTAAAAAAGAAAAGAAAAAGTGGGAGGGGCTGAGGGCAGCTCTAACCTCAGCAGGTTTTTCCAGCAGCGAGAGGGGAGTGTGTATGGGGTGACCCCTCACGTTCAGCCCCAGCACTGGGGCTTCGACCTGGGCTTTCCGTTTTTTTACTTCTTCTTGGGCTGGTGAATCACCATACCAAACACCTGGAGGATTTGCTGTATCAGCTAGGCTCTGGAAAGAAGAAACAAAACCATTAGAAGAGATACTTGAGACGGATGACGCTTATGTGTACACGTGCATGGATGTGTTGCTATTTTTACTAGATTTATTTAAATGAATTGGCACATGTGATCGGGCAAGTCTGAAATGTATAGGCTGGGCAGCCAAGAGTTAATGTGGAAGTCTTCAAGCACTGTTCTACATGCTTTACCAAAACATGAAGAAATTTTAATACTCGAATTAATCTTTTAATTGCCATTATCCTCACATTACAGATGTGTAAGCTGGGGCCTTTGAGAGCCTCAATTTTGTGGGTCCATGTTTGTGGGGTGCAGATGAGGGATGGGGAGCCTGGTCCTGTCATCTTTCCCTCTACCCCTAAAAGAACTGTCCGAGGCCGGGAGCAGCGGCTCATACGTGTAATCCCAGCACTTTGGGAGGCCGAGGCTGGCGGATCACCTGAGGTCAGAAGTTCGAGACCAGCCTGGCCAACATGGTGAAACCCTGTCTCTACTAAAAATACAAAAAATTAGCCGGGAGTGCTGTTGAGTCCCTGTAGTCCCAGCTACTCGGGAGCCTGAGGCACGTGAATCACTTGAACCCGGGAGGCAGAGGTTTCAGTGAGCCAAGATCACACCATTGCACTCCAGCCTGGGTGACAGGGACTCTGTCTCAAATAATAATAATAATAATAAAATAGCTGGGCGCGGTGGCTCACGCCTGTAATCCCAGCACTTTGGGAGGCCGAGGTGGGCAGATCACGAGGTCAGAAGTTTGAGACCAGCCTGGTCAATGTGGTGAAACCCTGTCTCTGCTAAAAGTACAAAACATTAGCCAGGTGTGGTGGCGGGCGCCTGTAATCCCGGCTACTCAGGAGGCTGAGGCAGGAGAATCACTTGAACCCAGGAGGCGGAGGTTACAGTGAGCCAACCAAGATCGCACTGCTGCACTCCAGCCTGGGAGACACAGTGAGAGTCCGTCTCAAAAAAAAAAAATTTAGCCAGGCGTGGTGGCACCCACCTATACTCCCAGCTACTCAGAAGCTGAGGAAAGAGAATCTCTTGAACCCTGGAGGCACAGGTTGCAGTGAGCCGAGATGGTGCCAATGCACTCCAGCCTGGCAACAGAGCGACACCTTCTCAAAGAAAAGTATAATTATATAATACAATTATATTATTATGATATAATCATATTATTAATATAATTATATGATACATATATACTACATATAATATATAAACACATATAAAATATATATGTTTAGATATAAAACATATGTTTTTCATATGTGTGTATATTATTCAATACTGTAGACACGAAATCTAATTTCCATGTGTAATGAGAGAATGAGATATCTTATTTTTTTGGTACGAAGTCTTCAAAATCCCGATGTGTATTTTGTACTCACAGCAGCACATCTCAAGGGGACCAGCCATATTTCAAGTGTTTAAGAGCCATATGTGGCTCCTGGGCACCTTCCTGGCTAGCGCAGCAGGGGGCCATCGGGTCAGGCAGCTTTGACCTGCTCTCAACGAGCTTCATCTGTGACTCCGCCTTGGCCTGCAGAGATGTGGGTTTCTAGGGCGGGGAGGGGAGGTCGAGGAACGAGTAGCTCTCCAGGGCCCGCCCAGACCGTGCACACTACTCGATCACTCAGAACCCAACCACCGGCCTCCACCATACCCGGAGCCCATGTGGAGCTGAGCGACCCGGGCTGCAGAGGGTACAGCTTCTCTGGTCTGGGGTTGGGAAGGAGAAGGGCGCGGGACTCCCTCGAGGCTGAGGCAAGTGCCGACCAGGCCAGCCTCAGGAGCATCCTTGTCCCTTGTAGCTGAGGCACAGACCTGGACCGACCTGAAGCGGAGCAACGCGACTGGTAGTTGAGGCTTCAGGCTCGGTCCCCGATTTTCTAGCTCTATATTCTCTAAAATGACAAGGGAAAAGTAACCACTTCTAGGGCTCGTCCGGGATTTGAACCCGGGACCTCTCGCACCCGAAGCGAGAATCATACCCCTAGACCAACGAGCCTCCCGTGCGTGTATTTCCGCTGACATTTCAGACACCTGCCACCAATCCGGCACAAATCGGCTGATTCCGAAGTGGATAGAGCTCATCGCCGTCCCCAAGTGATTGGCAGAATTCTGGGGTCGCTGCGGGGAGACCCTGGTGAACCAGCCCCTTGGAGACAGAGCCCATCCACACTGGGCTTGGTAGGGGATGCTCAGGGTCAGGCCTGCAGCCTGGGGCTCCCCGCTGTATTTTCCCCTGCGCCGGGGTTACCGGGTCTGCGCTCACACCTGGGGCTGCTGACTCATACCCAAGGCCTTGCCCTAGGAGGATGGCTGAGCGGCCAGCCCACCTTTCATCCGACTGCGCCGGTGGTTGGCTCCATCCCAGAGGCGCCCCCATAGCCTCCCTCGGATGGAGCCCAGCGCCTCTGCCCTGACTCAGACGTTAGCTCTGCCCCCGTGTCTTCCTCTGTCAGCAAGAGCTGAAAAAGTTCCAGGAGGTCACTGGGGATGAGCAGCGACGGCAAAGGGCATCACAGCGACACACACTCGCTCCGTTTCTGTTTCTCTCTCACTCTCTCTCCAGGCGCTGTGGTTTTGCGGTTATGATTAGGGTGAGAGTGGGCCTCAGGGTCAAATCCTGTTGGGCCAATACCGCAACACCTTTTGAATCCTTCTTTAAGGACCTGAGCAGGTTGGAAAGCCAGTGGACGCGGCCTGGATGTGGAGAGGATCCAGCGAGTTCCGCGTGTGGTGGGCGAGAGGGTCCTGCCCATCGCCACAGGCCGCCCGCCCTATTTTGCCCTAGATCAACCCCACCCCAGACCTGAGCGCTGTCCCACTCCGGGGACTCCCTCCTCCCCTCTGGTTGGGCTTCTCGCTGCCGCGATCGTGGGCTCCCGGCCACGCTCCTAGAGCTGGCATCGACGTTTATGGAGAGCGGAGAATACGAAGTCTTGGGTTCCAGAAAGATAAGGCGCGGGGCGGGAGGGGGGTGAGGGAGTGGAGGAGCAAAGATGGTGCTTCCCGCCACCGAGGCCTGTTGGTCTAGAGGTATGATTCTCGCTTTGGGTGCGAGAGGCCCCGGTGCGAGTCCCAGAGGAGCCCAGCCTGCCGTGATCAGCTGTTGTTTGTTAGCCTGGTAAATCCAGCGCGCAAGAACAAGAATGGAGCGAATGAAAGAATCTTTCACAGGCAAAGCCGGCGCTTCCTCCCTCTCCTACCTTCTTCGGTTTCTCAAACTGCAGGATGAGACCCCACCAGGCGGGGCCTTGGGCCCCGGGCCCGGGTTTAAGAACCCGGAAATCAGCTCACCGCCAGCCACCTCCTGGATCCAGGACTGAGTACTCTGGACAGCGCGCGACCGGCCGTTTTTCTTCTTTTAGGAAAGGACTGCGGGTACAGGTGCTTGACTGAGGGTGGGAGTGAATGAAGACGGTGTCCGGGGACCCGGTGGCCGCAGCCAACTCAGTCTCCGCGTCCCTCGCTTGTTGGTCTAGAGAAGTAAGCGAACGCGATGGACGCCTCCCCCGGCAGGAGCCTCTGTACTGGGCGGGGGCAGGGGGGCTGCCCAGCCCCAGCGGATGGAACCCGGGCACCTGGTCACGCCGCCTCCCAGATTCCGGGGCGCAATGGGCTCAGAGGCTCAACTTCCTTCTCTCTTTAATCCCCTTCCCTCGCGGGGATCTGAACTGAACCTAGGACAGTTCTGAAGTTAACACCCCTCTTCCAAAGTAAAAGACCCAGACCATATTTTAATTCTTTAAAAAAGAACAAGTCGGCCGGGCGCGGTAGCTCACGCCTGTAATCCCAGCACTTTGGGAGGCCGAGGCGGGCGGATCACGAGGTCAGGAGTTCAAGACCAGCCTGCCCAACATGGTGAAACCCCCATCTCTACTAAAAATACAAAAAATTAGCCAGGCATGGTGGTGCATGCCTGTAGTCTCAGCTACTCGGGAGGCTGAAGCAGGGGAATCGCTTGAATCCGGAGGTGGTGGTTGCAGTGAGCTGAGATGGGGCCACTGCACTCCAGCCTGGTGACAGAGCAAGACTTCGTCTCAAAAACAAACAAACAAACAAAAAAGAACAAGTCAAGCTGGGCAGGGTGGCTCATGCCTGTAATCCCAGCACTTTGGGAGGCCTAGGCGGGCAGATCATTTGAGGTCGGGAATGAGACCAACCTAGCCAACATGGTAAAACTCCGTCTCCACTAAAAATACGAAAATTAGCTGGGCTTGGCTGCATGCACCTGCAATCCCAGATATTTGGTAAGCTGAGGCAGGAGAATCATTTGAACCCGGGAGGCGGAGGTTGCAGTGAGCCGAGATCACGTCACTGCACTCCAAGCTGGGCGACAAGAGCAAGACTCCGTCTCAAATAAACTAAAATAAAATAAAATAAAATGAAAAAGAACAAGTCAGGTCTAGATTTATCTACATGGAGTCAAATTTTTTATTCTCAAAGATCACAGGCGTCGTGTGTTAAAGCATGCATCTAATTTTTTGGTGGGCACAATAGTAGGCACAAAATAAAGAGCACACAGTTCAAAGTGAAGATTGACAATAACCAAGAAAAATACCTTTGAAAAACAGCCAGTGTTCATTTTCTGGCATTGATGCTGAGCCACAGTTATGGAAGTCTTAGGGGATACTGGGTGAATGCTACACAAGAGTTTTCTGTACTTTTTTTTTTCTTTTTGACCACTTACTGTGAATCTATAATTGTTTTAAAATAAAAAGTAAATAGGCTGGCCCAATGATGCACATCTGTAATTCCAGCATTTTGGGAGGCCGAGGAGGGAGGATCACTTGATCCCAGGAGCTCAAGACCATCCTGGGCAACATAGAAAGACCCGGTAGCTAAATTTAAATAAATCAATCAGGCCGGCTACGGTGGCTCATGCGTGTAACCCCAGGACTTTGGGAGGCTGAGGCGGGTGGATCACTAGAGGTCAGGACTTAAAGACCAGCCTGGCCAGCATGGTGAAACCCTGTCTCTACTAAAAATACAAAAAATAGTCTGGCGTGGTGGCACACGCCTGTAATCCCAGCTACTCGGCAGGCTGAGGCAAGAGAATCGCTTGAATCCGGGAGGTGGAGGTTGCAATGAGTTGAGTTCACGTCACTGCATTCCAGCCTAGGTGACAGAATAAGACTTCATCTAAATAAATAAATAAAATTAGCTGGGTGTGGTGGCACAAGTCTGTTGTTTCAGCTACTTGGAAATCTGAGGTAGGAGAATTCCTGAGTCCAGGAGGCTGAGACTGCAGTTAGCTACGATCACACCACTGCACTCCAGCCTGGGCAACAAAGCAAGACCCTGTCTTGGAAAAATAAAATAAAATGAATAGACTTTCAAAAATTACAGGCTGTCATAAGGGTGTTGTCATATATAGATGAGTTCCTGACATGGGAACAATGAGTCTAGGAGTGACATTTAAGCTGAGACAGGAGAGAAAATACGGGGCCAGTCAAGAAAGAGGAGGAAGAACAGCATTCCAGTCCAGGAACTGGTAACTGATGGGAGTTGAAGCAAAGAAGGAAAATAATTGGCTGGACGCAATGTCTCACAAGACGATCCCTTGAGCTCAGGAGTTTGAGACCAGCCTAAGCAACATAGTGAGGCCCCATCTCTACAGAAAACACACAAAAAAATTAGCTGGTGCATGAGGTGGGAGTATTGCTTGAGCTGAGAAGGTTGAGGCTGCAGTGAGCTGTGTTCTCACCACCATGCTGCAGCCTGGGTAACAAAGTAAGATTCTGGCTGGTCACGGTGGCCCATGCCTGTAATCCCAGCATTTTGGGAGGCCGAGGCTCACCTGAGGTCAGGAGTTCGAGAGAAGCCTGGCCAACATAGTGAAACCCCAACTCCACTAAAAATACAAAAATTAGCCTGGTGTGGTGGGCACCTGTAATCCTAGCTACTCCAGCTACTCGAGAGGCTGAGGCAGAGAGAATTGCTTGAACCCGGCAGGTGGAGGTTGCAGTGAGTGGAGATTGCACCACTGCACTCCAGCCTGGGTGACAGAGCAAGATTCTGCCTCTAAAACAAACAAACGATTAATGCAGGTGTGAATTGCATCAAGCGCCCTTCCAAACATTAAGATCACCACATAGCTTCTTTTTTATTCTGTTAATATGATGAATTATTTTGATAATTTTCTTGAATTTAGGCCAACCTTGTACTCTTGGAATATACCTAGTTCAGCCTTTATTTGATAGCTCCAGTCTTTCTTTTTTTTTTTTATTTCTATTTATTTTTATTTTTTTGAGACGGAGTCTTGCTCTGTCACCCAGGCTGGAGTGCAGTGGTGTGATCTCAGCTCACTGCAAGCTCCGCCTCCTGGGTTCACGCCATTCTCCTGCCTCAGCCTCCCCAGCAGCTGGGACTACAGGCGCACGCCGCCACGCCCGGCTAATTTTTTGTATTTTTAGTAGAGACGGGGTTTCCCCGTGTTAGCCAGGATGGTCTTGATCTCCTGACCTCGTGATCCGCCCGCCTCGGCCTCCCAAAGTGCTGGGATTACAGGCGTGAGCTACCACGCCCGGCCTGATAGCTCCAATCTTTCTAAAAAGACTCAATGACAATCACAGGATAGCCCTATCCCCTCCCTGAAAAATGTCCAGGATTGATAGCTTCGGACAGAAGAGTGGGCACCAGTCCGCAATCCACCCCTGGCTCTGCAACCCTCACAGGCCAAGGATACAAGTGACCCCAACCCCATTCCCCATGTATCGCTGTGACACAAGGTCATGGTTATAAGGCCCCAAGAGCCAACATCCTCGAGGTGGGATTCGAACTCTGACCAGAGGCTGAGGCGATGGTGCTGCATTATTGGGACCTGCGCTGGTGAGGTGCCTGTAGCCTTTTGTCCCAGCCTCTGATCTGCCTTCCTCAGGGCCCCCAGACTGCCTCAGCACCCCCACTGGGAAATGTGTCCAAAGCCACTCTAAAGCCCAGAGATCAAGGTTTGACTCCCATTCCAAAGACACACCTTGGCTGGTTACAACCATAATGCAAACCTACACCCAGAGTCCAAGGAAGGTGCCAGGCTGAAGAAAAACACTGACAAATCATCTTTCTTAGGAAAGAAACATTTATTAGGGACTTATGAACAGAATCCACTTCTGGGTCTCTCGTGGCAGGGAGACAAGATAGTGGGTCTCCATGCCTTTACCGCCCAGACCCAGGGTCTACATACCACAGGGAAAGGGTGTATGTGCTTCACAAGGAATGTTTAAGGCACTTGCTTAAGGGCAAGATTTATGGTAAATGCAATAGCAGCAAGGTTGTTTTGACCTAAGGGCAGAATTTATGGTTAGTCTTACACAAGAAACAATAGATGAACTGGAATACTTAGAGGCTGTCCCAGAAGTGGGATTAATGAGAAATCTTTATGGTGGATTAACATCCTACACAGGGTTGCCTTCGCCTCCAAAAAACCTGTTAGGCATGTTTTGGAGGGACTGGGTGGCTGCACTCCTGGTCTCCTAATAACAAGGGCCACCATCCAAACACTGAGAGAGATAAGTAATGGCTGGGTCATACTGGTTTCTGGGGCCCTGGTGTCTCTCCCAAGAGCCTGAGTTAGCCGGGGGATTGTGGAGCAGGTGGGAGGTGGTCTCTCCATGTTGACCAGTGGGCGGCAAGCCACCCAGGTGCCGAGGCAAGAGACCGAGGGCACGAGCTGTTCCAGTATAATAAAATATATAAAATAACAAGAGTTATACTAGATATAGATCATAGATATGACTATATATAAGTATGATTAATCATTAGTTTGTAGTAATTACTCTTTATTCCAATATTATAATAATCCTCGCTCTACAATCATAACCTATGAAAAACCAGGCCATACAGAGATAGGAGCTGGAGGAACATGGTGAGAAGTGACCAGAAGACAAGCGTGAGCCTTCTGTTATGCCCAGACAGGGCCACCAGAGGGCTCCTTGGTCTAGCGGTAACGCCAGCGTCTGGGAAGACGGAAGTTACCAAGCAGACCGTGGTCTAGTGATAGCGTCAGTGCCAAGGAAAAGCACCCGCTATTTAGCAGACCGGGAAAGGGAGTCTCCCTTTCCCCGGGGGAGTTTAGAGAGAAGACTCTACTCCACCATCTCCTGTGGAGGGCCTGACATTAGTCAGGTCTGGAGGCCTAACCGTCTCCCTGTGATGCTGTGCTTCAGCAGTCACGCTCCTGGTCCACTTTCATGTTCCATCCTGTACACCTGGCTCTGCCTTCTAGATAGCAGTAGCAGAATTAGTGAAAGTATTAAAAGCCTCTAAAATGCAGAAATAATGGCGTAAGCTGTCTTTCCTCTCTCTCTCTCCTCCTCGGGTGCCATACAGGGAAGGGCCCCGTCCAGTGGACATGTGACCCACGTGACCTCACCTATCACTGGAGATGGCTCACACTCCTTACCCTGCCCCCTTGCCTTGTATCCAATAAATAACAGGGCAGCCTGGCATTCGGGGCCACTACCGGTCTCCGCGTCTTGGTGGTGGTGGTCCCCCCGGGGCCCAACTGTCTTTTCTTTTATCTCTTTGTCTTGTGTCTTTATTTCTATGGTCTCTCATCTACATACATGGGGAGAAAACCCCACAGACCCTGTAGGGCTGGCCCCTACATTGACCCACAGTCTCAGCTGAACTGGGTGGGAGGGCCCTTCTCCCTTGGCTGAACTTGGAAGCAGCACATCCACCTCCAGCCCTGGGACTGAGTCTCCTGGGGGAGGGAAGGAAACTTTGGGTCTTGTGCTAACGTAAAGGGATCCAGGTTCTCTACCCCAGCCTAGGGTGAGCAGACAGAACTTCCTGGGGTGCAAATCTCCTATTCCTTTTCCCTAAGAGACTCTGGTTCTCGGACACCGGCTGTGAGAGATAACACAGCAGTCCAGTGGTCAGATTGATGAATTTGGGAGGAGGCCTTGAAACCTCTGATGGGGACACAGATTGAGTTGGGACTCAGTGAAACTTTACCTTCCAGTTAGGGGCCAAGCTTCGGAAACTGGGTCACCTGCGATGATGCTGAATTCTGTGTACCAAGAATGGTAAAAGCTCCGCCCAACATGGAGCTCGAGCCCACGACCCTGAGATTAAGAGTCTCATGCTTTGCCGACTGAGCTAGCCAGGCTGATGTAATAATACTTGCTTCCCACCCTAATACTCAGAATCCTCAAAACAGGCGCTGCAAAAACAAAAACAAAAACAAAAAAACAAAGGCTGTGGTGACTCTAGTCCCGAGGAGGTGGTGCAGGGATGGCTACCCGCGGAGCCGGCCTCTGGCATTCAGACAGCTGGGTGCACAGTCCCTGCCGGGGTCTCCGGACATCTGGGAGCCCCTATCCTCCCCTTCTCAGCGAGTTGTGTAACCTCAAACCCGAGCCTCCAGTCAGGTGGAATTTGTAGTCAGGGACCATTAGCCATGGGTGGTCCTGAGTGGGAGGCGGGGAGGAAAGGAACAACCTCTCTCTGGGGCCCAAGTGCGGATCCGAAGGGGCCTGGGTCCACGCTTCGCTGCCAATATAAATCCCAATTCCTACTTAATATTGAGCCCAGCCTCTGCATATCTCCAAACCGTTTCAAATGACCCAAAGAACCTGCCTCTTCCCACTCCCCTGCAGATCTGCATGCACGGTGGAGGCAAGCGGCTCATGACAGAGGTTTCTCCATGTTGGTCAGGCTGGTCTCGAACTGCCGACCTCAGAACTGCCGACCTCCGGTGATCCGCCCGCCTCCGCCTCCCAAAGTGCTGGGATTACCGGCGATCCCGGCTGCTGGTCTGCGCTGCTTCTGCATTAATGATCAGTGCGGGGTCAGGGGGCCAGCGGAGGCCGGGAAGGAGGGACTGAAGCGAAAGAGTAGAGCAGCGGGGTAGGGTCTGTCCTGAGTGTGTGCCTCACGAAATGGACCCTCTTGTCTTGGGACCCAGTTCTTCCTCGCCTCCCCTTCCCTTCCTTAGATCGGAACAGGAACTGCAGGGCGGCCTCTGTCAAGCACATCTGTGAGAAGAGACCACCAAACAGGCTTTGTGTAAGCAGTAAAACTTTTTTAATCACCTGGGTGCAGGCGGACTGAGTCCGAAAAAGGAGTCAGCGAAGGGAGATGGGGAAGGGGTTGCTTTGTAGGAGTTGGGTAGGTAATGGAAAATTACAGTAAAAGGTGGTTATCTATTGTTAGCAGAGGAGGGGGTCACAAGGTATGTGGTAGGGAGGTCATAAGATTTATTGTCCAAAAGAAGAATGTCACAAAGTCGATTGATCAGCCAAGGTAGGGCAGGGACAAGTCACAGTGGTAGAATGTTGTAATGTTGGTTAATCACTTAAGGCAGGAACCGGCTGTTATACTTCTTTGTGGTTTTTTTGGCTTCTTCAGACTTCTTGGCTCCTGCAGGCCATCTGCACGTATATGTGCAGGTCACAGGGGTTATAATGGTTGAGCTTTAGGCTCAGAGGCCTGACACCTCGACCTGTGACCCAGGGCCCAGCAGCAGCCTCGCGGCCTGGCCGTCATCGGCCATCGGCCCAACTTCCTCTTTGTCCACAAGGGGAGCAGTCTCAGGAGTCCCTCCTGCTCCCAGCCAGGGAGTGTCATCGCAGACCTGGTCATTCTCAAAGCCTGGAAAATCCCAGCTTGAAAATGTCAATCAGGCCGGGCGCGCAGGCGCGGGGGCTCACGCCTGTAATCCCAGCACTTTGGGAGGCTGAGGCGGGTGGATCACCTGAGGTGAGGAGCTGGAGACCAGCCTGGCCAACATGATGAAACTCCGTCTCTACTAAAAATACAAAAAATTAGCCAGGCGTGGTGGCACCCGCCTGTAATCCCAGCTACTCGGGAGGCTGAGGCAGGAGAATCACTTGAACCCCAGAGGCGGAGGTTGTAGTGAGCCGAGATGGCACCACTGCACTCCAGCCTGGGCAACTCCGTCTCAAAAAAAAAACAAAACAACAACAACAACAACAACAAAACAATGTCAATCAACGGACAACGGACACTGATACCGGGGTTGGACTATCTGACGGGATGACAAAGGTGGTGAACCAGCCACCATAAACATGCTTCAGCTAAAACTCCTGCTTCATGCAAATGAAAAAATATGAAGTCTCAGGAAAGGAGTAGAAAATATAAAGAATAACTAAACGGAAAGTTTACACCCTAGAAATACAAAACCAAAGGAAGGAGCTTTAATGAATGGGCAACAGCAGAATGGAAGAAAAGAGGAGACTCCTCAAATTTGAAGACAGAACAATAGAAATTACCTGGAGAGACAATAAACTTAAAAAAAATAACAGAACCTCGGGTGTTTGTGGGACTTTAACAAAAGATCTAACATCACAGTTATTGGAGACCCAAGAGAAGAAAAATATGGCCTTTACAAACGAAAGCAGGCCAGATACAGTGGCTCACACCTGTAATCCCAGCACTTTAGGAGGACAAGGCAGGTGGATCACGAGGTCAGGAGTTCAAGACCAGCCTGGCCAAGATGGTGAAACCCCGTCTCTACTAAAAATACAAAAAAAAAAAAAAAAAGAAAAAAAATAGCTGGGCATGGTGGCAGGCGCCTGTAATCCCAGCTACTCAGGAAGCTGAGGTAGAGAATTGCTTGAACCCAGGAGGCAGAGGTTGCAGTGATCCGAGATCTCGCCTCTGCACTCCAGCCTGGGCGACAGAGCCAGACTCCATCTCAGAAAAAACAAACAAACAAAAAAACAAAAAAAAAAACCACACACACACAAAAACAGCTTAAGAGCAGTTTTAGGTTCTCAGAAAAATTGGGTGGGAAGTGCAGAGTTGCAAATTTTCCTCTGCCCCCACAGGCACACAACCTCCCCCATTCCCATGTACGTTTCTGTTTTTTATTTGTTTGTTTGCTTTTGAGACAGAGTCTTGCCCTGTCGCCAGGGGCACCTCCCGGGTTCAAGCGATTCTCCTGCCTCAGCCTCCCGAGTAGCTGGGATTACAGGCGCCCGCCACCGCGCCTGGCTAATTTTTGTATTTTTAGTAGAAATGGGGTTTCACCATCTTGGCCAGGCTGGTCTCGAACTCCTGACCTCAAGTGATCCACCCGCCTCGGCCTCCCAAAGTGCTAGGATTACAGGAGTGAGCCACCGCGCCCCGCCCTTTGTTTATTTGAGACAGGCTCAAGCGATCCTCCTGCCTCAGACACAGGAGTAGCTTGGATCACAGGCGCGCACCACCACGCCCTGCTAACTTTTAAAATTGTTTTGCAGAGGTGGGGTTTCACTACGTTGTCCAGGCTGGGCTTGAACTCCTTGGGCTCAAGCGATTCCCACTTCGGCCTCCCAAAGTGCTGGGATTACATGCGTGAGCCACCATGCCCGGCCGCCGCGATTTCCAACCACATTTCCCCCGGGCGCACCACGGGAGCTGAGGGAGGTGGGCATGGGCTCCCGGCGGTCCTGACCATCATGGTGCCAGGAGGGGAACAGGGGTGGCCACCTCTGTGCCCGCTTTCCCGGGGACCTGAAGTGCCTGATCATTTTGATTATTTGACAACCACGCCCCTGCCACCTGTGCAGTCCGGCCTTGCGCGCCGCCAGCCAGCCAAAGCTCTCTCTACACTGGATCCCGGCCCCGTTTCATTTCTCTCTGAGCAAGGCAACTTTAGAATCAGTCCTATGAGGGATGTGAACCCAGTTACCAGACAAAGCCACCCACAGTTTTCCTTAGTTTAGTCAACGAAGTGAGCCACTGCTATCAGCCTTGCCTCGGCAGGAGAGCAAATCTGCAGTCGTAAAAAGCTCACCTTATGCGGGACACGCTCCATTGAGTGAGTAGGTTTTGTCTGGGAGCTCCAGGTCACAAGCCTCACTCATTCCGGGATGCAACCACCACTCCAGTCACTCGGAGGAGTCCCTCAGGACAAGATCCACCCTGACTGCCCCAGAAAAAAATTCCCTGGTTAAACAGCCTGTGTCCCACGACGCATGTGCCCCAAGGACAAGCCACAGACACAAACATTGATTTTTTTTTTTTTTTTTTTTTTTTTGAGACTGAGTCTCGCTCTGTCGCCCAGGCTGGAGTGCAGTGGCGCGATCTCGGCTCACTGCAAGCTCCGCCTCCCTGGTTCACGTCATTCTCCTGCCTCAGCCTCGCGAGTAGCTGGGACTACAGGCGCCCACCACCACACCCGGCTAATTTTTTTTATTTTTAGTAGAGACGGGGTTTCACCGTGTTAGCCAGGATGGTCTCAATCTCCTGACCTCGTGATCCGCCCGCCTCGGCCTCCCAAACTGCTGGGTTCTTTTTTTTTTTTTTTTTTTTTTTGAGACAGAGTCTCGCTCTGTCGCCCAGGCTGGAGCGCAGTGGCACAATCTCGGCTCACTGCAACCTTCGCCTCCCAGGTTCAAGCGATTCCCCTGCCTCAGCCTCCTGAGTAGCTGGGACTACAGGCGTGCACCACCATGCCCAGCTAATTTTTGTATTTTTAGTAGAGAGACGGGGTTTCACCGTGTTGCCCAGGTTGGTCTTGAACTCCTGACCTCAAGTGATCCACTGCTTCGGCCTCCCAAAGTGCTGGGATTACAGGCGTGAGCGACCGCGCCCAGCCCCTGCTGGGTTCTTAAAGTGTGGGCTCGTCCGGGATTTGAACCCGGGACCTCTTGGGTCTCCCGGGCTTGTCCCTGTGGTCCCTAAGCGAGAACCACACCCCTAGACCAACGAGCCAAGCGGAAGAGGGGTCGGGGCCTTTGTCGCGCTTCATGAGCCCAGCGCGTCTCTGCCTGCGCTGTTCTGGATCAGTCCTAGTTTCCTCGGTCACAAACTGTCCCCCTTTCCCGATGCTTGTCCTGGACCGGATTCTAATTCCCATAGGGAGCAGGGGCACGGCGAACTTCAACATTGCCACACCCTGCGACTCCAAGCAGGAAACCCAGCTCGGGTTTTGGGGCTTCCTGCTGTCTCCGCCGCCCCTGGAGAACTGAGACCACCAGCTAGGGGAAGCCCCCCAGGTCCTCCTCCGTCCTCGGGCAAAGGGCTAGGAGCCGGGCTTGGACTCCCCAGAGGCGTCGCAGGCTCCCGGAACCGCACCTCTTCCCCGCCATGTACCGGAGGGACGCGCCGCTGCGACCTCAGGACCTGGAAGGAAAAGGAACCAGCTGAGCATGGTGGTTCTGGCCTGTAATTGCAGCACTTTGTGAGGGGAGGCCGAGGTAGGAAGATTGCTTGAGTGCAAGTTGGAGACCAGCCTCCAGAACACAGCGAGACCTCGGTTTTACACACACAAACACACACACACACACACACACACACACACACACACACACACACTTAGCCTGGCGTGGTGGTGAGCACCTGTAGTCCCAGCTACTTGGGAGGTGGAGGTGGGAGGATCCCTTGAGTTTGGGAGGTTGAGGTTGCAGTGAGCCGAGATCGCACCACTGCACTCCAGCACTCCAGCCTGGGCAACAGAAGGAGACACTGTCAAAAAAAACAAAAAACAAAAAAAGAAGAAAAAGGAAAATAAAAGAGAAAAAGAAAGAAAGAAAGAAAGAGAGAGAGAGAGAGAGAAAGAAAGAAAGAAAGAAAGAAAGAAAGAAAGAAAGAAAGAAAGAAAGAGAGAAAAAGAAAGAAAGAGAGAAAAAGAAAGAAAGAAAGAAAAGAAAAGAAAGAGAAACGAAGGAAAAAAGGAAGGAAGTTCGAAACCCTGGGCTCGTCGGAAATTTAAACTTAGAACCGACCCACTCAAAGGAAAACTACACGCCCAGACCAAGTTCCATGGCCACCCGGGATCTAGGGCCACGTCCGCAGAGGCAGACGCGGCGGTGGAGGTGTTTGCCCTCCTTTCGGGTCCCGGATCTGGGGTCCACTGCCTCAGCGCCAGGCCTTAGGCGCACTCAGAACTCCCAGGTGGAAGGCTCCAGTCAGGAGGCGCAGGCGAGTCCTTCCTGTAGCCGGGCAAGGCGAGGGGCCGCAAGCCGGACGGAAGCGGGAAGTCGGATCGGCCCCGGCGCCTGCAGCTGCCACGGAGAGACCAAGTTCCCTGCGGCCGAGACTCCGTGAAGCTCCTCAATCTTCACCGCGAGAAAATGATGGTGTTCAGAAAAAAAAAAAAAAGCGGGCTCGTCCGGGATTTGAACCCGGGACCTCTCGCACCCAAAGCGAGAATCATACCCCTAGACCAACGAGCCAGGACGACAAACGTTCTCTGACGTCTGTACTTGGAGGTCCACACCCGCGGTTCCACTCTCCCCGTCCACGCGCACCCCCCCAGACCCCGCCTTCACTCCACCCCTACCCCTCCCCGCCCGGGTCCCGGCCACACCCCAACCTCAAGCCCATCTGGGAGGGTTGCGCAGGTGGAGGTTTCGGTTTCGATCACAGGAAGCTGGTAGGAGGTGCAGCGCCTCGGGGACCAGCCCCGGGAAGAGCTCCTGTACGACCCCCGCCCTCAGGCGCACAGAGGCGGACCCCGCACCCTGGGCACCGCGGCGCCGCCTCCCCGAGGGCCACTCGGCTCCCAGCGGCTCCAGGCGGCCCCAGCACCGAGAGGAGGGCCGGTGACCAGGGGCTGCGGCCCGCGGGGAGGTGGTCTGTGTGGCCCGCGTGAGGCAGCGGTCTCGCGTGCTGAGCCCCAGCCCAGAAATTTCACCCGATGTGAAACCCGAGTGCAGGACCCTGAGGAGGAGACCCCGCCGCCTCCCAGCAGGCCAGCCCGGGCATCCTAGGAAGGGATCCCGTCTCCCACACAGACCCCGGGCTCCTGTCCTCAGCCGAGCTCCTTCTTGGCCTGAGCTCTGCCCAGGCGACCCTCGCAGCCCTGGGACCTCCGATACACGGGCCGGAGCTGGGGTCAGAGTTCATTTCTTCCCAAACGGGCGGCTCCAGAAACGCTCCAAACTTTTCTTCCGTTTTCCACTGGCAAGGGACCCAGCATTTTACTGGGAGCCTAAGGAGGAGAAAGGTCTACCGGGCTTGTCCCTGTGGTGAGGCCTCGCTGCCGGCCCTAAACAGGGATGAGGGTTTGAAAACCCTCACACAGCCCTAAGAGAGAGTCACGCCGAGTTTCCCCCTGGCCATCTCCAGTGTCCTTCGTCCCTTCAGCTCTTGTCCCCGACGTTCCCGCTCCCGGGAGCTGCAGGTGCCGCACACACCCATGAGGGACGGCAGACAGGGGACACACACCGCAAGGGACGGCAGACAGGAAACACACACCCTCGAGGGACAGCAGAGAGGACACACACCCGCGAGGGACGGCGGACAGGACACACACCCGCGAGGGACGGCAGACAGGACACACCCCCACGAGGGTCGGCAGACAGGACACACCCCCACAAGGGACCGCAGACGGGACACACGCCCGCGAGGGACGGCAGACGGGACACACGCCCACGAGGGTCGGCAGACAGGATACACCCCCACGAGGGTCGGCGGATATGACACACACCCGCGAAGGACGGCAGACCGCACGGGCCTGGCGGCGTCCTCGGTCCGCGCCGAGCTTAGGGCTCTAGCGCTCAGGATGTAGCATGTCTCATGTCTCGGATCCAGGACTCATCCCCACCAATTTTATATAGAATAGGGAAGTTCGGGAGAGCTCCAACAGAGGTGTGGGAAACCATTTTCCTCATAGCCGCCCGGCTAGCTCAGTCGGTAGAGCATGAGACCCTTAATCTCAGGGTCGTGGGTTCGAGCCCCACGTTGGGCGTGAGATTTTGTCGGATGGATTAGACTTGCAACTTGGAAGAAAGTAAACTAAATAAGAAAACGTGGAAGTGACTCCGTATACCTTGCAAATCGGGAATTGTTGGTCAGGCAAACGCAAAACGCTCCACCAACCAACTGGCTTCAGGATCCCCTTTGTCTTGTTTCATAAAAAAAAGAGGCCGAGCGTCGTGGTTCATGCCTATAATCCTCTCACTTTGACCCTAGGAGTTTGAGACCAGCCTAGGCAACATGGTGAGACCCCCGGCCCTTAAAAAAAATACAAATTTTCGCCAGGCTTGGTGGTGTGCGCCTGTAGTCCCAGCTATTCCAGAGACTGAGGCAGGAGAATCACTTGAACCCGGGAGGTAGAGGTTACAGTAAGCCGAGACTGTGCCAGTGCACTCCAGCCTGGACAACACAGTAAGACTCCGTCTCAAAATAATAATAAAAAGAAATTGGCCGGGCGTGGTGGCTCACGCCTGTAATCCCAGCACTTTGGGAGGTCGAGGCGGGCGGATCACGAGGTCAAGAGATCGAGACCATCCTGGCTAACATGGTGAAACCCCGTCTCTACTAAAAAAGAGAAAAAATTAGCCGGGCATGGTGGTGGGCGCCTGTAGTCCCAGCTACTAGGGAGGCTGAGACAGGAGAATAGCGTGAACCCGGAAGGCAGAGCTTGCAGTGAGCCGAGATCGTGCCACTGCACTCCAGCCTGAGCAACAGAGTGAGACTACGTCTCAAAAAAAAAAGAAAAAAAAAAAAGAAATAAAAATTATGTATGTATAAAATTTGCATACACGTTCCATATTCAGTAAACTGAGCATTTGGGACCCTCTCTGCATAATATTTGCCTTAAGAGGAATTCTCCTTCTATTTCACCCCAGTTTAACACTGGCAAAAATTCTTATAATTGCACGCTACAGCACACCAGGGACTCTCACCTACCATCAGGGACGTGGTCCTCATTGCCAGCCAGCCAGCCAGCCAGCCAGCCAGCCAGCAGGGGAGTCAAATTTAGAATTTCACCCTTATAATCTGGTTCTAGGCTAGGTACCATGACTCAGGCCTGTAATCCCAGCATTTAGGGAGGCCAAGGCAGGAACATCACTTGAGCCCAGGAATTTGCGGGTGCAGTGACCCATGATCGTGCCACTGCAGCCTGGGCAACACAGTGAGACCCTATCTCCAAAAACCAGAACAAGTATTTATACCTCTCTAATAACTGTCATATTAAATATTCTGTGAAAATAGCTAATGGGAGGTGTGGTGGCTCATGCCTATAAGAACAGCACTTTGGGAGGCCAAGGTGGGAATATTGCTTGAGCCCAGGAGTTTCAGACCAGCCTGGGCAACATAGCAAGACCCCGTCTCTACAAAAAATAAGTAGCATGTGCCTGCAGTACAAGCTACTCAGGAGGCTGATTGGGGAGGATCACTTGAACCTGGGAGGTCGAGGCTGCAGTGAGCAGTGATCACACCACTGCACTCCAGCCTGGGTGACTGAGTGAGACCCTGTCTCAAAAAAACAAAAAAACAAAAACAAAAACAAAAAAAACATAGCTGATGGTTTCCTGACTGCTACCTGGACATTGGTTTGGTAACAAATTTTGGCTTCAATGCAGTGCTGAGGTCCTTACCAATGGAACGTGAGATGACATAATTCACAGTATACAACAGCATCGTGATCAGGCAATGCGTGGCCTGGTTGATTATGAGGAGTTGCAGGCTGAAGCAAGTGCCCTGGGTGACCAGTGGCTGCTGTGCCTGATTGTTGCAGCACAGGTGACCACACAGACTTTCGTTAGTTCATGGCGTGGAAAGAAGTCTTCTGAAGGCCCTGGTTTGCTTACAGAAAGAAGATGACAAGATCAGGTCTCTAAACTTTTAGACTAAGTCAAGTTCAGAGACGCAGGGACAATTTATGGCAACCATACAATAACCTTAAAGCCACAAGGCTGACATTGCTAAAAATCAAACATGTCATTTAACTAGGCATGTTGCAGAATGGCAACGTAAATTGAATTCACAGCCTTAGGAAATCTTTGGTGTGAAAGATACTGCATTGATTAGGCAGAAGTGGTGACATCAGATTGGACTCAAAATTGAGAATCTTGAACTACAAAGGTTGACCTTGGAGAAAACAGCCTACATGACAAAACAAAACAGAAACAAAACAAGTTTGGCTACTTTAAGCCATCATAAGGAGGATGGGATATGATTTTGTATCTGGTGAATTTATCCATCTGGGTGCATATCCCAAAGAGCCTATAGTTAATATGTTATCTCATGCAGCTGACCATGGCCCTACCAGGTTTCTTGGTTGGTTGGCTGAAAATTGAACTCAGTGGTGGCCTATGTTTAATGAGACCGGGCTGCCAGAACGTCTCAGGCAAACTGTAGAGAAAGAAACCTAAAGACACCAAGCAATGTTGGAGTGCATCTTTCACGCATGATGTGCATACCACTGAGAAGACCAGAGGACACTCCCTTTCTTTCTTTCTTTCTTTTTCTCTTTTCTCTTTTTTTTGAGACGGAGTCTTACTCTGTCGCCCAGGCTGGAGTGCAGTGGCACGACCTCAGCTCACTGCAACCTCTGCCTCCCGGGTTCAAGCGATTCTTCTGCCTCAGCCTCCCAAGTAGCTGGGACTACAGGCGAGCGCCACCACACCCGGCTAATTTTTGTATTTTTAGTAGAGATGGGGTGTCACCATATTGGCCTGGCTGCTCTAGAACTCCTGACCTCGTGATCCGCCTGCCTCGGCCTCCCAAAGTGCTGGGATTACAGGTGTGAGCTACCGCACCAGGCCAGGACACTCCCTTTCACAAGGCCTCCCGAAAAAATCCATCACTGAAGCATCAGCTTCCTTAAGTAGCTCTCTGGTGGCCATTCTCTACAGGTGGCCTATGATGGTGGAAGGTAATGCCATTGAGGTGTGGAAGGTAACGCCACTGAGGTGTGGAAGGTAACCCCATTGAGGTGTGGAAGGTAACCCCATTGAGGTGAGGAAGGTAATGCCATTGAGGTGAGGAAGGTAATGCCATTGAGATGTGGAAGGTAACCCCATTGAGGTGAGGAAGGTAACCCCATTGAGGTGTGGAAGGTAATGCCATTGAGGTGAGGAAGGTAACCCCATTGAGGTGTGGAAGGTAATGCCATTGAGGTGAGGAAGGTAACCCCATTGAGGTGAGGAAGGTAATGCCATTGAGGTGAGGAAGGTAACCCCATTGAGGTGTGGAAGGTAACGCCATTGAGGTGAGGAAGGTAACCCCATTGAGGTGAGGAAGGTAACGCCATTGAGGTGAGGAAGGTAATGCCATTGAGGTGAGGTCCCTGATTTCAGTGGAGATGATGGGGTCCAGGATGTTTGGGGAACTGGGAGAAGCCAGGCCAGAGCTGGAAAAACAGAAGAGTCCCAATTATGAGTTTTATTTATTTATTTATTTATTTTGAGACGGAGTCTCTGTCACCCAGGCTGGAGTGCAGTGGCGCGATCTCCGCTCACTGCAACCTCCACCTCCCGGGTTCAAGTGATTCTCCTGCCTCAGTCTCCTGAGGAGCTGGGATTACAGGCGCGTGCCCCCACGCCCGGCTAATTTTTCTATTTTTAGTAGAGACGGGGTTTCACCGTGTTGGTCAGGCTGGTGCGTGATCGTGATCCGCCCGCCTCGGCCTCCCAAAGTGCTGGGATTACAGGCGGGAGCCACTGCGCCCGGGCCAATTATTGGTTTTAAAGGCAAAAGCCAACCATGTTTTTATACATATTTATGACAAAACTCCAGCAGTGGTCCCCATCAGAGCGGCTTCTGATTTTACTTTACACCATGTCCTGTAGTTCGGGAAATTTTTACCTTGAAGATGGCATCATATATTGCATGGATTTAAAAAAAGAATACTATGGACTATTTCAAATATGTATTAAAAGAGAGAAAATAGTGCAATGTCCCCTCATGTCCCCCATTATCTACTCATGGATAAGTAGTTTCATCTATACCGCCATCCATCTTATGATTTCTTTTTTTTTTTTTTTGAAACGGAGATTACAGGCTGGGATTACAAGTTTAAGCCAGCGCACCTGGCCTCAGTTTTATGATTTTTAAAACAAACCAGTTGTCTTGTAATTTAATCTGTAAATAATTGTGTTTATAAAAAAAAGGATTTAAAAAATATTTGTAACCATAATAGAATTAACAAACCTGGAAAAATAAACAATCATTCCTTTCTATCAAGTTAAATGGATGGTACTTAACATCCTGTAAAAGATTCGGCTCCTTTTTTCTGTAACGTGAAATTGTGCTCGTCTTCCTTGAAAACAGGTAGAGGTTTCTGATTTAGAGCCTTTTTGGTAACCCTTCGGAAACTCCGCACCTCCACTGGAGTATACCGCATTCTAACTCTTCTGCCCGATAAGGAACACTAAAATTCGGCCTTTCTTTACCCCGGGTGGGACTCGAACCCACAATCCCTGGCTTAGGAGGCCAATGCCTTATCCATTAGGCCACCGGGGCGGATAACAAAACGCTGTCGCTTGTCTTAGACCAGTTTCTCCATCACTCCGCGGTGGTTCCTGCACAGCCTGCCCGTCCTACCCTGGCCTTTCTCCCGCCCCTCCACTGCAATCCAAGCTTCGGTTCAGATCTCGTCCGCTCCTGAGCATCCTCGGGACCCCAAAGAGACGGCGCACGTGCAGAGGGACCTGAAAGACACCGAACGTCAGATTTTTGGCTCCGCTCTTTGGTCTAGGGGTATGATCTTCGCTTAGGGTGCGAGAGGTGCCTGGATCAACTCCTTCACAAGCCGTCGTCTCCACTCAGGAGACAACCCAAGTCTAGGGGTAATTAGTAGCGAATGATGCACTTGCGATGGGTAGAGTGTATGGGAAGGGGCACGCGATGCCAGCTCAGCAACTGGCTCCTCATCCCGAGCCCGCCGCTTCTGGAAGTGTCGGTCTTCGTCCTCCTCCCCCGCATTGTCCGTTAGACCAAGGGTGCCGCCCAGTGGTCGGAAGCCTCTTAATAATGACCCTCCAAAATCCGCCCTCTACATCCCCAGCTGGCTAGGTGTTAATCTCAGGATCGCCACGTTGGGTGTTTACTTTCCTGCCCCAACACGTGTGTTATTTTCCTTTTTTAAAAAATCTGTATTTTAATGACGTTCTTTTCCTTTAATACCTAGTAAACGCTTCAGTCCAGGAGTTCGAGACCATCATGGGCAAAATAGTGAGCGCCCCGTCTCTACCAAAAACAAATACCTTCGTAAACCACTGAAACATCAAAAAAAATTAAAGGAGAAAGTGACACCCTGCACGACGCCAGGTCACCAGCGTCCGCCGACCGGAGGCCATGCCTGCAGCTGCGACTCTCCGCAGCCTTCACCCCGTGGAAGGATACCCCACCCCGTGGAAGGATACCCCAAGAGGCGCTGCTCGGCACCCGGACTAAACTCGGGTTCCGCTGGTAGACATTTTTTTTCCCCTCGGCGAAATATTAACTCAATCCTGGAGATACTCTTTGAATTTTATTTTATTTTATTTTATTTTATTTTATTTTATTTTATTTTATTTTATTTTATTTATTTTCTATTTTGAGACGGAGTCTCGCTCTGTCGCCCAGGCTGGAGTGCAGTGGCGCGATCTTGGCTCACTGCAGCCTCCGGCCTCCCGGGTTCAAGCGATTCTCCTGCCTCAGCCTCCTGAGTAGCTGGGAGTACAGGCGCGCGCCACCACGTCCCGCTAATTTTTGTATTTTTAGTAGAAACGGGGTTTTACCATGTGAGTCAGGCTGGTCTGGAACTCCCGACCTCATGATTCGCCCGCCTCGACCTCCCAAAGTGCTGGGATTAGAGGCGTGAGCCACCGCGCCCGGCTCATCACCACTATAATCGTTTTCTTTTTTACTTTGTTACCCCATGATCAGTTGATACAAAGTTTTTCATCACAATAATCAATTAAACTACACATGTCGCCGGGCGCGGTGGCTCACGCCTGTAAGCCCAGCACTTTGGGAGACCGAGGCTGGACGATCACCTGAGGTCGGGAGTTCGAGACCAGCCTGGCCAACATGGAGAACCCACCCCCGCCCACCCCCCCACCCTACTAAAAATACAAAAATTAGCCGGGCCTGGTGGCGCATGCCTGTAATCCCAGCTACTCGGAAGGCTGAGGCAGGAGAATCGTTTGAACCCGGGAGGCGGAGGTTGCAGTGAGCGGAGATCAAGACATTGCACTCCAGCCTAGGCAACAAGAGCGAAACTCCGTCTCAAAAAAAAAACAAAAACAAAAACAAAAAACTACAGGTGTCCTTTGATCCCTTGGGGCAACTCCTCACAGCAAGCAATCCCAGCCCCGCGTCTGTCACGGTTTCCATCACCTGAACGTTAATTTGTGAAGTCAATCCCCTACCAGATCCCAGGACCTGCGTTCTCTGGCTTCAAGCTCCGCAGTCCGCCAGGGCCCTGCCGGCGTTCTCTAAGTCGCCCTCGCTGCTATTCTGGCCCTGGGTCCTTAGCTTCGCGACTGGAGGCGCAGGGCGAGGTCCCAGTGTTCCTACGGGGGTGAGGGGAGAGCGACCGGCGCACTCAGTTCGAGTGTCGTAGTCGCCCAGGGTGCAGTCCCAGGTGAAGAAATTTTAAGTGGAGCTGGAAGAAAACGTTAACATGGCAACGACCACGAAGGGACTCGAACCCTCAATCTTCTGATCCGGAATCAGACGCCTTATCCATTAGGCCACGCGGCCCTGCGGCTGTATGGCTCCCAGCTATTCTCATAAAGCTTTCTATAGCCTATGCTGTCGCTTTAACGCGCATGCTTAGAGTGAGGGGAGGCCGGTCCTTCCGAGGCTCCCGGTGGGCGGGACTCCGAGCTGGGCCACCGCGCCGGGCCGCTGAGGCTGCTGGGTGGAAACCGCCGCCGCGGGCCCGGGACTGTGAGTTCGAGCCCTGGCGAGCCCGCCCTACCCCACCCTCCCCGCAGCAGGCCCCTCCGAGACGCCGTTTGGGAGCGCTTTCCCCCATGTGCCTCCCGCCGCTTTGGGTCAGGGGCTGCAAGCTGCTTGCCCAGCCCCTGTGCTTGCTCCATCACGGTGAACCTGCAAAGGTGTGTTTCAGAGGCTTTTGGCCCCAGACTTTATTCTGGCCGCCTGGAAAGCGGAGGCCGTGTCTCCTGAGTTTCTATGGCCCAGCGCGGGGTGGAGGTGGGGCGCGCATACACAGGGACATGTCTGGGAGAGGGATATGCGTCCTCTTCCTGGGACCCCTCTCCCCCTGGACGCTCCCATAACCGAACTGCCAACCCAGCCCAGCCCAGTCCAGCCCATGTTGGGTTCCTAAGTCCCGGAAGCTGGGCACAGGCCCCAACTCGGTTCCCATGGACACTATTGCGTCCATATGCAGTGCCAGGCGCTTTACACACATTATCTCACTTATTTCACACGTCCTTGAGAACAGGCACTGTTCACGGCAGATATTTATTGCACGGCCACCCCCACGCTGCCACGCCTCGCTCTCAGATGAGGAAACCGGGGGGATGGGGGGTGGATGGAGGCAAGAATGGCGCTGGGATCTGGCCACCGTCTCAGCAGCGCCCCCGTGGCCGCCGCACCCTCAGGCCTGGAGGCAGAGCCGGCGCCGGAGCGAGCTGCGGATCTCCAGGCAGGCCTTGCGGAGTTCATCGCAGTCGGGGCCCAGCACCTCCTGCTCGCACACCCGCCTGTTGACCTGAGGACCACACCCAGCCTGCGCCCGGGGTTACAGCCCTCCGGGGCTCAGCCTGCCCCAGGGGAGAGCCCCTGGCTTGGTACATTGCAAGGCCTAAAATTTCAAGGACTGCCTGGACATCTTTGAGGCTCGCAGAGCTCCAGAGGCCTAACGGTGAATTCCTCTGCTCTGGCCAGACATGTCCCCACCCAGCAGGACAGGCTCCCACCCCCTAGGTCCCCTCTCAGCAGACCAGCTGCACCCCACCTGGTCGTCACCCTAATGGACTTCAGCCCCCTGACAGGCCTTGGAAATATTCAAACCAACCAACCACATCTGCCCGTGGGAACCAGGGGGCATCTCACTCTCTTGTCACTACAAAGCCAGCTTCCCACTGGCCCTGCAGGTTCACCCTGCTCTGAGCACAAGCCCAGGTGGCCCCGCATGACATGCAGTGTCCTCCTCCCCACCCGACTGCAGTACGTGTGACTAAGAACTGCAGTGGATGGCATCTGTGCAGCGTCGGCCATCCTGCGTTTGGTTATCTTGTAGTATTGAGGGCAGAGGATCCCTCCTTCGCCAATGGAGTTCATAGGAGGTGATCAGAATACCAGGGCTGGGGAGAAGGGCAAACCCAGCTCCTTGCCACTTGTCACCCTGGAACCCCCCAACACACCTCAGTCAGCAGCTCCAGAAGGTCTCTCCCGGGGTTGGCTCTGAGGACCTCCACCAGTGTCTGGATAAAGTCTGAGCCCTTGTCATCGCGATAGGCCACATAGCCTAGGTCAGGGGATCAGGGCCAGAGCATCAGACCAAGGCCCCAACCCTCTGCCTTCCAATCCCAGGGGTCCTATTGTTGGTGGAAAGTGGGGTACAAGGAGGCAGGACCCAGGAATCAGGCAAGAGAACAGGGCAGGGAGCAGGGACTTCTTGCATCTGGAACAAGTTGTTGCTAGGTATTTGCAGAGGTGAGCCTATGGAGAGATTCACTACTGAACAAACATTTACTGTGCACCTACTATGTGCCAGACACTGAGCAGGGCCTTGGGGCAGGCAGGTCTACCCTGGCCTCGTGGAACTCACAGCCTAGAGGAAACCTGCACACACAGTGGTTGGCACAGCTGCGCCTCACAGCACTCACCATCACTGCTGTTACTACACATCCTAACCCATGTAGGGAACATGGCTGGACCACAGCTGGGCTGGCATCTCTGTGCCCCAACCCTAAGCCCTAGCTGCCCCTAAGGCTACTCCAGATCTTAGGCCAGGAAGCTGGGCCCTGTGTAACCACAGGCTCCCGATGACCCATCTCCTTACCCTCTGCGGCTGAGTAGACCGTCAGGATGTCTGCTTGGTCAGAGCTCCCTGGAGGGGTGCCCCTGCAGGAGCTGCCTGCAAGAGGAATCAATTCCAGTGATCAACATCGTGGAACTCCATCAGCCCCGGGAGCTCCCCATCTGTGGCTTAAGGGCAGCCCAGGGAGGTGGAAAGAGTGCAGGGCAGGAATGACAGACGGAAGTTCAAAGCTCGGCCCAGCCACTTAACAGCTGTGACCTCAGAAAAGCTATTTGACCTTACCGACTCCAGGGTTCTTGCCAGGCTCCAACAGGGGAAGAAGCTCCCACTTCCCAAAGGCCCTTGCGGTTTAGGAAGATTTTTTTTCTTCCCATTGTCTTGGCAAACAGAGGATGCAGGTGGCAGCCATACCCCAGCTTAGAGCCCTGGAGATGCTCTCTGGACGGTCCCCACAACCAGCCCTGCCCAAGCCCAGGCCCTGGAAGGAAGGCAGAACCCACCTTGGGCCTCAGCGTAGATCTGCAGGACATCTGCATGGGAGGGGACAGATGGAGGTGCCCGCAGCCAGCTCCAGTACCAGGGGAGAGCTGTGGGCCCCACACCAGCATCCCTGTTTCCTGAAGAGGGTGGGGAGAGGCAGATAGTCTCACTCCGGGGATACCTGGGGGTGCTCAGGGGTCTAGTGTGAATGTGGGGTCAAGGTGAGAACCCAACTCCAGAGCTCCAGGGCAGGCTTGCCAGACTGGAGACATTCAGAGCGCTGAATGACAGGTGTTGAGAGTTAAGGGTTCAAGGTCGTGGACTTGACCTCTAGGAGAGGACAGGAGAGGGGGCAGGGAAGGGCAGGTACCCGGGCTCCCTGGAGAAGGTAGACAGTGAGTCCCGGGGGCTGAAGCTTGGCCGAGGAAAGTGAGGGCAGTAGGAGGCCGGGCCGCTCACCCCCACGGCAGGCCTGCAACAGGAAGATCTTGGGGCGGCCCTGCAGCACCTGGCAGCGGCTCAGCTCCTGCATGAGTGCCTCGGGCTGCACCTCTTGCCCGTCAGCCCCCAGCAGCTGACCCCGTGGTCCCCCATGGGCCATCAGGGCCACAAGGGCACAGCTCACAGGGCCCCTGCAGGTGTCCAGTTGCTCCCGGAACTGGGCCAGCTCCTCCTGGAAAGCCTGGGGTGGGAACAATGTTGAGGCCTGGGCCAAAGCCACCGCCTCCCCAGCCACTGGCTGCCCTCTGTGAGGCTGACAAGGTTTCCCAGACCCTGCCCCACCTGGCCTCCCACCGCCTGCCACTCACAGGTCCAGGGAGGAAGCCCTCTTTTTTTTTTTTTTTTTTTTTGGGAAGGAGTCTTGCTCTGTCACCCAGGCTGGAGTGCAGTGGCGCGATCTCGGCTCACTGCTATCTCTGCCTCCTGGGTTCAAGCGATTCTCCTGCCTCAGCCTCCTGAGTAGCTGGGAATACAGGTACATGCCACCACACCCGGCTAATTTTTTGTATTTTTAGTAGAGATGAGGTTTCGCTGTGTTAGCCAGAATGGTCTCGATCTCCTGACGTCGTGATCCGCTTGTCTCGGCCTCCCAAAGTGCTGGGATTACAGGCGTGAGCCACTGTGCCCGGCCTGTTTTTGTTTTTTGAGACAGAGTCTTGCTCTGTCGCCCAGGCTGGAGTGCAGTGGCACAATCTCAGCTCACTGCAACCTCGGCCTCCTGGGTTCAAGCCATTCTCCTGCCTCAGCCTCCCAAGTAGCTGGGATTACAGGCACGCACCACCATGCCCTACTAATTTTGTCTATATAGTAGAGACGAGGTTTCACCATGGTAGTCAGGCTGGTCTCAAACTCCTAATCTCAAGTGATCCACCCGTCTCAGCCTCCTAAAGCGTTGGGATTACAGGCGTGAGCCACTGCACCCGGCCAGAAGCCCTTTTCTAACTCCCTCCTGCAAGGCCTTGGCATGGCCTCTTTAGAGGTGACATAGAGACCCAGCTTCCTGGAGCCAGTTCTCCTCCTGCCCTCGTGGGGAAGCCGCACCAAGAAGTTGAGAGGTGTGAGGAGAGTGGAGTGGGCTGCTGGGAGCCAAGAGGGAAACCAAGACTTGGAGCTAAAGCTTTGAGCTGGGGAGGGGGCGGGGGGGCCAGAGAACCAGCCAGTGAGGAAGGCCTCGGGGACCCTGGAGACCAGGCTTCCAGAGGCAGGGAAGTGACGGGCCAGATGCAGGCAACAGGGAGCACAGAGGTTAGACTTGTGGTGCACTTCCTGCCAGTGATGGAGAGAGGCCCCAGGTTTCTAGGGAGGGGTGGTCTTCCTTCAGAGCACCAGTGGAAGTTCTCGGCTTCCCCTCACCTGGGCTGTAGGGTCCGTTCTCACGGTGGTCTCAAAGCCCAGGGCCCAGCACAGGCCCCCCAGCGCCTCCACGTCATGCTGGGCCCCAGGCCGGCCTTGGATCACAGCCAGGAGGAGGGCAGCCCTGGCCTTGGACAGGTCATACTGTGTGCTGGGACCGGGGGCCGGCTGCAGAGAGGGTTAAGACACATCTAAAGTGGCCTGAGAGGACTCCAGCTCCTGGCCTCCCCGGCCGGGGCCCCCCCTAAGCTTCTGTCCCACTGGAAACTGTGGCCATGTGATTGGATCCCTGCCCTGCCCCCCTCACCTCAGGCCTCCAGGGCTCCACGCCTCCCAGGCACAGTGCCCCCCTCAAGGAGCTCCGAAGGACGGGGCAGCAGGTGCCCCCTGCGGACTCTTCAGCCACCCTGCGGAAGAGCTGGGGATGGGGCCGAGAAAAGACTCAGCCAGGCTTGTGGCTTCTATAGTCTCTTCAGGGTCACCTGCCAGAATGCAGACAGGAGGAGGCCAGCAAAGGACAGACAGGCAGGATGGCCTCAAGCAGGGCCCAGGCTCCAGTTCAGGCTCAAGGTTATGGACTTCCCTGGGCATGGATGGCCTCGAGTGGACAGTGGCCACACCATTAACCCCTGCCCCGGGATCAGTGCGCAGAGAGGTGGGGATGTTCCCTAGAGCGGGGCTGGGCCTGTCGGGAAGACTCACGGGGTGGGCACTACCCTGCTGGGCGATCTGTGGAGGAGAGCTGGGGCCCCCTCATCCCCAGGGCTGCCCAGGGGCCACCCAACTACACAGTGAGACCTTCAGCCTTGGAGACCAGACTTGAAGCATTCCCAGTCCCAGCCTCCAGGGTCCTGCGATCTAACAGGGCGGACAGCCACTGCTTGGTGTAGAAAGGGGCAGCCTGAAGTGCAAGCGTGGATGCAAGGAAGGGCATCGCTGGCAGCCTGCAGAGGACTGTGCAGGGCTCCCGGGACAACAGGAAGGCATAGCAGGCAGAGGGAACTGCTTGGGCCAAGGCATGGAGCTGGGAGGAGTCGAGTGTCGGGGATCCTGAGTGGGTTGTCAGGGGTCCCGAGTTGAGGGTGAGGGGCTGAGACCACTTCTGTAGAAAATAAAGGAGGTTTGTAGAATGAATCGGAGGGAGGATACAAGTGAATGAATCTAACTGTAACTGGCTTAGGGGGGCACAGCAGAACCAGCGGAGACAGCAGGACCAGCCCCGCTTCCCTGGGCCTCCCCCTCCAGCGTCCCCACCTTCGTCAGCAGCTGCACCAGGGACCAGTGAGGAGAGCGGCCACACAGCTCTCTCAGGCCAGCAAGGAAGGCTCCGGGCTCCAGGGAGGCTGGGTAGAGAAGCAGCATGTTGGCCTGCAGTGAGGCCCGAGGCTCTGCCCCTGGGTCCCTGCCCAGCTCCTGGATCCTGACCCAGCTCACTCACACCCAGGACCACTTGAGAGCAGCAGGAAGACTTTGGGGCAGCCCCGCAGGGCCCGGCAGCCGCTCAGCTCCCGGACCAGCTGCTGTGGCTGCCTCAGCTGCCCTCTGGGGGCATCAAGGCCACTAAGGCACACCCCACAGGGCGCCCGTGGGCATCCAGCTGCTCCTGGAACCAAGCCAGTTCCTCGAGGAAGCCCTAGGGGCAAGAGTGAGACCGACCTGAGTCCGGGGAGGTTTTGGGTGGGGAGGAGATTCTGGGTCAGGGGAGAGTGGGGAAGGGGTCGGTGCTGGGCCTGAGGGTGGATGTAAGAGGCAGAGGCTCACCTGGACCGGGACCTCCCTCCTCTCGCAGCTCTCAAAGCCCAGGGCCTGGAACACGTCCTCCAGGGCAGTGACTACAGCGGCCGCCACCCCAGGGCTGCTGAGCATCAGGGCTGCCCTTGGACCCTGGACGTCATACTTCCCCTGGGGAGGCAAGGCCAGAGCTGGGCTGGGCTGGGCTGGGCTGGGGCTCAGCAGGGAGGCAGGAGCAGCTGGGCTAGGCGGTGCCTCCTGCTACCTTTCTCCCCAGGCTGTCTCGAGTGTCTGCCATCTGCGTGGCCAGCCGCAGGGTCCCAGCCACCAGGAAGGCCATAGGGCGAGACGGGGCTTCCTCCAAGCACCAAGCTCGGAGCTCACCTCCTGGCCCTGGGCTCTCAGTGCCCTGGGTCCTAACCCTTGCCCTCTACCCTAACGAGTACTATCAGCTCTGCTTATGAGCTGAGCTGGACTCTGCCCCATCCCTGGAACCCTGGGTCCTGGCCCCGCTCTCCCAGCCTGGGCTTCATTCTCTGGCTCCTGCTGGTGACTTCTTTGCTGGCACTGACATGCCCCTACCCGAGCCAGGAACCTGTGCTCAATCCTATTCTTAGCTCCTGGCCTACGTGCTTATCTGATCTCGTTACACCCGAGTGTCTCCATTTGGAGCCAGCCACCGCCACCAAGAAGTCCTTGTACCATCCCGGCCACCCGCCACACGCATGCACACAGCACCAGGCCCCCAGAGGTAAAAATCACCAACTGGAATCAGCCTTGTCCACAGCGAGACCTTGCTTGCTTCTTACGGGAAACGGAGACCATGACAGTGACCGCAGGATGATGTGTGCATGGAAGGTTGGCTAAGAAAGGCCTAGGGGCAGAGAGGGCTGGCACATGCACACCTGTTACCAAGGGACCAGAGCGTCTTGTCCACCGGCCCCCGCCTCCCCTCAGCCAGGGGCCCTGAGGCCACTAGCAGGTGAAAGAGAAGGAACCAGCATGGGTGGAAGGAGGGGTCGTGCCTGGATGATCACTAGTTTTGACCACGCACCCACCAGCCCTTGGTGGGTCCCGGCCTGGGGCTCCTGGTAGGGAGAAGTTGGATGTCAGGGGCTGGTGGGAAGGGCAAGCCCGCTGTCAGCCCCTCCTCCAAGGGACTCAGCCTGGGGCAGCCTTGAGTTCCAGATCCCCAACACGCAGCAAGAGGGTCCCACCACTGACCAAGCAGCGTCTATGGGCCCTTCTTCCTTTCACAGTTGTGGGAGAGGAGTGGCCTGGTGAAGACCCTGAGTCCTGCTCAGCTCCCCGTTCTGCTGGAGCACCGACGGTGCTCCCAGAGCAGGGCAGGCACTAGCTGACACAGGGGGACAAGAGTCCCAGGGGACACGGCTGCCCATTGGGGCCCAGCCGACCTGGACGCCAAGGACGCAGCTCCGCCTGGTCACGGTGCAGCAGCATGTGCCACCAGGACACAAGGCCAGGGCAAGGGGCATATATTCCAGGTATCCCCACCCTCCAGCTACCGAAAGAACAGAACAGCCTGGAGGTAAGTTTTCACGTTTATTAATACTCTTCTGTTGCCCTTTGGAGGTCTGAGGGGGAGTCCTTGCAGGGCCTCTGGTCTGTCCCTGTTCATGGAAGGCAGTGCTCAGGAGGCAGCAGCAAAGTGCCAATGAAGCAGGGCGTTAGTGCCGATGGAGCAGGGAGCCAGTACCGGTGGAGCTGGGCGTTGGTGCCAATGGAGCGAGGCACTGGTGCCGGTGGAGCGGGGCGTTAGTGCCGATGGAATGGGGCACCAGTGCCGTTGGAGCTGGACGTAGTGATGATGGAGCAGGGTGGTAGTGCCGACGGAGCTGGACATAGTGATGATGGAGCGGGGTGGTAGTGCCGATGGAGCCGGACGTTAGTGACAATGGAGTGGGACACCAGTGCCGATGGAGCAGGGCGTTAGTGCTGATGGAGTGGGGCACCAATGTCAAAGGAGCGGGTCATTAGTGCCGCTGGAGTTGGGGCGTTAGTGCCAATGGAGTGGAGCATTAGTGCTGATGGAGTGGGGCGCCGAGTGGGGCATTAGTGCCGATGGAGCGGGGCCGATGGAGTGGGGCGCCGAGTGGAGCATTAGTGCCGATGGAGCAGGGCGCCAGTGCCGATGGAGCAGGGTGCCGGGGCCGATGGAGTGAGGTGCTAGTGCTGATGGAGTGAGGTGCTAGTGCTGATGGAGTGCTAGTGCTGAGTCTGGTGCAGCCCCACCTCTGGAGGAAAAGATGGCAGCCAGGCGCCCTGTTCTTGGTCTCCAGGGTTGGCCTCCTGTCGCTGGAGCCACCATTATCCTCACCAGATTGGTGGGCAGGTGGCTCTCAGAGCCTCATGCTAGGGCAAGTAGGCCGAGGGCAAAGGCAGGCCGAGTCCGTATGGCCAGGACAGGGCAGAGTGGTCATGGCCTGGAAACGGGAGTGGGAGGGGGCCAGAAAGCCCCTGCCGCCGTGACTAAGACCCGCGGTCCCACAGGTGTGGGCTGTCTCTCCCAAAGTCCAGCAGCCCCCTGGGGGGCCAAGGCCAGTCCTCCACGCCCACTGAAAGGCACAGGTTGGTAGGGCAGAGGCCTGACCCATGGACCCACCCCACAGGGTGGGGGCCAAAGAGCCACACAGTCAAATGAGGCTCGGGGGCTTCTGGGAAGGGACCTAGACCTGAGTCCTTGCCACCCTGCTGTCCCTGCCAGGAATGTGTTGGGGCTCCAGGAAACTAGAGGGGAAGAGGAACGCTAGGCGCAGAAGGGGGAAAGAGGACAAGATCGGGGGCGGGAGGGGAAGGCTTCCGTTCCCTTTGAGCGCTGGGCAGGTCCTCAGAGCCAAGCAGGGCAGGCGAGCTCCGAGTGTGAGGTACCCTGGGGTCCCTCGGACAGCCCGGGAGGTGGCCACAGATGGAAGGAGAGTCCCAGTGGTGAACAAAGCAGGATGTGCCGTGGCTGGGCCTCCCCCGGGTTTCCGGCCAAGCCAGCTGCTCACCCCACGGGCTGGGCCATCTTGGCGTGCAGGCTCTGATGCGCGATGAGGTGCGCGCGCTGCTTGAAGCTCTTGTCGCACTCTCCGCAGCCGAAGGGCCGCTCACCGGTGTGCACACGCCGATGGTCCAGCAGGTAGGAGCGCAGCGAGAAGCTCTTGCCGCAGTCGCTGCAGCCGAAAGGCTTCTCGCCCGTGTGTATGCGCTGGTGGTCGGCCAGGTAGGCGCTGCGGCTGAAGCTCTTGCCGCACTCGGAACAGGAGAAGGGCTTCTCGCCCGTGTGCACGCCTTGGTGGCGCACCAGGTCCGAGGAGCTGCGGAAGCTCTTGTCGCACTCAGGGCACTTGTGTGGCTTCTCGCCCGTGTGCGTGCGCTGGTGCCGCGCCAGGTCCGAGCCCCAGCGGAAGCGCTTTCCACACTGCCCGCAGCTGTGCGGCTTCTCGGCTGCCAGGTCCCGGAACTGGCGCCGGCGAGTGGGTGGCCGCCCCCGTCGCGCGCCCACCACTGGGCCCAGGGCCGCCCTCGGCCGGTTCTCGCTCTCCCAGGCCTCAGCCTCCTCGGGGCTCCAGGACACAGTCACGTCGCTGCCTGTCTGGCCTGGCACCACCGGCACCATCTCCTGCAGCAGGGACTTCTCACTTTGGCCTTTGAGCCCAAAACCTGCAAGGGGAAGGAGGCGACCTCTTCAGTCCCACGCGGTTCTGGGGCCAGAGCTGAGGTGAGGAAGAAACAAGGCTGGGGAAAGCTCCCTGGCCTCCAGGTTCAGAAAGCCCTGGGTTCACACAGCTGAATTCTCAGGTTCCTCATCTATAAAACAGGGATGATTGGCCAGGCGCAGTGACTCAAGCCTGTAATCCCAACATTTTGGGAGGCTGAGGCGAGCTGATCACCTGAGGTTAGGAGTTCGAGACCAGCCTGGCCAACATGGTGAAACCCCGTCTCTATTAAAAAATGCAAAAATCAGCAGGGCATGGTGGCGCACATCTGTAATCCCAGCTACTCAGGAGGCTGAGGTAGAAGAATCACTTGAACCCATGAAGCGGAGGTTGCAGTAAGCCGGGATCATGCCATTGCACTCCAAGAGCGAGACTTTGTCTCAAAAACAAACAAAAACCCAAATAAATCAGGGATGATGAAAAAATTCGGCAGAGCAGCAGTCTGAATAAGCCTCTGATCCCGCCTGCATGGGCCAGCCCCCTAAGCCATCTGTGCCCTGCAGGCCACACTGGGATCCAATGTCCCACTCTGAACCCCAGATATCAAGCTCCACAGCAGAACAGATTTATAGT
This sequence comes from Homo sapiens, assembly GCF_000001405.40. Classification (NCBI taxonomy): domain Eukaryota; kingdom Metazoa; phylum Chordata; class Mammalia; order Primates; family Hominidae; genus Homo; species Homo sapiens. The sequence goes on along the minus strand of NC_000016.10, from coordinate 3,140,059 downwards.
AATTCTGAAACTTTTCAAGGGCCGGGCGCGGTGGCTCACGCCTGTAATCCCAGCACTTTGGGAGGCTGAGGCAGGCGGATCATGAAGTCAGGAGTTCGAGACCAGCCTGACCAACATGGTGAAAACTCGTCTCTATTAAAAATACAAAAAAATTAGCCGGGCATGGTGGCTCATGCCTGTAATCCCAGCTACTCAGGCTGAGGCAGGAGAATTGCTTGAACCCGGGAGGTGGAAGTTTCAGTGAGCTGAGATCACACCACTGCATTCCGGCCTGGCGACAGAGCAAGACTCCATCTCAAAAAAAAAAAAAAGAAAGAAAATTTTTCCCAACCGTCACAGTCGGAAACTGAGGAGCCAAACTGGTCTAGCTAGTGTGGCTCCCTTCACCACGCAGGCTCTAGTTCTCCAAACTCAACACAGATCTGGACAGAGGTCGCAGCCCATCCTCCTGGGAGTGTGACTGAACAAGATGATCCCTGATGGTGCTGAGAAGGGGCCTGGCATGGAGAGGAACCTGGTAAGTGCAGTTCTGACGAGCAGGGGCCCAGGCTGGTGAGCAGCTGGGGTTCCCCGTCAGCACCCCTGCTCCTAGCAGCCCAAGGTGGCCTCACAACTGTGCCTGATCCAAGTCCCAGCTGTGTCCCTTCAGCATCCACTGACCTGAGTCTCAGGTCCCTTATGCGTAAAATGGGGACAATACTTCCATGCACTAGGTTGTGAGACTCAAAGGAGAAGTTGCCCTTAGAGCAACTGCAGGGCTGGGCAGCGCCGGCGCCGTCCCATGCTGCATGTGGAAACGCACAAAAACTGATCATCAGCCAAGAAAGGAGTTACTCAGGCTCCTGGCAAGACCTAGGGAGAGCCTGCTTTGGAACCAGCTAAGGATGGGGTGGGAAACAAGACTGAAGTTCCAGCAGAATCGGGGGCGGCCAGCCTGGACCCAAAGGCCCTGGGTGCTTACCCAGGGTGGTGTTCCGGGAGTTCTCCCGCTTTATGTCCCAGAAGAGATCCCGCTGAGCAGGGTCCAGGGTGCCCCATTCTTCCCGGGAGAAATAGAATGGGATGTCTCCCAATGCCACAGGTCCCTGGAATGGGGTGAGAAGACCCGGCTCAGGCCTCCCAGCAGCACTGGCGGGGACAGGATGGGTCAGATGAAAGAGGCCTGATGGGACAGCAAGTCCCATTTTACAAACTCAACAGGGCCAAGTGCCTTAAAGAAGACAAAGGGACTGGTGACTCACATGGACCCCAGAGACAAAGCAGGTGTCCGTCGTCTCTCCGGGACGACCCTCTTTAAGAAGAGCAGGAGGCTGGGCTGAAGGAGAAGAATGGAGCCTTAGAAAGGCCAGCCCAGGCTTGACACCGACGCCTATGGCCTCCCCAGCCTGTGCGCATGCACACACGCCCTGGACTTCACAGAGGGAGCTGTCCTGCCTGTGACCCTTAGGGCAACGCCGGTGACAAAGCTAGGTCCCTGCCCAGCCACTCGACTGTCCACAAGAACGGAGGCTTACTCACCGCTATGGCTGTGCTGCTCCTGGGGAACAGACGGCCGCCTCCGTGCCCCCACCGTCGGGGGAGGCCCCGTGGCCTGGGATCCCCGGCCTGCAGCCTCGGGTTCCGCCTCCTCCGAGGGCACATCCTGTGCAGGAACCACAACATGCTCATCAGCCCGAGACCAGACCGGGGGAGACAGAGTTTACTCCCTGGGAAGGAGACACAGGACATGACCCTCAGGATGCTGGGGTGTGGGAAGGAGACCAATATGGTGCCCCAGGAAAAGTCCGGAGGAGAATGTGATACCAGGTAATGCTGTGTGCCCAAGGATGCTCCCCGATCATTCACGAGGCAAGAACCAGCCCTGAAAGGCCAGAATCACAGCCACTTAGCAAGGGGGTAGCTGGGGACCCTCCTGCCAAAGGCAGAACCCCATCCCCCAGCCACTCATTAGAACCTCCCCAGATGCATCCAATGTGAAGGACCCAACATCCCACAAGGTAGCAGAGGCCCCGGACAGCTCCACCTTCTCGCCCCACTCTGGAGCTGGCTCTATGCACACCCTTGTGTCCCCAGAGCCAGGCCTAGAGCAAAATGCAAATAAACATCAGCAGACCCTGCATGGAGCTAAAACCTCCTGTCTGGAACATTCGCACTTCAGCCCTATTGCTGCCTTCCAAAGCCACAAAAAATAAATCACATTTACTTTGGATCGCATCTTTCAGAAAGGCACCCATGGCACACTGTGCTTGTGTGCCTGCTCCTGGGGGCTCTGTGTCTCCCCTACCCTGTGAGCCTCTGGGAGACTTATCTCTGCAGGTTACCCACTTCTCTCGAGCTCAGATACCATCCAGGTGCCCCTGGATGTGGAAGGGCCCCTCACCTGTCGCCAGGCTTTCACTGGCTGCTTCTGTAGGTCCTCCACCAAGGCGACAGCCTCCTCACCGCTTCCCGGGTGCTGCTCACGCACCCAGCCCTGGATCTCCCCTGGCAGCACTGTCAGGAACTGCTCCAGCACCAGCAGCTCCAGGATCTGCTCCTTGGTACGCAGCTCGGGCCGCAGCCAGCGGCAGCAGAGCTCCCAGAGCTGGCTGAAGGCCTCATGAGGCCCATGCACATCCCCGTAGCAGAATTGCCGGAAGCGCTGGCGGCAGGCTTCGGAATCCCTGCCATCCTCATGCTGGGCAGATTCCTGTTCCCAGGAGGAATCTTCCACTTTCACAATCAGAAGCCCTTCTCCCTCCCCAGGGGCCTGGTCCTGGGCCTCCAAGGGGGCTGCCATTCCCCTGGCCTGAGGCTCAGGGTTGGTCGGCTTCAACCTGGGCCCCAGAACCTGTACTTTCAGTCTCCCAGAGGGATCCCCTGTGGTAGCTGGGCTGGCATCTGGATGTGTACTCCTGGGGAAAGAGCAAAATGGCAGGACTGAGGAGGAAGGATGTGGAATACACGAGCAAACCCCAGGCTGAAGAGCCATCCAGTCCCCATCCTTTCATGGCCCTGAAGCCTTTTCTAGGCTTTACTGTAATGCCTTGCTCATGTGACTGTCTCTCCTATTAACACAGGCCCACAAGCTCTCATCCCAAAGCCAGAAATCCAAAACCCGGGTGTTTCATAACTCTTTGACAGCAAAACCCAATGTCATTCATTTGGCAGCACCACCTGACCTGATATAAGCATATTTATAATCTCAATTTATTCCACTAAATGTAAATGTTCAAAATTATGGTGGAAATATTAATAACATATATCTTCAGTTTATAAAATTTCATTGAGCTATACCCACTCGTGTGTTTTTCTGTATTGCACATTATACATCAATTAAATATCTTTTTTTTTTTTTTTTACTGAGAGAGAGTCTCACTCTGTCGCCCAGGCTGGAGTGCAGTGGCGCAATCTCAGTTCACTGCAACCTCTGCCTGCCAGGTTCAAGCGATTCTCCTGCTTCAGCCTCCCAAGTAGCTGGGACTACAGGCACCAGCTACCACGTCCAGCTAATTTTTTGTATTTTTAGTAGAGACGAGGTTTCACCATGTTGGCCAGGATGGTCTCAAACTCCTGACCTTGTGATCCACCCGCCTCGGCCTCCTAAAGTGCTGGGATTACAGGCGTGAGCCACTGCGCCCGGCCTAATTAAAAAATTTTAACTGATATGTTTCATTATTTAGTGTTGCCCCAGATCCCTCTGGAGATGTGCTTGATATATCGTCTGTGCACTATATTATCTTTCTCAAATTTGAAAACCTCTGAATTCCAAAACACATCTGGCCCTGAGGTGTCACAGAAGGGCTTACAGACACCATCCAAAGCCATTTATCCACAGGTACATATAAATGTATGACACATTTATACCTTACATTGTTACTCTCTACTGAAAAGTGTATTATGCAATTTTCAGTAATCGATTTTTTGTTTCAACAATAAAAATACAAACTGGCCGGGCTTGGTGGCTTATGCCTGTAATCCCAGCATTTTGGGAGACAGACACAGGATGATTGCTTGAGGCCAGGGGTTCAAGACCCCTTTGGGAAGACAATGTGAGACGCCATCTGTACCAAAAAACAAAAAAAGCCAGGTGGGGCTCCTGTAGTCCCAGCTACTGGGGAGGCTGAGGAGGAAAGATTGCTTGAGTCCAGGAGTTTGAGGTTGCAATGAGCTATGATCGCACCACTGTACTCCAGCCTGGGCAACAGAGTGAGACCATCTCAAAAAAAAAAAAAAAAGAAAGAAAAGAAAAGTAAAAAGAAAATGAAAAAAATACAAACCATCTTAATAAAAAAGGGAAGATTCAAACAATATAGAAATCTGTAAAACTCTCCCTTCCTCAATACCATTGTACCCCCCGACTTAACAGTCTGACAAATGACGTCCCAGACCTTTTCCTGTGCTTTTACTAAAAAAGTCATCCATAGCGGGGAGAAAAGGTGCTTGATGTGTTTCTACATAAATGAGACCTTACTGCACAGACATTAGCGGCACTATGAGCTTCCGCGGTATGGATATGCTCTAGTTTCTTAATCAATACTCGAGTGATGCATTCGGGTTGTTTCCAATTCTTTAGTCCATCCTAAGCACTTTATTTATTCTGCTCCTCACAAGACCCCTGAAAGGTGCGCGCACCATTCTCATCCTCTGGTGACTTCGAAGAAGACTTTCCTCGAAGAGGGCCAGGACTCACCAGGGTCGCTCAGCAGGACACGGCAGGCGGGAAGGCGAGCCAGCCGGAGCCCCGCGCTGTCCACCGCAGCCTCGCCCGCGGGGCGAGCGGCGATCGTACAGGGGCGTCTGCCGGGGGACCAAGCTGGCAGAGCGGCGCGGGGGACCAGCACTTCCTAGCAGTGCGCGCGCCCTCCGGCCTCTGCCTCGGGGCGCTGATCCCGGCCACTCGGAGCCCGGTGCTTGATGTTGGAGCCAGGCGGCCAGAGGCCCCGTCCCCGCCCCGGCCCCCGCCCCCGCCCCCGCCCCCGAAACACACAACGCCCACTACGGCCCAGGAGATCCCACTTCCGCCGCGAGCTCCCGGCGCCGGAAGTCCTCGCGGGGCTCGCTGGGAAACTACGCTACG